>NC_000010.11:23760000-24385000 GCF_000001405.40 Homo sapiens
AATGTCGTATATATACCATAGGTAGAGGATTAGCTAATTTTATTTTATTTTTGGATTTTCCTCCCTTCTTGGGTTTAGGGAAGTTTTAACTCAGTGCCTAGACCCTCACACATAGTTGGCACATGCAGGTTGGTGGGCATACACAAATCAAATCAAAAGTGTGAAGAGCTGAAAGTGCATTGCACTTGCTAGCATGTACTTGCTAAGAGCTCTGTTTGCTCCTCATGGATCGGGCTCCCTTTCACACTAGGCATATGAAGGGTGTGAGGATGAGAGTGCTGGCTGGGATGACTGCTACAGTGCATGCATGCAGCAGATAGAAGTTCCTATTTTCACCTCAATGCTTATTGAATCAGGCTTTTCCCTCAGGCTTTCACACTATCTTAACGGGACTAATAGTTGAGTTAGTTAAGTTTGTGACAGCCTAAGGCTGCATCAGTGTGCATTGAGATAGAAAGTTTCAGGAATAAGCAAAGCAGGAGGGACTGGAGTGGACAATGTGCAGAAGTTGAATTCTAGCAGTCGCAGTAGCACATCTGTTTCAGTGTTCAAAGTGTTATTTTGCCAATGCTAAGAAGAATAGGAATAGGATAAAAAAATGGATAACAATATAGGGGAATGATTTTAAAAATGAATCAAAAGGTTAATAGTAAGAACAAGTCAGGTGTGGTGGCTCATGCCTGTAATCTCAGCACTTTGGGAGGCCCAGGTGGGAAGATTGCTTGAGCTCAGGAGTTTGAGACCAGCCTGAGCAACATAGCAAGACCCTGTCTCTGCAAAAAATTTTAAAAGATAAGAAAAGAACAAGTATCAGCATACGTTTATGTTGAGATGGTTTACCAGTCAGTGAAAAAAAGAAAAGTTCAGACAGTTTAACAAGTATCCACTTTCCAGGAAGATCTAGTCCCAAATTCAGTCATTAACTCTTAAATGGTGATGTTTTAGAAATGTAAATGTAATTGGACAATAGCTGGGCATGGCAGTGCAGGCCTGTAGTTCCAGCTACAGGGAGGATGAGGTGGGAGGATCACTTGAGGCCAGGAGTTTGAGATTAGGCTGGGCAACATCGTGAGATCTCATCTCTACAAAAAAAAATTAAAATGAAAACTAAAAAAATTAGCTGGGCATTATAGGGCACACCTGTAGTCCCAGTTACTCAGGAGGCTGAGGTGGGAAGATCATTTGAGCCCAGGAGTTCAAGTCCAACCTAGGCAACCTAGTGTGGCTGACCTTCATCTCTTAAAAAACAAACAAACAAAAAACAACCCTGATCTGTTATTTCTTGTCTTCTGCTAGCTTTTGGATTAGTTTGCCATTGCCTCTCTAGCTCTTTTAAGTGTGATGTTAGGGTGTTGATTTGAGATCTTTCTAGCTTTCTGATGTGAGCATTTAGTGCTATAAATTTCCCTCTTAACAGTGCTTTAGCTGTGTCCCAGAGATTCTGGTACATTGTCTCTTTTTTCTCCTTGGTTTCAAAGAACTTCTTGATTTCTGCCTTAATTTCATTATTACGGGAGTCATTCAGGAGCAAGTTGTTCAATTTCCATGTAATTGTATGGTTTTGAGTGAGTTTCTTAATCCTGAGTTCTAATTTGATTGCACTGTGATCTTAGAGAGGCTGTTTGTTATGATTTCACTTCTTTTGCATTTGCTGAGGAGTGTTTTACTTCCCACTATATGGTCGATTTTAGAATAATTGCCACGTGGCACTGAAAAGAATGTATATTCTTTTGATTTGGGGTACAGAGTTCTGCAGACATCTACTAGGTCCACTTGGTCCAGAGCTGAGTTCAAGTCCTGAATATCCTTGTTAATTAGCTGGTGTTTTTTTTTGTTAAATTAACAAAATAGATACATTCCTAGCTAGACTAATAAAGAAGAGAAGAATCAAATAGACACAACAAAAAATGATAAAGAGGATATCAGCACTGACCCCACAGAAATACAAACTACCATCAGATGATACTATTAACACCTCTATACAAATAAACTAGAACATCTAGAAGAAATGGATAAATTCCTGGACACATACACACTCCCAAGACTAAACCAGGAAGAAGTCAAATTCCTGAGTAGACCAATAACAAGTTCTGAAATTGAGGTAGTAATTAATAGCCTACCAACAACAACAACAATAACAACAAAAAGCCCAGGACCAGATGGATTCATAGCTGAATTCTACCAGAAATACAAAGGGGAGCTGATACCATTCCTTCTGAAATGATTCCAAACAATTGAAAAGAAGGGACTCCTCCCTAATTCATTTTATGAAGCCAACATCATCCTGATACCAAAACCTGGAAGAGACACAACAAAAAAAAAAAAGAAAACAGGCCAATATCCCGGATGAACATCAATGTGAAATCCTCATTAACGGGCAAACCAAATCCAGTAGCACATCAAGAAACTTATCTACCATGATCAAGTCTGCTTCATCCCTGGGTTGCAAAGCTGGTTCAACATACCCAAATCAATAAATGTAATCCATCACACAAACAGAACCAAAGACAAAAACCACATGATTATCTCAATAGATGCAGAAAAAGGCCTTTGATAAAATTCAACATCTCTTCATGTTAAAAACTCTCAACAAAATAGGTATAGATGGAATATATCTCAAAATAATAAGAACTATTTATGACAAACCCACAGCCAATATCATATTGAATGGGCAAAGGCTGGAAGCATTCCCCTTGAAAACTGGCACAAGACAAGAATACTCTCTCTCACCACTCCTATTCAACATACTATTGGAATTTCTGGCCAGGGCAATCAGGCAAGAGAAAGAAATAAGGGCATTCAAATAGGAAGAGAGGAAGTCAAATTATCTCTGTTTGCAGATGACATGATTTTATCTTTAGAAAACCCCATCATCTCAGCCCAAAAACTCCTTAAACTGATAAGGAACTTCAACAATGTCTCAGGATATAAAATCAATGTGCAAACATCACAAGCATTCCTATACACCAATAGAGAAGCAGAGAGCAAAATCATGAATGAACTCCCATTCACAATTGCTACAAAGGAATAAAATACCTAGGAATACAGCTAACAAGGCTGTGAAGGACCTATTCAAGGAGAACTACAAACCACTGCTCAAGGAAATAAGAGAGGACAGAAACAAATGGAAAAACACTCCATCCTCATGGATAGGAAGAATCAATATCATGAAAATGGCCATACTGCCCAAAGTAATTTATAGATTCAATGCTGTTTCCATCAAACTACCATTGGCATTCTTCACAGAATTAGAAAAAACTATTTTAAATTTCATATGGAATCAAAGAAGATACTGTATAGACAAGACAATCCTAAGCAAAAAGAACAAAGCTAGAGGCATCACACTACCTGACTTCAAACTATACTACAAGGCTACAGTAACCAAAACAGCATGGTACTGGTACCAAGACAGGCATATAGACCAATGGATCAGAACAGAGACCCCAGAAATAACACCACACATTTACAACCATCTGATCTTCGATAAACCCCACAAAAACAAGCATGGGGGAAGGTAAATGGTGCTGAGAAAACTAGCTAGCCATATGCAGAAAACTGAAACTGGTCCCCTTCCTTACACCTTATAGAAAAATTAACTGAAGATGGATTAAAGACTTAAATGTAAAACCCAGAACCATAAAAACCCTAGAAGAAAATCTGGACAATACCATTCAGGACATAAGCATGGGCGAAGACTTCATGACAAGCCAAAAGGTTCATAACAAACCTGCACAGTCTGCACATACACAAAGTCATATAATATCAACATTCTGCTCTGTATTAGTCTGTTTCATGTTGCTGTAAAGGAATACCTGAGACTGGGGAATTGATAAATAAAAGAGATTTATTTGGCTTCCAAAAAAACCCACTAAAATAAGTAAAGTTTAAAAAATGTAGTTGGGAAAGTCATTTAAAAAAGCCAAAAGCAATTGCAACAAAAGCCAAAATAGACAAATGGGATCTAATTAAACTAAAGAGCTTCTGCACAGCAAAAGAAACTATCATCAAAGTGAACAGGCAACCTACAGAATGAGAGAAAATTTTTAGAATCTACCCATCTGACAAAGGCCTAATATCCAGAATTTAAAAGGAATTTAAACATATTTACAAGAAAAAAAACAACCCCATCAAAAAGTGGGCAAAGGATATGAACAGACACTTCTCAAAAGAAGACGTTTCACAGCCAACTAACATATGAAAAAAAGCTGAACATCACTGCTCACCAAAGAAATGAAAATAAAAACCACAATGAGTTACCATCTCATGCCAGTCGGAATGGTGATTATTAAAAAGTCAGGAAACAATAGATGTTGGCGAGGCTCTGGAGAAATAGGAACACTTTTACACTGTTGATGGGAGTGTAAATTAGTTCAACCATTGTGGAAAACAGTGTGGCAATTCCTCAAGGATTTAGAACCATTTGACCCAGCAATCCCATTACTGGATATGTACTCAAAGGACTATAAATCATTCTACTATAAAGACACATGCTGCATATGTTTACTACAGCACTATTTACAATAGCAAAAACATGGAACCAACCCAAATGCCCAGCAATGATAGACTGGATAAAGAAAATATGGTACGTATACACTATGGAATACTATGCAGCCATAAAAAAGAATGAGATCATGTCCTTTGCAGGGACATGGATGAAGCTGGAAGCCATCATCCTCAGCAAACTAAAACAGGAATAGAAAACCAAACACCACATGTACTCACTCATAAGTGGGAGTTGAACAGTGAGAACACATGGGCACAGGGAGGGGAACATCACACACCAGGGCCTGTTGAGGGGTGGGGCCTGAGGGGTGGGAACTTGGAGGATGGGTCAATAGGTGCAGCAAACCACCATGGCACACATATACCTATGTAACAAACCTGCACGTTGTGCACACACACAAGTCACATAATATCAACATTCTCGTCTGTATTAGTCTGTTGTTTCATGTTGCTATAAAGGAATACCTGAGACTGGGTAATTGATAAATAAAAGAGTTTTATTTGGCTTCTCCCCCAAAAAAACCCACTAAAATAAGTAAAGTTTTAAAAAGGTAGTTGGGAAAGTCATTTAAGTTACACTTTCCTGTTAATAAACTATAATATTATAATAGTTATGATAAACACCATAGGACTCTTGTCTGTTGGTTAGAAAATTTTTTCTTTTGTTTTCCCTTTTTTGTTCTCTTTTTTTTTTTTTTTTTTTTTTTTTGAGACGGAGTCTTGCTCTGTCGCCCAGGCTGGAGTGCAGTGGCGCGATCTCCGCTCACTGCAAGCTCCCGGGTTCACGCCATTCTCCTGCCTCAGCCTCCCGAGTAGCTGGGACTACAGCCCGGCTAACTTTTTGTACTTTTAGTAGAGACGGGGTTTCACCGTGTTAGCCAGGATGGTCTCAATCTCCTGACCTCGTGATCCACCCGCCTCGGCCTCCCAAAGTGCTGGGATTACAGGTGTGAGCCACCACGCCCGGTCTTTTGTTCTCTTCTTTATCACCCCTTTGCCATCCCAAAAGTATGCATTGACATGGTTTGGCTCTGTGTCCCCACCCAAATCTCATCTTGAATTGTAATCCCTATATGTGGAGGGAGGGATATGCTGGGAAGTGATCGAATCATGGGGGTGGTTTCTGCCATGCTGTTCTCATGACCGTGAGTGAGTTCTCACAAGATCTGATGGCTTAAAAGTGTTTGGCAGATCCCCCGATCAGCGCTCTCCTGCTGTCATGTAATACATGCCTTGCTTCCCTTTTGCCTTCTGCCATGATTGTAGGTTTCCTGAGGCTTCCCCAGCCATGTAGAACTGTGAGTCTGTTCGATCTCTTTTCTTTACAAATTACCCAGTCTCAGAGAGTTCTTTATAGCAGTGTGAAAGTGGACTAATACATCCATTAAACATCAGAATAAAAAGCATTAACTTGCTATACTGCCTAATGTTTGCTACTTTCAAATTTCCAAGTCTTACCAGCGTTACTCAGTAATTTTAAATTTTTTGAATTATCACAGTAAGGCAGAACTTGAAGGTGATTTGCAGGCAAAACTGTGGCTAATACTAATAACAAGGTAGAGAGTTGCTGAATCTTTTAATTAGCAATGATTTTAATATTCTTCTTCTCTAGGAGGTTTGCCTCAGATGACAAGTTGAAACTCATGTGTTCTAAAAGAAACCTCAGTAGTTCCCCCAGGAGATTTTTATGGCTTCTAAGTCAAGTGTGATTTTGTGCCCTGCAGCTGTCACTAGTGGCATGGTAGAGTGGATACAGCAAAAATTGATTTTTGTTTTTGTAATATTTAAAGAATAGCTTTTATTTATGGCAATGGTCTCAATGTCAAAACATACAGTTAATAGTGTCCTCAAGTTTGTCGTTATATGATTTCACTGTGGGCACCACTTAACAGCAAAGAACAATAATTTATTTTTCAGTCCTAATGTTAACTGAATGTTCATTTAACAAATATTTAGGTTTACAAATGTCATTTGACTCTGGAGCTGTTGGTATCACTATGTGCTCAAGTTAGTTGATTCTCTGGGAACAAGAACACATCATTCTTTCTTTTTTCTTTTTCTTTTCTTTTTTTTTTCTTTCTTTCTTTTTTCTTTTTTTTTTTTGAGACAGCGTCTCACTCTGTGACTCAGGCTGGAGTGCAATGGCACAATCTTGGCTCACTGCAATCTCTGCCTCCCGGTTTCAAGCGATTATTGTGCCTCAGCCTCCCGAGTAGCTGGGATTACAGGTGTGTGCCATCATACCCAGCTAATTTTTGTATTTTTAGCGGAGACGGGGTTTCACCATGTTGGCCAGACGGGTCATCTCGAACTCGTGCCCTCAAATGATCTGCCTGCCTTGGCCTCCCAAACTGCCAGGATTACAGGCGTGAGCCATCATGCCCAGCTGGAACATGACATTCTTATTCTTACCTCTGTTGAATCATTCGTTTAGCAAACATTCCATCTACCACCTGTCCTGTGCTAAATAAAAGGGATTCAGAGACAGGCACAGAGTCCTACCTCCAAAGGACCTTTTGGATTAGCTGGGTTATGCAGGAGCATCCAGAGTTCTATGGGGACACAGAGAAACAGTGAATTACTAGAAAGAGTGGTGGGAGAGAGTGGTCAGAAATGATATTGAAAAAGAGATGGACAAAGAAGGCTGTGAATGCAATGGCCAACAGCTATGAATACGTATAAAGTGCATCCTGAGAATTACAGCTGATGGTGGGAGGAGGTGAGACCCATGAGGACTAAGCTGGGCTTTGCTCTGAAAGCTCTGGGGTAACAGAAGGATTTCTCAAAGGAGAATGATGTGATCAGCTATGCATGTAGATATCAATGTGGAGAAAGAATTGGAGGTGGCTGATCTGGAGGAATGGTGCTGAGGCTCTTGGTTGCAATATTCCAGATGAGAAATTCTGGAGTCCCAACTAAGAAGAAAGAAATAAGAAGGACATATTTAGTAGGTCAGGCACAGTGGCTCATGCCTGTAATCCCAGCACTATGGGAGGCTGAGGTGGGAGGATTGCTTGAGCCTAGGAGTTTGAGACCAGACTGGGAAACATAGTGAGAGCCCATCTCATTTTTTTTAAAAGAAAAAGTAAAAGGACATATTTAAATTCTATTAGGAAAGAATTTGAGGGGCGAGGTAATTGTGGATATGGGAGGAGGAAGAGGCCGTGAACCCTCAGGTTGGGCTGTGGGGAGGTGCCATTCACTGGTGATGCATTTGCATGGGGGCAGGGTTTTAGTGCCTTTCTCCCCTCCATGATTTCCTAATACAGAAGTGTATGCAGAAGGAAAAACTCAAGTAAGACATAAAGCCCTACTTTAGGAATAATCAAGTAAGCATCCTATACCCCCATGCAAACCCAGAGCGTAGGGTGTAAGCTGAGAATCCAAGTAGGGCTTTCTCCTTTCCCCCTCAATTTGAAATGGCTGAATTTGGGCAGTACACGCTGGGTCTTCTACTTCAAGAGACCAGAAGGAGGGGGCTGGCTGGTTGCCCTTAGGGCCAGGCCATGCCCAAGCATATCTGGAAGAGCAAGACCTGGGAGAAGTTACCTCCCAGTTAGAAAGTGGGTAGAGTCCCATTCTGTCTCCAGTGAATCCAATGAACAGTAATCCCACCCATTCTTAAAATGTAGCCCAATGAATGCTGCAAGAGCTGGCCAATACGATTTTCAACTTTTCCCTTGGGGAAGTAACAGTGAAGAGGTGGAACAGTGGGGCAGGAGCATGGTCTCTTTTATGGTCAGAGGAGGGATAGGAATGATGACAGTTGCATATTCACCCCCAATGCTGGACACAGTGACTTTGGAAACTCTCAAACAACTGGGAGGAAACATGAGCAGGGATTCTTGCTGTGGAGAGAAAAAACTATTTGAGAACCATCAGAATGTTGGTTGGAATGAGAGGGGGGATCCTGTCTGGCTTTGCTCATTATTGTGCCCCTGGCCCCTTGGCACATTGCCAGGTACATATTAAATGCTCAATTAATATTTGTTAAATCCATCAGTGAAATTTCCTGTGCTACTCTTGTCTACTAAAAGATACCTAACTCTTAATTTTACCATTCAGGAACAAAGGTATATTCGTGAACTTTTCAATGAGGAAAGTATAAGTTGCCATTTTAAAGACATAGGGGAGAAAATGGGTTTGATGTTTTAATGGAGCAATTGGGCTTCACTGAGCTCGGTATCACAAGAGATGAGGGGTTGAGAAAATACCTGGATTTGTCTCTTTACCATTTAGCACAGCCCAGAGATGGGTTCAAGGATTATTGACTTTCCCGCAGGCACTCGGGCTGAACTTGCCTCATGGGAATGCTTGGAGCTATGGATGATGTAGGTTTGTCTGGGTCTTCTGGAGCTGCCCAGATCCACAAGGAACAACCTCCCAGAACCAGGCCAGAGAGTGTAATAAGCATTGATTTCTATGCTCTGCTGTCCATGCTGCTAAGGACTGGGAGTCCTGCACTGAACAATGGTGTAACTGCCTAACAAGTTCACCTTGCCTGCTGCCTAGACAGAGACAATTTATTAAGACAGGGGAATTGCAATAGAGAAAGAGTAATCCATGCAGAGCTGGATGTGTGAGAGACCAGAGTTTTATTGTTACTCAAATCAATCTCTGTGAGCATTCTGGGATTAGCATTTTAAGGACAGTTTGATGGGTAGGGGGCTGCCAGTGAGTCACGAGTGCTGGTTGGTTGGGTGGAAGATGAAATCATAGAGAATTGAAACTGTCTTGAAATGAGGCAGTTCTTGGGTGGGGTCCATAGGATCAGATGAGCCAGTTTATCCATCTGAGTGGTGCCAGCTGATCCATTATGTGCAGGGTATGCAAAATATCTCAGGCACTGATCTTAGGCTTTACAGTAGTGATGTTATCCCCAGGAGCAATTGAGGGGAGGGGGGACAGTCAGAATCTTGTAGCCTCCGGCTTCATGACTCCTAAACCATAATTTCTAACCTTTTGGCTAATTTGTTAGTCCTATAAAGGCAGTCTGGACCCCAGGCAAGAAGCGGGTTTGTTTTGGGAAAGGGCTGTTATCATCTTTGTTCTAAATTATAAACTATAAATTAAGTTCCTCCCCAAAGTTAGTTCAGCCGATGTCCAGGAATGAACAAAGACAGCTTAAAGATGAGAAACAAGATGGAGCTAGTTAGGTCAGATCTCTTTCACTGTCTCAGTTATAATTTTGCAGTGGCAGTTTAAATGGAACTGTACACTCTCAACCTCACAGAATTTCAAGTCTAGTGAGGACTTAGGGTAATGGAGACCAAATAGGTGAGACAGAAAATGTGTTTTATCAAAGGAGTAGGATTGATTGCTACTACATCATTCTTTCATTCCAACTTTCTCACAGATTTTGCCTTAATGATCTGAGAGGTCAAGAGGCTCTATTCAGAACCCTAGACCACGTTTGGCTTTGACATAGGCAATCAGCCTTGGGGACTCAGTTCCCTTTTAACTCATAATTAATTATAGGCATTTACAAATTCAGGGACCAAAGTGGGTAATCAGACCTAATTAACTGGTAATCAACCAATGTTTCACTTTCTATCCTTCTCCATGTACAATGGGACAAGTTCATAAAGATAGTTTTGATTCTAGGAAGACTAGAAGCCCTTTGGAGGCTGGGAGAACCATTCTAACATCATGTATGAGGAAATTGATGTGTGGCTTCTAGTTTTTTAATCATGTTTGGGGAACACATGGCCATCTTTTTCACTGCTCCAAACTTTCCCCTACTTGGTGGTTACCATGTCTTCTACACCAGACACTGTCCTAAAATGTGCAAGCCCCATTCCTCAGGTGGTTGCACATTGGATGAAACTTCATGCTTGCTATCTCTGTTGTTTAGGCTTTAGTGTACTTTCATTTAGTTCCATTACATGTTGTCTATGATTGCTTAAAATATTCCTTCAGGCTAAGCTCAATTTCTACCAGCTACTCACTGATAGGTAAAGTTCAATGAGTTCATTTGTGGTGGTGGAAGGGGAAAAGACAAGAGCTGGTGACACACAACTTCAAAACCAATTATCACAACGTTGCTACATTGGCCCCTGAGGATGGAGAAGACCCTGGAAGAGTGATTATATTGTAGCATCAGTCTAAAAAGTTAGTGTCCAGTGGTTTTTCTGAGAGAGTGATCATCATTTTCCTCTTATTCACCACTGAGTCAATGTAGGTTTTCTAGCATCTCTATGATGCACGGATCTTCCTAATTTCCCCCAAAGCAATGTAACACAGAAGTAACTTCTGTGCATGGATTGACCTTTGATCTCCAGTGGCTCTCCAGGCTTCACCTGTTTTTCCAATGTTATGGAACTCAATGAAATGGGGGAGTCTGATGAAATTAAGGATTATATTTATGGCTTGCAGTATTGGTGCTGTACATCCAAGGTACTGCTGTCCAAGTTTGAGGTACTCCCTTAATGTGACAACATAAATTAGCGTGTTATCAACCCAACAACACTCTTTCTTTCTGTGATCAGCCCTTTTCTCCTTTCATCACCTTGATACAAGTCATCAAGATCTTGGAAGCTGTAAAGAAGTGTACTTTGTAAGAGCTGAAATATTATTGCAATGATGCCACCAAGAATGATTATGACATGGTTCATGTGCCACTGTTAGATCGACTTCAGGGATGGTTTCCAAAGACATGGCTTTGCCTCCTACATAGTTCAGATTGAATAAAGCTCTCTTCTAATACAAATTACCCAATCTGTAGAGTCTCTGCAGTGAATATTAGAACCTACTTGTTTTTCTTCCTTACATAGGGAGCTTTTAAACCATTTCCTCTTATGACCATGCCTTTGAGCTAAAAGCCATAGGTTTGGATTTAGGAAAAGCCCACAAAATTTTAATATTAGCACAAGTAAGATAGACTTGGGAAAATGTATGTTTTTGCTGCTCAAAACATTATTTTGCTCTCTCAAAACATTATTTCAATCCAAGCCATTCATTTATGTATCAAGCATACTGGTAAGTCTTGATGCTATTTTGTGATGTTTATATTAGATATAGTATCCCTGGCCACTGTACAACAGATAAACTTTTAAATGTTAAGGCACAATAGAATTTTATTGGTCAGGTACATAATGTGTTCTGATTAGTGGGCGGTGCCCCTCCAAGCAATGATTTGGAGATCCAGCTTTCTTTCATCTTGTGGCTTTTTTGATACAACACTTCCACCATTACCTCAGAAGGGGAAAGAACATGAGGGATTGCATGTGTTTAAGGGTCAGTCTTGGAAGTGGCACATATCACTTTTGACTCAGCTAGAAATCAATCATATGCAAAGAAGCCAAGACCAAAGCCCAGTGGTGTGCCCAGGGGGACAAGGATACTGCTGTGGTCAACAGCTAGCCCACCTCTGCTGCAATTATCTTCTGTATTCCTCTATATCCTCTTCCTTTCTTTGCAATTTGTCTTTTTAAATTCTATAATGTAAAGCTTGGCAGTGAACCTCAAGTGTTGAACATTTAAGAAAGAATCTAAAAATACATGAGCCCATCATATTTTATGCATTTTAAATTATGTGAATTTTAAAAGTGTGATTTAAATGTTAGTAAATATTAGCAGAATCTCATTTGATGTGTGAAATTTAAGAAAAGTAAAATATACCAAACTTAAAAATAATCTAAATTGTGTAATCTCAAAGCTGGCTGGCAAAGCAAATAGTAAGGTGTTTATGCTCTTGACACTTGGAGCCTTTGCCTCAGCGGACAGCAGAAATACCCAACGTCCTTGGTTAGTACAACATGAATTATAAAAATTTTTATGCATTAGACTCTCTGGTTGTAGGTTTTAATGACCTGTTGTGCTATCCTCTTAACCTTCATGGTTATTCTACTTTAAATCATGAAGTAGTAGCCAATGTTAAAAATGTACCTGAAAATCAATGCCATTGAAATGGAAAGGTAATAATAATAATAAAGAAATGCAGGAGGATGAAAAGAAAGAAAGAACAACAACAAAAAAAGATCAGCTAATACTTAGGAGCACCAGGCATTGTTCTAAGCATTTGGATGGTACTGACTTCTGAGTTTGGTAGGAAGGTACTGTAATCACTCACTCCCAGTTTATAAATTCAGAAATGTGATACTCTGGGTGGAAGGCCACACATCTCTGTATTATACGATGTCATGCTGTTCATTTAGGAATGAACACTCCGCGAACTATTAGAGATATTGCTGAGACAATTAAAAGGAAAATGCCAGCAATTTTTTCACTCTGCCCCATTCTAGAATTAATCCTATTGGATAATTAAGAAGCATGTGTTCTGACAACATAATTGTTCAGGCACACATCCCTGGCATACAAGCAGCTGCCTCAAACTTTATACACAAACAAGGATCGCTTCTCGGCCTTTTGGCTGAGATCAAGTGTAGTACACACAAACAGGGAGACACACCCTTGTCATTTCCTCATATTTTGAATCAAGGCCCTAATTTTGTTTCTGGTTTCTCTTCCTTTCATGCTGTCCTGTAAACAGCCTGTTGCATTCTCGCTTATGGAGTGGGGTTTTATTTTATTTTTTCTTTTTGGAACCCCTGATGGATTTAGAAATTCAATAATAAGAATGGACATTGAGGAAGAGAAAAACAGGGATGGGCTGGAGAGAGGGATATGATTGACTGATTCATTAATGATTATCTTCATTCATCATCAAACTGTTATCAAGAATATTGTGTACCAAGCATTATTGTACACTCAGGGAATCATTTCCCCATTTCTTGTTTTTCTCAGGTTTGTCAAAGATCAGATAGTTGTAGATATGCGGCGTTATTTCTGAGGGCTCTGTTCTGTTCCATTGATCTATATCTCTGTTTTGGTACCAGTACCATGCTGTTTTGGTTACTGTAGCCTTGTAGTATAGTTTGAAGTCAGGTAGCGTGATGCCTCCAGCTTTGTTCTTTTGGCTTAGGATTGACTTGGCGATGTGGGCTCTTTTTTGGTTCCATATGAACTTTAAAGTAGTTTTTTCCAATTCTGTGAAGAAAGTCATTGGTAGCTTGATGGGGATGGCATTGAATCTGTAAATTACTTTGGGCAGTATGGCCATTTTCACGATATTGATTCTTCCTACCCATGAGCACAGAATGTTCTTCCATTTGTTTGTATCCTCTTTTATTTCCTTGAGCAGTGGTTTGTAGTTCTCCTTGAAGAGGTCCTTCACATCCCTTGTAAGCTAGATTCCTAGGTATTTCATTCTCTTTGAAGCAATTGTGAATGGGAGTTCACTCATGATTTGGCTCTCTGTCTGTTCTTGGTGTATAAGAATGCTTGTGATTTTTGTACATTGATTTTGTATCCTGAGACTTTGCTGAAGTTGCTTATCAGCTTAAGGAGATTTTGGGCTGAGACAATGGGGTTTTCTAGATATACAATCATGTCATCTGCAAACAGGGACAATTTGACTTCCTCTTTTCCTAATTGAATACCATTTATTTCCTTCTCCTGCCTAATTGCCCTGGCCAGAACTTCCAACACTATGTTGAATAGGAGTGGTGAGGGAGGGCATCCCTGTCTTGTGCCAGTTTTGAAAGGGAATGCTTCCAGTTTTTGCCCATTCAGTAAGATATTGGCTGTGGGTTTGTCATAGATAGCTCTTATTATTTTGAGATATGTCCCATCAATACCTAATTTATCAAAGTCCATTAGGGAAGGAAGATGAGTATTTAAAAAAGGAAATGAACAAAGTAGACAATAAAGATGTGTCTCACTTTCCCTGTGAAAACACTTCATATACAGTTTATCCAGACAAGAAGAGGTGAAAGGACTGGCGAAAGAGGTGAAAGGACCATCAGGTGTTCTGTGTTGCTGGTGTGTGGGCTATGCTGGAGACAGTCCTGCCCTTAGCCTTGAGAGACAGGTACCCCCATCCTAGGTCCTGTACTTCAGAGGGTGTCACTGTGGCAAGAGGCCTGTGGAGCCAAAGAGACCTGATAACTTAGAGTCCCTTATGACCCAGGGGCTTGGCGCCCTAGAATGCCCTGCAGGATGACCTGGGGCCCACTGCCTAGGTCTGTGCAGACCTCCTCTACTGGCAGTTCTCTTGAGGATGGAAATGCATGGTAGATGTGAGCATCTCCAGGCTCGAATTGGGCCAAGGGGTGGCTGTTCACAGGGAGGTGCAGTTCAGCTCTAACATCAGCCAGGGGTGTCCCCAGGCTGTCCACAAGACTGTTCATGGAGGGAAACCAGAGGTGGAAGAAAAAGGTGCAGTCTGGGGCCCAGGGCCTGCTCTTGTTTGGCTGCTATTTCCCATGTGGGACTCTGAGGGGTCCAAGAAGTCTAAAGTCATCCCTGATCTCTAAGTTCTTTAAGAAGTTATATTTGTTAAGATAGAAAGCTTTAACATTTTTTAACAATGTATAAGCTTGCTTTATAAGTTTTGATCATCATACATGGCTATTTGGGCCTCCATTTCTATTCTTGCCTATACCCCATGAATGGAAAGGGTGAGCTTCATGGAGAAGATGAAGCTGATGAGGTTGGTTGGGTCAAATGATGAAGATCTTGGTGCATGATGCCAAGTAGCTATGGGGAGTTAACAGACATGTTTAAGGATAAGGTGTGTGTGATCAGATGCATTTTTATAAAGACAGCCTCAGGCAGTGAGTCCATTAAAAGCTGCTGCCCTTAGCTCACAGATGACCAGGAAGTGGCACCTAACCCTGTGGAAGAGACAGTGAGAGTGGAAGGGAGATGAGGAGATTCAGATTTGAGAGACATTTATGAGTAGTATCAATGGGGTTTCTTGATTGATTAATAGGTTGGCTAACATGCAGAATGATGGAATGAGAAATGGGAAGTCAGAACAGCAGGACCCATAGGAGGAACGGAGATGGGCATATTTTGTTGTCTGGGAAACTAAGGATGGCAATACTATTGATTGACATTAGAAGGGAGGTTTTTGGGGAGAGACAATGCATTCAGTTTCAGGTACCCTAAGTTGGAGGTGTCTCTTAAGACACCCAGGTGCCAGTGTGCACCCGGCACTGAGAAATGAGGTCAGGGCTGTGCCTGGACCTTTGTCACTCCTCCGTCCCCAAGTCACACACGTCTGTTGTAGCATGTGAGAGTGGATTAAAATCTCATACAAAATTAATGGCCAACGTTAATTATCCCTTTGTCTAAATTGACTAAATAGTTGAGTTAATTCAAGATATGAAACTTCACTTATGATGGACTATACCTTTTAGGTCATACTAGTATTTCACATAACATGAGGCTTCTGGGTAATTAAATTCATTGTCCGGAGTATTGCATTAAAATGGGACAAATCTGGATTTTCTTCCTTTGATGTAACTGATTTGTACTGCAAGACATTTCCATCACAGACTTTTTTTCCCACTGGTCAGTGCCTTTTTTCTATTTTATACATTCTTAATTTAAGCCATTTTATGTGTAGCTGTGTTAACTTCTATAACTTCTATAACCATAAAACATAATTATCCCATAAACGTATCAGATAATGTTATGAAAGTTACATTGAATTAAAATGACTTTCACAGAGTCACATAAAGAACTCTAATAATTTCTTTTAAAATTATAGGGCAGGTCATGTTCAGAAAAATAATCAAACATTAAGTAGAGGAATTACATTGGATCAGTGCCCAGATTCTTAAGAGATACCATTGAAGATGATCACCTGGTTTCCTCTGAACTTGAATGTTTCCTTGTTATAGTGGCCCCTGACAGTAAACCAAAGGATGAGTCTGATCCCTCAAGATTCTTCCCCAAAGGACACTGGTAACAGTGTAGTTTATAACTTAATTCCTTTTAAAGTAATTTAGTCAATGTTAAATAAATGAACTTTGGAGAGCTATTGGAAATATATATATATATATATATTTACAATTTTTCATCTATGATGAAGATAATGATATCCCTATGCCTAATTCATTATTGCTTTATTCACCCATTTATCTCATATATTTATTCATAATATTCTCCTATGTCAAGCTGTGCTTTCAGGTGACAGTTGTATATACCATAAGGAGCATATTTGGCTATAGATATTATCTAAGGCTATAATCTCAATAAAATAATATAAATATTAATGAAATCTAAAATTAATAAATTCTATTATTTTTAAATGTATAGATAAAATTACTAGAAAAAATACATTGGAATTACTACTATGTGTACTGAGTGTTATTGACTGTGGGTACTTTTTTTTTTTTTTTTTTTGCGACAGAGTCTTGCTCTGTCACCCAGGCTGGAATGCAGTGGTGTGATCTCGGCTCACTGCAACCTCTGCCTCCTGGGTTCAAACAATTCTTGTGCCTCAGCCTCCTGAGTAGCTGAGATTACAGGAGTGCACCACCACACCCGGCTAATTTTTGTATATTTTAATAGTGATGGGGTTTTGTCATGTTGGCCAGGCTGGTCTTGAACAGTCCTGGCCTCAAGTGCTCCACCTGTCTCAGCCTCCCAAAGTGCTGGGATTACAGGCATGAGCCACAGGGCCCGGCTGACTGTGGGTACTTTTTCTTTCTTTAAGCATAGCCTGTGTTTTCCAAAATTTCTCTCATGAGCATATCATTCTTATTGTCAGGTCAGCCTGAAATAATCAAAAGGATTAGAATGTAGTTTTAAGAGATTATTTCAGTGAAAAGCTGGGAATAGCCATCTGGGAAACATGAACTCCAGAGAAATGAGGTCAGTGCTCTGAAGTTAAAGTTAAAATCTTGCTTATATAGGATAGAAAACAAAGAAACTTAGTAGGATTACAGCGTTTTCTATACAAGCCTGGTTTATGTGTTACAACAATTTAATTAGTTACCATTGGTTTTCTTTTCTATACAGCTTTTCTTTTCCTTTCCAGTTTAAAAGAGTATATTTAACATTCCATCTTAGACAATGCAAAAGTCATGAAGTGTTTGTGTGTTAGAGTTAAGAGGGAAGTTAATCTGTAATGAAGATCAGCAGTTAAGAGGGAAGGGGTCTTGCCTGGAACCCGTTAGTCATTCACAACATTTTACAAGACAGTGTAAGAAAGGGAAAAGGCTAATCCATAATCAAAGAAACAAAGGTTAGAGCTGCTTAGGTTACAGGTCTCTGCTTATGTGACTTAGGACCCATAATCACATTCCCTTACAGCTGAATTATTTTAAAGGTCCAACAGCTTAGAGTTTGAATTACTTATTTTCATATTACATTTAGAAAAAGCCAATCTGTCATTAAAAAAAAATAAAGATGCATGAAGGTTGAGGAAGAGTGGTGGTAAGGTCACAAGGAGTCATATGTAGGCTCATGTGTTCACACTCACATATTCACTATAAGGAAAGAATAAAGCCAAGAAAGAAAAAGAAAAACTCAATTTCTTGTCATCCTTGTAGGGGTGGAAAGGAAGTCAAGTCACGGAAAATGCTTTCTGTTTACCTCTTTAAGAAGTCACTGACTACCAGTCTTAACTACGGAAATTTTTTCTTTTTTTCTTTTTCTTTTTTGAGATAGAGTCTCACTCTGTCACCCAGGCTGGAGTGCAGTGGTGTGATCTCGGCTCACTGTAACCACCGCCTCCGGGTTCAAGTGATTCTCCTGACTCAGCCACCTGAGTAGCTGGGATTATGGGTGTGCACCACCATGTTTGGCTAATTTTTGTATTTTTAGTAGAGACAAGTTTCACCATGTTGGTCAGGCTGGTCTTGAACTCCTGACCTCGTGATTCCCCCCCCTTCGGCCTCCCAAAGTGTTGGGATTACAGGTGTGAGCCACCATGCTCGGCAAACTGCAGATATTTTTGTGGCAGGTAGACGCACCAGTTGCTGGATAAAAACCGTTTTTATTTCATAATTTGAACAGTTACCATTACCATTTCTTTTTAGTATCATTAAAGATTTAAGCACATAGAAAAACATAGAGAAAAATGTAATAGACATATGCCCATGATCCAGCTTTGTCAAAATTTTGCATTTTTGCTAAATTTGCTTCAGATATTGCATTGTTGTCAAGTTAAACATTACAGCTTTATGGTGGATAAGGGGAAAGACATCAGGTAGCCCCTGATTGGAGGCCATTGTTGTGGGGAATCTGGAGGCAGGGTAACTAGAAGTGGGACATCTTATGTGCTTGGTTAGGGGTACATATTTGGCTTTCTCTGGTGATAAGTTGTAAGCAGGGACAAAAATTAAAGAAGCTGTTAGTAATCAAGTCCTGGCTATTTGGGGCCAATTGCTATAGAGGTCATTGTTTAGCTTTGTGGATTGTCACTAGAGATAGCAATGTGTCTTCCTGCAAGTCTGACATAAAGTAGGCTGGCTTCTGGATTGTTCATTGGCAATAAAGGGATTGGTTTCCTGGGCAGGTTGCTGCAGGTCATGAGTCAATGTAACATTTTTATATATGGTCTGGCCACAGTCTGTAGATTCAGTCTCCCCTATATGTGAGGCTCAAATTCATTCATTTAGCTGTTGAATGGTATTTCATTATATGACTATACAACTATTTATTTATTCATTCTCCAGTTGATAAGCTTGGATCTCAGCTTTTTAACATTCTGAACAATGCTGCCATTAATATTCATGTCTACTTGTAGAAGACATTTTCATTCAATGTTTTTATAAGATAACTTTCCTGCTATGTGGCTGCTTTCTGGTTTTGGACCAGAAAGATATGATGAGTATCTATAACTCTTGTCTTTTCCCTTGGTCAGAGCTGATGTACTGTAACTATAATAGTGGATCGCTAGAATTAGTAAACAGTACCCAGGACTCCTAGAGCTTACAGAGGCAGGTCAGAAAATCACATTTGCCTGGTTTTTAAATTCTTATGACAAAATGTCATTATTTCTCTTCCTTTTACAAAAATCCAAGCTCCTCCTTTTCTTTCTTCATCGTCTCCCTTTGTCTGGAGTTAGTCAGGATGGCAACTTCACCACTCCAGCAGAATAGAAACCTCTTTAAGCTAGCTATTATAAATAGCCTCCAGAGTTGCTTATTCAGACATTATCACATAAAGCTCACTCAGTGTGAATGTTTTCGGTCAAGGCCAGGTGACTAATAGATACTTAACTGGAAGTTAAATTGACCACAAATTCTACGATGAACCCTTGGTATTGAGTAATTGTCAGCACTGTTATTTTACGTTTACCCTGTCCTTTAAATGCTCTACTGTGTATTGAATATTAATATTGTAATACATCCTTTTATACATGCATGCTTTCTAGGATTTTCAATAGCTTTTTCTTTCACTCCAGATATTCACTTAATGTACATTGATGTGAATAGTAACTATTTATTTCAAAGAAATGGTAAAACACACACACAATAACATTTCAGTCAACAATGAACTGGGTATATGACAGTGTTCCCATGAGATTATAACGCTGTATTTTTACCGTATCTTTTCTATGTTTAGATACACAAATATTCACCATTGTGTTACAATTGCCTACAATATTTAGTACGGTAATAGGCAGTACAGGTTTGTAGTCTAGGAGCAATAGGCCATGCAATATAGCCTAGGTGTGTAGTAGGCTACACCATCTAGAATTGTGTAAATGCACCCTATGATGTTCATAGGACAAAGTCACTTAATGATGCATTTCTCACACTGTAGCCCCGGCATTAAGGAACACATAATAGGAAAAATATGAAGTTGTGATCCTCACTTACGTAACCAAGTTTTTGTTTTGTTTTTATTGTACATATTTAAGGTAGACAACATGATGTTTTGATATACTTGTACATAGTGAAATGGTGAGTACAGTTGCACAAGTTAACACATCCATTGTCTCTCATAGTTATACTTTTTTGTGTGTGTTAAGGCACCTAAAATCTACTCTCTTAGCAAATTTCCAGTATGCATGACAATATTATTAACTACAGGCTTCATACTGTACATGACAGATCTTTAGACTTATTTATCCTATATAACTGAAACTTTGTACTCTTTGACCCACATATCCCATTTCCTGTTTAGTCACCTTTTGTTTGTTTTGTTTTGCTTTGCTTTTAGATTTTGTATATAAGTGAGATCACTTCTCCCTGTGTCTGACTTATTTCATTTAGGCTGATAACCTCCACTTGTACGTTGTTGCAAATGGCATGTTGCAACATACATGTTGCTGTTGCAAAAGGCAAGATCTTCTTTCTTAAAGTTGCAAATAGCAAGATCTTCTTTCTTAAGGTTAAATAATTTTCCATCCTATAGATATACCAGATTTTCTTTTTTGGGAGGGTGGGGGGAATGGAGTTTCACTCTTGTTGCCCAGGCTGGAGTGCAGTGGTGCCATCTCAGCTCACCGCAACCTCCGCCTCCCAGGTTCAAGTGATTCTCATGCCTCAGCCTCCCGAGTAGCTGGGATTACAGGTGCCCACCACCATGCCTGGCTAATTTTTGTATTTTTAGTAGAGACTGGGTTTCGCCATGTTAGGTAGGCTGGTCTCGAACTCCTGACCTCAGGTGAGCCACCAACCTCAGCCTCCCAAAGGGCTGGGATTACAGGCGTGAGCCACCACACCTGGACACCGGATTTTCTTAACCACTTATTTATAGACAGCCACTTAGGTTGTTTCCATATCTTGGCCGTTGTTGAGTAATGTTGCAATGAACATGGGAGTGCAGATATCTTTATGAGGTGCTGATTTCATTTCCTTTGGGTATATACTCCAGAAAAGGGATTATTGGGTCATGTAGTAGTTCTGTTTTTAACTTTTTGAGGAACCTCTAAACTGTTTTCCATAATAGCTACACTAATTTATTCTTACTCCTACCAACAATGTACAAGGTTTCCCTTTTCTCCACACCCTTGCCAACATTTGTTATCTCTTGTTTTTTTGATAATAGCCATACTAATAAGTGTGGGGTGATATCTCATTGTGGTTTTGATTTGCATTTCTCTGATAATTAGTGATGTTGAGCACTTTTTCACATCTCTGTTGGCCATTTTTATGTCTTCTTTGGGAAAATATCTATCCAGGTCCTTTGCATGTTTTAAGATTGTGAGTTCCTTATGTATTTTGGACATTAACCCCTTATATAGATATATGGTTCTAAAATATTTTCTATCCATCTGTAGGCAACGTTTTGAATTTGTTGATTGTCCCCTTTGCTGTGCAGAAGTTTTTTAGTTTGAAGTAGTCAACTTGTTTGCTTTTGCTTTTGTTGCCATATCCAAAACAATAATTACTGAGGCCAACGTTAAGGAGCTTTTCCCCTGTGTTTTCTTCTGAGAGTTCTGTGGCTTCAGATTGTACAATAGTTCTTTGATTCATTTTGAGTTGCTTTTTGTGTAGAGTGTAAGATGAGATCCAATGTCATTCTTTCGTATATAGATATTTAGTTTTCCCAGCACCATTTATTGAAGAGAACTGTCTCTTCCCCTTTTGTCTTCTTGATGCTCTTGTCAAAAATTTGTTGACTATATATGCACGGGTTTATTTCTAGGCTCTGTATTCTGTTCCATTGGTCTATGTGTCTGTTTTTATGCCAGTACCACATTGTTTCAATCGCTATAGCTTTATGATAATTTTAAATCAAGAAGTGCAATACCCCAAACTTTGTTTTCGTTTTTCAAGATCGCTGTTTGGGGTTTTTGTAGTTCTATATGAATTAAAAAAAAAATTTTTTTTTCTATTTTCATGAAGAATGCCATTGGCATTTTGACAGTGATTGCATTGTGTCTGTATATTGCTAAGGGTAGTATATACATTGTAATAATATTCTTTCAACAATTCATGAATATGAAATATCTTTCCATTTATGTGTATCTTCATTTTCTTTCATTAGTCATTTAATAGTTTTCAGTGTATAGATCTTTTATCTCCTCAGTTAAATTTATTCCTAAGTATTTTATTGATTTTGATGCTATTACAAATGGGATAGTTTTCTGTATTTCTTTTTCAGGTGGGTTGTTACTGGTGTAAAAAAATACAACTAATTTTTGTATGTTGATTTTGCATGGTGCAACTTTATTAAGTTAATTTTATTTATTTAGAGACAGAGTCTAG
Organism: Homo sapiens; assembly: GCF_000001405.40. Taxonomy (NCBI): domain Eukaryota; kingdom Metazoa; phylum Chordata; class Mammalia; order Primates; family Hominidae; genus Homo; species Homo sapiens. Next base: position 23,782,464 of record NC_000010.11, read on the forward strand.
TTCTGTCACCCAGGCTGGAGGTGCAGTGGTGCGATCTCAGCTCACTGCAACCTCTGCCTCCCAGTCTCTAGTAATTCTCCTGCCTCAGTCTCCCAAGTAGCTGGGACTACATGCATGAGCGAACACACCTGGCTGATTTTTGTATTTTTAGTAGAGACGGGGTTTCACCATGTTGGCCAGGCTGGTCTGGAACTCTTTACCTCATGTGAGCTGCCTGCATGGTCCTCCCAAAGTATATTATGTTTATTAGACCTAACAATTATTTTTTTGTATGGAGTCTTTAGGGTTTTCCACATATAGGATTATGTCATATGCAAATAAAAATAGTTTTACTTTTTCCTTCCCAATTTGGATGCCTTTAATTACTCGTTATTATCTGATTGCTCTTGCCAGTACTTCTACTATTATGTTGAATACAAGTATTAAGAATGGGTATCCATGCCTTGTACTGGATTTTAGAGGAAAAGATTACAGTTTTCCCCCATTAATTATTATGTTAGCTGGAGGCCTTTCATAAATGGACTTTGTTATGTTGAAGTTCTTTTCTATACCTAAATTGTTTTGAGTTTTTAATCAAGAAAGAATGTGGAATTTTGTCAAATGCTTTTTCTCCATCTGTTTAGATCAGGGTTTTCCAATCTTTTGGCTTCCCTGGGCCACACTGGAAGAAGGAGAATTGCCTTGGGCCACACATAAAATACATTAAGACTAAGGATAGCTGATGAGCTTTAAAAAAATTGCAAAAAAATCTCATACTGTTTTAAGAAAGTTTACAACTTTGCGTTGGGCCACATTTAAAGCTATCCTGGCCTGCATGTGGCCCATGGGACACAGGTTGGACAACCTTGATTTAGATGATTATGCTTTTTATTTCTCATCCTGTTAATGTCATATATTACATTGATTTATTTGTCTATTTAAACCAACCTTGCATCCTAGGGATGAATGCTGCTGACTCATGGTGTATAATATTTTCAATGTGTAGTTGATTTCAATTTGCTGGTATCTAATTGAGGATTTTTGCATCAATATTTATAAGAGATATTGACTTATAGTTTTCTTTTTGTTTTAGGTGTTTTTATCTAGTTTTGTTATCAGACAATGCTGGCCTCATAAAATAAGTGTGGAAGTATTCCATCTTTTGTTTTTTGAAGTGATTTAGATGGATTGGTATTAATTTTTCTTTGAGTGTTTGGTAGAATTCATCCATGAAGCTCTCTGGTCATGGTTTTGTGGCTGTTTTTGTTGGGAGGTTTTTAATTACTTTAATCCTTTCTGTGCTATTGATTTGTTCGGGCTTTTTGTTTCTTCCTGATTCAATCCTAGTAGGTTGTGTGTTCCTAAGAATTTATCTATTTCCTCTAAGTTATCCATTTTCTTGACAGGTGATTGTTTATAATAGTTCCTTAGGATTCTTCTTATTTTTAAAGCATCCATTGTAATGTCTCTCCCCTTCATTTGTGATTTTATTTATTTGAATCTTTCTTTTTTCTTAGGCTAAGGTTTTGTCGATTTTATTTATTTATTAAAAAAAAACTTTTGTTGGTTTTTTTCTGCATTTTTTATACTCTAATGAAGTATTGAAGTCTCCTGCTATTATTGTATTGCTGTCTATTTCTCCCTTCAGTTCTGATAATATTTAGGTGCTCTGGGGTTGGATTCATGTATGTTTACAATTGTTAAATACTTTCTTAATGAATTGACCCCTTTATCATTTAATAGTGAACTTCTTTGTTTCTTGTGACAATTTTTGACTTAAAATATATTTTGTCTATTATAAATATAGCCACCAGTATTCTCTTTGCATGGAATATTTTTTGTTAGGAATTTTTTTTAATACCTTCACTTTCAACTTGTGTGTCCTTAAAGCTAAAGTGTGTCTCTTATAGTCAGCATATAGTTGGATCATGTTTATATATCTACTCAGTCACTCTGTGTCTTTTGACTGGAGAATCTAATCCATTTCTACTCAAGGTAATTGCTGATAAGTAAAGACTTAGTGCTGCTATTTTGTTAATTGTTTTCTGTGGGGTTTTTTTTGTTTGTTTGTTTTTAGATCCTTTGTTCTTTATTTCCTTTCTTGCTGTCTTCCTTTGTGACTGGATGATTTTCTATAGTAGAATGCTTTGATTTCTTTGTTTTTATCTTTTGTGCATTTAGTATATGTTTTGCTTTGTAGTTACCATGAGGTTACATAGCTAGTCTTATAGTTATAACTGTCTATTTCAAGTTGATAATGTCTTAATTTTGATAACATATAAAAACTCTACACTTTTATTCTACCCTCACATTTTAATTTTACAATGTCACAATTTTCATTTTTAAATCTTGTATATTCCTTTATAAATGAATGTAGCTGTAGTTACTTTTTGTCTGTGACCACTTTTAAAACCCAGTTTCTTAACTCACAGACCTTTTCCCCTATGTGAATCCCACTGCCTCCATCATTTCTTGCCTGAACTATTGTTTTGAAAAAAAACCAACGCTTTTGAACAATTTTGCTATCTCTGGGCTTACTTCCTTTCAAGCTACTCTTCCAACTGCTACCAGAATGATATTTCTAACATGAAAATCTAATTACTTTCCTTCTTAAAATCCACTGGGGCTTCTTATCATCTTTAAAATAGAGTAACAACTGGCTAGTGTGATGTGAAAGGCCCTTTGTGACTTGAATGCCACCTCTCCAAGTTCCTCTTCTGTCACTCTCCAGCATAATCATGTGCCAAGCAGCCCTATCCTCCAGCTACACCCAGAAGTTCCCAGATGCGCCATAGGGCCCCAGACCCTTTGCTTGGAGTATTCCTTCTTCCTTTATTTATCTGACTAACTCATCCTTTAGGAGTCAACTGCTCTGTGAAGCTGTTCCAGAGCCTGTTCCCTCACCTGCAGAATCAGGTACCCCCTTACCCCTGTGCCTCAGCATCCACACATTTCTGTTATGGGACTTGACATAGAGTTTTATAATTAGGAACATGCTTGAGTCCCCCATTAGACTTTGGGCACTTTATGGAGAAGGACTGTCTTGAAGTGTTCATCTATTTTATTTTTCATCACTTTGAATTTCAATTAAAACCTTGTAAATATGCACATGTATACATGCACACATACATACCTACAAATACCTCACTTTTAACTCCCCTCTGCCACTTGTTTTCTGAACATGGACATGTTATTTAACCATAAGACCTTAGCTTCCTCATGAAAAGGTTGGGCTTTGGTAGATTTTAGGAGCTTAGAGGAGTCATTAAAAATTGTAACCAAGGATTCATCAAGAGTAAGGTCATTTTTTCTATCCTTAGCACTCAGAAATATATGTAGTAATTTGTTGAATAAATTAAAGGAAGTAAGGAAGGAAAAGGGGCTGGAGTAAAAGAGTTGAGGAGAAAAGAGTAAAGGAGAAAGAAAAAAAGGAACATGAAGCCATATGGGGTGAGTGGGATACATAAACAACATCAGAATTCTGTTGGAAATAAAGAAAAAGGAGGAGACCAATGCTGGGCAGACAAGTAAAGTATTCACACTAAAAATAAATCAGACATAAAAGTTGCCCTCAAAAAACTTCCTCTCTGGTAAAAGAGATTAAAACAAGTATCTACATAAAATTACAAGGCAAGTAGTGAGAATTGTCTGGGGCAATTGGTCTTCTGTAAAAGTCCATGGAATTAACAAATAATTGAGCAACAGAGGTACAGGGGGAAGTTCTTATGGGACTTCAGAGGAGAAGAAAATTCCATCTAGCTGAAAGAGTCTAGGAAGGGATAAATAAAACTTGACTTAGGCGGTAAGGACAGGGAGGATTTGGTTAATATGGATAAGGGGGAGAGTTTGGGGTGATGGGAGGAGGGGAGGAGAACATTCCAGGCAGCATGAGGAAAGGAGAGTGAATGGGACTTGAGATTAAACCAGTTTGGCCAAATCATTCTGTTTTGGTGGCTCACAGTCATGCCTCTATGACAACAAATTCTGACAGTTTAGACATGCATTATTTTATTGTCTTGACTTTTCCGGCTATTGTGGTAACCACAAATACCATTTCTACCTCTCCCAAAATTTTAAAGTCTATTCAGAAGTAGCCAAAAAAAAAAAAAAATTAGTTACAATAGTGACATGTAACTATCCTAACTCCGACTTTGGTACATGCTGCAAAGATGGAGACTTAGGAAGTGAGCTCCTGTAATCATTAAGCATAGGCCATGGCAGAGTTTTCATAGCCTTGCTTCCTAATGAAGGATTGAAAATTATTTAGCCAGAGTAAAGCAAAGGCTAAAAGAGGAGCTAAACTCAGCAGGCTCAGGGAACCCAGAGAGCACACAGGAATGATACCACACCTGACCACAGAGAATTACACTTTCTGCTTGTGCTACTCAGAAGTCTGAACTCCTCTAGTGAAAGTGTTTTCCAATCATCAAAGCTTAACCTTTACCGATCATGACAGCTATCTTTGTGTCCTGCTCACAGGTCTTCTGTAGAGGAGGCTGAATATGACAATGAGAAATGGAAATCATGTTTTCTGTTTTATGGACATTTTAAAAAATGTTAAAGTTTTAATAACATATTTTTCTTCTGAGCAACATTTTAAAATTTAAAATCTATCTTTGAGTCTTTTTTGCATTATAAGGAATTCCACAAGATAGTAAAAATGCGAGTTTAATACATTTTGTAAATATTGTGGAATAAAACAATTTCCTCCTCTTTATGAATTAGCTCATATTTCCAAATGTTCACCAATCACATTGATCCTCTGGGGTGATTTAAATATGGAGTGTGATAAATACAAAAATCCTCTTGTTAGAAAATAGCATTAGAATATATGAGATTCTAAGAGATTTATGTCATTTGACTTTCAATAATTACTGGTTACCTGCTATGGCTGGTATGAGGCTAGGTATTGGGTATATAACGGTACAGAAGCATTCCTGACAATATCATCAGTGATCCAGGAGCAGGAACCAGGTCCTTATAATTCTACAGGTACAGATATTGGTAAACACAGGGTTCTTCAGGAGCTTGCCAAATCCAGGCTCTAGGGTCAAGAAGGGATCCTAGAAAATAGACCATTAAGGTAGAGTGCTAAATTGGAAGGAGGGGTTGGAGGTGATGTTCTGGATAAAAGTTACAGTCTACTCAGAGGCTATGGGATGAAAGGAAGCATGCCACTGGAGGAGTATTGCTGGGAATTGTGAGGAGACAAACAAAACAAAAATCCGCCACAATGCTCAAATTTCTAATTCAATGTGTTACATGCATATTTTATGAGAAACAGCCTTTCTTGTCTGATATTTCTTTTCTAAACCAATTGGTGAAACAAATAATCGTAAAAATGTTAACCCACTGCAATTCCTTTTGGAGCATATTTTTTTTTTAGGACAGAAATTTGTGAAAATGTTGTTACCTTGTGTTTAGTGTTTCCTTCATTGGTAAGTCCTCTGTCAAACATAATTAATTATGGGGCTGGGCATGGTGGCTCACACCTATAATCCCAGGATTTTGAGATGTTCAAGTGGGAGGATCAGTTGAGGCCAGGAGTTCAGGCCAGCTTGGGCAACAAAGCGACACCCTATCTCTACAAAACAAAAATGAAAAAATTAGCCAGGCACAGTGGCACACACCTGTAGTCCCAGCTACTTGGAAGGCTGAGTTGGGAGAACTGCTTGAGCCTGGGAGTTTGAGGCTGCAGTGAACTATGACTACACCACTGTATTCCAGCCTGAGCAACAGGGCAAGACCCTGTTTCTGGAAAGGAAAGAAAAATAACAAAAACCAAACCATAACTTGTTATTTGAGAAAAGTTAAGATTCTCTTCATTTCAATTTGTTGATAGCCCAGTGGGAGAAACATGGAATTTCTGAGTTGGAAAAGCCTAATGGAATTCATAGACCTTTATTTGCCAAGGAGTTCTCAATGGGAGGAAGTAAGTTGCCCAAGGTTACTCAGCCTCTTGGGGCTAATGCTAGAGCTAGAGCTCAAGGTTTTTAATTCCTATCCAGTACCATTCTCCAGATGCCCAGAATTTAGACATAAGGTTTCCAAAAAAGGCTTGGTAGGGATCCCCTAGTTCTGCTGTGAAGTGCCCACTGTGACATTATCCTTTGTTTCCACTTCCCTCTGCCCCCATATGGGGTTTTAATTAATTAATGGAAGGTCAGATGGCAAATGATTTGCTTTCTGATGGGATTTTGATATGCATTGTTGAGAGCAATTACATATGCACATTTTGGAGACAGCAGCTTCCTGACTGTACTCATTTACATGGCTAATCACCATGAGCAGCACTTGTCAGGCAGCTCTATCTGTAGGGGTAGGACAGGCACGGGGAGAAGCCAACAAGGACATAACACAAAACACTCACGTTATACTCTTTCAAACTGAAACGCTCAATGGCACATTTTAGATGAAGCCAAGTGACTTGTTATTACTATTACCAATGTCCTTTTAATTGAGGCTTCAGATGACCATAGAACTCGGTGACCTTAAAGAGATGAGCTCACGTCAAAAGGGACAATTTTTGATATATTTCTTTACAGTGTGAAAGGGTCAATGAACTGGCATTTGCCAATAAAAGGCAAAGCTCTTTTTGCATCTCTATAATTCTTAATAAAATTTGAGACCAAATGAGAAAACTTTGTCTTTTCTATTTCCGTTTCTCTGATTGTGAAATAAATTAGTAAGTGAAAAGAGAAATAACTTCTATTTTATTAAGGTTTTTTTGTAGTTTTATTGCAATAGACATAGCTAAGGCATCAGTATTAGAGGCTTGTGTTGGTGACTTTTATTTTTAATCTTTGGTGATTCAACGTTTGCATTTAGATTTCTGAAAAAGACTACTGTGTGAGTAATCTGGTATTGTACAGTACACTGATTATCTGAAAACAAAAACCTGCCATTTGTAAGCATTTCCTTTTTCTCTAGACATATCGTGCAGAATCTGCCATGAACGCAGGCTCTAGAATCAAATATTGTTAGGCTCTTACCTTAGTGCAGCCTTATACCACCTGAAAGATGCTGGGTAAATTGACGTAAACTTCTTGAGACTCAGAATTTTCTTCTGCACAATGGGATGATAATGGAATCCAAGTCACAGGGTATTAATGAGGATTAAGTGAGGTGAAGTGAGTGAAGCCTTGGCAAGATACATAGCCCATTCTAGCAACTCAGTAAATGCTATGAAATATAATATGACTGGTAATGTAGAGCTTTATTCAGCTTTTCAGACTGTACCTGATATTTCAAACCCTCATAATTGCGCTGACTCTGAGTTCATCACTGAGAAATGGCCAACTTTGGTTATAAGTATGGAAGTTCTTATAAGTACTATTTCTCTAACACTTACTAAGCTGTCAGTGCATGGTCATAGGTGATATTTGTAGTAAATGCCATGTAGAAATTTCATTTGGTGAAAATAGTTCCCTTCATATATATATATCATATATATGATATATACATATACATATGCATATACATGTATATATACACATATACATATACATGTATATATACACATATACATATACATATATACACATATACATATACACATATGCACATACACATATACACATATGCATATACACATATACATATGCATATACACATATACACATATGCATATACACATATACACATATGCATATACACATATACACATATGCATATACACATATACACATATGCATATACACATATACACATATGCATATACACATATACACATATGCATATACACATATACACATATGCATATACACATATACACATATGCATATGCACATATGCATATGCACATATGCATATGCACATATGCATATGCACATATGCATATGCACATATGCATATGCACATATGCATATATACATATGCACATATGCATATATGCATATATACATATGCATATATGCATATATACATATACATATGTATATATACATATGTATATATACATATATACATATACATATATACATATATACATATACATATATACATATATACATGTGCATATATACATATATACATGTGCATATATACATATATACATGTGCATATATACATATGTATATATACATATATACATATACATGTGCATATATACATATGTACATATGTATATATACATATGTATATGTACATATATACATGTACATATATACATATGTATATATACATATATATGTACATGTATACATATGTGTATATATATACATATATATCATATATATAATATGTATGTATATATACACACACATATATATATGTATGTATGTATGTATGTATGTATGTATGTAAAATCTGAGACAGGGTCTCCCTCTGTCACCCAGGCTGGAGTCCAGTGGCATGATCTTGATGCATTGCAACATCGACCTCCTGGGCTCAAGCCATTGTCCTGCCTCAGCACCCCCCAATAGCTGGGACTACAGGGATGTGCCACCAGGCCCAGTTAATTTATATATTTTTTTGTAGAGTCAGGGTTTTGCCACGTTGCCAGGGTGGTCTCAAACTCCTGGCCTCAAGTGAGCCTCCTGCCTTGGCCCTCCAAAGTGCTGGGATTACAGGCATGAATAACCATACCAGGCCAAATAGGTCACTTTTAAAGAATACGTGGTTTTCCCCATTGTATTACCAATTAAAATGAGGGGAAAAAAGACTCTTTTGACATCTATAAATAGCTGTCTTTCAAAAATTCTGTTAATTTGGTTTATTGCTATAGACATTCTTAATAATCATATGATTTCTGGTCATAATAATTGCTGAATCTTTGAATTCTGTTTTAAAAAACTTTGTATAATGAAAAATGTCAAACCTATACAGAAGTTGAGAGAAGAATATGATAAGCCCATATGTATACCTCACCCAACCTCAACAATTAACAATATATGGCCAGTCTTATTTCATCTAACTTCCCACTCACTTCCCTCTTGTCTCATCACAGTGAGTTATTTTGAAAAAAAGAAAGCCAGACATTACATTATTTTATTCCTAAATACTTAGAAATATATCACGAGAGGATAAGGACCCTTTGGTGTTAATAAAACCACAGTACCAATATCACACCTTAAAAATTAAATTCCTTAACATCATCAAATATCCAGTCAGTTCTCTAATTTCTGCAATTATTTCATGAGCATAGCATTGCTTTATAGTTTAAGTACCGCTTTTGTGTAAAAGAAAATGAAAGAAAAATTAAAAAGTAATTTTATTGTGCATTTGTGTTCATGTGGTGTATACCATAGTAATTTCTGTCATTTGTCTCCTAGGAAGTAACATATTGAAAAATATCTTTTTAGTAGTTGCATTTTACAAGGCAACTGCTAGATGCATCTTGATCCCAAAGATGAGAATTTTACTGGGAGTTAGAAATACCACAGCCTACATCAGCATTACTGTTTTATATTTCCACCAAATAAGAAGTGATTTTTTTTCTCTGTTATCTAGACACTGTCGATGAAGACTAATCCAGAATAATTTATACTTCCAATTTTATATTTAGGAAACCCATTGCAAGAGTTTCCTTTGATTTGCAATTTGAGCTACATGCATACTGTGTTCTGTCTTGGAAAAATACTGATATCTATGGAAAGTTTCATGACTTTCTTCTGTAAAAGCTATAAGTGGCCTAGAAATCAATTAAATAGAAAGTCTCTCATTAGGGTGATCATTTTATGATATGTTTTATCTTTGCAAGCCAGGACACTGGAGGACAAAACAAACATTTAACCCTGTCAGTGGGGTCAGGAAAAGGCCAAGCTTTTTCACTTTCTGCCATAGCTATTCCAGAATGTTCACGTGTAAATCATGCTTTCAGAGCCAAGCTATGCTTTAGATGTCTACAGAAGCCTGCTATTTAAGGAAAACTACAGTGAATCCTTTTGCAAAGTGAGGAATACATTGTTTTGAACCATGAACAAATATGATTAATTTAGTTCTCTTATAGTAAACTTTCCGCATATTAGTCTTTTTGAATGGACCTAACTTGAATGTCATTACTGTTAAAATATTAACCTCTTTTTACTCTTTTTATTTTTATTTATTTATTATTATTATTATTTTTTGAGATGGAGTCTCGCTCTGTCATCCCAGGCTGGAGTGCAGTGATGCGATCTTGGCTCACTGCAAGCTCCGCCTCCCGGGTTCATGCCGTTCTCCTGCCTCAGCCTCCCCAGTAACTGGGACTACAGGCGCCTGCCACCACGCCCGGCTAATTTTTTGTATTTTTTTTTTTTTTTAATAGAGACAGGGTTTCACCATGTTAGCCAGGATGGTCTCGATCTCCTGACCTTGTGATCCACCTGTCTCGGCCTCCCAAAGTACTGGGATTACAGGTGTGAGCCACTGCGCCCGGTCTCTTTTTATTTTAAAGTAAGATTGAACGTGGGTAAAAACTCTAAGCTTCTGTGGCCTTATAACTACTCCATTCTATAGAACTGCATTTCTCTGAGATTTGCTTGCTTTTCTTCTCTGAGCCAGTGTTATGTTTAAATGGAGCCAGTGAGTCTTCATTCGCCATTTTTCACAGTGCCTTACAGTTTGTCACACCAGTGGGTTGAATGATTTTCCAGGAAACATCATCACCTCTCATGTGGGAGAAGGGATGACAAGGGATGTGGGAGAAGGCAAGGTCATTTCTGCTCCAGACCGTGTCACAGAAGAAATGAGTGACGATTTGTGCATGGTTCTCTTCTATTGATTAGGAATGTGCGCGCTTCAGTCCCGTTCCTGTGTATGTTCTTGTCAGGATGAGATTTCTAACTGCTCAGTTGTCTCACTGTGGTCACAAGGAGAACTTCACAAGTGAGTGGAGAGGACCCAGAAAACCCCTTTCTACTCATGGCACAGCAGCCCACAAGATGAGATCCCTATGCCACTCCCAGATAGCACGTCCCCGGTGCGTTCTGTGCTTTTGCCTTGGGCATGATTATTCCATGTCACTGATGGCTTCCTGGCTGAAGGTTAAATGTCTGTGTGAGCCAAGAAGGCACATTCCTGTTCATGCCTGTCTTTACTTTTCCCTCCTTGTCTTCCAGTTCTGGTCCTGTTTGCTTCCTGGACATTTTGCACTACTTCCAGGAAAAGTCCTGTCATTCAATGAAAATGTAGTACAATTAAACGTACTTCTACTGAGCACATTTTTGGCAAGAAAAATAATGTCTTGGCTGTAAGTCCGCTGCCTGAAACACACTGATAGTTGCTAACCATGCACATTTTTTCATATAAAATGTCCACACAGAAGTTCGCCTGCTGTCTGGACCTGGGTTCTTCCTCCCTTGCTGCTGTAACTGCTGCTACAGCCGCCTTGTGACCTACCACACAGGCCAGCCACAGGCAAGCACAAAGCACACCCCTAGCTGTGGACTCAAAACTGACAGAGATAAGTTGGGCTTCTGTCAGTAAGAGCTCTTAAAAGCAAAGGAGATAATTTCATTTTGACCTTTTCTCCCTACGGTTCAAATGAGGTGAAATTAATTTTAATAGTCATTAATCAAAGGCATTTTGACCATTAATGTAAAATCATTGCTTTTAAAAGCACCCGGATGCTTGTTAAGAGGAAACTATTGCCCTTCCAAATAGTCTTCATTTTTAAAAATATCCTTTAACATCGTAAGATCATAGAATTTTGAGACCTGCTTAAACTTTGCTTTCCAACTTGCCTTTAAGCGATTCCTTTCTAGACCAAAGTGCAGTAAGAAATGTGTCATGTCTTCCCACCTGTTGATGGGTTGCTTTGTTAAGTGGATGCTACTCCATGTCCCATTCTGAGATGCTTACCTTTTGCTGATTTCACTGATATCACTAATCATAAAGTCTTTACATGTTTTGGGGAATATCCTAACACTTATGAAATGGACATCAGGGCAGGGGGTAAAAATCTTTCATATAATAACTTGGCTTGTGAGATAAGTTGATTCGTAAGGAAACCGACCCATCCTGTTCTACTCTCTATCTATTTCCAATTGTAGGGGACTAAGCAAAGCTCAAGTTTTCACTAAAGAATGACACGTTTTTCCCTCAGGCTTTTGGCTTTTGCTTACAAAAGCAGAGAAAGCTGTTGTTAATATTTTCATTTAGCTGACAAAATTGCAGTTATCTCTTTTAGCGAGGTTTTGATATTTGTTAACAACTGTGAATCATTTCATAGATAATTCAAGCCTTGGCTTTCATCCTGTCAGATTTCAGAACAAAATTTTAGATTTCCTGAAATAAATGTGGAATGCATGCTTTGCTCAAGGTAGAATAAACCTAACCTCTATGAAGTCAATTAAATAAATGTGTAATGGATCACCTTAACCTGGGAGGCTGGGATCTCTAAAAGTGTCTGATGATTTTAACGTGTATACGTGTGTTTCTTTTGGTGGTAAATATATAAAGATACATCTTTTATCTGATTGTCAAAAGGCATTTGGCTATCACTTGATTTTACCACTTGCAACAGAGATGTCAGGTGAGCTACTTACTCTTTGAATAGCTGATTACATTTCGCCTGACTCAGTTTCCAGCTTGTGATGCCCCAAAGTCCTTTGTAGGAGAGCTGGGAAGCCCCAGGGCTTTCTTCCTCACGGGACCCTCAGCCTCAGTGCTCCTGGGTGTGTGTGACAGTTTCAGCCTGCCTCAGCCTGGCCACAGAATACCACCTCTTTCTCAACCAGTGCCTGTAAGAACAGCCCCATTAATAACATTTTCTGACTTTAGTAATCTTTATTGACAATTTAGGGGCTATGGAGAGAGATCACTCAAGAAAGGACCTCCTTTGATGTCTCCTTATCTCCACTTCATTTTCTCTTGGTCTCCCTGCCTCCCTTACTAAAGAAACAAATTCCCTCCCTTATGCCTCACTAGTTCTCCCAGAGGTCTCAGCTTCCACCCTTGGTGCTTATCTTGTTGCCAAATTGAACTTGGGTCCACTTGCCCCGTGCACAGAAAAAGCCACATGGACACCAGGATTTGCAGCAAGAGAAAATGAGACATGATTTCAGGGCACAAAGCAAAGAAAATGGGCTGCTAATGCTTAAGACCTGAACTTCTCAATGGCTTATAAGCAAGGGCTTTTAAAGGCAGGGTACATTTCAGGAAACCAGAAGTTATAGGCAAAATCATAAATCATTATATGGTGGTTATAAAGTGGTTCGGTCCAAAAGGCTGGATATCTTGAAGTAAGGACTTATAGGTCATAGGTAGATTCAGAGATTCTTTGCTAAAAACTTGGGGTCAGCAGAAGGAAGTTCTCAGGTTTGGCCTACAGGCATGACTCTCTTCGGGCCCATCAGGAAGAAATGCAAAACAAAGAGTGGTAGTCAGAGTTCAGTCCATAGTTCCCCCTTTTCTGAGGTCTATATGATAGCAATTGGCATTTTTCATCTTCTGGGGGTCCAGATTGCTATAAAACAACTCAAGAAGATATGTTAAGATGTTATCTTTTAGTTTCCATAGGGACCCAAAACACCTTGTGACTCTGACTTGCTTGGGAGACTATTATTACTATCTTGTTTGCTTTATCAAATTGTTCGTTTACTTTTCAAGGCTAAGTGCCTGGAATTTCCCTTGAAAGAACTCAAAATTTTTCCTTTATTTCCATGCTTCCAGGGCCCTGGCAGGCTCCTAAGTCAAGTCCCTGCTCCATGTCAATCTTTGTAGTTTCCTAAAGAAACCTGGAATATAAAGTGATCTCTGTCTTCTTACATGCCATGCAAAGATTTTAGCTTTGGTTCCCAAAGGACATAGGGGTGTGTTAGGAAAGATGCCTAGAAAGCCAGGATGTCTGGGTTCTGAGAGTCTTGACCCTGACCCTCTAAATGACCTTGTCTTAGTCACTTCACCTCTGTAAACGTCAGTTTCCCCATTTGTAAAGTGGAGATGATAACATAAGCCTTGCCTTCCCGAGAGACTGCTTATTTATTTATTTATTTATTTATTTATTTATTTTTTAATTGAGACGAAGTCTCACTCTGTCACCCAGACTGGAGTGCAATGGCATGACCTCGGCTCACTGCAACCTCTGCCTCCCGGGTTCAAGCAATTCTTCTGCCTCAGCATTCCTAGTAGCTGGGATTACAGGTGTGCACTACCACACTGGTTAATTTTTGTATTTTTAGTAGAGTTGGGGTTTCACCATGTTGGCCAGGATGGTCTTAAACTCCTGACTTCAGGTGATCCACCCATCTCAGCCTCCCAAAGTGCTGGGATTATAGGCATGAATCACTGCGCCCGGCTGCTTTGTTTGTCTCTTATGTTCTTTGATATCCTGGAGGGTAGAGCAGCTCCAGGGTCTGGACCTTCAAATTCTCATGGGAGAACAAAGCAGCTCTACCCACTAGGACCTTACACAGGAACCCATCACTGAAGGAACAGAATACTTTAGGTACATGACTTTAGTGCTTTTTAAGATATATGTATGTATACATACATACATAAATATTTGGAGACAAGGTCTCACTTTGCCACCCAGGCTGGAGTGCAGTGGTATAATCATAGCTCACTGCAGCCTCAATCTCCTGGGCTCAAGTGATCTTTTCACCTCAGCCAACCCAAGTAGCTGTGACTCAAGGCAGTGCTACCACATCTGGCTAATTGTTTCTTAATTTTTTGTAAAGACAGGATCTTACTATGTTGCTCAGGCTAGTCTCAAACTCATGGCCTCAAGCGATCCCCCTGCTTTGGCCTCTCAGAGCTGTAAAATGTATATTTTAATACAAATATTGTCCATAGTGTTATGTGGGTCTGGAATATTCCAGCTGTATCACCTTTCCTGATGAAGGGTCTGAGTGGACAGGAGAGTGTTTTCAGGCCTGAATGGTGATAGGGATGTGCTTATTGAACACTCATGACTCGTGACACTGGGGTCAGCAGTAGTTTACTACTCACAACTACCCTGAAGATAAGACATTTTTAATCTCTATTTCAGAAAGGAGGAGACTGAATTTGTGAGAGAATAAACAACTTGCTCAAGGCCACACAGTCATTATGTCCAATTTCAAAGTACAATTGACTCCAAAACTCGTGTTTCTGTATATTAGCCTGTTCTCACACTGCTATAAAGAACTACCGAGACTGGGTAATTTATGAAGCAAAGAAGTTTAATTGACTCACAGTTCCACAGGCTGTACAGGAAGCGTGGCTGGGGAGGCCTCAGGAAACTTACAATCATGGCGGAAGGTGAAGAGGAAGCAAGCACGTTTTCACAGGGCAACAGGAGAGAGCTAGCAAAAGGGGAAGTGCCACACCCATTTAAACCACCAACTGTCATGAGAACTCACTCACTATCATGAAAACAAGGGGGAAATCTGCCCCTATGATCCCATCACCTCCCACCAGGTCCCTCCCCCAACACTGGGAATTAAAATTCAATATGAGATTTGGATGGGGACACAGAGCCAAACCATATTATTCCATTATACCAAGTTATAGTACAGGGTGTCATTCATGCAGAAGAACATCTGAACTTTCTACAGCCACCAGTTCTCATGAATCCTAGAAGGAGATTTAAACTTGGAGGAACAATAGATTGTAAGATCTTTAGGGACTCTGCCACCTATAGCATTCCAAGAGGTCATTAATTCTTTTTTTAGTCACAAGTTCAATGGGGTGCTCAAAAAAGAAATTATTCCTTGTTTTGCCTCTTCCATTCAAACAATGGTCTCTGGAGTGTGATGTGCAAGAGAGTCAATCAGGTTGTAGAGGGAAAATATTAGGCAGGAAGAGGAAGTTGCCAGTCCCTCAAGGCCTGGCCTATGAACCAGCATTTTGCATTCTATGGGTGAGATTGTCATAGCATCCATCCAAGCTCAAGAGGAAGACACAGAGCTTACCCTCGATGGAAGCAATATCACGGAATTTCTGTCCATTTTAAATCTTCTTCAAGCTGCATTATTTTTGTAAAAATGATCCCAGCAAACCTGTCCTCATGGAAGCAGAAAGGACCATGTATAGGTGTCACATTCTGTGTCCTCCTCCATCACCACTTCTACCCATCATCTTCAGCATTGGCTTGGGCTTGGACAATTGACCCTCTGAGTTCTTTATGCCACTTCACGTTAATTTTTAAAGAAGATATATCCCAAATTGTTGGAGATAAAGATGTAGACTACCTCTTGAGTATAGTAGTTTTTTTGTTTGTTTGTTTTGTTTTGCTGTGAATCAATCAGGAAACTTAATGGTAGAGTGAGTGCAGAGCTCCATGGAGTTTGTTGTGTGTCTCCTAAAACTAGAAAAGAAAGGAAAGATTTTGTCCCCTAAAATATTCTGAAATGTGCAGTGATCCCTGACAGGCAAGGTGCTGTACTTCTAGTGCTTAACATCCTAACAACATCTAGCAGATTCTTTGTGGACAGTCTCCTGTCTATCATGTTCAGTTTGGCTCAAGCGTAGAGTCCATTGGAAGGAAGGATGAGAGATGGTGCCAGAGAGAAAAGAGCAGATTGCGAAGAGCCTTTGGGCTGCATGACAAAGTACCACAAACAGAGTGTCTCAAACAACAACAAAAAATATATTGTCTCACATTTCTGGAGGCTAGAAATTCAAGATTGAGATGTCAGCAGGGCCGGTTCCCTCTGAGGACTGTGAGAGAGAATCTGTGCCATGCCTCTTTCCCAGCTTCTGGTGGTTGCTGGCAAATTTTTGGTGTTCCTTGGCTTGTACATGCATCACCCTGGACTCTGCCTTCATCTTCTCATGGTGTTCTCCCTGTATGTGGCAGTCTCCATGTTTTCTTTCTTTTTTACAAGGGCATCAGTCATATTGTATTGAGGCCCAACCCTAACAACTTCTGTAAAGACCCTCTCTCCAAAGAAGGTCACATTCTGAGGTCCTGGGGGTTAGGATTTCAACATATAAATTTTGAAGAGGAAACTATTCGACTCCTAACAGACTTGTAAACCAGTAAAGGATTGTAGACTTTGAAATCAGAGTTTTTATTAGGATCATGTAAGATAATGTTTATGAAAGCACTTCACAAACTGTGAAGTACAACACAGATGTGAGTTGCTGCTATTGTAATTGCTATGCATGTTACAATTATTCAGCCTATTTCTTTCCATTTTCCTTTGATTTTTGGACTTTGCAGAGCAGACTGTCACGCTGCAGAAAGTGTGAAAATGGCAAAATGCTTCTACCAACATGGGATTTGGATGTGAGAAAAAACAGCTACCCTTTGCATATTCTTCTAAGGAATTAGGACCTACTAATTAATTTCTGATGTTTTGAGGGAATCCAATAAACTGCCTCTATAATTTGTATTGGACCTACCAAGACTCACTCTTGTACACAAGCCCACTGGGCTTATGTATGAAATAGAAATTCTATTCTGTTCTATTAAGAGAAACCTAGCAGCTGCCATTCTCTTCTGAAATGGAAAACCCCAAGGACCACCGTCTTTGGAATGTCAGATTTAAAATATAAAAAGGAGCTTATGTTCAAAAAGGCAGCAAACAGGGGAGGGTTCTATTGGACTAAGAATTGAAAATATGTTAGCCCTTCAAGAAATGCCTTTCTAGGATGTAAACAAGATTAATTTGAAAGTGATTTCTTTTGCCTCGCCTGTATAATATTTTTCTGGGAACAATTTTGTTTGCTTTGAAACTGTCACCACTGGGTATCTTAGAAATCTCTTGATTGCTTTTTCATCTTCTCACAGACCACCGACCTTGCACCCCTGCCTCTCATATTTTCACAAAAATGGAAGATCAAAATTCATTTAAACAGGAGTGAGAACTGCCATAAAACAGCAAATAGCATAATAGGAAATAAGACACTAATCCATACTGTATGAATTTGTTTCTCTGTTTATGTATATGATGACTTTTTTCCTCAGTGGATTTGAGGGGGTTCATAAAACCATGTAAATTACAATAAGATTAAATAAACAACCGAGGGAGCAAAAGCCAAGGAGCAAACATGGGTGACAAAATACGGAAACTAGAGGTGGGTTTAACACCATGAAATGTATACCCTGTGGACCTGTGCTTTCGCTGGAGCTGGACCTGAGATGGTGCCCAGCTTCTCAGTGGTCACACCATTCATCTCCAAATGCCTGGGTTCTGTAAGATAATCATAGTAATGAGCCCTGTGCCTGAGTAGCTGCTCTGTGTCCTTGCAGAGAAATTTCTTCCAGGGGCCCTCATAAAAGGACACTGTGTGATTATGGGCAGAGTCTTCAGCCCCTTTCGCTGTAGCAGATACAGAAGTGGACACCATGTGGTTGGGTTCTTGTATCTTCCCTTGATGAAGGTCAGTGGCATAATAGTGTGGCGTAATTAAAAAAGCAAACATATGAAAAAAACCTTATTATCACTGGTTATTAGAGAAATGCAAATCAAAACTACAATGAGATACCATCGCACGGCAGTTAGAATGGTGATCACTAAAACGTCAGGAAACAACAGATGCTGGGGAGGATGTGGAGAAATAGGAACACTTTTACACTGTTGGTGGGAGTGTAAACTAGTTCAACCATTGTGGAACATAGTGTGGCAATTTCTCAAGGATCTAGAACCGGAAATACCATTTGACCTAGCAATCTCATTATTGGGTATATACCCAAAGGATTATAAATCATCCTACTATAAAGACACATGTACATGTATGTTTATTGCAGCACTGTTCACAATAGCAGAGACTTGGAACCAACCCAAATGCCCATCAATGACAGACTGGATAAAGAAAATGTGGCACATATACACCATGGAATACTATGCAGCCATAAAAAAGGATGAGTTCATGTCCTTTGCAGGGACATGGATGAAGCTGGAAACCATCATTCTCAGCAAACTAACACAGGAACAGAAAACTATACACCACATGTTCTCACTCCTAAGTGGCAGTTGAACAATGAGAACACATGAACAGAGGCAGGGGAACATAACACACTGGGGCCTGTCGTGGGAGTGGAAGACTAGGGGAGGGATAGCGTTAGGATTAATACCTAATGTAGATGATGGGATGATGGGTGCAGAAAACCACCATGGCACGTGTATACCTATGTAACAAACCTGCACATTCTGCACATGTATCCCAGAACTTCAAGTATAATCAAACAAACAAACAAAAAGCATGGTCCAAATCAAAACTCCCTGATCGTCTGATAGTCTGACTCCATCCAAGGGTTTAATTGAGAATATCCACAGCAGCATTTCTGAACATTTTTGGAGTAGGGACTCCTTTAAGAAGAAGAATAATGACAAATATAAACTGAGAACTGAATATACCCAGGTATCTGAGATTGTCTCGTTTACTCTGCACAGACACCCCAGGTGTAGATACTGTTATTATCCCCCTATTAAAGATTAGGAACTCAAGACCTCCCAAAGTAAGTAACGTGCTTAAGGTCACATAGGTGATAGTGATAGAACCAGATATAAACTCAGGCATGGGTTCAGCCTGGTGTTATCCATCACACAGAACAGGTCAGGACAAAGCTTTTTGACAACGTGATTAAAACCATTAAGCTCTCTCTCCAGAAGAATATGCATACGGACATAAATACAAAAATCTAGATGTCTTCTTTACAGTTTTCATATATTCCCTAAAGTCCTTCTTCTAAATAGATCAAGAGCCTCCAACTGTAAAGACTGAATGATCCAATGTCATTCAGGACCTTCTTGGAAATAGTTTTCTATCAGGACTTGAGAGACTGCAGATGGGAGAGTTGAGGGCCCTAGCTGATAGCAGAATATGGGGTATAGATGTGCTAGGTTTCAGATGAAGGGCAGATACATGAGCTTGTACAGTCAGGTAAGATATGGGACAGACTGGGGCCCTTTCATGAAAGTTGAGGACAATTGCTAAGTGAGTGGTCACTCTCACCTCACATGCTGAGAAGTTGGCCAGGGAACATCTACGGTGTCTGTTCCAACACATGATGAAAGAGTGATTGAGGGCCCAAAGTATTTTTACCTACATAATCATTTTAGTTAGGAAATATTGTTCCAATAGTACAACATGGCCACATGAATGTTCCAATAAAGCAGCCATAGTTTATCTACCTTTACATGGAGCTGTTTCCTGGTAATCTATCTAATCTATTGACCTCTCTGCAAATTGTACACCCAGGTGTCTGATTGACTTGACCTATGGCATAGAATCAATGCATATGAGGGATTAAAGGTTGGAGGACATCTGACACCTATCAGGGTTTTGATTTTAGAATAGTTGACCTAAAGCTATCCTTTCTGTGCTTCTCAATAGAAATGCCAGTTATCTTTTGAAGCCGTATATACTGATCAAGTACAGAGAAGAAACTTTATTTTTTAAATCAGTGACATAAAAGTCAACCAAAGGTAATGTGAAGTCATTGGGTTATCACTTAAAAAGAGGTAGGACATCATTAGAACCTAAAGTGTTGGGACACTGGGCTGGCTCCTGACTCTGTCCCTTAGAGTGTTTTGTGGAGTAGATTCTGAGTAAGCATAGTAACCATGAAACCATATTGAGCTCACAGAGTTTTCCAAAAATAATAATGCTGGTAATAGCTAACTGTGTGACAGGCACTCTTCGAAGATCTTTGCATGGGTAATATAATTTATTCTGCACACCCCATGAGGTAGGTGCTATTATTATCATCCCTGTGTTATAGATAAAGGAACTGGAGCCCACTCTCTTTCCACAAAGTGTGCAAACTCTCTATTTCCGTCAGATTTCTCTACAAGGTGATCAAGGACACTTTTCCATGTGGAAAAGCTGGACTACAGTTGACTCACTGTCCTAAGAAGTCAGATAGAAGACTGGATTTATAATTTGGGGTAACAAGTTGTAGCTCTTCTGAAAAAAACAAGATGGATTCATAAATCTCTTGTAGTGACACTCTGGTGCCCAGCTCATGCCACCTTCAGTCCTGAGGAACATATTTCCCCAGCTGCTGGGAATGCCCCTTCCTGATGGCTCATGACTGAGTCCATCCCTGAGCATTTGCCTCCCAGAAGGGGTTATGCCCCACACCAGGGGCAGCCCCCGTCCTATGACCGCTCAAGGCAGGGTGCCAGGGCCCAGTCCCCATGCCTCAATCTGGGACATCTCTGAAAGGGCATCTCAGCCCCATCGCTTCTTATGAGATCGGCTGAGGTTTCTTTTGAAACTAAATCACAGTCAGTTTCTCCCTTTGCCCTATCCTGCTGTCCTCATGCCCCATAGGAGTCCTGCTCCCAAGGCACTCCCCAGTGAACATCGTGCAGATGCATTTTGATCTCAGAATCTGTTTCTTGGGGGGACCTGAACTATGACATCTGTCTTTGTTTATGATGTACTTTTCTCAATTTTAAATCAGTGAAAGATTACTTTCTCATTGTATGTAGGATATCTATTAAGTAAACTATTAGTGCCTAGGTCTTTTTTGTTGCATCTCATTGCTGTGTGGAAGAAACACATCTCAAATTGCATTTTGATGAAATGACCATGAGAATGCTTTGATTTTACCTGGTGGGTTTGTGTTTGTATGCACACACACATACACACACACACAATGACAAAGACATTGATGCAGACTCATATAGATATCTACGTGTTTATAAAAAATCAATAATTTTATATAGCTTCATAGATATATGATATAAATATGGAAAAATATAGACCTAAAATAATATTTTATATACATCATCATATAAATGTAAATACAGACAAAATATAGGCGTATGGGCAAAACATAGCCATAGCCATAGACATGGATTGTTGTTGTTATTGTTCTCTTAGGCCTCCATCTAGATCATGTTTTCAACCAGCACTTTTTTTTTCTTCATTGCTGGTTCTTCACCTTTATTAGGAGGACAGGTAGAGTGAAACTATTCAAATATGACTTAAATCAACTGCCAGGATACCTCAGGGAAGGTTATAATTATATGCTGCTGATGTGCTATGAAAAGCTGCCAAGCCGTGAGTACATCTGTCTTTCTGAGCCCTTTGTCACTTAGCTTGCTTTGTGTAGAGGTGAGTGTGATAGGAAGCTGGGTGACAGCTTTAGAATGTTTTGAATTTCTCTGTATGAGTACGGTCTAGGAGCCACTCACTCAGGTGTTTTGCATTAAGATAACACCTAACAACCAGAGATTCTGGGACATGTGAATAAATGTTGGACTTTCACTTGGGTAAACTCTTTCATTTTTTAAGACAGAGAATGCATACATGGCCAGTATGAACATAGGTCTTGTCCTTGGTGCTTCTGCAGTCTAGACTTTTGTCTGAATTACTTTTTCAGTGCTGTGCTGGAGATATACAGGTCTAGATACACACCGTTGCCAGTGTCTGAAGTATATATGCTTTATACAGCATATGATAGAAATATCATATTTATGGCATATGTCAATGAAATAGCCAGCGTGAATGAAAGTGTATAGTCCGAGACAATAGATCAGACTATATTGCTCCTATTAGTCTGCTAGTCAACTGGCCCAATCATCATGTATTTAATGACACCTTAATATGCACTCAATACTGGTCCCTGGGAGAGGACAGTATAAGGCAAATATTTTTAGTTAGGATCTCTGATCTTAGAGAAATGCAAATCAAAACCATAATGAGATACCATCTAACACAAGTCAGAGTGGCTAATATTAAAAAGTAAAAGAATAACAGATGCTGATGAGGCTGTGAAAATAAAGGAATGCTTATAAATTGTTGGTGGGAGTATAAATTAGTTCAAGTATTGTGGAAGACAGTGTTTAAAAATCACTTAAAAAGAGGTGAAATACTAAAGACAGAAATACCATTCGACCTAGCAATCTCATTAATGGGTATATATCCAAAGGAATATAAAAATTGTTCTATTATAAAGACACATACATGCGTATGTTCATTGCAGCACTCCTCACAATAGCAAAGACACAGAATTGACCTAAATGCCCATCAATGATAGACTGTATAAAGAAAATTTCTTACAAATACACCACATGTATTATGGACTACTGTGTAGCCATAAAAAAGAATACGATCATGTCCTCTGCAGGGACATGGATGGAGCTGGAGGCCATTATCCTTAGCAAACTAACATGGGAATGGAAGACCAAATACTATATGTTCTCACTTATAAGTGGAAGCTAACTGATGAGAAAACATGGACACATAGAGGGGAACAACAGACTAGGGCCTATTGGAGGGTGGAGGGTGGGAGGAGGGAGAGGATCAGGAAAAATAACAAATGGATACTAGGCTTAATACCTGGGTGATAACATAATTTGTACAAATGAACCCCCATGACACAAGTTTGCCTATGTAACAAACCTTAACATGTACCACTGAACTTAAAAGTTAAAAATAGAATTTCTCAGGACATAGAAAGCACTAACTATAAAAGAAAAATAGGGCCAGGTGCGGTGGCTCACGCCCGTAATCCCAGCACTTTGGGAGGCCGAGGCGGGTGGGTCCCCTGAGGTCAGGAGTTTGAGATCAGCCTGGCAAACATAGTGAAACCCCATCTCTACTAACAAATACAAAAAATTAGCTGGGCGTGGTGGTGCATGCCTGTATTCCCAGCTACTCAGGGGGCTGAGTGAGGAGAATCGCTTGATACTGGGAGGCGGAGTTTGCAGTGACTCGAGCCTGGGCAACAAGAGCAAAACTCCATCTCAAAAAAAAAAAAAAAAAAAAAAAAAAAAGAAAAGAAAGAAAAAGAGAAAAAGGTGTATGAATTTGATGTCATCAAATGATAAAATTTTTGTCTATTCAAAAAAAGGATATCATCTAATCAGATGGTACTCCCATCTTGGGGATTCCTTAGATATTGAGGGATGTGTGTGTGTACACATACACTTGCACCTGTGTGCACGTGAGAAGGGAAAGATTGGTTGAGGAGAATGTTCCGCCGTTGCTGAGTTTATTCCATTATTGCCTGATAATATTCTCATAGGTTAAAAGGATGCATATTTAAGACCAAATTAAAAGTGACGGATTAACAAATCCAAACTGAAAAATAAGAAACAAATGATAAAATGTGAATGACTTTTTTACATTAAATTGGCTTTGCTTTTAGATAATGGCATAAAACTAGAGATTGAGGAAGTCATTTTTCATTTCTTCAGATTGTGCCCCAATGACTACACGTCCCTTTACCTTGGTGATGGTCTTCCATTTTTACATTCATCTGTCTTGCTAAGGATACCATTTTGCATTCTCATGAATTATGCTGTGAAAAAAAATTCTCAAACATCTGGGTGGTTTCTTTTTTTGTATTCACATTTCATATTCCATTACTTTCCTCTGTCATCTCTTCTAGGAATAATGATTTTTTGCTAGCCTAGTTGAATCTTCTTAGGTTTGAACCAACAGTCTTGACTCTTTTGAATGAGTTTAATTTGCATTCCTACTTTTTCTTTTTGCCGATTCTTTGAAGATTGCAATCAACTCCTTTTTGCCTTCACTGTACATTTTCGAGTTATTGATTCACTTGCTATGTGGTATAAAATGAAGCTTACAAATGCAGTTTCTTTGGTTCCTAAGGTGCTTCCCACCCCTCTTTCAGTTCTCTGTTGTCCCAGCAATCCTAACTCTGCATTCACAATATCTTGGCCCATTAGCAGCTAGGACTTGTTTGGGCAGAGTGAACTATATTTCCTTGCTCTAACGAAGCACACAAACTATAACAGCTATCTCCTCAGCAGGCTGCTCCTGCTAAAGAGGGCAGAGCAAATGTTGCCTTAGAGCAGGGAGCTAAGCTCTGAGGATTTAATGAACTTCAGGATACTGTCTACACAGGACTGTGGCATTGGTATGAAGCTCAGCGATTCATTTCAGCTGTGTTAGCTGCTCCTGTCTGCACAGGGCCTTTCTGGCCTTTCGAATGGACATTTTTACTCTCCTGTATGGCTTTTGTTTAGTGGATTAGTGACCTGGATTATGTAGTTGACTATGCTGCCATCATTTAGCACTTTCTGAAATGGAAAACTCACAGATCTTAGATGAAGGTCACAGAAATCATTATAAATAGAAATAGGACCTAGAAGCTACCCCTAAATGAAGTTTCTTGAAACAAAGATGTGGGGTTGTGATGTTACACAGAATGTTCAGGAATGAGGCCTGGGCCATTATGGCTGTAGTGTGGAGTGGGGGGATTAAGAGTGTGGCTACAGGTCAAGTTTAGAAGCCAGAATCCTACCTGGATGTGAAGTTTATAAAACAGTCAGATGGAGAGATCGACTTTATTCTTCAAGCAAATGGGAACCCATTGAAGGCAATGTGATCCTGTTTGTGTTTAGAAGGATAGGATGAATATGGCTGAGTGAGCTGATGTGAAACAACTTCCCAGCCTTTCACTTCAGCACACAGCCACATCAAAAAAGTATAAAAATGTAAATACCTACTTCAGATTCAAAATCAAGAATGGAAGGCCTCAGCTGTCAGAAATGAGGAGGGAACTCAGAGGCAGGGCAGTGAGCAGGAACTGGCATTTAAATGGACCATGAGAGAAAGCAATAAAAGATGTAGGCTCTAACTGCTGGCAATTGGAGTTTTAAGCCCATGGGAAAGCAGTTCAGGCCTTACTCTTAGATCTGAGCTACAGGCACCAAGCCAGGAGTTAGAAAGGGCTGCCTTGTCAATTAAAAAGGAAACAGCAACTGCACACTGGCTCAGAGGATTGATGACAAACTTGCCATATCTCTGGTGCCATCGGAAAAAGATCACCAAAGCGAAGTTAGAACTCCAGGCTATTGCCACTGCAGATGTAAGGTCTGGATTTATACTATCTATGTGGTGGGGAACCCAGTACTGAGAAATTAACATGAAAAATGTCTTGGAATGGGAGAAATGAGTAGGCCTCTGGCAGAGACATCTACAGTCATCACATTGGTACTCTTCCTAAGAGAACTTGAATAGAAAATAATCCCCACTGAAGGTGAAGTCACACTAAAACAAGTACAAGGCCTGTGAGTAATGAAGTAACACAGAGGGAATTAGGCCCAACAAATGGTAGAATGTAGGTTCCAAAAATTAGAAATAATAGAATAATCAGAAACATCAATTCAGGTTATTTAGGATGTTCAAGAACCAGAGAAAGAAGAAAAACCATAGGATTGTTGTATAACATGTTTTTATAAGCGTATTTTTCAAGTGCTCTTATAAAACTGTAAAAGAGCATTTGAAAATAACAAGAGGCTTTCTAAAATTAGAACTGCAGTCATTTAAAGAAAAAAGCAAATGGGTTGAGCAATAGATCAAACAGAAAAAAAGGGTGAACTGGAATATTAATCTGAGAAAATGATGGAGAATTCAATAACAGAAAGGTAGAGATGAAAAATTTAAGAGAAGAAAAAATGGAGGCTACATTAAAAACACCTCAACATATGTCTAATAAAACTGTCAGAAGAGAAAATAAAAGATGAGAAAGAAGCAATTTTCAAAGTGAAAATGGTGAGAATATTACAGAACTCAAGTGGTTCCATACTGGTTCCTGAATATGATAAGTAGATAATAAAATAAAAATATAAACTCACCCAAGACCTACAACTGTGAAAATGTATAATATTAACAGCATAAAGAAAATTTTATCAGCTTCCAGAGAGGAAGGCAAATCCGTAACAAGGAAGGGATGTTAGATAATACACTTGGCATCTGCAACAGGACATGATGTAAGACAGTAAAATATCTTCAAGGTACAGAGGAAAATAATTGTCATTGTAGAATACTATACCTAGGATAAAATAAAAGAATAAGCAATGACAAACTTTGACTTAAAAAGAATATGAGTATTTACAACTCTGAATTCACAGTTCAAACGTGTCCTTGAGAAAGAAGGAAATTAAATACAGTAAAGAATGATGAATAAATAACATCATAAAAGCAAATGCAAGTAAAAGTAATATTGGAAACATTTAACAATGGATATTTAAGAAAAAAGACGCAAAACAGTGATAACAAGGGACATAGGTTGGGAGGGGGAGAGAATTGAGTCCTTGGGTTACTTGGAAAAACATTAAAGATATTAATTAAATCTAGACTTACTAAAATTAAGATTCCATGTGAAACTTTAAGGGTATTATGAGAAAAGAAGTGGAATGTATAATTTGGGAGAGAAATAAAATATAGCATAGAAAATAAAAAGGAATAAGGAAAGTGATTAATTCAATAAAGTGAGGTAAGAAGAAAAAAAGGAAAAGCAAGGTAAATTCAAAACACAAAATAAAATGACAGTAATAAATATAAACAGGTAAGTAATCACTGTAACTAAATGCTTTAAACATACCTTGTAAAAGACAAAAACCTTTCACAAATAATCTATAAATTAGTAAGAATTTAACAGTGTCACTAAAATGAAGTTCAATATACAAAAACTAACCATGTTTCTGTAATATGTAATGGCAACAATTAAAAATAAATTTTAAAGAAAAAATCACTTACAATAGTATCAAAAAAATTTAATACCAAGGAATAACTCTAATTACAATATGCTGGATAGCAACACATGTATCTGCATATGCAGATGGTCTCTGACTTAACAGTTCTTTGACTTATGACTTTTTAACTTTACAGTGGTGCAAAAGCAATAAACATTCAGTAGAAACCATACTTCAAGTACCCATACAACCATTCTGTTTTTCACTTTCAGTATAGTATTGAATAAATTACATGAGATATTCAACACTTTATTATAAAATCAGCTTTATGTTAGATGATTTTCCCAACCGTAGGCCAATGTAAGTGTTCTGAGCACTTTTAAGTTAGGCTAGGCTAAGCTATGATGTTCCATAGGTTAGGTGTGTAAAATGCATTGTTGACTTAAGACATTTTCAACTTGTGATAGGTTTATCAATGTAACTCCATTGTAAGTCGAGCATTTATCCATCCATTCATCTATCTGTCTGTCTATCTACCTACCTACCTACCCTCTTTCTGACTACCTACCTGTCTATCTGTATATATATATATGAAAAGCTATATAGTATATATGTGTAGATATCTATATATACACACACTATATATACTATATATAGATTATATATAGTATATATTCTAGTCCATATACTATATATATATACTCTCTCTATAATATATATACACACACGCTATATGTACTATATATAGATTATCCTATGTATACTATGTATAATCTATATATATACTATATTATACTATGTATAATCTATATATACTATAGATAATCTATATATAGTATATATAGTATAATCTATATATAGTATATATAGTATAATCTATATATAATATATATAGTGTGTATATATAAATTATATAAATATATAGTGTCTTATATATAATAAATATATAGTGTGTATATATATAATTAATCTATATATAGTATGCTATATATAGTATACTATATTAATCTATAAATATACCATATACAGTATACTATATTATATATACTATATAATATAGTATTATATAACTATATATACTAATTACACTAATTACTAAATTATAATTACCAAATACTAATTATTATATATACTATATATTATATGGTATATATATTATATAGTATATATACTATACAGTATAGTATACATATCATATAGTATATATACTCTATATAGTATAATAATATAGTATATATACTATAGTATATATTATATAATATATATAGTATATATTATATACTATAGTATATATACTATATTATTATACTATATAGAGTATATATACTATATGATATGTATACAATATATAATATATATTGTTAATCTCTATATATAATACATAGTACACTATATTATATATACTATATATTATATACACACTATACATACTATATATAGATTATACTATGTATATAGTATACATGTATACTATACATATATACTATACTATACATATACTATGTATATAGTATAATCTATATATAGTATAGCGTGTATATATATTATATATAGTATATATAATATAGTATCTATATATAGATTATACATAGCATATATAGTATGTGTATATATTATATATAGAGGGAGTATGTATATAGTATATGGACTAGAATTATGCATCCAAATTTTGGGGGGCAAGAAAGAAGGGAGTGGGACTGGAGAGGGAAAAAAGGGGAACTCAGTTTTGGCCAAAATGCTCCATTTCTAAATAGAAACTAAAATTACAGTAAAAGTTACATTATATTAAGATATGTTCATTCTTAGTTATAGGATTTTCTTTAGTCAAGTGTATTTTAGACTTTTTTAAAAATGCAATTTTAAAAAAGGGAGGAAAGCTAATCCTTACTGCAATGTGAGGATGAGAAAGGGGAAGGGGAAGCTGGAATTAGATGTACAACTTGGGAAATGACTGCACTCTTCCAAGCAAGAGATGGTGAAGGCAAGAACCAGGGCGATGGCAGTGGGAGACTGGAACATGAATGCTAGAGACACTCAAGAGGTGGAATTATAAGACCCTGCTGATGGCCTGGATCTGGACAGGGGGAAGTGAGCAGACTCAGGGGATTCTCAGGTTTCTAAACCTGCTTTCTAAGAGGATGCTGTGCCATATGCTTTCTGAGATGTGGAAATAGAAGAGGTGTGCATTTGGTATAGCAATAACGGGGAGGAATGGAGGATGAAAATATTATTTAACACTTAAGCTTGACGGGGTAGTGCATGCCTACAGTCCCAGCTGTTTGGGGGGCTGAGGTGAGGGGATCGCTTGAGCCCAGGAAGTTGAGGCTGCAGTGAGCTGTGTTTGTGTCACTGCACTCCAGCCTGGGTGACAAAGTAAGACCCTGTCTCAAAACGAAAACAAACAAAAAACCCACTTAAGTTTGAGATATTATGGGAAACCCAGCTGGATGTTTCCATAAGACAATTGGAAATACAGATCTGATTTAGTAGACACTTATATTAAGTGATGAAGTTACATATGATTGCTTAAAAAAGATAATGAAGTAAGAAATGATAATACACATTCCATGCTTTTGCTAGTGTTATGACAGAATATATGTATAATCTATAATTAGTTGTATATACACAGTCACATTATTACTTCTAGCATGAGTTAGAGTTAATTCATGTGAATGCCTTAAAAACAAAGGATTTACTTTATTTGGTATCTTTGATTGTATTTGGCACAGGCCATAGTAGGAGCTTGGAATAGGGTTAATAGATGAAATAATGAAACTAATTATTATTGTTTCTTTTTTTTTATTTAAAAAAGCTAGCTCTATTGAAATAGTATAAAATTCACATTACATACAAGTTACTCATTTAAAGTGCACAATTCAGTAGTTTTTGGTGTATTCCCAGAGTTGTGCAACCATCACCACCATCAATCTTAGAACATTTTCATCACCCCAAAGAGAAACCCTGTGCCCACTGGCTGTGACACCCAACACTGCCTCCCATCAATTTTCTACTCCAGCACTAGTTTACCATTCACTTATTTTCTTTCACAGTAGATTTGTCTATTCTAGATAATTTTATAGATGGAATCACGCAGTATGTGGTTTTTTGTGTGTGTGTGATTGGCTTATTTTACTTAGCATAACATTTTCAAGGTTTCTTCTTGGGTTGTTTCCATTTCTTGGCTATTATGAGTAATGCTGTTATGAACATTCATGTGCAACTTTTTGTGTGGACCTATGTTTTTCTCTCTTGGGTGTAAACATAGGAAAGGAATTGCTGGGTCTATGGTAACTATGTTTAACCATTGAGGACTGCCTGACTGTTTTCCAAAGAGGCTACACCATGTTACATGTTCACCAGCAGCATAGAAGGTTTCAAAGTCTCTACATTCTCTGTAGTACTTGTTATTATCTGACTTTTTGATGATAGCATCCTAGTGTGTGTTAAGTGCTATCTCCTTGTGGTTTGGGTTTGTTTTTCTCTGATGGCTCATCATGTTGAACATCTTGAGCCTATTGGCCATTTGTGTGTCTTCTTTGGACAACTATCAGCTTCTTTGCCCTTAAAACTAGGTTATTTGTCTTTATATCATTGTAATAATTCTTTATGTATTATATATAAAATTCTCTTATAAGGTACCTGATTTGCAAAATAAATAATTCCTTTTTTTGCTATTTTTTTGTTTTGTGTCACTATAGTCCTTTTTATGCACATAAACCTTGTCCTGTCCTATTCTTTTCTTTCTCTCTGTAATTATCTATCTTTAAATAAGATCTTTATGTATGTAATGGTTTGATCCTGTTTTTCTCACTTAAAATTTTATAGTAAAATTTTTCCCATATTATTCAAAATATTTGGAAAATATTTATAAAATGGCTATAAATCCTACTATGTAATTTATGTACCATAATGTATTTAATTGTTTTTATATTCTTGCACACTTGTAAAGTATTTTCAATATTGTGGTATTATTATTAAGGGCTAAAACACATGTGTAAATACATGTTGATCCAAATACCTAAGTCTATCCCTAGAATGGGTTCTAGTTAAGAAGTAGAGTAACTGGGTCCAAGACCATAAACATCTTTCTAGACTGCATGCAAATTGTTTTCCAGAAAGTGCGTCAGTTCACACTCTTCTAGTAAGTGCCTGTTTCATTATGTCCTTATCAACACTGTGTTATTTTTAATCAAGTAGTAACTGTGTGAACATTTCTCCTTGATGCCCAGACCCTGCATTTACTTAATGCTGAGCCCGTAGCTGTCAATTCAGGATGATGCAGTTCGCTCAGGAAGTCATAAGTTCTGACAAAGCTTTCACAGTAGTATATCCATGACTTTTTGGTGACTTCAAAATTCACTTAAAGAGACATAAAACAATTACCAGGTCATTAGCAGTCACTTTTTAAAAGGAGCCCCCAAAAAATTATCTCTGAGAGAGATGGCTTCTGAGCTGGTGTTTTATTTTGCAGGGCAGGGAGGGGGATGCCAAGAGGAATAGTTGACAAAAAGGAACAATTTAAAGGCAAGCATTAGAGTTATGGGAGGAATGAGTGGATCATTCTGCTCCTATATCTGGGTAATCTCCTCGAGGGCAGGGACTCCAGCTTACTCCTACAATGTGGGACACTTAACAGCACAGACTCCAGATGAGCAGATCAGTGTTGGAATCCAGGTGTTCCTATTTCCTGGCTGAGTGATCTTGGGTCTGCCTTAATTGCACATGAAGCACTTAGCACAGCTAAGAGCATGCTAGCTTCTCAATATATGTTAGCTATTTCCCATGACTGTTCACTCAGTATCCCTAACTGGACAGCAAGCATTGGGGATGACCCAAACAAGCACTCAACATAAGTATTAAATGAACAAGTTATGGGAAAACTTTTTAAAAATTTGCTTGGAAGAAACGTTTCAGTTTTCTGTAGGATGAGCCACTCACAATCCACCATTTTAAAATTAATCCTCCTCATGTTTGAAATTGTCCTATGCTCTTATCCAGTTAGGTTTCCTCAGTAAGATTTTACTTTGAAATAAACCATTATGTGTAGCATGACATTTTTCTGTTCTTGCAGGGATATGCATTGTTCTTTATTTCTGTTATTTTAAATCATTTAGTAGATAACCAAAAAAAAAAATCACTTAAGAGTCTGATTTAATCAAGAAGCAGAGGATGAAGTGTGAAAGATCCAGTGTTTTTCTGATCCTCAGTTTTGTTGAAGGCTGCAAAAAGGTATCAATTAAGTGACCTTTCCAGGTCAGGATTTTATGGCTCTGATAAATTCCCCAGGCTTAGCACTTGTCAGGGAAGACATGCAAGTGAAAATATGAAGATTCTTTCTCTCTAACTACATCTTTCCAATGAGTAGATGAGATCATGGATTTGCAAGTGCCTCAAGAAAAGTTTTATAAATCTAAAACATTATTATTATTATTATCTTGTTGTGATAACAGCACAAAAAATGAAGAACTTAAAATTGAGGCAAAGGTTTTTTTTTAAAATCATTTTGTAACATCTTACAGCTAGACAGATTGTTACAGATTTTGTGGTCCCAAGCTCTCACTTTTACAGATGAAAAAAAAGCATAAAATTGCTTAAGATGACATCATTTAAAACAAAAGTCTTGTTACTCTACAGAAAGACAGTGGATGGTAAAATTTAATAATTTAGGCTGGGCGCGGTGGCTCACGCCTGTAATCCCAGCACTTTGGGAGGCCGAGGTGGGCGGATCACAAAGTCAGGAGATCCAGACCATCCTGGCTAACACGGTGAAACCCCGTCTCTACTAAAAATACAAAAAATTAGCTGGGCGTGGTGGCAGGCGCCTGTAGTCCCAGCTACTCAGGAGGCTGAGGCAGGAGAATGACGTGAACCTGGGAGGCAGAGCTTGCAGTGAGCTGAGATCAGGCCACTGCACTCCAGCCTGGGCGACAGAGCAAGACTCCATCTCAAAAAACAAAAGCAAAAACAAAAAAATTTAATAATTTAAAATATTCTTAGATGACTACATTATTTATCCCCACAATGCAAAGAAAATACAAACTTATATTCACATATTTCATGTATAATGAGTTTGAGTGCATTTTAAATGTTATTGTCCCAAGGTAAATTTTAAAAATCTGAAATAAGAAATTTCGTTTACGAAGTCTTTAGTGGAGTCGATTCTTTTGGTGTTTGGAAAATGTTTTTGCTGCATAAGCAGGGCAAAGTTTAAATTCTCCAAGCTTACTGCAATTTACCACATAGCCCTTTCCTTCAGAGAACTGCTTACAGGAAGGTACTGTCTTCCCTGGATGTTAAGTTACATTGAAATTAATAAAAGTTAATGAAGTCTTTTAGGAACTCCCTGTCTTTCCTGTGAGGTGCCATATTTAAAGTTAAGCTACTCCCCTTAAGCAAAACTTCAAGAATGTTATTTCCTGGTAACCAGCATTTGCGTTACCTTGAGCTGTAAAGGTCCCCTCTGCAAGGCATTGAGTGACATTTTGAATACACACAAAGCAGTACTAGGTTACAATTTTTTCTTTTTTGCAAACATTACTTTGATCCTTAGGGGAAGTAGTTTCCCATGCTCACATTTCTTTTTGTTGTTGTTGTTGTTTGTTTGTTTGTTTGTTTGAGGCGGAATCTCCTCTGTTGCCCAGGCTGGAGTGCAGTGGTGCTATCTCGGCTCACTGCAACCTCCACCTCCTGGGTTCAAGCAATTCTCCTGCCTCAGCCTCCCAAGTAGCTGGGATTACAGGCACCTGCCACCATACCCGGCTAATTTTTGTATTTTTAGTACAGATGAGGTTTCACCATATTGGCCAGTCTTGTCTCAAACTCCTGGCCGGGTGCGGTGGCTCATGCTATAATCCTAGCACTTTGGGAGGCCTAGGCAGGTGGATCACTTGAGGTCAGGAGTTCACTTTTTGATAATACTGTATTTAAAACACAATTCTCCTTTGTTCAACTCTATTTGGAAGAAATGAAGAGTGAAGAGTGATGGTGTGAGAAATCTAAATCACTTTAGGGAGCTCTAGAATACACTATATTTTATCATTATAATTGGAAGGGCAATTGGACAAATGGTTAGAGATTGACATTTCTGCATTGTTTATCACTAACTGGAGAGGCATAGTCAGAAGGAGAATGGTGGAAATCGGCCTTTGGGCACTATTCTTTGTGCAACAGAGCAGGGCTCATAGAAATTCTGGGAAACAAGCAAGGCAAAGAGAAGGAAGTGGAAAAAAGGATGACTCTGCTGTTCTCAGGCTGCAGCATATACTGCTATCCCTGCTGCCAAGAATTTGAAATAACAATGAGCAGTGCAGAATATGTATTGCAGAAGTACTTGACATCAGATAATCCGCATAGTTGGAAAGTAAGATGTTTCCTTTCCCCTTGCAAAAAAGGCAAAGTGCTAGTTCTTCCAAAAGCCATACTCTAAGAGTATTATATAATATTCATTTTAAATGATTTGAAGTAATTTTAATTGGTACTTACCTGGGAGGCTATATCACTCTTCATTTCACCGTCTCAAAATGGCATAGTGAATTGCCTCTCATTGGCAGTTGCGACAGTAGGATAAGACAGGATGATATATACAAATGACTTCTTCTTCAGAAGAATCCATCCAGAAGAATTGTCAAATTATTTTTAAATGGCTATAGTTCTTATTGAAACATTGCAAGAGAAGTTTAAAGTCTTCACTTGCATTGTTTGACATTGTTATTTGGCAATTCTATCATAAAATCCTGGAACGTTTGAGCTGGGATATACTTCAGGTGCTTTCTTTTCAAAACTCTCACCTTTTCCAAATGAGATAAGAGAGATCCAGAGAGGCTAGGTAACTTGAGGAATAAACTCCAGGATAAAAGAAGTTGTCAGAAATCCAAAAGATCACAGTTTTTATAACTATGAAGAAGACAGAAGGGTGTCTAAGATCTCTTCAATATCAACAGATAGGAAATTGGAGGTCAGAGTAATGGAAAGAAGGGAACAGGTTTTTGAGAGAAGAAACATTTCAATGACTTTGGTTACGGTGTTACAGAAATAGTACTAGTCTCATTTTGAGGTGTTTGACAGAAGAGTTTTTGGATGACAGTAATGCAGTTTTTGTATATGAAATATAGGGCCAGATGTGGTGGCTCATACTTGTAATCCCAACATTTTGGCAGGTTGAGGCAGGAGGATTGCTTGAGGCCAGGGGTTCAAGAACAGTCTAGACAACATAGCTAGACTCTGTCTCTACAAAAAATTAAAAAATTATAGCTTGGTGTGGTGGCACATATATATATATATATATATATATATATATATATATATATATATATACACACATATATATACACACATATATATACATATATATACACATATATATACATATATATATACACACACACATATAGATATACATACACACACACACACACATATATATATATACTCACACACACATAAAGTTTCAAACCATGAAGACAAATTGCCATGTACGATGACATCAATAAAGGTATTAGGTAAGACATATTTTTTTTGCATCTATAGGCAAAACTTTATATATTATACATAATATATATTTTATATGTAATATATAATATGTTATATATTTATATGTTATATATAAATTATATATATATAACACTATATATATATTTTATATATATATATAAAAAAATATATATATATATATATATAGCCATGCTCCCATTCTGAACAACTAACTGGGAAGGGCTAAAAGGGACTAATTAGACCCAAAGTGAAAAATATTTTGCATTTATTTAAACCCTACATTTTGAGTAACTCATATTTTCCAGATTCCCTGTTGGTAGTAGCCCCAGCAAGAGGAAGGAATATAAAGGAAGAGTCAGCAATCTTCACCTCTGTGATTTGGATACAGAAACCAGGACTCCAGGCATTCAGCGACAGAAACCAAAACCCACTTCCGTCTGCCCCAGAGCACCTTCTTGCTCCTTAGTGCTTGTTTGATCACAGCACAGGCGACCAGAATCAGCAGGGGAGCATGAAGGGCCTTGGTTGCCTTGGCAATAATTTGTCCTTTGGCAGGGCTTAAGGAAGTGGGAAGGGTTGGGGGAAAGGGTCAGCCACACTCTTGAAGAAATCACAGCTCTGTAAGCTCTCTTGACAAATGTCATGACCTGGTGACTATTTCCTTGCCCTGTGAGGAATTTCTGATAGCCCTGAGATTATTTTGCAGCTCTTAGTCTCAACAAAACAAAGATGTGAGCTCATAATGATCACATCTTAATAAAATCTCCCTTATGTACATAATGTGTTTAAAATGATTGTCATTATGCTGGTTCATATTACTTTATTCATAGAAATTATAGTGTTCCATTTTAAAGTGTGGATTATTTGCATGATATTAAAGCAATCTTTAAATTGATTAAGAAAGCAATTGAGGAATTGTTGAGCAGGCTTTCTGTGGAAAAGGGTGCTGATGGCACCTCATATTCACTCTCTCCTTCTTTCTTGGGAGCAGAATCTCTATTTTAGCAGGGAACATGGCCACCATGATAAAAGACTGCATTGTCCAGGTTCCTTGCAGTCAGATAGGGCCACATGACTAGGTTCTAGCTAAGACAATGTAAGCAGAACTGTTGTTTGGGTCCTCCAAGAGGTCTTCTTGAAAGAGAGGAGTGTGCCCTTTCTCTACCTCTTCTCCTTCTGAATTCAGGGGAGATAGCTGGAATTCAGGATCAACCTTGAACCTGAATGTAATAAGGGAAAGATATGGAGCAGTGAGAGATGACGTGGACTGCTGACACCAGTGAGCTCCACACCAGCTTTGGCCCCCCTGCTGCTGGACTTCTTTAGGTGACAGAAAAATAAATGTAATTCTCATTAACTTGGAGATCACCAGATACATTCAGCTGAATGCAAACCTAAATAATATAGATCTTAAAATAGTATGCAAACACTTAGCTCCTGTAGGAAAATCATCAAGCAAAAAGTTTTGCCCATAGACACAAAAAATATGTCTTACCTAATACTTTTCTGATGCCATTGTACATGGCAATTTGTCTTGGTGATTTGAAACTTTTTGTGTCGTAACATTGAATTTTTGAACCAGATTTCCCTTTATATGCTATATGGAGCCTTGGGAGAAATACCAGACCAGTAGTTCAGGAGCTTGAATTCAGTGCCACCTGAGTCATTTTTTTAGCGCTATGCTCTTGAATAAGCCATCCTGATCTCAGTTTCTCTCCGTGTAAAATAAAACTTCTGGACTAAACAATTCTCTAAGCTCTAAAGATCTATAAATGTATGATAGTGCCTATTTCTTTTTAAAACCACTAAAACTGATTCTGGGCCCTAGTCATACATGTAAATATATGTGCACAAATACAGAGTATCTGGTATATGTACAGAATTATTCAACTTTTTATTACGTAGGGTATGTGTGTATTGGGGGGAGGACCACAAAGCTCATCGTCAAAGAGTCTACATTTTAATTGTGTAGAAAATGAGGCAAACATCGAAGCATAAAATTCTGAGTAAATCCTGTTTCCTGACTCCTAGTTCAACACTGTCTCTTCTATTTCATATCCCTTATCTCACAGAGCTTCACATATTAAACGGACAGAGGCCTACTAGCTCTGTGGTTTACAGAACTCTTTTAAAATTCCAACAATTTTGTTTAATGCCATGAAATACAGTTCTACTCTATGATTACCCATGTGAGACTAATCCACTTGCTATGATAACAGTCATTCAACCTCTCTCTAATTAACATTAACTGTGCTTCATCTCACTTTTAAAGCTATATATCCATGAGGGCAAAATATTCTATTGTTCACTGAATACCCACGTATTAAAACAATTAATGGAACAATTAAACCAGAAAACATTTTTATGGAGGAAGTGAGTTTTGATCCAGAGTTTTAGGGAGGTGATAAATGTGGGTTGTCAGAGAAGTGAGGAGGTTGCCTTAAAGGGCGTGAATGTTATTTGCAAAGACATCAGGCTGTGGATGATCAGCAGCACAAGGCAGATGGTACAAGGTGGGGCTAAAGAGAGTGGGATCTCAGAGCTTTCCTGCTGTTCCTTTGCTGCCTTGGCTTTCTTATTAGCATGAAATACTTGCTTTATGCCCAGTGTTTGTTTGGAGTTGGATGGCACTCATGTAGAAGAGAGATGGATAAGAATATGATGCTGGTGGAAGTAATTTTAAAGATGAAGAGCAGAGAATGGCAAAATCATCGCTGTAAGAATGTGCCCCCTTTGTACAAGAGATATTCCATTTGCATATTTAGGTTTCATGCTTCATTGTGTGCTTATGTTGTGTGGGTGAGATAAAGTTGCAGAAGGAACTTAGCATTGCCTGACTTGTGAAAATTAAGTCAGCCGTGTCTTTCCACTAATAAAGTATCTTCATGGGCTTAATTTTCTTGCAGCTGTGTGTGTGCGTGTGTGTGTGTGTGTGTGTGTGTGTGTGTGTGATACTAAGTGAAGAGAAAGTAAATAGGCAGTGTATTTATTGCAAGCAATGTGTTTACCTGCATGTATCATCACTGAAATTATCAGTTATTAGAAGTGGAAAGTCATGTGTTTTAAGTGTCAGTTCCAGTCAACTTCTTTTGCAGCACAAACCTGCCCAACAGGGTCATGATGGTTCCTAAGCACTGATTTGGACATGGTCACAGGAATACAGCACAAGAATAAAGCCCCATGTTCAGGTGGCACAGGCTGCAGCAAACTAGACTGGCCAACTCAAAAGAATGCATGCAAACCACAAATCAGAGTGAGCACTGGTTTGTGTTTTCTAAGAGAGGCATGGAAGCAACTCTTCTTCCTGGGCCATATTCCAAAGGTCAAACACAAATGATGGGGAAAACCTTGAGAAGCAGAAGGAAGCAGGGCCTTTCCCACTTGGCCCTTCTTTTAATAGCCAGTTTCTTGGATTCCTTTCCTCATGCTCCTCCATCTACCGATTCACACATACACATATAGTTGGCATGAATTTGCTCCACAACAAATACAAAAACATTGCATTGCTTTACATTTCTATATGTAATAAAAATCTGTTTTTGCCTGTTAGTTAGGTTTTACCTCTGACACCCAACATCAGTCATAGTGGGAGGCCTGTTTACCTGAGGGTGGCTTAAGAGTCTCATGGTGTTCTGCA
Organism: Homo sapiens; assembly: GCF_000001405.40. Classification (NCBI taxonomy): domain Eukaryota; kingdom Metazoa; phylum Chordata; class Mammalia; order Primates; family Hominidae; genus Homo; species Homo sapiens. Next base: position 23,821,824 of record NC_000010.11, read on the forward strand.
GTTCAAAAAATTAGGAAGGGGCCTCCAGCTCTTTCGGCCATCAGGATCACTGCTGAGATGCGTGTTGTCCAAACCCTTGGGGCCTAAGCCACCAAAGGAGGTACTTCTCCCACTGCATGGAATGTGGCCATCATCTTCCGTGTCTCCTGAAGCCCCTGCTGCTTGTGTTCAGGCTACAGCTACTCAGACCATCCCATCAGATCTCCTAGACAATAAGTAAGAGCGGGTGCAGGCACCACAGCTCCACACATTCACCACTCATCTCCTTACTCAGTTCCCACTCATTTTCATTTCCTAAACTCAAAACTATAGTCTCCATCCCTTTCCTGTCAGGAAAGACTCACCCTAACTCATCTCTTTAGTTTGTAACAGACTCCAAAGCCTGCATAGGGCTTTTTTCAGGTTTCTGGCAGTTTCTGTTTTCAACTCATGAACCTAAAAGTTCTGGAAGCCCTAAACTCAGAACTCAAGGGGCTGTGCTACCTAGAAAAAGGACTGATAATTTTGCCTTATATATGTTTGGATCTGATTGCAGTAGCAGAAACAAGACATAAACTTTATTTTAATAAATTATCTTGAACACACACATATCAGAGTGGGAATTTGTGCCAATAGGGAGCAGACAAACAGGAATTTTTTGACTTGTGGAAAATTTGCAAAATTGATATTTGTCTTTATTATTGTTGCTGATGTTGTTTTGTGTTAGAAGGAGCAAGACTTTTCTTAAGGTCAATTTGACTGATAAGTCAATAGGCAGAATCAACAGGTTGTTTCTGCATCACAGACCTACAAACCTCTCGTTCCATTTGTCAGATTGGGGTAATTGTACTTCCATTCTGGTGGTGTGGTAGAGAACATTATGTCCCTTGATTGCTTAAAGAAACAAAATGCTTTGCTTAAGTCTCCCACAAGGATGGAGAGGTATTTAGCACAGAGTTTTTCCCACAGAGTTTTGTAAGAATAAGAATGAATCAAGTATTTACAATAATGATATGTATCTTGAGAATGAGCCCCTCTAGATTACTAAGTTTATCCTTTGATCTGAAAACATAACAATGATTGAAAAATCAATTAGCACATATACCATATGTCTAAATTTAGCCTAAATTAAAGATGAGGGAAGCACTTTTTTATTAGGAGTTATTAACCTATGTGTCCCCAAATTAAGCAGGATTTAATAGAATTTATGCTTGCATTCATTTTTTATTGCTACAGTAACAAATTGCCTGTGAGATAATAAATAAATGTCTTAAGCATGCTTCACCTGGGTCCTCTGCTTAGAGTCATGCTTCACCTGGATCCTCTGCTTAGAGTCTCACAAGGCCCAAGCCAAGGTGTTGGCAGGGCTGTGTTCCATTCTGGAGGCTTTGGGGGAGATCCACTTCTAAGCACATTCAGGTTGTTGGGAGAATTCGGTTCGTTACGGTTGTAGGACTGAGGTCCTGCTTCCTTGCCTGCTCTCAGGACAGCTGGGGACCACCCTTGGCTCCCAGAGGCTCCCTCTGATCCTTGCCCATGGGCTGCTCCATCATGTGATTTCCTCCATCTCAGAGCCAGCAAAAGTTTGAGTCCTTCTTACGCTTAGAATCTCTGACTTCCTCTTTTGCTGCATCTCTTCTGCCCCTAGAAGAGATGGCAGAGAAAGGTCTCCACCTTTAAGGGCTCATGTAAGTGGAATGGGCTCACCTAGGTAATCCAGGATAACTCCCTCAAAATCTGTAACTTTAATGACATCTGCAAAGTCCCTCTTGCCATGTAATAAAACATATTCATAGGTTCCAGGGATTAGGGCGTGGATATGTTTGGCAGGGGGTTTGGCCTACCAAGATGCCTTTTCGTAGAAAAATGAATATAAAACATTAAACCCCCCTACTTTTAAGTTAGAAAACAAAGAATATAAAAGTATTCAATAAGAGTGACTAAAATATCAAAACTTTGTTTTAGTTCGGGGTAATGGCAAGTTGGGATGGGCCTGATAGAATGGAGGGAATATGAAATCTAGAAGGAAGATTTTTGTTTTAAAAAGGGGTGGAAGGGAAGTAGAAAGTTGCATAGATGGAGAAGAAAAGAGCCACAGAAAGACAAAGAGGGAGGAAGAAGAGAGGGGGGGAAAGGAAGGGAAGGAACTGAAAAGAAAGGCAGAGGGTTGATGAAAGAGGAGGGACACACCGGGCATGGTGGCTCACACCTGTAATCCCAGCACTTTGGAAGGCCAAGGCAGGTGGACAACTTGAGCCCAGGAGTTCAACACCAGCCTGGGAAATACAGTGAAACCCCATCTCTACAAAAAATACAAAAAATTAGCCCAGCGTGTTGGTGCACACCTATGGTCCCAGCTACTTGGGAGGCTGAAGTGGGAGGATCACTTGATCTGGGGGTGGTAGAGGTTGTACTGAGCTGAGATCATGCCACTGTACTGCAGACTGAGTGACAGGAGTTAAGACCCTGTCTCAAAAAATATATAAATAAATAAAAAGAGGAGGGACATTGTATAAAGGCTAAGAAAGATACATAAAGATATGTAGGCCGGGCGCGGTGGCTCACGCCTGTAATCCCAGCGCTTTGGGAGGTCGAGGTGGGCAGACGATGAGGTCAGGAGTTTGAGACCAGCCTGACCAACATGGTGAAACCCCGTCTCTACTAAAAATACAAAAATTAGCTCAGCATGGTGACATGGGCCTCTAATCCCAGCTACTCAGGAGGCTGAGGCAGGAGAATTGCTTGAACCCGGGAGGCAGAGGTTGCAGTGAGCTGAGATGGCGCCATTGCACTCCAGCCTGGGCAACAAGAGTGAAACTCTGTCTCAAGAAAAAAAAAAAAAAAAAAATAAAAAAAATATATATATATATATATATATATGTATATATGATATGTAAAGGAGAAAACAGGTAAAAGAAGGCATGTGAAGAAGAAGAAAGTGTAGAGGGCTTTAAAGTGAAGGTTAACTGAAGGTCCTGTGGTGTGTAGGGCATTTATCATCTATTGGGGTAACATATTCTCTAATTTTCCTAAGACAGCTCCAGATTACGCTAATTATCCTGGCATATTTACTAGTGGCATCCTTTTCACTCTCATAAATGTCCTGATTTGGACAAGGTATTACATAGTAATCCTTCCTTAATATGGCTCCATTTGAAAGGTACATTATCTGCTTACCATTTTTTGCAGTGTTTAAGATGTTATCGGGAACATCTGCTCCACATGGTTTGGTCTCAATTCAGCAAAATGCATGAAATTTATCAGTGACTGACTGAGGTCCTTGAATCAAGTTTCCAATTCCTGCACGCACCTTTTGTTTCTATTTGTCTCTGACATTCACAGTCTGCAAACCCTATTAGTGGTATTAGAAAACGTCTGCATCTTTTCTTTTAAGTTAATTTTCTTTCTCCACTTGTAATATATCATTGCATAACACATAGTTTAAAGTGTAATCCTATGCTTTTTGGTGGGAGAAAAATGAACGCTCATTATCTCTTAGATGTTAACTCAGAACATACTTTCTTGTATTTTAGTTTTTTTACATTAAAATGTCAGCTTTTCCTTATCTTTGCATCCTCTTTAAATGGTTTAAACTCTTAGAAGTTACATTCTTGTTTGCATGCTAATTAATCTATATTGATGAACATATATGTAAATAATAGTGATAAATAAAAGAGCATCTGACCAATAGAAAAGCTAACTGGCTTTAATGAGACTGTATTTCAGATTGATTTTGGTTATTAAACCACATACAGTGCTCTTGCCTTCCAGTAATTACACTAAGCAGAACTGGTTATTTGATGATGAGACAGTTTCCATTTTGGTTTAAGTAAAATTGATTTCCATGAACTACAGTTTAGTTCTGAATAATATATGCGTTATTCTGGATTGCTAAGCACTTAGGAAATAGTGGATAAGAGAAATATTCAATTCGCCACAGATGAAAATAACAGTAAAAAAATAGTGGTAAAACGTGGATTTTTGAGTCATGCAGACTGAGATCCAATGCTGACTTTGTTCCTTAGGAACTGGAAGACCTCGCACAAGTCACTCATTCTTTCTGACACTCGGTGTTTTTATGGGCAAAATGGGGTTAGCAGTATCAACCTGGGGTGGTGGGGAGGAATGTGATGCAGATTAAATGAGATTGCTGAGAAATAACCAGCCCAGTTTCTGGTACACAGAGATAAAAAATTGTTAGTTACCATCTCCTTGCCTCCTGGGGTGGCCAGTATGCTAGTATGTTAACCTCAGCCTCTGCATCCAACTTTAACCTGAACCCTAACTTTGTGATGTAAGAGTGAGTTGAGTCTATCTAGATTTAACATTCTTTTATATTGCACTAGTTATGTTTGAATTTTTTTTTCAGTTACACCCTCCAGGTCTACTAAAAAAAAGTGTAAGTAGTTAATATGATTATTTTCTAAAGCAATAATAAAAATGCTTTTTAAAAAGATTAGAAATTTGAAATTTTATAACAGGTTTAGAAAACAGTAGCATCTTATTATTTACATTAGATTTGACATGTCAATAGCAAATGATACTTTATTGTAGTTCAAAGGTTTTACCACTAAGAACTTGATAATTATTCTTCTCAAAAGTAAGCTGGGCATGGTAGCATGTGCCTGCAGTCATAGCTACTCGGGAGGCTGAGAGGATAGAATCGCTTGAGCCCAGCTAGGAGTTCGATAAAAGAAAACAGCCTTGACTGGTGATTTGAAAGCACCGTCAAAACTCCCTGCATTTCCTTTGGTGCTTGGTTTATGACTCCTCCTCAGAGATGCTCTTGTCCATGGTGCTGACCTCCTGATTCAAGCTGTGGATGGAGTTCAAGTAGCGGACGGCCAGGGTGTCCCTTCCATGCTGGGAACATAAGGAGCGTCCTGTGGTGTGTAGTTGCTGTTCTTCTGTGTTCAGTCTGTTGTAACTTTAAAGCTCTTCTTCGACTCCTCAAATGCTCCAAGGGCTATCATATTCTCGGTTACTATTCTGTAAACTCCCCACATGCAATGTTCTGTTTCATGCTGTGGGTCAGAGCTTCGTGAACTGTTTCTCTGGTCCAACTCACTCATGGTTGTTGAGAGTCAAGTCCCCTATAGTGATATCTTCACTCATTCATTCCATAAAATTTTACTGCCCTTTTATGTAGACTCTTGTCATGGGCACTATGGACAAATAAAAGGTGAATATGACTTAGTCCCTGACTTTTAGATACTTAGAATCTGGTGAGAGGTGAAGAGGGAGATCAGCACACAAATTCAGGAAAGTGAGGCAGAATTAAGTAACTTTATAGGACAGGTGCAGTGTGAACCTATAGTGATTCTCAACCCTGACTACACATCGGAATCACCTGTAGGGCTTTGAAACATCCTGCCACACATGCTTCATCCCAAACAAATTCAGAAGCTCTGGGAATAAGGAGTGAAGGCATCAGTGTTTTTAAAGCTGATTCCAGTAATTCAATGTGAAGACAAAGTTGAGAACCACTGGCCTAAGGAAGAGCCTGAAAAACTTTCACTGGCTCTGTGGCAGGCTGATAGTAAAATCTTAGGTACCTTTGTTTCCATTGATTTCTTGCACCTGTCCTTATATTATTATTGGACTTTGATGTCCCTTACTTTCGTGTTGATAGGGAACATGTGTAATTAGTATATACTCAATAAACGTTTGTTTGTGGATAGATGAATACCCATTCTTAATGCTTCCTTCTTTTTAACAGCAAACATTTATTGAGCATCTACTATGCCTCAGGCACTGTACTGAGTAGTGGGAACAGAGCAGTAAGGACGATTGTGTCTCTGCCTGGATGCCTTGTGTTTCTCACATTGCATCTTCCCCTCCAGCAGAACTATCTGGGGAGCTTGTTAACAGAGCAGGCTCTTGAATTCCTCCTCAGCCTATTGACTAAGTCTTTGAGGGTGAACTTCAGTAATCTCTGCTCACAAGCCGCCGGTATGATTCCTGTGTGCACGACAGCCTGAAATTGCTGAGTAACGGCACATGCAAAGCCATGACAACAAGACAAAGACAAATGAAGAGGGCTGTTGGTGTCACATCAGAAAGGGTGACTTCCCCTGGGGGGAGGTGGCCTCTAGGTGGTCTTAAAGGATGACTGTTTGCCCAGGGAAAGAATGGGAAGGAAAGTACTTCAGGCCCAAGGAAGATGACCTGTGAAGTCACAGAGACACAGTGAATACAGCATGTTGTGGAGAATTGAGCCAGATTGTGAAGAGCCTTTTGTAATTTTAAGCTAATTAACGCTTATTGATTTTCTGCAATGTTTTAAGTCCTGTGCACAAAGACGGTAATAAACTGCTCAAGGAACAGGGTGTTCCTGGGTCTGGCTCTGAGCCCTTGTTTAGTTCGGAGCTATGCCAAACTCTGAAAATCTCCCCAAAACACAGAAGCCTTCTTGATTCCTGGTGTTATAAAACCATACCTAATTGTGCCAGTGTCCCTGGGAGATAGGCATAGAGTTCTAGCTTGGGTAGCCAGGAACACATCCTCTGATACAGCAATAGCAGATGGAGTAGGGACTCCCTGCTCTCCAAACTTCTAGAAGCTCTAGAAGGAGGCAGAGTCTGGTTTGAGAGGGTGGGCATGGGAGTTGTTTCAGACACTCTAGGAGGTCATGGCTGGTGATCCTATTACATTGATAGTTTGGTTTTATAACACCGTGAATGCCAGGCTATCAACATTATGAGTAAAATTGGCTTTGGTAGCCTAACCTGGAGTTCTAACCACTTATAACTTTTTGTCTAAAAGAGGAAGCTGTGTTCCAAAAGCTAAATGTTTTTGATTAACAATAGTTATGTATGGGTTGCTTAAAAGCATCTGTCCTCCAATGCTCTGAGCTTTACATTTGCTTCTTGTTACTACTTATTTGTTTTTCTCACCAACCCTCTAAGATATGCTGTATGATTACATCTGTTTCTACAGATTGTGTGGCTTGGGAGTGACAGAGTTGGGATTTCAACCTAGGTGCATGTAATTATTAGAAACTGAGTGTATAGCAACTATGCCAGGCCATTCTTGGAATGAGGCTTTTTCTTAAACTGGTGGATTTTCTCTGCCTTTTTGTTAAATACTTTACATATATATCTCACAGTTTCTGTAGGGGTTTTGTTGAGTAATTAAGGTAAGGCAAATTGAAAGTATATAAAATGCCCCAGATTAAACAGGAAAAAAGATATTACCCTCTTACTTCTGTCCTATGACATACATTGATATATGCAAAATCCCTTTTCCTAAGCACTTTTGCTTAAGGATGCCAGATAAAGGGATAAGGAAATATAACACTATTCAATTTGGCAGGAATCACAGCTAAGGTTGAATATCACATTACTTTGCTGCAAAGAGCATTTTCAGATACATTGGCTGTAGGAAGATTATGATTCTGCAAAACAAAATGTGGAAGAATAGGATGAAATTGATTGAGTTATGAAAACAATTATTATATCTATTCACTTATCATCTAATTTCCCGTTACCTGGATAATTACTGGACACTTGAATCACAGTCTACACACTAACCAACTGATGGCCCACAGAACCTAGAGGAAGGCAAACTCTCAGCTCTGTTATTCGTCTTCTCCATGGGAAAAATATTGACACTGCTTTGGTGAAAACTTACAGTTCAAATATACAAAAGGAGAAAACTGCAGAAACAAAATCCCTTCACAGTGATCTGGAATTTCAGTAAGATTCAGATATGATATATTTGCTCCTTTTTATTAGAAAGATTTGATTATTTGCACATTTATAATTTTTTGCATGACTCACTATTTAATCCAAGTGTTTTATGTTTATTCACTGGGTAGTCTAAACATGTTCTCTCTTTCCAAACTATTATCAGTCATCACAGTCATTTGATATGATTCAGTTATATCCTATTATTTAAACAATCCTCTACTGACTGCCTTCTGTGTACTCAGTATTACATACGTAATCTTTTTGTACATGTGGTAATCTTGGATAGCAAGGGGTTAACAATGCCTTGCATAGTTGTTAGGCATTTCAAAATATTTATAGTGAAGATATGAATGCACATGACCTCTTAGTAAATAGAAATTAATTGAGCTCATGTTGTGAAACTAAATAAATTAGTGGGAAGAAAAATGGTAGGGCTTACTAGCGGAAGTAATTAGATCAAAGAATTCTCTGTTGTACTAAGTTGCCTCTGTTTGTTTCTGAATGGCTGCTAATGTTTAAATCTCTGGGCTGCCAAATTTGTGCTATTTTGCCAACAACATTTTCTCTACTCCAAGTGTTACTGGAAAGCTAATCAGAGGCAGTAATTGATTTAATGACAGAATGATTCAATAGTTGCAATCTTCCATAAAATATCCCCTTTTTTGGGTAAGGTAAATTATCAATTTATAGATCTTCTCAGAAAAGCAGTTCTTTTTGCTCCCTTAAAAAGAAGAATTCTTTGCAGTCAAATTTGTTTGGGGATAGAATGTTTCACCTATTTTGTGCTGGAGCATAAACACAGTCCTTCGTTGACAGTGAAGTCTCTCTTGATTCGGTTGTCCTGCATAATAATTACATGGCTGCTTAAAATGGCATGTAATCAAAATGACACAATCTTGATAAAAGACGACCGTGTCCAGGGCTCTCTGAGAAGAATTTAATAGTAGAATTTTTGTGTTTGGCCGTTGCTGTGATAAACAGTCTAGGGTTTTGCTTTTAAGAGCCTTCTGTCTCTCTGAACTGCCTTTCTTAGCTCCTAGCTTCAGTAGTTGATGAACAACACACAGTTTCCTCCCTTGCAGGTATGTGTGGCATGAAAGAAAGAGAGAGAGAAAGGGAGACAGTGATGATAGGGAGACAGATGATAGACGATTGATAGAAAATGAGAAATCATAGGTAGGTAGGTAGGTAGGTAGGTAGGTAGGTAGGTAGGTAGATAGATAGGTAGATAGATAGCTAGATAGACAGATAGATGATTGCTGGAATGGGGAATAATAGAAGATACATAAAAGAAAATAGATAGGTGATAGAGATAGAGATATATGTGTACACACACACACACACACACACACACACTCACTCACATATACCTGCTTAATGACCAGAAAAAGTACAAAACAGATGTGAAACTGCAGATTTCATGTTAAAGCTAGAAGTCTCTCCAAATGCCCACAGGTATTGAGTATGACACAGCATTTGCAGTAAAGGAAAGGATTCGGGTGAGCAGGAGGCAGCATCCTGCAGAGCCCTGAGCTGAGTTGACCTCCAATTCTAGAACTTGTCTTCTCTACTGACTCCTGAATAATTACCAGCTTCCCCACCCCAGCCTTGCCAAGCAGCAGAAATTAGACCCTTATCTCGTGCTACACACAAAAATCAACTCAAAATGAATTAAAGAGTTCAAACAGGGGAAATTGACATAGACAATGATTTTGTGGATATGAACCCCAAAGTGTAGGCAACACAAAAAAATATAGATAAATGGGACTACATGAAACTGAAAAGCTTTTACACAGAAAAAAAAAAATGGAAAACCAAAAAACAAACAAACAAACAAAAAGAGTAAAAAGATGGCCTATGGATGGGGAGAAAATATTGGCAAATGAACCATACATCCAAAAAGGAGTTAGTATCCAAAATACATAAGGAATTCAAACAACTCGATAGCCCATTAAAAGAAAGGGCAAATAACTTGAATAGACATTTTCCAAATGAAGACATACACATGGGATACAACATACAACAGGGATTTCCTTGGTGTTTGCATGCCAACAGTGTTGCTCAGTTGTCCCACAGCTTCCAACTTGTACGTTTAAATAATTGTATTAGGAATGTAATATGTGTATTAATGATAAAATTTGAGTAGTACAGAGATGATAATACATAAAATAAATATCTCCTCCCCTAACCATATCTTGATCTCCCATTTCTGGTTTTCATTCTTCTTGTGGTTATATTTATAATAATATCCAGGTGATATGTATAAATGTCTACCTTTTGAGCTATCAACCTTAAATAGTATACATTGCTTCCCTGATATGAAAGATGTGGAATTTAGCATACTTGTACTATTTCTTCCACTTCTAAAGAAGGTTTTGTTCTCACTAATGATTGATTTTATAACTCTATTGAGAGATAGGAAAAAGCAAAGTGTTTTTTCTACCCTCATGCACCACTCAACACAGAACACTTCTGTGACCAGATGTGTGCAGATTTTTCCCAGTGGACAATTCTCTAGTGGACACCAACTGGGTATCCTACAATTCCATTCAACTCTGGTGCTATCTACCTGGAGATAGTGTCAGATCTCTCAGGTTGAGAGCCCAGTCCCACAAGACTTCTCTCCGCCACTTCAGATACCAATAGCAAATAGCAGATTGTCACTTATACTTCTGACTAACAAGCAACAAAGCAGGTTCCTGTGACACTTCCTTGGGTTTGATTAATTTCTGGGATGTCTCACAGAACTCAGGGAAACACAATTACTGGTCTATTATAAAGATTATAAAAGATGCAGATACCTCAGATGAAGAGGTGCATAGGGCAAGGTATGGAGGAAGGGTGCAGAGATCTCATGCCCTCTCTGGGCACACCGCACTCCCGGAACTTCCATGTTTTCACCAACCAGGAAGCTTTCTGAGCCCTGTCCTTTCTGGATTTTATGGAGACTTCATTGCATAAGGATGTTTGATTACATCACTGGCCATTGGTGATCATTCAATACTGTCCTCTCTCCTGAAGCGCAGGAGTAGGGCTGAAAGTTCCAACCCTCTAATAACATGGTTGGTTTCCCTGGCAGCCACCTCCCCATCCTAGGGGCTCCCAGTTATCAGTTGTCTTGTTATTATGCAAAAGAAGACTCATTATTCCACAGATTACAAGGGTTTTAGGAGCTGTATCCCAGGGACCAGGGGCAGAGATCAAATATATATTTCTCATTTTATCACAATATCACAACTCTAGTAATATATGTGTATTAGTCCATTTTCATGCTGCTGATAAAGACATACCTGAGATTAGGCAATTTACAAAAGAAAGAGGTTTAATGGACTTACAGTTCCATGTGGCTGGGAAGGCCTCACAATCATGGCAGAAGGCGAAAGGAAGATAAAAGAAGAGAGCTTGTGCAGGAAAACTCCCTTTTTGAAAAACGTCCGATCTCATGAGACTTATTCACTATCATGAGAACAGCAGGGAAAGAACTGCCCCCATGATTCAATTACCTCCCACCCGGTCCCTCCCACAAGACATGGGAATTCAAGATGAGATTTGGGTGGGGACACAGCCAAACCATATCAATACTTAAATCTATTTTTCTTAATATATCAACCTTAGGCTTTATATCTAGACTCCAGTATATCTGTAAAATGGAGATAGTAATAACACCTATTTTATAAGGCTGTTATGATAATTAAATGAGAGAATCCATTTAAAGGACCTAGCAAAAGCTTGGCTTACAGTGAGTTCTCAATTAATTTAGCTGTTATTCATTGAGGACAGTTAACTAATTGCCTCAAGCTTCATCCCCTCACAACTTTCACTGAACAACCACAGCCTCAGTCAGCAGAGTGTGACTGTGATTGCCTGTAATCACAGCTACTCAGGAGGCTGAGGCAGGAGAATTGCTTGAACCCAGGAGATGGAGGTTGCAGTGAGCCAAGATCATGCCACTGCACTCTAGGCTGGATGACAGAGTGAGACTGTCTAAAAAAAAAAAAAAAAACTAAGTAAACCATTATCTTTCCTTAGCATTTTGATGTTTCTCTACTATTTCCTGATTGCTGTAGTTGCTGATGAAAAAATACAGTCTAACATCACACTTCACATCTTAATAGTCTCTCTTTCATCTTCATTTTCTTGTTTACAGTTTCAATACTTCTGTCTCTAGTTTTGTATTTATTTTTATTTAACTTTTTTGGTACTTAGGGCCTATTTCCATTCAATATCTTTCTATAATTCTTGGAAATTCTTACCTACTACTCTTCAAATGTTGCCTTGGTAGTCTTTCCCTAGATCCTGGAATTTCTATTAGATAAGTGATATAACCTCTCAGTCTGTGCCCTTTTATTTTTAAATATATATTTTTTATTTCTAATATGTCAAAACAGATCTTTAAAAAATCTGCTTTTCTTGTTTTATTGCCATCAGTTTTGTTTCATAGTTTATTGTTGTGGGTGGTTTATAAACATAGTTTATATGGATTTCATGTCTTCATTTATCTCCCTTTAAAGTTTGTTTTGACTGTTTCATAAAATAAATTAAATTCCAAGTCTAGAGAATTCATGTTCCTACTGTTGATGTTTTTGGCTGTCTTTGCTAGGATTAGTCTTATATTTGTGTTTTGAAATTTAGATTCATAGGCTCATTTTGAGTGAGAAAATCTTGCTTTTTATTTTGTTTTATCTTTTCTATCTGCTCACCCCTGGGCTCCTAGTTCAGAACCAGATCTTATTATGTTTTGAACTTTCTGATCTGTGGTAACTTAGGAATGTTGCCCTTCCACTTTGGCTCAATTCCTAGACACAAAGCTTTTCCTCCATGTATGCATGCATGCTTACTTTCTTATCAGCCAACTATTTCAAATAAAGGTGCAGCACCCAATGTCAGGTTTATTCATTACTTTTATAATATTTATTGAGTTACCAGTATATTCTAGGCATTATTCTAAGTCCTGGAGGTTTAGCTGTAAACAAAACATAGTCTCTTCCCTCATGAGCTGACATTCTAGTGGAAGAGAGAGACGATAAAAAATAAACATGCCATATGTAAGAAGATGGTTAAGTACTATGGAGAAAAAAGAAAGAAAAATGAGGAATTTGGGGTCAGTGTTAACTCATAAAAATGATGAGAGAAATCTTCATTAAAATGGCAAGGGGGCAGTGTGGCTGGAATGAAGAAAGGAACAGGTAGAAGCAATGGAGGTGATGAGAAGGAGTTTGAAGATAAAACTAAATGGATTGCATGTGGGTTATGATAGAAGAATCAAGGACAACTCCAATAATTGTGTTCTGCAGGATTGGTTGCCATTTACTAAGATGGTGAGGACTGTAGGAGGAGATTTGTGCCATGGAGGGGTGGCAGGTGGGGGCACAGAGCAAGAATTCAGCATTCAGACGTATTCATAAAATAAATTTGAATAAACATTCAAATCACTGTTTTGTAAGTAGTCACTTGAAATGACTATCAAATATCCAAGTGGAGATGTGGAGTAGGAAGTTGAACAAATGCTCTGGCATTTGGGAAAGACGTCTAGGCTGGGAGTTGGGATATGGGGTAATTGGGCCATGGGACTGAATGAAGTCATGGAGGGAGAGAATGTCATAAGAGAAGAAAATAAACAGTTCTGAGGGCCAGGTTCTGAGTTATGCCTAGATTTAGAGGTGGGAGATATGAAGAGGATCTAAGAGAGATGGAGAATAAGTCAGTGAACTAGAGAAGAACTAGGAAGGAGTGTCATTCAGGAACCCAAGTGAAGAAAGACTTTCAAGAGGAGAAAGAAAGAAACCAGACCAGATGCTAATAGTAGAAAAAAGAATATGAAGGCTGAAATGTAAAGTGAAACTCATTGGTAAACTTCTCAAAAATGGAGTGATTTTTTTTTGGCTTATCTGAGAAGGGGGAACCCTCCTCAATCTTTGAGGCATATTTATTCCCAGGAGATAACCCCTCCACCCCCTGCTAGCATCTGCATTAGTACCTGGCAGGTCTGTGACCTGAGGCATTGATGTTTCTGCCCTTTTCCTTATCCAAGGTGATAATTATTTCTTTGAAAGTCTGGCTATGTTGTTTTTATTTGCTCTTTTTCTATTTGGTCACATTGGTATGTGTTTAGAGCAGTGAGAGTATGAAAAAGTATGAATTTACTGTACCATTTTGACTGAAATTTCTTTCTGCCACACCTTTAATGTCTTCAGTAAGTGTTCCTTTTATCTTCTAGCCTCACCTGGGTCACCATTAAGAATATGATTTTTTTTTTCTATCCCATTTCACATATAGCCAAGTTGGCGGTGAAATTGATGTCTCATCACACCACACTGCCATGAGAAGTCATTTCTCCTTCCTTTATGAGTATTTCATTTGCTATATCTCCCTCTGTTCCTCCTAGTTTTTGTTGTTTTTTAAGCTCCTCCTGGGAACTCCTGTTATGGGATGGATTGTGTCCCCCCAAAATTCATGTTGAAGTAACCCTCAGTACCATAAGAATGTGACTGAGTTGGATATAGGGTCTTTAAAGAAGTTACTAAGTTAAAATGGGGTCATTATTGTCTACTTTCATTCAATGTATTTCTATTATTCTTGGAAATTCTTACATACTGTACTTCAAATGTTGCTTTAGTAGTCTTTCCCTAGATTCTGGAATTTCTATTAGATAAGTGATATAACCTATCAGTCTGTGCCTTTTTGTTTTTAAATGTATATTTTTTATTTCTAATATGTCAAAACAGATCTTTTAAAAACCTACTTTTCTTGTTTTATTGCCATGTTTTGTTTCGTAGTTTATTGTTATGGGTAGTTTATAAGCATAGTTTATATGGATTTTATGTCTTCATTTATCTCCCTGGGCCCTACTCCAATATGACTGATATCCTTATAACAAGAGGAAGTGAGAACACACACACAGAGAAGGAGGACCATGTGAAGACACAGGGAGCAGACCGCCATGCAGGAGCCAAGGAGGGAGGCCTCAGAACAAACCTCCTCTGCCAATACCTTGATCTGGGACTTCTAGCCTCCAGAACTGCTTTTTTTTTTTTTTTTTACTTTGTATAAATGTAAGAGGTACAAATGCAATTTACTTACATGTATATATTGCATAGCAATGAGGTCTTGGTTTTTAGTGTATCCATCATTAGAATAACGCACATTTTAGGCCAGGCTCAGTTGCTCATGCCTGTAATCCCAGCACTTTGGGAAGCCGAGGCGGGAGGATTGCTGGAACACAGGAGTTCAAGACCAGCCTGGGCAACATAATGAGACCCCCGTCTCCACAAAAAATAAAAAAAAAAATTAGCCGTGTATGGTAGCACACACCTGTGGTCCCAGCTACTCAGGAGTCTGAGGTGAGGAGGATTGCTTGAGCCTGGGATGTCAATGAGCTGTGATCGTGTCACTGCACTCTAGCCTGGGTGACAGAGTGAGACCCTGTGGGAAGGAAGGAAGGGAGGGAGGGAGGGAGGGAGGGAATGAATAAGGTACATTGTGCCCATGAAGTAATTTCTCATTCCCCACCTCTCATATGCCCAGCAACCCCTCCAAATCTCACGTGTCTATAATTCCACACTCTATGTTCATGTATGCACATTATTTAGCTCCTCCTTATAAGCGAGAACATGCCGTGTTTGACTTTCTGTTTCTGAGTTGTTTTGCTTAATATAATGGCTTCCAGGTCCTTCCATGATGCTACAAATGATAAAATTTCAGACTTTTTTATGGCAGCCTCTAGGACTGTGAGATAAATTTCTCTTGTTCAGGCCACCCATTCTGTGGCACTTTCTTATGATGGACCTAGCAAAGTAATATGCCCAATTCATTCACAGATTTTTGCACCTGGTTCTCAGATTTTCTTTCAACCCAGTTCCCTGCCTTCTTCCCGGATGACTTCAATGTCCAGAGAAATGGTTCATTCAAGACCTTAGTAATTTAATAATCCCCAAGGTTCTTCTTCACTCTTCCAGAGCCATGCACCCCAAGGACATTCTTTGGTTTTCACTCAGAACTGTTTCACTATTGAAATGACACATTCACCTTTCCAGCAATCTCAGTCATTTTTTCTTTTTTGAGATGGGATCTTGCTCTGTCACCTAGGCTGGAGTGCAGTGGCATGATCATGGCTCATTGCAGCCTCAACTTCCTGGGCTGAATCAGTCCTCCCATCTCAGCCTCTCCAGTAGCTAGAACTACAGGCATGTGCCACTATGCTTGGCTAATTTTGTTGTTGTTTATTTTTTTTAGAGATGGGGTCTCACTGTGTTGCCTCGACTGATCTTGAACTCCTGGGCTCAATTGATCCACCCACCTCTGTCTCCCAAAATGTTGGGATTGCAGGCATAAGCCACCACATATGGCCAATTATTTTTAATGTACTGGTTCTTTAACCACTTCGTCATACTGGCTGTTATCTTCTAGATGTTCTCCCTGTATATAGGGCAACTATTTTCGTGAATTTCTCCCACCTTGCTTAGCCTGCATGACCCATTCCTTCAACAAAACTCTGCCAGCAGCCCTAACCCTCTTGTCCTTTTGTCTTTCTGCTGCATCTTCTCAGCAAACCTAAGACCTGGATAAATCCAAATGCCTCTTTTCCATGTCTGCAACTAGGACACATTATAATTTGTTTAATGATTGTTGGGCATGTGGAGATTGTTTCTTTTTATACTACTAAGACTGTGATTAATATCATTATACATGTATCTTTGCGTGTTTCTCTGCTTACTTAAGCTAAATTCCTAGAAGTGTAGTTACAGGATTAAAAGGCTTAAGACTTTGGAAAAATGACATCAGGTTGCCTTTAAGTACATTTGTAATGATTTCCCATTACTGATATATGAGAATACAGTATACATTTTGTTGTAAACATCCCAAAGTAGAGAAAAATGAGTTTAAAATTTTAAATCAACATAAAAGATGAAAAATGACACTTCATGGCTAGGGAGATAACAGACTTATGTTTATTGACAACTTGTTTTCCTGTTTTTTTTTTCTTTTTTTGTGGAGTCTCGCTCTATCGCCCAGGCTGGAGTGCAGTGGCACCATCTATGCTCACTGCAACCTCCGCCTCCGAGGCTCAAGCAATTCTCCTGCCTCAGCCTCCCAAGTAGCTGGAATTACAGGTGCCCACCTCCATGCCTGGCTAATTTTTGCATTTTCAGTGGAGATGGGATTTTGCCATGTTGGCCAGGCTGGTTTCGAACTCCTGACCTCAAATGATCCACCCACCTGAGCCTCCCAAAGTGTTGGGATAACAGGCGTGAACCAGCACACCCAGCCGCTTAAGATTCTTTTTAATGGACTTTGTAAGAGATCTTTTTTTCTTTTCTCATACATGATTATCAGATATATTGTTGACTTAGGACTTTCTTAAATTCACAAGTATTCTATCTTATGAGTTTGATTATTGTTTCAATAATCTATTATCTGCTGTTCTTGCACCTGCAGGGCTACCAATTATACATAAATACAGGATTTTTTCCCTTTCATATTTGTCATGTTCTTTATTTCTGTGTTCAGCTCCATTCTTTTCCTCCATATTCTTGAAAATCATCTAAATATTTTCCCAACATTTTATTGATTTTTCCACATTTTCAATACTTTTTCTTTTAGAATTTTATATGCAGATTTTAAATTATCCAATACATGCCTAGTTTTCTTCTCCTATCTTCTTATTTTATCTAGTTCCCTTTTCTTCTCTTCCTGTGTCTCAGACAGCTTCTGAATAATTTCTTGCTATCTTTCTTTTCTTGTTTCATGGCCTGATTAAATTTTGAGATGACAAAACCAGTATTGCTGACAATCTTCTTGTGAATCTTGTAGTAGACCTTTTTTGAGGCATGTGGTTCTTCTTCTTGAAGATGACATTTCTCTTTTTTGGGTGGCAGAATTTTTTCTACTGGATTCATTTTTTTCCTGTTTCTCTTCTTTAGTGAGAAGGTCACTCTTCAGATCCGCTTTTGCTGATATACAGGGCAAGCGAAATCTCCTTAGTGTCTCTAACTCTTCACCTGGTCACTGTTAGAATTTCTCTCCCATGCAGCAGCCTGGGTTATTTTATACAGATCCTTTTCTATTTCCTGAGGCTGGTGGTCATTTATATACAGCATGGCTGTGCTGCATTGAGGAAGGATCTTCTGCCTCTCCTGTCATCTCTCTGTGTGAAGAGGAATTTATTTTAGATTCTCTGAAGCATCCTACAGATCATCCCTTTCCAGAAGTGGTGCAAGAAAAACTATCGCCTCTCCATCTCTGATGGCTCCCACAACTCTTTCTTCTTTTTCTCATCTTACAATAGATTTGTATCCCAGGATTGATGTCCCACCACAAATCTGTCTTTGTAGCCCAGAAATAATGCTCCATTAGAAATCCCCCACCCCAATCAGATAGTTTTTATTGAAAACGTATGTGTCCAAATGAGTACAGAAAAGAAGGGCATACTTTTAATTGGTGGAAATAGGTGGTAAAGGGGCCCCAGCTGCTGCAGAACACAGCTCCTATATTAGGTTGATGGCTTTTCTCATTTTGACCAGAGAAAGTTCTTAAACTTTCTGTGATCCCTGGGCAGTGGTGGAAATTGCCTAATGTCCTCTCCTTAAGTTCTGTCCACATTTGGTTGGTATATCTGGTGTGCTATGAACCAGTATTTCTTATTTCCAATGCTCTTGTAATTACGCTTCTTTTTTTTTTTTGAGAGGAAGTTTTGCTCTTGTTGCCTAGGCTGGAGTGCAATGGTACGATCTTGGCTCACTGCAACCTCTACCTCCCAGGTTCAAGCAATTCTTCTGCCTCAGCCTCCCGAGTAGTTGGGAATACAGATGCCTGCCACCAAACCCAGCTAATTCTTGTATTTTTAGTAGAGATGGGGTTTCACCATGTTGGCCAGGCTGTCTCGAACTCCTGACCTCAGGTGATCCACCCACCTTGGCCTCCTAAAGTGTTGGGATTACAGATGTGAGCCACTGTGCCTGGCCGATTATATCTTTCTTTCAGTGTTATTGTGAGTATTTCAATGAGAAGGTAGAAAAGGGTGACTATAACACCACTAATGGTCCTTCAACTTAATATGGAAGTCTATATTTTTCTTAAAGTTATAGAATGTGGTTTAATGAAGAATTAGTGATCCTTTTACATGAGCTTCAAATATGTAAGAAAAAAACATGATTGAATTTCTACGAATGAAGGCTTTCCCCTACTTATTACATTTTCAGTATGTTTTAGTTGATATAGATGTGTTTATTGTAAGTTACAGTACATTCTCCCGAATTCCTAAGTCTTTACAGGTCACCTTCACTCTATAAAGAAACTTGTGGAAATGGTCATAATCAGAGTTCGACAGAACTGATAATGATCGACTTTCTTCATATTACCCTGCTTGTACTTGCATTTTTCCCATCTTCTATTTCAAGAGGAGCCATAGAATAGTGGTCAAGAATATGAATTCTGAAGCCAGACTACCCAAATTCAAATTTCAGGCCAACAACTTCTAGCTACCGGCCCTTGGGCAATTTTGCTTAACCTTCCTGAATTTTCATTTCCTTGGGTATAATGTTGGATTGGGAATGATATGTACTCCATAAAGTTGATATGAATATTAAATAAGCACATAGTTGTAGAATTTTAAAGCAGTAATCAGCATATGGTAAGCACTATATATGTGACTTTTATTACTATTAGTGCTTTGTGATAAATTTAGGACTATTTGGCAATTTCTATGAAAAAGTGATGTTTTCATTAGGTTGTGTGTAAACCTGAATGGTAACAGAAGCCTGCGATGTAAAAGCTGGAGGGAAGACCATTCCAGAAAGAAAAAAACAACAACTGTAAAGACCCTGAGATAGGAATGAATTTGTCCTGTTCAAGAAACAGCAAGGCCTGAGTAACTGTCATTGCTGGGTGGCAGTGAAATGGTACACAGTCCTCGATGCACATAAATACTATTTATTTAATGTACCAAAATAATTGATGCATGCTGTAAAGCACCCAAAAGACATTTATGCAAAAGACATTATATATGGGAATGATCTGACTGATGTTTACCTTTTTATGTATGCTATTCATGGTGAAGGCAGATCTAACACTCTGTTCCTATTAATTCTTTTTTTTTTCATTTTCTTCTAGGAATTTGTAACAGAAAACCCAACATCTGATTCAAAAATAATAGCTTCTGTTTATTTTGTCCCAATAAGCAGTATAATTCTTCGTTGCAAAAACAGAAAAGCAGCTTAAATTGATTTAAACTTAATGGGTAATTTATTATTATAATGTTGAGGTGTCTCTCAGAATACAAGGGTAGAATACAAAGGGTAACTTAGGTACCCTAAGGGGACTCCCACACCATTGGGACTTTATTTTATTTTATTTTATTTTATTTTATTTTATTTTATTTTATTTTATTTTATTTTGAGATGGAGTCTCACTGTGTCACCTAGGCTGGAGTTCACTGGCACCATCTCAGCTCACTGCAACCTCTGCCTCCCAGGTTCAAGCTATTCTCCAGCCTCAACCTCCCAAGTAGCTGGGATTACAGGCACGTGCTACCACACTTGGCTAACTTTTGTATTTTTAGTAGAGATGGGATTTTGCCATGTTGGCCAGGCTGGTCTCAAACTCCTGTCTTCAGATGATCTGCCTGCCTTGGCATCCCAAAGTGCTGGGATTACAGGTGTGAGCCACCGTGCCCGGCATAGGACTTTCTTTCTTTATATCTGCATATCTGCCTTATTCCCTCTTACTGCAGACCAGTTTTCTGTTTTCCAATCTACAAGATAGGGGAATAAATGGTTCTGCCAAAAACTCCTAAGTTCAAATATTCTCAGTTCAAGAAGATCACCAGACGGCTCTCCAAATTTCCAGAAACAACAATAATTGGCTGAGTGTGAGTTGGATTTTCACTTTTGGGCCAACCACAGTCATTATACAGATAAGTCGGAAAAAAAGGCAGTCTTCAAAACAGGTGGTGGTGATATGGAGCGAGTGCTGGGTAGACAAGATAACCATTCTGCTCCACACATATTCTCGGATTAATCCTTCATCACAAACTTAAGAGGCTAAGAAATAATTTGCCCTCCATCACTCATTTTACCAGTAAATAGGGATGATATTTAAATCCTGAACTGAACTACTTCAAAACTCATGTTCTTAAGTACCACACTATGTAACCAACTTTTAATTACATGGTGGTGAATGAAATGTTAGTGCCTTCACATGATGACATAAGTGAGTTTGGGGTTCAAGAAGGAATTATACATTAAGTCATCTCTGTTGAGACTATTTTAGGATAAAATCATCTATTATCCAAGCAGAAGAGTTTCCAAAATGGACTTTAAAAAATACAATAATTAGAATCTTCAGATCTACTGCAGGGAAGCACTCACCTGTCACAACAATTCTAAGTTTGAACACTGATATGAAAGGAATTAAGTTGTAGGCAATCAGAAAATTTCAAGAAATGTTTATTTCTGACAAAGAACCAAGTAAAAATTATTATCTTGGTTTTGAGAGTATTTCTAAAAGCAAACATCACTGGGCAGAAGTTGAGGAAGACTTCCAGTATGTGAAACCACTTAGGGTTAGTCGTGAAGTGGAATCACTTCTCAAATATTATCAATGTAAATGTTTCTACTTTACTGGTCAAAGAGACAAAGTTTGAAATTTGAATGATTTTGATTTAGTCTATCTTACTATGTAAAATTTGTATTATATGTGGTAGAATCATGCTATGGCCATTAAGATATTCTTTGTATTATTAAAAATTACAGCAAGGAAATCAAGTAAAACAGTAATATCTTAAGTAATTTAGTAGATCAACTCGAAATAGTCCTACCCCCAAAGTGGGTTCTACAAACAAGACAGTTATTTCTTTCTAATATCTAAGCCTTTTTCCAACTCCCAGTGCTAATAGATGATTTTTATCCTAAAATAATCTCAACAGAGATGACTTAAAAATCAATCCCTGTTCCTCCCTGCCTTCCTCTCTGATCCTGTTCTCCCAAGTGTTTTCAGCCAGTTTCCAGAAGTGCAGGTCTACTACTTGGTGCTCTTTAACATCTTACCATTTGACGAGGACCTGTTCCATTGGTCCCTCCAGATCCACTCTGTCCTTCCTAATTCTGCTCTCTACTTGGAATGGCTAATTTCAGTTGGGTTTGGCCAATGGTGATACCCAGCAAGAAATCAGAGAGAAGGAGGATACTGGGATAAGATCTTTGTTGACTATGTTCTTCTGTATAGGCAGGGTGATAATGGTTGACCTGTTCCCTTGGCGAAAACCTATGTAAGTTTCTTTGGGTCTTTTTTCTTGAACTGGTCAGATTTCCAAAAGAAAATTCAACCGATCTCTTCCTAACCAGGCAAACTTGGTTAAAATACAATATACATCAAGGAAGAGGGCTTGAGGGTCTTAACATTCCGTAAATAACCTTTGATTTAATTCTCCATTATTCAGCATGGTACCTTATCTTTAGTGGTGTATGGAGTCCACCAGTCTAGAGATCCTCTGCTTTAACCTTTCTAGAGAATTAATACACCATTATATGTTGGCATGGGGAAGAGCAGCTGTATAGCTACAAGGTATGAAAATGGATAAATGAGGATTTTACTGCTTTTTAAATATTTTCAACCAATCTTTTTATGTTTAGCAACCCCCTCATTTCCACTTATAAAGGAACCCAGTGTTACAATTTCTTGAGCCTTCTGGTATATTTTGAGATGTCACTGTGTTGCCACTTTGTTTTTCCTACCAGATTAGAATCCAGCTTTCTACATTTGCCAGTGGTTTCTATCTTCCCTTTTATTCTCTTTGTGAGTTTATGCCTTTTAAAAAAATCCCTTTATTTTCATTGTTCTGGGGTTTGAGAAGTGAGTAGAATAAAAGACTATTTTCAATCCACTGTCTTTAAATCTCCTTAACTCTTACTCTCCTTCAGCCTACTGAAGATATAGCTTCTCTCCCCTACAACACTCAAATATTCCTTGCTGAGTTACTCATGACCTGTGTTGTCATATTCAAAACACAAGCCCAGTTTTCATTTTACTTCACACTTCAGCAGCATTTGTTTATGTTCACCAGTTACCTTTGTAAGAATTTAGCTTCTGAATTTCAAGATACCATATTCTCCTGGTTTTCTCTATCTCTTTTGTTCCTTCCTTGTCAATATCCTCTGCAAGATATGCACATCAATGTTGGAGTCCCTCAAGGCTTGGTTCTAGGTCCTCTTTTCTTTTCTTTTTTTTTTTAATTTGTGGCTCAACGTTTAATTTTTTTATTGTTATTATACTTTAAGTTCTGGGGTACATGAGCAGAATGTGCAGTTTTGTTACATAGGTATACACATGCCATGGTGGTTTGCTGCACCCATCAACCCATCATTTACATTAGGTATTTCTCCTCATGCTATCCTCCCCTAGCCCCCCGCACCTCGACAGGCCCAGGTGTGTGATGTTCCCCTCCATGTGTCCGTGTTAACCTTGTTCAACTCCCACTTATGAGTGAGAACATGTGGTGTTTGGTTTTTCTGTTCTTGTGATAGTTTGCTGACAATGATAGTTTCCAGCTTCATCCATGTCCCTGCAAAGAACATGAACTCATGCTTTGTTATGACTGCGTAGTATTCCGTGGTATATATGTGCCACATTTTCTTTATCCAGTCTATCATTGATGGACATTTGGGTTGGTTCCAAGTCTTTGCTATTGTGAACAGTGCTGCAATAAACATACATGTGCATGGTCTTTATAGTAGAATGATTTGTAATCCTTTGGGTATATGCCCAGTAATGAGATTGCTGGGTCAAATGGTATTTCTAGTTCTAGATCCTTGAGGAATCACCACACTGTCTTCCACAATGGTTGAACTAATTTACAGTCCCACCAACAGTGTAAAAGCATTCCTATTTCTCCACATCCTCTTTAGCATCAGTTGTTTCCTGACTTTTTAATGATCTCCATTCTAACTGGCATGAGATGGTATCTCATTGTGGTTTTGATTTGCATTTCTCTGATGACCAGTAATGATGAACATTTTTTCATAAGTTTGTTGGCTGTATAAATGTCTTCTTTTGAGATGTGTCTGTTCATATCCTTTGCCAACTTTTTGATGGTTTTTTCTTTTTCTTGTAAATTTGTTTAAGTTATTTGTAGATTCTGGATATTAGCCCTTTGTCAGACGGATAGATTGCAAAAAATTTCTCCCATTCTGTAGGTTGCCTGTTCACTCTGATGATAGTTTCTTTTGCATGTGGAAGAAAGCTCTTTAATTAGATACCATTTGTCAATTTTGCCTTTTGTTGCCATTGCTTTTGGTGTTTTGGACATGAAATCTTTGCCCATGCCTATGTCCTGAATTTTATTGCCTAGGTTTTCTTCTAGGATTTTTATGGTTTTAGGTCTTATGCTTAAGTCCTTAATCCACCTTGAGTTATTTTTTGTATAAGGTGTAAGGAAGGGGTCCAGTTTCAGTTTTCTGCATATGGCTAGCCAGTTTTTCCAATAGCATTTATTGAATAGGGAATCCTTTCCCCATTGCTTCTTTGTGTCAGGTTTGTCAAAGATCAGATGGTTGTAGATGTGTGGTGTTTTTTCTGAGGCCCCTGTTCTGTTCCATTGGTCTATATAACTGTTTTGGTACCAGTACCATGCTGTTTTGGTTACTGTAGCCTTGTAAGATAGTTTGAAGTCAGGTAGCATGATGCCTTCAGCTTTGTTCTTTTTGCTTAGGATTGTCTTGGCTGTGTGGGCTCTTTTTGGGTTGCATATGAAGTTTAAGGTAGTGTTTTCCAATTCCTTGAAGGAAGTCAGTGGTAGCTTGATGGGGATAGCATTGAATCTATAAATTACTTCGAGCACTATGGCCATTTTCACAATATGGATTCTTCCTATCCATAAGCATGGAATGTTTTTCCATATGTTTGCGTCCTCCTTTATTTCCTTGAGCAGTGGTTTGTAGTTCTCCTTGAAGAGGTCCTTCACCTCCCTTGTAAGTTGTATTCCTAGGCTTTTATTCTCTTTGTAGTAATTGTGAATGGGAGTTCACTCATGATTTGGCTCTCTGTTTGTCTGTTCTTGGTGTTGTATAGGAATGCATGTGATTTTTGCACATTGATTTTGTATCCTAAGAGTTTGCTGAAGTTGCTTATCAGTTTAAGGAGATTTTGGGCTAAGACAATGGGGTTTTCTAAATATATATTCATGTCATCTGCAAACAGAGACAATTTGACTTCCTCTCTTCCTATTTGAATACGCTTTATTTCTTTCTCTTGCCTAATTGCCCTGGCCAGAACTTCCAACACTATGTTGAATAGGAGTGGTGAGAGAGGTCATCCTTGTCTTGTGCCGGTTTTCAAAGGGAATGCTTCCGGTTTTTGCCCATTCAGTATGATATTGGCTGTGGGTTTGTCATAAATAGCTCCTATTATTTTGAGATATGTTCCATAGATACCTAGTTTATTGAGAGTTTTTAGCATGAAGGGATGTTGAATTTTGTCAAAGGCCTTTTCTGCATCTATTGAGATAATCATGTGGTTTTTGTCATTGGTTCTGTTTATGTGATGGATTCCATTTATTGATTTGCATATGTTGAACCACCCTTGCCTCCCAGGTATGAAGCCAACTTGATTGTGGTACATAAGCTTTTTAATGTGCTACTGGATTCGGTTTGCCAGTATTTTATTGAGGATTTTCACATCGATGTTCATCAGGGGTATTGGCCTGAAATTTTCTCTTTTTGTTGTGTCTCTGTCAGGTTTTGGTAACAGGATGATGCCGGCCTCATAAAATGAGTTAGGGAGGATCTCCTCTTTTTCTATTGATTGGAATAGTTTCAGAAGAAATGGTAGCAGCTCCTCCTTGTACCTCTGGTAGAATTCAGCTGTAATTCGGTCTCGTCCTAGACTTTTTAGGCTATTAATTACTGCCTCAATTTCAGAGCCTGTTATTGGTCTATTCAGGGATTCGACTTCTTCCTGGTTTAAACTCGGGAGGGTGTATGTGTCCAGGAATTTATCCATTTCTTCTAGATTTTCTAGTTTATTTGCATAGAGGTGTTTATAGTATTCTCTGATGGTAGTTTGTATTTCTGTGGGATACCCCCTTTATCATTTTTTATTGCATCTATTTGATTCTTCTCTCTTTTCTTCTTTGTTATTCTGGCTATCGCTCTATCAATTTTGTTGATCTTTTCAAAAAATCAGCTCTTGCATTCATTGATTTTTTGAACGGTTGTTCATGTCTCTATCTCCTTCAGTTCTGCTCTGATATTAGTTCTTTCTTGTCTTCTGCTGGTTTTTGAATTTGTTTGCTCTTGCTTCTCTAGTTCTTTCAATTGTGATGTTAGGGTGTCGATTTTAGATCTTTCCTGCTTTCTCCTGTGGTCATTTAGTGCTATAAATTTCCCTCTATACACTGCTTTAAGTGTGTCCCAGAGATTCTGGTACATTGTGTCTTTGTTCTCATTTGTTTCAAAAAACCTCATTATTTCTGCCTTCAGTTCGTTATGTACCCAGTGGTCATTCAGGGGCAGGTTGTTCAGTTTCCATGTAGTTGTGCAGTTTTGAGTGAGTTTCTTAATCCTGAGTTCTAATTTGATTGCACTTGATCTGAGAGACTGTTATGATTTCCATTCTTTTGCATTTGCTGAGGAGTGTTTTACTTCCAATTATGTCGTCAATTTTAGAATAAGTGTGATGAGGTGCTGAGAAGAATGTATATTCTGTTGATTTGGGATGGACGGTTCCATAGATGTCTATTTGGTCCACTTGGTCCACAGCTGAGTTCAACTCCTGATTATCCTTGTTAATTTTCTGTCTCATTGATTTGTCTAATATTGACAGTGGGGGGTGTTAAAGTCTCCCACTACTATTGTGTGGGAGTCTAAGTCTCTTTGTAGTCTGTAAGAATTTGTATTATGAGTGTTCATAACATTCATAAAGTGTTCATGGAACCCTTTACCATTATATAATACCCTTCTTTATCTCTTTTCAACCCCAAATGCCCACTCAGCATCTCTATTTACATGTCAAAACCTTTAAAGGAATCTCAAAATTGGTATGTCTAAAACTGAACTCAGGAGTCTCCTGCAACACACATAAAACACACACTATCTGGCCCAAATCATGGGTCTCTTCTGGCATTTTATATTTTTGTGAATGGCACCATCATCCTTGTGGGTAGACCCATCAGGGGTCTTTCTCAACACCTCCCTTTCTCTCATCCCACATATCCAAGCATCTCCAACTTTTCTTGCTTTTACCTCTTATATATCTATTGAATTATCACTTGGAGGACAGTTACTGTCTGCCCTGGAGAGTCACATGGCTCCACAGTGGATTTTTTGTGAACAATAAATATACCTTTGTTGTTACAAGAAATAAAATGTTGACATTGTGACTGCAGCACTATTTACCTCATCCTCACTAATACAATATATGTCATGGTTTGTAATTACACATTGCTTTGAGTTATTAACTTAATATATTCCTCTTTGACTAAATTATTAGCTCTAGTAGTGCAGAAATTGTGTCTATTTTCTATTTCCCCAGAACCTGGCACAGTCCTAGGACAAAGAAAGTGCTCAGAGAGTATGTTAGATGAAAGAATGGGGAAATAAGACAATATGGAGCTAAATACTGTTGTTGATACAATTCTTCATAATTAGCTTGCATTAAGTGTTGGTAGAACAACTGAATAAATGAAGTAGATTTTGCTATTATTTATAACATTTTATCAATGGAAGCCTTAAAATATATAAATCTCCAATCTAAATCCAGGGACTAATGTTGGAAATGTGCTAGAAGCTTGGGCTTTATTTTCTGGGAACCAGTTTTTACTTACATAAGCAATCATCATCCATCCACATTTGGATGTAGCAGAGCTTCAATATCTGCTAGTTCTGGTGAAAAGTTCTTTGCTTATCCTCTCCTTGGGGCAAGGACCCTAGATCTGTGTTGAAATAAGGGGACGTGAGGCAGTGGCTCTAAAATCACCTGGAGTGGCACCTGATTGATACAGTGTTGCTCCATCAATCCCTCCTAAGGAATATTCTCAAAGTTGGTGTCAGGATAACATCCTCCTAAATGCAGCTGAGCTTCGCATCTCACTCTCTGTGAGTTAATGGGTGCATCAAACCAATATAGCACATGTATATATACGTAACAAACCTGCACGTTGTGCACATGTACCCTAGTACATAAAGTATAATAATAAAAGAAAATACATAAAAATAAAACTTAAAAAAAAGAGTTGCTCTCAATGGATTTCCTGAACCTTTCATCTCTCTGTCTACTTTCCCTCTCATTCCCTAGAACTGGTCAAAAGACTTTCTGTTCTAACTCAGTCTTGGTTGTGATGGTCCATGTTCTCCCAATGTGACCGTCTTTGATTGACCTTCCTCTGTCCTTCTAAGAGTTTTCTGCCAATTTCCAGGTACTTATAAACATTCATGCGTACAACAGACACATTGCAATCTTGCTTACTTTCTAACCTGAATAGCCTATAAATCCATCCTTCAGAGACTGCAATGGATTTTTTTATTGTGTGTTCAAACCAGGAGGCTATTTTTAAACACAATTTACAAATTGGACTTTGGAAAATAAGGTGGACCAAATTCTAGCCTTTACAACGAATGCCTGAGAGTCCATCCCATTAAAGAGTTTTTAATTAAAAAGAACAACCCACAGGTGCCTTATTGTTCTAACATACAGGATCACTCAGCAGCCTCTGAAAGAAACAGAATAGTTCACTCCATGGTTAACATCTTCTAGATAAATTTAACCCTAGCTAACAGCTGGGCTGGCCATTACAGGCTAAGGTAATTTTGTTTGAAGTGCTACCAGCTCCTCACTTTCATGTTTAAGTCTCCCAGAATAGCACAGAGAAGAGTAATCATGGCCTCAATTCTTTTATTTCCTCCCAACACTATTTTAATGAGAATTTCAAAGAATGCCAGCTGACAATTTCCACTGTAGGGAAAAAACCAGATGCAGAAATGCAAACAGGGAGAGGATGATTTTCCTCTGCACTACTCAACTGTGATCTTTATGAAGAGGCAAAGATTGACACACCTTTGTGGGCCCAGTACCAGCTAGAGTATATCAAACACAGTAGCCTTTCAACAAATGTTTGTTGAATAACATTTATACAAGATTTGGTAGTGCTTTCAATTAATAAATAAATTAACAAATCTCAGAAAGAGAAACTCCCTGTATTAGTCTGTTCTCACATTGCTATAAAAAACTACCTGAGACTGAGTAATTTATGAATAAAGGAGGTTTAATTGACTCACAGTTCTGCAAGCTGTACAGGAAGCATGGCTGGGGAGGCTTCAGGAAACTCACAATCATGGTAGAAGGTGAAGGGGAAGCAGGCACATCTTAAATTGACAGAAAAGGAAGAAGAGAGTGAAGGGGAATGTGCTACACAATTTTAAACAACCACGTCTCGTGAGAACTCACTATCAATGAGAACAGCAAGGGGGAAATCCACCCCCATGATCCAGTCACCACCCACCAGGCCCCTCTTCCAATACTGGGGATTACAATTTTTTTTATTATTATTATACTTTAAGTTTTAGGGTACATGGGCACAATGTGCAGGTTAGTTACATATGTATACATGTGCCATGCTGGTGTGCTGCGACCATTGACTCGTCATTTAGCATTAGGTATATCTCCTAATGCTATCCCTCCCCCTTCCTCCCACCTCACAACAGTCCCCAGAGTGTGATGTTCCCCTTCCTGTGTCCATGTGTTCTCATTGTTCAATTCCCACCTATGAGTGAGAACATGCAGTGTTTGGTTTTTTGTCCTTGCGATAGTTTACTGAGAATGATGATTTCCAATTTCATCCATGTCCCTACAAAGGACATGAACTCATCATTTTTATGGCTGCATAGTATTCCATGATGTATATGTGCCACATTTTCTTAATCCAGTCTATCATTGTTGGACATTTGAGTTGGTTCCAAGTCTTTGCTATTGTGAATAGTGCCACAATAAACATATGTGTGCATGTGTCTTTATAGCAGCATGATTTACAGTCCTTTGGGCATATACCCAGTAAAGAGATGGCTGGGTCAAATGGTATTTCTAGTTCTAGATCCCTGAGGAATCGCCACACTGACTTCCACAATGGTTGAACTAGTTTACAGTCCCACCAACAGTGTAAAAGTGTTCCTATTTCTCCACATCCTCTCCAGCACCTGCTGTTTCCTGACTTTTTAATGATTGCCATTCTAACTGGCGTGAGATGGTATCTCATTGTGGTTTTGATTTGCATTTCTCTGATGGCCAGTGATGGTGAGCATTTTTTCATGTGTTTTTTGGCTGCATAAATGTCTTCTTTTGAGAAGTGTCTGTTCATGTCCTTCGCCCACTTTTTGATGGGGTTGTTTGTTTTTTTCTTGTAAATTTGTTTGAGTTCATTGTAGATTCTGGATATTAGCCCTTTGTCAGATGAGCAGGTTGTGAAAATTTTCTCCCATTTTGTGGGTTGCCTGTTCACTCCGATGGTAGTTTTTTTTTGCTGTGCAGAAGCTCTTTCATTTAATTAGATCCCATTTGTCAATTTTGGCTTTTGTTACCATTCCTTTTGGTGTTTTAGACATGAAGTCCTTGCCCACGCCTATGTCCTGAATGGTAATGCCTAGGTTTTCTTCTAGGGTTTTTATGGTTTTAGGTCTAAAGTTTAAGTCTTTAATCCATCTTGAATTAATTTTTGTATCAGGTGTAAGGAAGGGATCCAGTTTCAGCTTTCTACATATGGCTAGCCAGTTTTCCCAGCACCATTTATTAAATAGGAAATCCTTTCCCCATTGCTTGTTTTTCTCAGGTTTGTCAAAGATCAGATAGTTGTAGATAAGCGGCGCTATTTCTGAGGGCTCTGTTCTGTTCCATTGATCTATATCTCTGTTTTGGTACCAGTACCATGCCGTTTTGGTTACTGTAGCCTTGTAGTATAGTTTGAAGTCAGGTAGGGTGATGCCTCCAGCTTTGTTCTTTTGGCTTAGGATTGACTTGGCGATGCGGGCTCTTTTTTGGTTCCATATGAACTATAAGTAGTTTTTTTCCAATTCTGTGAAGAAAGCCATTGGTAGCTTGATGGGGATGCCATTGAATCTGTAAATTACCTTGGGCCGTATGGCCATTTTCACAATATTGATTCTTCCTACCCATGAGCATGGAATGTTCTTCCATTTGTTTGTATCCTCTTTTATTTCATTGAGCAGTGGTTTGTAGTTCTCCTTGAAGAGGTCCTTCACGTCCCTTGTAAGTTGGATTCCTAGGTATTTTATTCTCTTTGAAGCAATTGTGAATGGGAGTTCACTCATGATTTGGCTCTCTGTTTGTCTGTTGCTGGTGTATAAGAATGCTTGTGATTTTTGTACATTGATTTTGTATCCTGAGACTGCTGAAGTTGCTTATCAGCAGAAGGACATTTTGGGCTGAGACAATGGGGTTTTCTAGATATACAAGCATGTCACCTGCAAACAGGGTCAATTTGACTTCCTCTTTTCCTAATTGAATACCCTTTATTTCCTTCTCCTGCCTAATTGCCCCGGCCAGAACTTCCAACACTATGTTGACTAGGAGTGGTGAGAGAGGGCATCCCTGTCTTGTGCCAGTTTTCAAAGGGAATGCTTCCACTTTTTGCTCATTCAGTATGATATTGGCTGTGGGTTTGTCATAGATAGCTCTTATTATTTTGAGATACGTCCCATCAATACCTAATTTTTTGAGAGTTTTTAGCATGAAGAGTTGTTGAATTTTGTCAAAGGCCTTTTGTGCATCTATTGAGATAATCATGCGGTTTTTGTCTTTGGTTCTGTTTATATGCTGGATTACATTTATTGATTTGCATGTATTAAACCAGCCTTGCATCCCAGGGATGAAGCCCACTTGATCATGTTGGATAAGCTTTTTGATGTGCTGCTGGATTCGGTTTGTCAGTATTTTATTGAGGATTTTTGCATCAATGTTCATCAAGGATATTGGTCTAAAATTCTCTTTTTTGGTTGTGTCTCTGCCTGGCTTTGGTATCAGGATGATGCTGGCCTCATAAAATGAGTTAGGGAGTATTCCCTCTTTTTCTATTGATTGCAATAGTTTCAGAAGGAATGGTACCAATTCCTCCTTGTACCTCTGGTAGAATTCGCGTGTGAATCCATCTGGTCCTGGACTCTTTTTAGTTGGTAAGCTATTGATTATTGCCACAATTTCAGAGCCTGTTATTGGTCTATTCAGAGAGTCAACTTCTTCCTGGTTTAGTCTTGGGAGGGTGTGTGTGTCGAGGAATTTATCCATTTCTTCTAGATTTTTTAGTTTATTTGCGTAGAGGTGTTTATAGCATTCTCTGATGGTAGTTTGTATTTCTGTGGGATTGGTGGTGATATCCCCTTTATCATTTTTTATTGCATCTATTTGATTCTTCTCTCTTTTCTTCTTTATTAGTCTTGCTAGCAGTCTATCAATTTTGTTGATCCTTTCAAAAAACCAGCTCCTGGATTCATTAATTTTTTGAAGGATTTTTGTGTCTCTATTTCCTTCAGTTCTGCTCTGATTTTAGTTATTTCTTGCCTTCTGCTAGCTTTTGAATGTGTTTGCTCTTGCTTTTCTAGTTCTTTTAATTGTGATGTTAGGGTGTCAATTTTGGATCTTTCCTGCTTTCTCTTGTGGGCATTTAGTGCTATAAGTTTCCCTCTACATGCTGCTTTGAATGTGTCCCAGAGATTCTGATATGTTGTGTCTTTGTTCTCGTTGGTTTCAAAGAACATCTATATGTCTGCCTTCATATCATTATGTACCCAGTAGTCATTCAGGAGCAGGTTGTTCAGTTTCCATGTAGTTGAGTGGTTTTGAGTGAGTTTCTTAATCCTAAGTTCTAGTTTGATTGCACTGTGGTCTGAGAGACAGTTTGTTATAATTTCTGTTCTTTTACATTTTCTGAGGAGTGCTTTACTTCCAACTATGTGGTCAATTTTGGAGTAGGTGTGGTGTGGTGCTGAAAAAAATGTATATTCTGTTGATGTGGGGTGGAGAGTTCTGTAGATGTCTATTAGATCCGCTTGGTGCAGAGCTGAGTTCAATTCCTGGGTATCCTTGTTAACTTTCTGTCTCGTTGATCTGTCTAATTTTGACAGTGGGGTGTTAAAGTCTCCCATTATTATCGTGTGGGAGTCTAAGTCTCTTTGTAGTTCACTCAGGACTTGCTTTATGAATCTGAGTGCTCTTGTATTGGGTGCATATATATTTAGGATAGTTAGCTCTTCTTGTTGAATTGGTCCCTTTACCATTATGTAATGGCCTTCTTTGTCTCTTTTGATCTTTGTTGGTTTAAAGTCTGTTTTATCAGAGTCTAGGATTGCAACCCCTGCCTTTTTTTGTTTTCCATTTGCTTGGTAGATCTTCCTCCATCCTTTTATTTTGAGCCTATGTGTGTCTCTGCACATGAGATAGGTTTCCTGAATACAGCACACTGATGGGTCTTGACTCTTTGTCCAATTTGCCAGTCTGTGTCTTTTAATTGGAGCATTTAGTCCATTTACATTTAAAGTTAATATTGTTATGTGTGAATTTGATCCTGTCATTATGATGTTAGCTGGTTATTTTGCTCGTTAGTTGATGCAGTTTCTTCCTAGCCTCGATGGTCTTTACAATTTGGCATGATTTCACAGTGGCTGGTACCGGTTGTTCCTTTCCATGTTTAGTGTTTCCTTCAGGAGCTCTTTTAGGGCAGGCCTGTTGGTGACAAAATCTCTCAGCATTTGCTTGTCTGTAAAGTATTTTATTTCTTCTTTACTTATGAAGCTTAGTTTGGGTGGATATGAAATTCTGGGTTGAAAATTCTTTTCTTTAAGAATGTTGAATATTGGCCCCTACTCTCTTCTGGCTTGTAGAGTTTCTGCTGAGAGATCCGCTGTTAGTCTGATGGGATTCCCTTTGTGGGTAACCCGACCTTTCTGTCTGGCTGCCCTTAACATTTTTTCCTTCATTTCAACTTTGGTGAATCTGACAATTATGTGTCTTGGGGTTGCTCTTCTCGAGGAGTATCTTTGCGGCATTCTCTGTATTTCCTGAATCTGAATGTTGGCCTGCCTTGCTAGATTGGGGAAGTTCTGGATAATATCCTGCAGAGTGTTTTCCAACTTGGTTCCATTCTCCCCGTCACTTTCAGGTACACCAATCAGACGTAGATTTCGTCTTTTCATGTAGTCCCATATTTCTTGGAGGCTTTGTTTGTTTCTTTTTATTCTTTTTTCTCTAAACTTTCCTTCTCGCTTCATTTCATTCATTTCATCTTCCATCACTGATACCCTTTCTTCCAGTTGATCGCATCGGCTCCTGAGGCTTCTGCATTCTTCATGTAGTTCTCAAGCCTTGGCTTTCGGCTCCATCAGCTCC
Source organism: Homo sapiens (assembly GCF_000001405.40). Classification (NCBI taxonomy): domain Eukaryota; kingdom Metazoa; phylum Chordata; class Mammalia; order Primates; family Hominidae; genus Homo; species Homo sapiens. The sequence continues at coordinate 23,855,870 of NC_000010.11, forward strand.
TTTAAGCACTTCTCTGATTGGTTATTCTAGTTATACATTTGTCTAAATTTTTTTCAAAGTTTTTAACTTCTTTGCCTTTGGTTTGAATTTTCTCCTGTAGCTCGGAGTAGTTTGATCGTCTGAAGCATTCTTCTCTCAACTCGTGAAAGTCATTCTCCGTCCAGCTTTGTTCTGTTGCTGGTAAGGAACTGCGTTCCTTTGGAGGAGGAGAGGCACTCTGCTTTTTAGAGTTTCCAGTTTTTCTGCTCTGTTTTTTCCCCATCTATGTGGTTTTATCTGCTTTTGGTCTTTGATGATGGTGATGTACAGATGGGTTTTTGGTGCGGATGTCCTTTCTGTTTGTTAGTTTTCCTTCTAACAGACAGGACCCTCAGCTGCAGGTCTGTTGGAGTTTGCTAGAGGTCCACTCCAGACCCTGTTTGCCTGGGTATCAGCAGCAGTGGCTGCAGAACAGCGGATTTTCGTGAACCGCGAATGCTGCTGTCTGATCGTTCCTCTGGAAGTTTTGTCTCAGAAGAGTACCCGTCTGTGTGAGGTGTCAGTCTGCCCCTACTGGAGGGTGCCTCCCAGTTAGGCTGCTCGGGGGTCAGGGGTCAGGGACCCACTTGAGGAGGCAGTCTGCCGGTTCTCAGATCTCCAGCTGCGTGCTGGGAGAACCACTGCTCTCTTCAAAGCTGTCAGGGACATTTAAGTCTGCAGAGGTTACTGCTGTCTTTTTGTTTGTCTGTGACCTGTGCCCAGAGGTGGAGCCTACAGAGGCAGGCAGGCCTCCTTGAGCTGTGGTGGGCACCACCCAGTTCGAGCTTCCCCACTGCTTTGTTTACCTAAGCAAACCTGGGCAATGGCAGGCGCCCCTCCCCCAGCCTCGCTGCTGCCTTGCAGTTTGATCTCAGACTGCTGTGCTAGCAATCAGCGAGATTCTGTGGGCGTAGGACACTGCCAGCCATGTGCGGGATATAATCTCCTGGTGCGCCTTTTTTTAAGCCCATCGGAAAAGCGCAGTATTAGGGTGGGAGTGACCCGATTTTCCAGGTGCTGTCTGTCACCCCTTTCTTTGACTAGGAAAGGGAACTCCCTGACCCCTTGCGCTTCCCAAGTGAGGCAATGCCTCGCCCTGCTTTGGCTCGCACATGGTGCGCTGCACCCACTGTCCTGCACCCACTGTCTGGCACTCCCTAGTGAGATGAACCCGGTACCTCAGATGGAAATGCAGAAATCACCCGTCTTCTGTGTCGCTCAGGCTGGGAGCTGTAGACTGGAGCTGTTCCTATTCGGCCATCTTGGCGCTCTCTCAGGGATTACAATTTTATATGAAATTTGGGTAGGGATGTGAATCCAAACCATATCACTCCCCATACGATACTGACTTGAGATAGACTTCAGGGGTCAGAACATCTTATTCCTCAGACTATGAGGGATTTTTTTGTCACCTCTTCTGAGCATCTTTTCAAATAGTGCTGATAAGTTCACTTTGTTCATTAGAGAGAAAAAGGACAGGACGAAATAGGAGACCATAAATAGGAAGGAATGAGAATAAAATGGTCAATTAAGGAAAGGATTTTCTGAAAGCAGGCCCTGTCATTAATAATGATGATCTCTAGCTGTAATTAAAACACCTTTGTAAATGTATTCATGCCCTTGTGCCTCAGAGGTGAGGTCTTCAAGCCTGTCTCTATATCACAATCATCTGGAGAATGACAGGTCCATGTTAAAGGTATTAAATCAGAAGGTCTAGGGTCGGGGCCCAGGAATTTGCATTTTATAATAAACGGTTTGCACGCTTTTGATGCATAGCTAGTTAGGAAACCACATTGCCTCTAAGAATTTCTGTGAGTGGAGTGACATCTCTCAACCTTTAGAGGAGTGGGGAATCTTTTCTTGAGAACTTTACAAAGAATCAGCTATAATATATTAGAAGGAGATAGCTATTTAGATTTATGGATGAATGTATGTTCATATATATGTATGTATTTATAGAGGAAACTATAGATATGGTTGAAATTCCTTCTAATTTAATAGTTAGAAACAGTGAAAATGCCATTTTATTAAGTTATATGTCAAAAACATTTAAATATTTCAATCTGGTTAAAAAAAAAAAAGAGGGGTGGGCCAGAGACTTCAAGTAGGAGACAGCAGCTGGGAGACAGGCCAAGAGGATCAGATATGGAAGGGGAGGAAGAACAAAGTTGTGCTACTTGGTAATTTCTCTAGAATACAGCAGGAAAGAGGGCCAGGAAAGGACAACTGTGACCACTCAAGAAACGGGAGCCAAGGCCGGATCTTCTTTCCTTGGCTCTTCTCTGGGCTCTGACTTAATCCTGCCAGGTCTCAGTTTCTTCTCCTGAAAAATGAGCTGGATGGGGAAGAGCAGTGATTTTCAATTTAGCCTGAGAATGTGCCTTGCTGTGTCATCATTTCAGCATAGTCGTGAGGAACCCAGCATGATGACAGTTGTAATTTTAGTGTTCACTGATTTAAAAATTGATGATACCTAAAGAACTATAAACTTAGAACTTTTTAAAATTATATTTCCTTTTATTCACCACAACAGCATATATATATGCTGTATATATATATATACACACAAACATATGTGTGTGTGTATATACATACATATAAATATACACACACATCTTTAGAGCAGTTGTATACACATGTCTATAGCAGATATCAGTATCATTGCTTGAATTCTTGCTTTTTGAAAAAAACAACTTGAATCTGACTCTGAATATCATAAAAATGATTCTGTTAGTATAATCATAAGTCTAATTTCAGTCATAATCGGGCTCCCCATCAGTCCTAGGATCCCTCCAGTCTTCAACCCTCACTGATTGCCACTGAAATACTCATTGTCCCCCACCACTCGGTCCTTTTACAGTTGCCTCATCTGCTGGTTCTCTGGGCGTGGTGCCCTTTCAAGTCTAAAAGACCTGGTTGTAGGTGTCACCTGCCAAGACTTAAGAGACATAGTAGAAAACTCTCCATCTTATGATTCTATTGCTCTTCCAGTCTACTGTACAATCTCAAAATCGTCCTTACTTAGATATAAAGCTACCACTTCTCTTTCCTCCCTCGTAACTTAATTTCTCCAAGGGGTTTAGAGTTTCAGAAGATAAAATGCAGGAAGAAATTTAAACTTATTCTAAGCCAGTGGAGCACAAAGACCCTGACTACCGTCTTGGAAAGGAGAAACACAAATGATTTCAATATACTATAATTCCACATGTAATGTGTGTGTGAACCCATATATGTATATGTCTTTGTATATGTGTGGGTGTATACATATGTATATGTATAACATGTGAAACTTGTTACATTTATAGATTGGTGGTTTCTTTGTTATGGACCTAAAGCCTGTGGATTGGGAACCTCTGGACTACACAGTCTCTAAGATCCTTTCCAGCCTTAATATTAAGTGCTTCTGGGATCTCTTTGCCCTTTGGCATTGACTTTGATTGAGAATTGCTGCAACCTACAACTTCCAACAATAGGCACTAAACTCTCTATATGTAATGATAATGGTAACTTGAATGGAATTGTCATTGTTGATTGGTTGATTTATTTTCTAATCTAGGTTGAAATAAAAATATATTTGGTGTCATATTTTGCAAAATAATGGCACAACCTTCTACTAATCACATGTCTTGAAGCATTCCTTGCTCTAGGGACACCCAAGGGATTACCACTATCTACAATAGTCAGACTATGGCTGTAGTGACATATGGGATTCATCCACATGTAAACAGTTGTTCTTCAATATTTCACATTTAAATACGAACTTTGTTACTTTTGGCCATGGCATGTTGCAAAGGTTTCTACACAAAGAATAAATCAATGTGTACTTTAGAAAAGGTCATATGCTTTTAGCAAAATTTCTAAGTATAGAAACTTACAACATTTTTAGAGATGAGTTTATTAGCCTCATTAAAGTGTCACTGTGTTTAGACTCAAATGTCTAAAATGACTTTGCTGTGATCCCTCTTTTTTTTTTTTCTTGGCAGCCAATACAAAAAACAATTACTCAGAGTCACAGACCTGTAAGACTTGCCTTTTGGTATTAGAATATCATGTAGACTTTCAAAGGTGTATGCACTCCTTGTCATATGCTCATTTGAGTAATGGCATTTGCAGCAACAATGCTGACATAGTCACTTGTCTATGTATAGGAGGGCTGAGAGCGAGCAGGAATATTGATGTGCCCAAGCTAGTCCTGCCCCTCGTACGTTCTGATTTCCATGGCCTCCTCTTCAGAGCAGGGAGCAGCTACAGGATTGGGCCTCATGAGCAGCTCTGGGCAGGGCTCTCCTTGCCTTCTTGTGCTGGTCTTTGTGACTTTATCTTCCTTAATGCAGCTGAGGTAAATGCACATTTTTTTTTTTATCTTGACGCTAAACTCTAACTGACCTTAATGGCAAAATCTTTACAAATTTATACCTCTGGTTTCCTAGGTGATAATTTAACGTCATTACTCCTTGCTTCTAACCTACTTGGAAACTATTCCATTTCACTTTGGTCTTCTGTGTAGTATGATTTCCATTATGTAACTCCCATCAGAGCTGACAAGATTCCCTTGCCCCATGTAAAAGGTATATAATTTAATGACAATATTATACATTGTAATGAAATGTTTACATGTCAGAACATATATTTTAAAATAAATAGGTTAAAAAACAGACTTTGGAGTTAGGAATTGTTATTCTAACTCATTTCTTTCTTCCTTTATGTGTAAACAATTCAGATATGCAGTTTTAAAAAAGCAAATACATTACTACTACATTAATAATAAAGGAATTGTTGTAGAGATAATCATAAAGATGATGTTAACTGTTATTAAGGTTTGCTTTTAACCTGCTATGGGCAACATAAAAGTCATGAAACATTAAATTTTTTAAAAATGTTCTTGTGTATTTTTTTTTCTGGGAAAGTGCTCTCCATTCCTGTGTTATACAGAGATCCTGACTCTTTATTTTTCTTTTTTTCTATTTTGTTTTCTCATCTTTTCTCCTCTCTTTTTCTTTCCTTCTTTTGTTTTCTTTCTTTTATTTTTTTCTTTTCTTTTTTTGAGATGGAATCTTGCTCTGTTACCCAGGCTGGAGTGCAGTGGGGGGTCATAATTCACTGCAGCCTCCACCTCCTGAGCTCCAGCGAACCTACCACCTAAGCCTCCTGAGTAATTGGAACTACAAGCACACACCACCGTGACTGGCTAATTTTTGTATTTTTTGTAGAGACGGAGTTTCACCATGTTGTCCAGGCTGGTCTCAAACTCCTGGGTTCAAACAATCTGCCCACTCTGGACTCCCAAAATGCTGGGATTACAGGTGTGAGCCACTGTGCCTGGCCAGATCCTGACTTTTGAAAGTTCCTGGTAGCTTCTATCCTGTTTAGTAACACAGGCAGGAGATCCACATCAAGAAAGGCAGGCTTGGTAAAATTTCAAGTGAATTTGGAATGAATGATGAAACACACAGACACAGTGACTTTATAGTAGTGGTTTTCTGAGCTATAAGCAGTGAGATAGGCAGAATGAACTCCAAAGATGTCCATGCCCTGATTCCTGGGAGCTGTGAATATGTTACATTACACGGTAGAGAGGACTTTGCAGATGTAATTAGGGTCACATGCTTTAAAATGGAGGGATTATCCTGGATTATCTGTGTGGGCCCAGTCTAATCCTATGAATTTTTGAAAGTAGAGAACTTTCTCCAGTTTGGATTAGAGAGATGTGGCAGAAAAGGAAGTCAGAGAAATTCAAAGCTTCAGACATACTCGACTCAATGTTTCTGGCTCCATGATGGAGAGGCCAATAGGACGAGGATGCAGGTGGCTTTAAGAGTCTGAGAGAAGCTCCCAACTGGCCATCAGCAAGGAATTTGGACCTCAGTCCTGCAACTACATGAAGCAAATTTTTTTCAGCAGATATGAACCTGGAAATGGATTCTTCCCCCAGAGCCTCCAGGCCAGCTGACACATGGATTTCCTCCTTGTGAGCCTCAGAGCAGAGAAATCAATTGAGCCACCAGGACTTCTGACCTACAGAACTATGAGATAACAAATTGTGTTTTTTAAAGCTGCTAAATTTGTGGCAATTTGTTATGACAGCAATAGAAAACTAATATAAGTAGGAAGCTGTGACCAGAGTCATAGACTTTAGTTCTGAACTGGTCAATATTGTGAAGATGAAACATCTTCATTGATTATGAATAGGATTAACCTGTTAGACTACAGGTCTGGGTCTGGGTACTGAGATGCATTTAGGTGAGTTCATAGCAGTCTAGTATGTTCAGTGGCTCCCAAAGAGTTGGCTGGCATTTTATACCTAGTTTATCTTTGTCTAGCTTCTTTTAATCCATAGTAAGCTGTGATTTTGCCCCAGTATTAAAGAAAAATATGAATAAACATGAACCTCTATTTCAGTGGAATTTTAATGCACAGATTATAAATATGCCTGTTGTGCATTTCTAAGTTAAATTTTAAAATAAAGAATTGGAGGTCAAAAATTAGGCAGAGAGAGAGGGATCAATGAAAGTTGTCCATACAGAGATACTTGAGTATTTGAGATGATTCACAAATATCCATAACTCTTGTTGACCAAACACATGTTGTTCTTGACCAACCAGAGCTTTTATCTCTCTCTTTGGAGCCGAATGTCTCTCAGGAGTTATATTTTCAGATTATAGTTTAAGATATAGGGAAATTTTGTAATTACTTATACTTTTATCCAAACAGATTGAAAACAGTAATAAAAATTAGTAGACAAGAAGTTCAGGTTGTAAAGATCCAATGTTAAATTACTGGAGAACAAAATTCCCAATGAGGAGAGTGGCAGACAAAGAAATCAAAATGGTAGGCAGGGGGCAGATCACAGAGGATCTTGTAGGCCAAGGTAAGGATTTTATTTTGTTCTGAGGGAAGTAAGAAAGTTTTGGAGAGGTTCAAGCAGAAGCAAGATATTCTAACTGCTTTTCTGTTTTTCTTCTTGCCTTGATGCTACATTCCTTGAAAAATATTAATATTTACCATTTCTTCTTCTTTATTCTTTGCTCTGAAAGCCATTGAAGTCAGACCTTAACAAGGATGAGGTTGCCTCCAAATTACCAAATTCAACATCTCTTTTCAGTGTTATGTTTCCAGATTCTTAGCGACCCTTAATACCTTTGACATTAGCTTCCATTCTGAAATTTTCTTCATCTGTTTATAACCTACTTCCAGTCATTTTGGCCCTGTTAGCTCTGTGACCCTGGGGATACTGATTCATGTCACTGTTCTTCAGTTTCCTCATCTGTGAAATGGGGAAGTAATTGTAACAACTTCAAAGGGACATTTTGAGAGTAATAAGAGATAAGCACTCAATGCATATTAACGATTGTTACATCCCAAACCAAACTCCCGATCTTAATTCCTCTCCCAGAATTGCTCTTCCTCCATTAGTGGCATCGCTACCTGCTATGGTTTGAATGTGTCTCCTCCAAAATTCAGTGTTTCCATTGTGATAGTATTAAGAGGTGGGACTTTTAAGAGCTAATGAGGCTATGTGGGCTTTTCCATATTTAATGAGATTAAGACCCTTTCAAAAGAGGCTTCACAACATTTAGGCTGGCTTGATCTTTTGCTCTTTTGCTCTTCTGCTATGTGAGGATACGGTTCATCGTCTCTTGCCTTTCCATCTCTTCCTCCATGTGAGGAGGCGCAAGAAGGTCCTCACCAGTCACCAGGTGCTGACACCTTGATTTGTACTTGCCAGCCTCCAGAACTGAGATAAATAAATTTCTGTTCCTAGTAAATTACCTAGTCTGTGGTATTATGTCATAGCATTACAAATGGACTTAGGTACTATCTAAACCAGAAACTTCAGAGCCACCCTTGATATTGATGTAATCTTGTAGATTTTACCTCTGAGATTCTCCCCTTTATTTATTTCTACTGCCATGGCCTCTTCCTTCCAAGCACATGTACACATACACACACAGCTTTCCTTATATTACACTCTGGCCATACTGAACTACTATGCCAGCTACTTAACTCCTCTGCACATTTTGTTTTGACTTTCAGTAGTCCTTTAGTGATCTCACTGCCTCTTGTCTGTAATAAAAATGAAATGACAGTAGGAATAAATGCAATGGTTTACCTTGTGCCTGCATACAGTATATTAAATGCTTTCCATACATGATTATTGAGTACTCACAAAAACCTTGTAAAGTAGTTATTATTATTATTATTATTATTATTATTATTCCTACTTTACAGAAAAGGCAACCAAAACAGAGGAATTACATAAAAGGTCACACTCAAATAAGCAGTAGAGCTGGGATTTGAGCCCAGATACACCTGATGTGAAAGCCCAGGCTTTTACACTATGCTCTTATTGTGCCCTGAAATGAACTTACCTTGACAAATTCTCTTAAAATTTTTCTTACTTGTATATCTTATGCCTGTGATAACTGTCCGTTTTGCACAGGACAAGTTAATGTTCCTTAGCCTGGTATGAAAGACCCTTCAGTATCTTCTCTCAATTGATCCCTGTAAAATTTAGTTTATGTCCTTGTTTTTATTTAATTTTTATATACTTGCAGTTTTACTGTACTTTCTTTTATATTATATTTCTAATTTATTCTAGATTTTTTCCATTCTCCTCTTCCTCAGTACACACACCAACACACACACACACACACACACACACACATGAATACCCACAGTACTTTCAGCTTGGGAAAAATTCTTCCTGAATTTTTCCCGTATTTGTACAGACCTGTACAAATATAAATACACATGAATAGGGCTTTTGTTTGTCTGTAGCACTGGAAATATTATATGCATGTATTAGTCAGGGTTCTCCAGAAAAACAGAACAAATAGACTGTACATAGTTATATATAGAGAGAACATTATTTATTTTAAGAAATTGACTGGCATGACTATGGGGGCTGACAAATCCAAATTGTGCAGAGTAGGCTGGCAGGCTGGAGGCCAAGGGAAAAGCTGCAGTCATGAATCTGAAGGCAGTCTGGAGGTAGAATTCCTTCTGTTTCTGGGGAATCTCAGCTTTTTTCCCTTAAGAACTTCAACTGATTTGATGAGGCCCACCCACATTATGAAGGATAATCTGCTTTATTAAAAATCTACTTATTTAAATGTGAATCACATCTAAAAATACTTTCACAGCAACATTGAGACTGGTGCTTGAACAAATATCTGGAAACCACAGGCTATAAAAGTTGACCCATAAAATTACCACCACAGTGTATTTCTTTATAACTTGCTTTTTTCTCACCAACAAGGTAACATTGACATCCCTTCATATCAATAATTACAATATTCACCTTTCCATCAGCAGCATGTGAGAGAATTTTTCCTTTGTCCTGGTCAGCACAGGGCATTAGAATTATTTGTAATTAATGCAGATCAAATGAATGAAATATGGCATCTTACTATACCTTTAATATTAATTTCCCAGACTGTGGGAAGTTGAGCATCTTTTTATTTATTTATTAATCATTTAGCCTCTATTCTGTGAATTGTATTTTGAGAATTAAATCATATTCCTTGCCCACTTTTCCATTTATTTCTATTGTTTTTTCTTATCAATTTTTGTATTCAAGAATTTAACTCTCAATATTTCACGTCATTTGCAAATACTATTTTCCTGTCTGTCATTTGTCTTTTGACATTATTTGTGAAATCATTGAACATTCTAAATGTTTTTCTTAAACTTCCTTTTATAATCCAAACTGCCTTTTTTTTTATAGCTTTAGAGGTGCTTAAGTTCTTTTGCTTAAGAACTCTGTTTTGTTTTTTAATTTTTAACGTTTAAATCTTAATTTAGCTAGAATTTATTTTTGTATTCTATATAGGATGAAGTCCAATTTCCTTCCCTTGAAATAGCTTGTCAATGGTGACAGTAAAATTTATTAAGGTTATTAAATTTCAATGAAATAAATTTTAACAATGGGAGAAGGGACTAAATAAGCCATCCTTTCTCCAATAAATTAAAATGCCATTTTTGTCACATGTCAGTTTTTCATAGATATTCAAATCTTTGTCTGGATTCTCTATTGATTTATTTGCTCCTGTGCTGGTCTGATTAAGGAAACTTTATAATAAAGTTTTATAGCTGGCAAAGCAAATCAACAACCTCCTCAGCTTCGAACATACATATGCTGTATTCTTTTTTCTCATGATTTTATATACTTGGAGATTCCTTCTTCCATACAAACATCAAATTATTTCACACACTTCCAAAAATAAAATAAATAAAGTAACCTCTGCTGTAGCAAAGCAAAAACACAACCCTATAGGATTCTGCTGGTGGCTGCATTCTATGATGTGTGATGTCGGGGGGAGATATTGCTGTGCTTATGATATTAAACCTTCTCATCTCAATGAAAGTTGCTTATCTGTTGAACTGCCATCATCATAGTTGCTTCAGGTTGATCAAGCCTCAGGGAGAACTCCTCTGTTATGTCTAGATGATTCTACAGTACTGATTCAAAAGCATTCTAATAAAAGTGGGTGAAAATTTAGTAAAACAAAATTTTGTATTTTAGCAACTTTCTCTGTTTTCTAAAGACATGATGTTTCCTGTTAGTACACCCACAATTTATTATACGAAAGAGCAAGGAATCCCCTCCCTTATGGGAGCCAAGATGGTCAAGAGGATGTATTTAATCTTGCTGATTTCTGGAGGGCAGCTGTACCCTTTTCCCAGGCTTATCTCCCCCTCCTGGGAAGGACCCATCCCACCGTGCACCCTACCCCTGCTTGGGAGAGAAGGTGCCATCAGAGCTCCTCTGATGCCTCTCCCTCTTGCCCATTTGTTCACCTGCTACTCTCCCAGCTTGGCAGCACTGTTTCGAGACCTTTGCATTCTGTAGACCCAGAAGCCCTCATGTCACAGCAGAGACAACACAAGTTGGCCATACATTATAGAGCTCTTCTCTTTGGTGCGATCTCAGGACAATTTTCTTTTTTCTTTTTCTTTTTTTCTTTTATTATTATTATACTTTAAGTTTTAGGGTACATGTGCACAATGTGCAGGTTAGTTACATATGTATACATGTGCCATGCTGGTGTGCTGCACCCATTAACTCATCATTTAGCATTAGGTATATCTCCTAAAGCTATCCCTCCCCCCTCCCCCCACCGCACAACAGTCCCCAGAGTGTGATGTTCCCCTTCCTGTGTCCATGTGTTCTCATTGTTCAATTCCCACCTATGAGTGAGAATATGTGGTGTTTGGATTTTTTGTTCTTGCGATAGTTTACTGAGAATGATGATTTCCAATTTCATCCACGTCCCTACAAAGGACATGAACTCATCATTTTTCATGACTGCATAGTATTCCATGGAGTATATGTGCCACATTTTCTTAATCCAGTCTATCATTATTGGACATTTGGGTTGGTTCCAAGTCTTTGCTATTGTGAATAGTGCCGCAATAAACATACGTGTGCATGTGTCTTTATAGCAGCATGATTTATAGTCCTTTGGGTATATACCCAGTAATGGGATGGCTGGGTCAAATGGTATTTCTAGTTCTAGATCCCTGAGGAATCGCCACACTGACTTCCACAATGGTTGAACTAGTTTACAGTCCCATCAACAGTTTAAAAGTGTTCCTATTTCTTGACATCCTCTCCAGCACCTGTTGTTTCCTGACTTTTTAATGATTGCCATTCTAACTGGTGTGAGATGGTATCTCATTGTGGTTTTGATTTGCATTTCTGTGATGGCCAGTGATGATGAGCATTTTTTCATGTGTTTTTTGGCTGCATAAATATCTTCTTTTGAGAAGTGTCTGTTCATGTCCTTCGCCTACTTTTTGATGGGGTTGTTTGTTTTTTTTCTTGTAAATTTGTTTGAGTTCATTGTAGATTCTGGATATTAGCCCTTTGTCAGATGAGTAGGTTGTGAAAATTTTCTCCCATTCTGTAGGTTGCCTGTTCACTCTGATGGTGGTTTCTTTTGCTGTGCAGAAGCTCTTTCATTTAATTAGATCCCATTTGTCAATTTTGGCTTTTGTTGCCATTGCTTTGGTGTTTTAGACATGAAGTCCTTGCCCACGCCTATGTCCTGAATGGTAATGCCTAGGTTTTCTTCTAGGATTTTTATGGTTTTAGGTCTAATGTTTAAGTTTTAATCCATCTTGAATTAATTTTTGTATAAGGTGTAAGGAAGGGATCCAGTTTCAGGTTTCTACATATGGCTAGCCAGTTTTCCCAGCAGGTCTACGGCCATACCACCCTGAATGCGCCCGATCTCGTCTGATCTCAGGACACATTTCTACATGGTTCTTCATTTCCTGATGGTTCAGCCCTGTTTGTCTTTGTGTTGCTTTTTACCCCTTCTCAACCCACAAAATAACTCCTGGGTACATGGTTTTCTTTGCTTCCAGGAAAGCAGCCCAGATGTACGGTTACTCAGTTAAGCCAGGCCTGGCATGAAGGATTCAAAGACAGACCAGCAAATAGGCTGAGCAGAGCCTGGGCCAAGATTTTCCTGACCCAAGGGCACAGTGACACTCAATTCAGTGCTTGCATTGTGCCCAGGGCTCTAAGAAAGACAGGCAAAGAGATTTGCCAGAATCTGTCCTTGCCTGTATAGCTCTTTGTATGGAGATGTTTTTTTTTGTCCATCTGTTACCAAATCATGACTCTCCTGACAGTCAGCCTGGGTAAAGATGCAGTGGTTAGCTCCTTGTTTCTTCTGAAGGATGACATTTTCCAACATCTGCAGCCTGCATATTGAGCAAATAAATGGCTGTCAGTTCACTCAGGGAGAAGATTCTTCATTTCTCTTGTGACCAACCTCTAGGACACATGGCAGGGCCTGAGGGCTGTCTATCCTTCTTGTTAGTAGAGCCTCCTGGCTCTCAGGCCTGCTGCGTTGTCAGGATGTTTGCAAAATCCCTTTATTGGATATAGTAGCTAATACAATGTTATCACTTGATATCACAAGTTGAGGCTATCCTTTCCCATATTTTTGAATATTTGAAAAAGTATCTTGTCTTTGGAAAAACTAGAATGTTTTATAAAAATAGACCTGTTCTGATGTCAATTTTCTGCCTGAATAAAAGTGAATGAATATTAAACATTGCTGCAGGCAGTCTTGTCATTGGAATTAAAGATTCTCTGTTATAATAAATAATTCTGTAAAAACACAAATTTTGTCTAAGCAATGCTAAGCACGTTTTTTTTATAAATGTGTTTTCAGTCCAGGGTATATACATTTGCAGTGTAACGTGCAATCATGAAATGTAGTTTTTTTTTTTTTTTTTTTTTTTTTTTTTTGCATAAGTAGCATATATTTTGAAGTAACAGCGTTGCTATCTACCTGTTAAAAAGTGGTCTAGCAGCAGTATGGAAAATAGATGACTCTTTCCAGTGGGAAGATGGTATACGTCTTGAAGGAAAAGTGAGTCATATCCAGCACTACTAAATTGTTATTCACTTGAATAACATATTAGGTCTCCGCTGAAATAAACGTGATGTGTTCTGTGAGAGGAACACTGGATTCAAGTCAACAGACTTGTTTCAAGTGGGTGGCAGTGCTGCTGCTTGCTAGCTGTGTGACCTCGAATAATTTATTTATGCTGTCTGAGCATCTCTTTTATTGACTACAAGTGGAAAGATCAGACCAGATGGGACTTCTAAACTGCATTATTTATACATGGGCATGTCTCAATCGGTCGTGAGGTAGATAATTTATTGCTACTAGAAATAAAGTCCTGACGTTTGCAAACAACTTACAGTTGTAACGCAGATAAGTTTAGCCCCATGATGTCACTCTCACCATCTCACCTTCTGAGGTAGTTTCTTGAGTGGGAGAGAAGAAAGAGAGTGAGTTATGGTTGCCACACTGGTAAGACAAGTACCACGGCCGCCAAGAATTCCACATGATTGATTTCATTATTTGTGAGCCTATCAAATGTTTTCATGGACACTATTCCCAGGAAGTTCCTGGGTATTTGTCTTGCTTCTAAACAAATATTTTTAGTCAATATTTAGTTAATATCTTGTTGACATCTGAGTGCATTCTGAGAAAGGAATTCTTCCTTAAATACCGCCAGCATATGTAAACTGTAGTAAATAATTTTCTAACAACACAAATTATGTTGAAGCAACGTTAAGCCCAATTTTTCATAAATATATTTTTGGTTCAGAGTACATACATTTGCAGGGTAATACGTGAACATGAAATGTAGCTTTTTGCCTAAGTAGCATATATTTTAAAGTAACAATGTAGCTATCTACCCGTTAAAAAGTAGGTAAAATCCAGCTGGGCTGGATTGTCCCTAGCATTCCTTCTGATTAGTTACTCTCTATGCAGGAACACGTGAGGATTTTCACACATCCAGAGTGAAGCCACTGAGGGAATAGATGCTGACTATATCCAGAGGTGGAAATGTGTCTGGAGGCAGAAACATCTCTGTTTTTCCTGCTCACTGCTTGGCCATAAAGACTGTGATTTCCTGGGGTTTGAAGTACTTTGAGTTTCAAATTCCATATTTTCATATTCTAGATCTTCTTAGCCTCTAGGCATCTTAACAAAGGCCATATTGAGTCAAGCCATAATCAGTCCCCACCTTCTACTTTCACCAAACACACACACTTCAAGAAGCACCAGGAAATTGACAAGGCAACAATAAGGAATGGTGACATCAGCCAGGGTCGTGGGGACTTAGCCCATCTCTGGCCAGGGCTCATTACCTTATTTACTGTTTATTCTGTGCTAAGCAGGGAGGCAAGTTTTACGTACTTTAAATCACCTAATTCTCATAACAACGCAGTGAAGTAGGTAATATTAATATCTGCATTTCATAAATGGGAATCCTGAATCACAGATAAATTAAGGAACTTTCCCAACTGGTAGCAACAGGCAGAGATTCACCCTTAGGCAGTCTGGCTACAAAATCAAGGCTCTCCCTCAGTCTTCTCTGCTATGTCATCAGCACCCTAAGTCAATTGAGTTTATGCCAGCTGCTTTTACATAACTGTCCTCTGAAGTTGTTCCTATTATCCCTATGGTATATTTCAGGAAGCCAAGGATAAGTGAAATTAAATATGTGACTAAGGTCACATGGCTACAATTATTAATAGGCAGTGAAAGAGCTGGAATTTGAACTTAGGTTTGTTTTTTTTTCTTTTTCTTTTCTTTTTTTTTTTCCACAAAGCTGCATACTTTCCTCCGTCCTTTCACATATTGTTTTCTGTATCTTAGAGGAAACTCATAGGAATGAATGTGAAACACTCCCAGAGTTGTTTTTCTGGAAAGATTATTTGTCTTAACTGGTTGGAGTTTTCATCTATAGTGTGGCCTCCTTTCCTAGTCACTTGATTACTGTCATTGTAGTTTTGCCAAGCTCTAGGCTTTGAATATCTGCTGAAGAGTCATTTGTTCTACAGCTTGGGATTTACATTGCAAATAGAAGAGATAGTCAGTTTCTAGTTTCCTCTACCCTATTTTTAGGTACTGACCACCAACTGTTACTCTGCAGACAAACCACATGTGCGGTTTGGGGTCTTGCTCTTCTAAGGCAGCTCCATAAGCTGCAGCTTCCTTCCTGGCTCCCACTATGACCCACCACAAGAGGGAAGTTCTGTCCTCATTCTTGATTTTTAGTCAAGTTCTTTGATGGAACTGGGATCTTGCTCTTCATCTTTCACCACTACAAAGCCATCAGCACAGTCCAGCTCCCCTTCTCTGAATGCTGACTCTGTCACTTCTTCTAAATCATTGGCTAGGATTTACCCAAACATCTCCCCCTTCTACCCCTGTCACCACCAAAATTGATCAATTACAATCCACCATGACTTTCTAAGTATGGGGGTTTGAACGAAACATTGATTCCCACTCCTTCAGTACTGACGTCTTTTCAAGACTCTAACTGTAACCTCAGATTGTTACAGATTCAAGAAGTACTATGAAAAATCAGTAGCAACTAAAACCATTTGCTCATAGCATCAAGAGTAATAATAGCATCACCAACGTGTCATTTCAAATTTCCCATTAAAAACAGCATGCATAGAGTGTCACCCACATGCCAGGACCAGGGATTAATGCCAATGAGTCCTGAATCGTGTCTCTAAGCACTTGCAAATTCCTTTCTTCCAGCAGAGGCCCATTCTTCTCCATTTTTATTCAGCTTTTCTGAGAAGATCAAGCGACCTCCATGTTTATGAATCTTTATATGATGCATTTGTCCATTTGGGGAAAAAACACTCCGCTCCCCACATTTGATTTAGAAGAGGTATTGCAAGTATTTGTGGTCAGAAATTGTTAGAGCAGCAGAGTGAGACTAGGGGGTCTGGGAAAGACAAGACAAGTATAGAAAAGTGAACGTCATCACCTTGGCAAAGGCAAAGGTGTCATGGGAATAGATGAAAGGAAGAGAGCTCTTGTAGAATGAATCTGGGTAGGACCAATAGATTTTAAAAGACTTAGGAGAGATAGAATGTGAAAGAAGTTTAAACATTACTGCTGAGTCTCATTCTCAACTTTTAGGAGAACAAGTTCACTCACAGCTTCTAGAAAGAAAACAAACTAACAAAAAACAGCTGAGAGGCTAAGCATGCTGTTTGCATCTTGAGGACCCCCTGCCTCTGCCTGCTGCAAGACTGCATCACACGAGCCTTGCCAACACTGCAGAGAGCTTCATTTACCACCACAAATATATCTCCACTAGCTGGTGTTCACATTAAGGAAAACAATTAGCAAGTTAATTAATTGTGTTTTTTTTTATTTGCTTCTTTATTGGCAAAGCTGCTTTGCCTTGATCAGTAGCCTAAGCACTTTTATGAGCTCACCGAGCTTACTTCTAGGGTTTGGAATACAAGGTTTGTGAAAATATAACATCTTGGAAAAACAAGCTAATTAAAGTGAGGGTTTAATTTCTAATGACAGTAACTCAGTGAACAGTTTCTATAAATTTATATACACTTAATTTTTAGAATAGGAATGGAGATATAGTTTCAATTTTTCTTCCCAGAGTTTTTCCTTAGTTGACATTCAGTATTCACCATGAGAAGCATGTAACATTGGCAGCTCACCCATTTAGAGGTCAGGTTTCCCGTATTTTTGGAATGAAACAAGCCCAGAATAAGCAATCAAACAGCCTGAAATGAAAGAAATGACAAAAGTCTGTTAAAAAGCTCTTGCATTTTGTTCAATTAGAAATATAGAATATCTCACTGGCTAGAGGTTATGTAAAAAACATGAACCAAGTTAGAAGCAGGATATTCTGATACCAGGAATAGAGATCAAATCAACACAGTGTAAGGACAATAATCTGGGATCATTAAACCTAGGGACAAATAACTTTCCATACCTTAATATTTTTTCAGAGCATCACAACTCTTAAATAAGAACATTGCTATTCATTCTCTTAATCCCATGTTCTCAAGAACAAAATCAAATTATGTTTGGTATATCCTTTAAAAAGGATATTATCATTAATATTCTTTACCAATAATTCAATTAGAATATTTTTCTGAAAGGTGGCTCTTAAAGAAATGTGATTTATCTTAAAAATGAATTTATGTGGACTACCTCTTCCATGAAAATGCCAGATGAAGCATTACTCTGTGCCATTGAACATACTGCATCCGGCCTTACTCATAAGTTAGGTAATTTACTCCCAATTTTAAGACGGATAAATGAGTTATAGTTAGGTAAACGGATCTAAGCAATGTTTGAGTTTTCCAGGGCCAAGACAAGGCATCATCAGCTCTTCTGTTACTGATTTCATCCTCCGCAATTTTGGTTGAAGGAAAAACAAGGAGAGGCCCATTGCTGTTGTCTTTCTGGCCCTACAAGTTGTCTGTTTCTCTCTCTCTCTCTCTCTCTTTCCCTCTGTCTCACTCGCCATCTATCTCTCAATGCTCAGAATTGAAGAAAGTACTCTTCACTTTAGGTAAGTGCAGAGTACAAAATTTCAATGTTTCACCATTGTAAGTCAGGAAAATATCAGTACACATGTAGCACGACAGTAAGGCATTCAAATTTATGGACCAACAAAGCCCAATTCAGATGGATTCTTCATTGTTTCATCAGTGAAGTGAAGTGGCATGTGTCATGAACTGAGCATTTAGCCTATGCCAAGCACATGGTAAGAATGTGTCTAATGTATCCTTTGCTTACATAGGAGGCACATGTATCTAATGTTTCCTTTGCTTACATAGAAAGAATATGTGCAATATTTTATGATATCATTTCTGTAGTTCACCCAAACCTGGATTCTGTTTGATATTAACCAAGTCACGTTTTGTTTTTATCCTGACATTCACCCCTCATGGTTAGCTATCACACCTCCAGCCCACAGCTCCTACTAATCGGCTGTGAGTCATCACAGATTTGTCTAATAATCCCTCCTTGAATGGTGGTATGGTGCTCACCTCTTGAATACCATATGTTTTATATTTTCTGAGCAAAGCTGTCACTTTATTTTATTTCTATTCTAAATTATTTTTCTCTCTTTCAGATGTCATGGGATAACTCTTTACTATTTAGTTTGTTCACAAGTTCAAGTGACCAGAATGCTGGCTCTGCAACTAGCTAGCTCTGAGACCTTATTGACTTAACATCCCTAGGCATCAGTTTCTCACTGCTATAGCAAATTATAGCCCCTAAACTCTCACATGTAACTTCTACCTATAAATTACTATTATTTTGTAATTCACTTCATACCCTTCATGATACCCTAATCTTTGCTCATATCTCCTTAATCTAGAACAATGCTATAATCATATATATAATCATTTGGAGTTCTTTTTTAAACCACCTGATGCTGGGACCATACCCCAGACCAGTTTATCTAGGAGTGGAGTCCAAATATCGTATTTTTGATTCTAATGTTCAGCCAGAATTAAGAACAACTAATCTTCACTAAAGCATCCTGATTTTATCTTTGGCATCTCTACCAGTCACTATTACAAATAATCATACAGAAAGGGTATTTGTCTTTTCTGTGCTGCTATAAAGGAATACCTGAGGCTGAGTAATTTATAAGGAAAAGAGGTTTATTTTGCAGTTTGTCAGGCTGTGCAAGCATGGTGCCAGTATCAGCTCAGCTTCTGGTGAGGTCACAGGAAACTTCCAGTCATGGTGGAAGACAAAGGAGGAGCTGCCATATCACATGGCAAGAGCAGGAGCAAGAGAAAGATGAAAGATGTGCCACACTCTTTTTAAAGAAGCAGATCTCATGTGAACTCAGAGCAAGAACTCACTCATTACTGCAAGGAGGGCACCAAGCCATTGATGAGGGATGAGCTTCCATGACCCAAATACCTTAAATACCTCCCACCAGGCTCCAGTTTCAACACTGAAGATCACATTTTAACATGAGATTTGGAGGGGAAAAATATATAAACCATATCAGAAGGAAAGAGGAAACTGTTCTAAGATCCCTCTTTATAGAAACAGGGGAGCAAGGGACCAGGACTCTGATAGGAGGCAGGTAACTAATAACAGAAAAGATATTGCATTGGGAAAATATAATTTTATAGGTGCAGAATATAACCCTTGACAAGCTTGGCTGGTTGTGTTCCAGGATATCCAAGAAAAGAGTGGTTGGCCTCTATTTTAACCACTGTTTCAACTTGTTCTAAAAAGTTTTCCCCATGAAAATGCACCTCCAGTTTTATATGGTACGGTAGTGGATATAAAGCATGCTTTATGAGGCTTTATAAGGATGTAGAACTAGAAATACCATTTGACCCAGCAATCCCATTACTGGGGATATACCCAAATGATTATAAATCATTCTACTATAAAGACACATACACACGTATGTTTATTGCAGCACTATTCACAATAGCAAAGACTTGGAACCGACCCAAATGTCCAACAATGATAGACTGGATTAAGAAAAATGTGGCACATATACACCATGGAATACTATGTAGCCATAAAAAATGATGAGTTCATGTCCTCTGCAGGGACATGGATGGAGCTGGGAACCATCATTCTAAGCAAACTATCACAAGGACAGCAAACCAAACACTGCATGTCCTCACTCATAGGTGGGAGTTAAACAATGAGAACACATGGACAGAGGGAGGGGAACATCACACACTAGGGCTTGTCGGGGGGTGGGGGGCTGGGTGAGGGATAGCACTGGGAGAAATACCTAATGTAAATGATGAGTTGATGGGTGCAGCAAACCAACGTCGCATATGTATACCTATGTAACAAACCTGCATGTTGTGCACATGTACCCTAGAACTTAAAGTATAATTAAAAAAAAAAAAGAAAATGAGACATATACACCGTGGAATGCTATGCAGCCATAAAAAGAGCAAAATCAAGTTCTTTGCAGCAACATGGATGCAGCTGGATGCCATTATCCTGAGTGAATTAACACAGAAACAGAAATGCAAATGCTGCAGGTTCTCACCTGTAAGTGGGAGCACAACACTGGGTACTCATAGACATAAAGATGGGAACAGTAGACACTGAGGACTCCATAAGGAGGGTGGAAGGGATGGGAAAAGGGCTGAAAAAACTTCCTGTTGGGTACTATGTTCACTCTATGGGTGATGGGATCAATTATACCCCACACCTCAGCATCAAGTAATATACCCATGTAACAAAGCGGCACATGTACCCACTGAATTGAAAATAAAAAATGGAAAACAAAAAATAAAAAAAAAAGAAAATGCACCTCCAGTTTTATATGGTACCGTAGTGGATATAAAGCATGATTTATGATTATGCTTCAGGGTCAATTTTACTGGGATGGCACTCTTCCAGAAACATGGGCCATACACACATCTTCTACAATGCTAGACCAGTGTCCATGTTGCATGCCTTTCTTTCTCATAAATTCTTCTTTCTTGAAAAGCCATCTTGCAGCAGTTGAATTGGAATCTATAATTCAGTGCTTTTTTTTTCTTGCCTTTGAAAGTTTTACATTTCTTCCAATAGAAAATAAATGGTTAGATTTAAAGCTGTATATGCTTAGGGCTGAGACTGTCATGAAATTTTACAACTATATTTGATGACAACAATAAAGGGTGAGTTACGAAGAGTTCGGTTTAGGGTGAGCGGTGTCATAGTGCAGCAGAGAGGACATTGACTTACGTGTCCCTCAAACTGGAAGTTAGACTGACTCTGCCATTAAGTGGCTTGACACCGCCAACTTCTTTTTCACATTTAAAAGTTCTGCATTTTAAAAACCGTGGTATTAGTGTGACAGGATCATTTCTAGGGTCCCTTTCAGCACACAGGTTCTGTAGTCTCAAACTCATGTGTCACTAGATGCGTTTTCTTTGGCTAATGAATGGATTGCTTGTCCAATTGTTCTTTTTAAGTGATACTGAAGTTTCTAAGATGTTAATGAGATGTACTCACCTATCAGGCCAGAAGCCCATTGGCTGTCTTCTCACAGGCATTAGACCAAAGGACCTCAGAAGCACAGCCATATTACTACATCCTGTTTGATTGTCCATTTTATTTCATACAGGATTTCATATCTGCAGGAGAAATTTGATTTTTTATTTGTCCTAATATGTTAAAGTCCATTTTTATTTTTAACATTTCTAGGACTGTTTCCTTGGGCCCTCGGTTTAATGCTGTCCACCACCCATGAGCAAAACTCTTTCTATGGCAAGAAACATCGAACACCTGTAGTGGGTGAGTGAGACAACGTCATAATCAGCATGTTTGTATTAACAGTGTATTCTGCCTTGGTTAATGTAGTTTTGCCTTAAGTAATTCCAGTTTCCCTAGGAGAATATTTATAGGTTTCCATGGGCCATATAAATTTTGCCTGTCAGATATGCACAACGTGTGTCTTTAAAAATCGGGAAGCCAATTCTCTTTGATAGCTTCTGAATAAATGTTCACTCTCAAAAGCTTTAACATTAGCTACCAATTGACACTTGAATATAAAATAGGCTTTTAAAATCTCTCTTCTTAGTTGGCTAGCATCTGTTTTGTCATATACCAAATGAGCACAGGTACATAAAAGATTCATATTGTGATGCCAACGTTCGTGACAGAGGGTTTCATGGACACAGCGAAAATGTTAATTTGCACCACATCCAGGCATTGGTTTTCCACTCTTTCTTGTCAAGCTCCCACAGAGGAACCACAGAATCAGGATTGCCCGGGGCACACAGTTCAGCTGAACCAACAGCCAGTGCAGAGAAGTTACCAGGTAACACAGATGCGTATTGTCACAGTAAAGAGGCACAAATGCCCTCTGCTTTTTTTTCTTGGCAGGGAGGCTCTAAAACAAGAAGACCGACTTATGAGACAGTTTGGCTGTGAGCAGTGCGAGACGTTGAGTTAGATCATGGCAAGAAAAAATCCAGACATGGTTTTTATTGAAATAACATGCTTCTCACGTAGAGCACATTCTTTATGGAGGCATACTTCTGCACCAAAATGGATTTTTTAAAAAATTTCTACTATGAAGCCAGCGGACAGTATCAAAAAGTGGCATTCTGACAGTAGTTTGGGTTAGCTGTTCTGTCTTGCTTAAAATGATCTTATTATTTGTCTCTTGATTCATTTAAATGATTTTGTTTCCAGAGGGATTTGTTTGCTAGGATATGGAAGATTCAATCATTCATTCAGTAAATATTTACTGAGCATCTACTCTGCTCACATTCGAGGTTCTATTTCAGATGGGAAGCCCTCTTGAGCCTGTATTTTGAGAGAGAAGCAGAATAAATACACAAATAAGTGAAAGATGTAGTGTGTCAGATTGTGATAAATGCATTGGAATAAAATAAAGCCAGGCATGAGGATAAGACATGCAGTGATGAGGAGAGGGTGCTATTTTAAACAGCATAGTCAGACAAAGCCTTGCTGAGTGGATAATATATGGGCGATGAATGGAAGAAGTAAGGAGCAGGAGGTGCATCTGTCTAGAGAAAAGTGGTGGGGTTTGGAGTAGGACAGTCTTAGCAGAGGTGTTGAGCAGTGACAGGTTCTCAAACTATTTTGGAGGTAGAAATGACAGAATTTTCTTCCAGATTGGATTTGGGGTATGAGAGAAAAAAGATCGGGTTGACTCCGAAGTTTTTGGCTTGAGCAACTGAAGGATGGAGTTGTCATTTATTGGCATGGAGAAGACTGCAAAAACAAGTTTAGAACATGTGGAATTGGGATATGTGTTTTAGGATTGTAAAGTTTGAAGTATTTATTAGACATCCACGTGTAGAAATCAAATGGGCAGTTGGATATGAAAGTCTGGGCAAGATCTGTGGTGAAGACATACATTTGAGGCTAACAGTTCTTAGATGGCGTTCAAAGCTGCGAGGCTGGCTGAGATCATTTAAAGTAGTTGTTCTCAACTGAGACCCACCTTCACCCTTAGAAATTCTTCTGTAATTGGTCTGTGATGGATCTCAGACTTTGGCATTTTTAAAAACCTCCCGGATGATTCTTATCTCCATTTTAACCTTGTGACTTAGGTTAAGTACCTCTGACTTAGAGATTGAGTGTTGCTAGAGATGAGAAATACTCTTAAGACAGAGTACAAGGCATCCTAGCATTTAAAGGTCAAGGATATGAGGAAGAACCAGAAAAGAGAATGAGCTACTGTGAGACAGGAGAATAAGCAGAGTGAGGGATTCTGAAAGCAAAGTGTAGCATATTAAGGAAGAAGGGGTGATTAAATATATCAACAATGCAGACACGTCAAACCAATGAAGACTGAGAATTGACCATTGGATTTACAAGTTGGGTCTTTGGTGGCCTTGACAAAAGCTGTATCAGTAGTCCAACAGGGTGATGTCTTGGCTGGAGTGGATTCAAGAGAGAATGGGAAAAGACAGATTGGAACCAGTCCTTCTAAGACCATTCTTTAATGAGTTTCTGTATAAAAGAGAGTAGAGAATCAGGGAGTTAGCTAAAGTAGGAGGTGGGGGAAAGAAAGTTTTATTTTTTTAAGATGGTAAAAAGAGTTGCATATTTGTGTGCTCTTGGAAATGATCCAATAATAGAGGAAAATGATAATGTAGGAGAAGGAAGGAAGAATTGATGGAACAATCCCCTTAGGTGAGGAAGAAAGGGATGTGTATGCAGTGGAGGCTTTAATTTGGGTGACAGCATGGCCAGTTGCTCCACATAACAGGAAGGAAGGTTTGATTACATGGGCCACTTCTAGGTAGGCAAATGCTTCTGGTGGTGGGTGCTGGAGGACAGTCTCTTCAGACTGTTTCTGTTTTCTCAGGGAAATAAGAAGCCAGGGCTTTAGATGAGAGAGGGCATAGGAAGGAGAGATTAGAGGCCTGAGAAGTGAGCATGGTATGAAATACACATAAGGAAAAATGAATGAGTTTATTGCAGCACTATTCACAATAGCCAAGATTTGGAAGCAACCTATGTGTCCATCAACAGGGGAATGGATAAAGAAAATGTGGTATGTACACACAATGAAGTATAATTCTACCATAAAAAAAAATGAGATGCTGTCATTTGCAACAACATGGATGGAACTGGAGGTCTTTATGTTAAGTAAAATGAGCCAGGCACAGAAAGACGAACATCACCTGTTCTCACTTATCTGTGGGAGCTAAAAATTAAAACAATTGAACACATGGAGATAGAGTAGAAGGATGGTTACCAGAGACTGGGAAGGGTAGTTGGGAGAGGAAGGGAAGTGGGAGATGGTTAATGGGTACAAAAAATATTTAGAAAGAATAAGTAAGACCTAGTATTTGCTAGGAAATCAGGGTGACTATAGTAAAAAAAATTTAATTGTTCATTGAAAAATAACTAAAAGAGTATAGCTGGATTGTTTGAAATGCAAAGGATAAATGCTTAAGGGGATGGCACTCTGTCCACCCTCATGTGATTATTATGCGTGGCATGCTTGTATGAAAATATCTCTTTTAATCCATAAATATATACTCTTACCATGTACCCCATAAAAATTAAAAATTAAAAGAAGAAAACAACAACAACAACAAAAATGAATGAGTAAATGGATGGGGAAACATAGAATTGATGGACAGTTCAAGGTCACAGGTTTAGTTTGAGACCAGCAGCTGTATGTGTGCTTTTCAGCCACATTCGGCTGCTTGCCTGGTGCAGACAACCTGGAGAGTCAGACTTAACCAGGGTGGAGTTCTCAACAGGTGAATACAATGTAGGAAGAGTGAGCCACAGAGTTGAAGCTATATGCAATGGTGTGATTATAATGATGAACCCTGTGATGTATACTAGCCTGGGGGGAAAGTGAGGATTTCAGAGGAGAGGAGCACTGGAGGTCTGGAGTAGATAAAAAAAAAAAAATGCTGAAGCCATGGTTCTAGTAGTTCACTATGGTGTGAAGAAAGTGTCTGTTTCGATGAAAGGTAAACACATTTCTTACTGAAGCCAATTTTACTTTGAACCTGATTAAGTTTTTAACCATTGAAATTAGTTGTTATGCAAAAAGAGCCATAGCTTTGAACATTAATATGCATTCTTTCACTTACAATTATGAAATGAATATATTAATGAATAATCTAAAAACAATTAGTGGTTGCTAGAGTACATCTCAGTCATCTGTCTCTTGTAAGTTAATAAATTATCAATGACAGAATTAAGCTATCCTGAGCACTTTTTAAATATTTATGCTTCTTTGCAACCTCAGTAGTTTGGGGAAATGATGACAAGCAGCAAAATGTATGTCTCCGCCTATTTTGTAAATCACTTTAATTGTGCTAAATTGCTGAAAGGGATTCGCTGGAATCAAGAAACACTTTTCAAAAATCTAATTGATAAAATTGCATTATGTAAGACTAATGCCAGAGCTATGAGATGCTTGACTTTGAAAAGATTTTGTCCATTACATTCGGAATTGCTATTGGTGAGTGGGGCATTATCTACTTTATAACCTAATCAAATGGTCTGACCCACTGAATGAAGAGGGCAGCTTGGATATGTTGCTCCATGCCTACCTCCTGATTGGATGAGGAGTAGCAGCTTCTTGTAGCATTAGAACCTGGCATGGTGGGTCCATGTGCAGCTGCCCCATCCCCCATACACCCTTAAGACCAGGTCACTTCCCATCAACTCCATCTTGCCTGGTCCTGGCTTATGTTCTGATGTCTGATGCCAGAGCCCACCTAGCCATCAAAATCATATCACAGGTGTGAGGACATCATGAACTTGTGCTGCTTATCTCTTTCATTATGGTAAAAATATGGTTCACAATTCCGTAAAATAGAGTGTCTCTTTCTTGTCTTAAAGGAGTTATACAGTTATACTTTTGATATCATCAAAGTTAAAGTTTCGAATACATTCAAAAACCATAAAAACACATATAAACCCACCACAATTTTGAGGTTTTATTTCTGTAAAATAATCTATACCAAATACACTATCACATTCATATTCTCATATATACCTCATTGCACAGATGTGGGTGGCAATGTGACAAACCTGAGTCAGTGTACAGCAGACATTGCCATTGTGTGAAGACACCCTCAGTATCAAAGTATGGCAGTTTAGATGATCAATGTTAATCAATAGTTGCATGAAAACAAGACATATCACTACCTAGAAGGGACTGCATAGACACTTTCTAAAGCAGATCCCATCAACAAGAGAGAGGAAAGAATTGAAGGGGAACTTGACAGAGAGGCTAATATGTGTACAGAATGGTGGTTGGGAAACACGGTTTTACACTCCCTCATGTTTGAATTATGATTGTTTTATGTTGTTTGAAATAGCACCTGGGAATAATCTGTATCCCTTATATTGATTTATTTGTATCTATTGATTGCTGGATTGATTTACAATTAGGAAACAAATCACCACAATACTTAAAAAGAAAGAAAACCTGAACTTCAATCTGTGTTCGTCACTCAAGATAGCAAATGGTCCATCTTCTGGGAATTACTCTCAGCAATGTTTCTCATGCTAAATATTAAGTACAGGAATGTCTCCTGCTTTACCTAGGGTTCAAGTGTGTTTATAAACCCTGCTCTTTGTGAGGTGTCATGGAGATTGAAAAATATTTATGTGATTCCTCATGAAAATGGGTTAAAAAATGGAAAATGTGGTTAATGCTACAATTAAATTAATTAGAAAATAGTTCACAAAAACTTGGGGACAGATGAGGGGACAGAGCAACTATTCATTCTGGTGGGAGAGTTTACATCTTTAGGATGGATTTCACTAGAGGGATAAATTATATCTCTCTTTTACCTAGAATGATTTGCATTACAGTGATAGCTATTTTAGCTTCATGCACCATTTGTTAAAAACAATACAAAGGATCAAAGGTAGGGATAGATATATTCCTTAAGTTGTTATGGTCATTTCAAGAGTCAGCCAAATAATACCGTGCTTTACTGAAATTGCATCTTTGAACCGAGTGAAATTGTGATAATACACTGGTCTGAAATTTAAGAATTGTGTTCTAGATCGAATGTCCTAACTCACTCTTTACCTTGGGAAAATAACATAAAGGAAAGGCATGAGACTAGAGAATCTCTCAGATTCTAGCTTTCAACATTTAAATGTGTAGAATAAAAGGTGGGATGCAAGTGAGCTATTTTTTGCCTCTTGCTTAAAAAAAGGAAATGTAAAAAAATCTTCACACCTCAGAGTTGGTTGCTGTGGACAAAAGAAAATGTCAGTACACGTTTTTTCAAAACAGACTTTATATTTTAGAGCAGCTTTAGGTTCATAGCAAAACTGAGTAGAGGGTACAGAGCCTTCACATACACCCCTGTCCTGACACATGCATAGCGTCTCCCATTAGCAACGTTCTCCACCAAATCGATACCTTGATTAAAATCAATGAACCTACATTGACACATCATTCTCACCCAGAGTTTATCTTAGGCTTCACCCTTCGTTGTTTCACATTCTCTGGATTGGAATAAATGTATAATGACATGTAGCCACTATTACAGCATCATACAGAATAGCCTCGCTACCCTAAAAATCCTTTGTGCACCATCTATTCCTCCATCTCTCCCCCCAACTCTTGACAACAACTGATCTTCTTACTGTCTCCATAGTTCTGCCTTTCCCAGAATGTCATGTAGTTGGAATCGCATTGTATGTCTCTGACTGGCTTCTTTCACTTAGTAATGCACATTTAAATTTCCTCCGCATATTTTCATGACATGATAACTCATTTATCTTGAGTAATATCCTATTGTCTGGATGTAACATAGTTGATCCATTCGCCTACTGAAAGGCATCTTAGTTGTTTCCAAGTTTTGGCAATTATAAATAAGGCTATTAGACACGTCTGTGTACAGATTTTTGTGTGGCCATTAAGTTTTCAACTCCTTTGGGTAAATGCCAAGGAATGTAATTGCTGGATTGTATAGCAAGGGTGTGTTTAGTGCTGTAAGAAACTACCCAACTTTCTTCCAATGTGGCTTCTCCATTTTGCATTCTCCCCAACAATGAATGAGAGTTCCTATTGCTCCACATCCCCACCAGCATTTGGTGTTGTCCGTGATTTGGATTTTGGCCATTCTAATACGAATATGGTAACATCCCATTGTTGCTTTAATTTGCATTTCCCTGATGACAAATGATGTAGGTGGCAACTTTTCTTACCCATTCTTGATTACTCTAAAGCTTGAAAGGATGTTGCGGATGTCCAGAGAAATCTAACCACTGAAAATACAAGGGAAGTATACTGTCAGTCTAACGATTGCTGACATGTCCCTTCTTAGAGCAGCAATCGGGCAAGCCACAGCCTTATTTCATGTCATCTTCATCTCTTCAGCTAATTTAGCCTGTAATGCACTATCAGTTTGATATTCTCAGGAGTGAAATTATTTTCCAAGGTAGGGAGGCCTCTTTCTTGGCCAGACCATTATCCAGGGAAGAATGAAATTCAGGCACTATAAAACATAATCTCTTGCTTTTCCAGTTGCCTCTCTAATTATCCTACCATGAGCACTGACACGTGGTAGAATTAGAGGAATTATTCCTGCAGCTTTGCCCTTCAATGCAGGCTTCAGGTTTGTCCCCAGCAACTTGCTTACTAGTTTCCTGTTCTTGGGAACAGTAGAGGGTCTGGCACCTGGTAATTCCCAGTTGTCAATAATCAGCCATCTCTGCAGTTACTCATTAACTCCAGCACTCCATCCTCAACTCACTAGAAGTTTAATTTAAACACAATTGTTCGGAGTGGGTCTGCCACCTTTCCTCTTCTCCCATTTCTCCAGTCTTGCCACACTCTTCTCTCCTGATAGTTTAAATTGCTATTTTGGGAGGGAACTATTTCTGTTTCCAGAAGCCAAAGAACAGAATAAACAGAATGTTTTTTGTGTTTTGTAGTTCACAGTGTACTATTAAAAATTCAGTTTGTAAATAAAAATTGTATTTATTTAAGATGAACACTGTGATGTTTTGATATATACATAGTGAAATGACTATCACACTAAATCTAGTTAACACACTCATCTCCTTATATAGTTACTGTGTGTGTGTGGTGAGAACACTTAAGATCTACTCTCTTAGCAGATTTAAACTCTACGGTACAATATTATTAAGTATAGTCCTCATGCTGTACATTAGAACTCTAGAGCTTATGTATCCTACAGGACTGAAACTTTGTACTCTTTGACCAACATGTCCCCATTAAAGCCCTGAAGTTGGAATCTCTAAATGGGGAAACTGACAGAGAGTAGATTTGAAGGTGAAGGACTTCGCCTGGGAGAGTCTTGGAAGAAATCCACATAGGGAGCAAGTTATAATGACAAATGCTCTTCTCTCTTTATAGACTTGATCTCCTTAAGTCCATGGATGAACTCCGTAAGTCCAGGAAAAGTCTCTCATTCATCTTTAGGTCTTTAGCATGTAGCTCTGTGTTCAGCATTTAGGAGATGCTTGATAAATATTCGTGGAACTGATCAGAACAGAGCCACACACAGTTGAGCCAGGGACACGTGGCAGTCAACTGGCGACTGAGTTCAGTCGATGACAGAGCAATGGGAAAAGGATGGAAATAAACTTCTCACCCCTGCTTATATTCACAAAGATCTTTGTGCTGCATTTTTGTTTGAAGCTGTGTGCCTAGATAACCCATGAACACAATCAATTCCAAATTGAGCTGTCTTTCAAATCATTGAAACAGGAACAATTGTTGTAACCATGTTTAGTGGGTTATTTGTGGTGCCAAAGATGCCCAAGTGAAAGAGTTACTTCCCATCATCACTTCACAGTCATGAAGTGGTGCTGGCTCTTTGAAACGTACTTACGCGTATTTCCTGTTCAGCTCTGGGTGTGATTGTGTGGGTGATGCCTTCAGTGCCGAGGGTGGCTGTAGGGTCTGCAGCTGTTAGTAGACGAATCATTATTCTGATGTTGGCTCCTGTCCTTCACAAATAATTTTAGGAAAAAAGCTGACCCTGTAGTGACCTTTTCTGATTTCCAGTAGCCAAGTGTTCCTCTTATTGCTAACTGTGTGGATGTTAACATGGGCATCTTCACATTTGGATCAGAAAACAATATTATTCTGAAACACTTTCCTTTGAATGTCTGGTGTCTCATGTTCATTCAAAAGGATTGTCTCCAGTGTCCACGTATGGCTGACTCTACTAGTCAGTTGCCTTTTAGTCAAAACAGTTTCTGAAAGACAAAAGTTCTGTGTTAAGCATGCTTAGGAAAAGTGATTGCAGAAATAGCCATGTCAGTCAGAGGCCAGAATGCTCTTTCAGATTAGGGTATCAGACGGAGGAAGCTACTGGGCTTTGGTCAACGTGTTTCATTTTTAACAGGCTCGCTAGGGCGCAGCAGAGAGAGAAATCGTATTCACCCACTGAAAACCCAGCAACTGACTTAATGACAGTTGAACAGGAGAAACACAAACTTCAGGTTGAGGTTGATTTTTGCATGTGTGCATTCTCTTAAAAGACATCTTCTGTTATTAGCATAGCCTCTTTTAGACTGGGTGGTTATGGCTTTTTTATATTTTAAAAGTATTTATTTTCCTTATAAATGTCATTTGATAACAAATTAGTAGTCATTAAGGTAGTAGGAGCAACCAATCTTGTTGACTTTTTTTTTTTTTAACTTTTGAAGGAATTTACAGATAAAATGTTAGTCACATTGAATTTTGGAATCAAATTCTCCAACTGCTGTAACCAGTAGAGAATACATTTTCCTGTACCTTATTCTGTAAGCCTATCAAATAATGTAATTTTGAAGGGATTTGAGGCCCCTCTTAATTCAATCTTTATCATTAAAATATTTCTGGCTCTACTTAGTAGGGAAACAGAATAAGAGTCAGGAATCCTAGATTTTAGACTTGGCATTACCATCTTCTGGCTTTCTTATCTTTGGAACATCATTTAGTTCCTCTGAAACTCAGTTTCCCAAATTATAAGAAGTAAAAGGATGATAGCAGCTAACAATATTGATGATCATATCCAATAATGTGTGCCAGAGTCTTTTTTTAAAATTTAAAGCATTATATAAGTGTTTTATGTTTAAGAAAAGATATGGATGCAAAAAAATAGATTGTGTCAATGCTGGGACACAGTGGGTTGTTAGTTTTTAATCTGTAAATCACAGCCTTTGAAATGTTTCCATTGTTAATGTTCTTATAACAAAGAGTTGTAAAAGAAAGAAAAAGAAACACAGCTATAGGCGACCATTAGGCTAAGTTAGAATCTGTCTAATGTGAATGTGAGGCTTTTCACATCTCTGTCCTGAGGGCTCAATATTCACAGTAACATAAGAAAAACAAAATTATATTTGTGAACACACACCAGCCTTGAGATTTTTTTATATTGTCTATAATAAAGCTATAAAATGCTCATTTTATACCATACATTCTCGGTTTCTTTTAAATAAAAATCTAACTTGTTGGGCTTTCGTGACAATCCAGATGTGATTACCCTTTGAAAGAACCTGAAATTTTATTTTTAGTTTTTACTTGTTTACTTATTTATTTTTAAGACAGGGTCTCACTCTTTCCCCCAAGATGGATTGCAGTGGCACAATCTCAGCTCACTGCAACCTCCACCCCCAGAGAACCTGAAATTTTAAAACAACTGGAAAGTTTTACCAATGACTGAGAATTTATTTCCTTTTGAAAAACCCAAAATAAATATTATCCAGCTACTGGCCAGTGCTTATGATATATCTCTTATGAAATAGTTATCTTTGTGATTTTGTGTAAATCTCATAAATTTTGATACATTACTTAGGATTTCTTTCATTGGCAAGATGGTTCTCTGTAAATAGAGAACAATGGACAACCTCTGTAAAATTTTTAGCAGGTTTTACATTTGCAAAACGGAATACAGTCAAGTTTGCAATTGTTTTTGTGTAGCTTTCCAAACATTTCCACTTGTCTTAACATAGGACGTCCAGGCCATGTGCAGAGAACAGCTTACTAAACTACCTCTGTGACTCATTTTACCAGGCTCACACCTGTCTGACATTAAACCTTGGGACTAGATTTAAGAACTTGAGCATAACACCAATTTGACCTCATTCAGTAACAATCAAAAAGGATATCAAGACTGAAATCAGGATAGACATTGGTTCAAATTGCTTTTTCCTTCTCTCCGTTTAATCAACCTCACTCTATTTTTGTCTCTTTCTAGGGAGAAGTGAGTGAGATAGACTACTCCTGAATAGATATACACATCTATAATGCATCTGAAATCAACTATCTGGATTTTGAAATTTAGGGTCAATATTTTGTGTGTTGTTTCACATTTAACATCCTATCAACCTTTTTCTTAGGATTTGGTTATAGAAAACCCAGGTAATGTGCAAAGGGACAGATGAGATTGAGGAGACTGCTTAGTATTTTTTAAAGTAGAATAAATGGTTTTAAGTGACTTTTGTGTAAAAGTAGGTTTTGCACTTTTGGCACCAAGGCAATTCTGCTAATTGTAAATTAGTCTGTTCTTAGAAAAATTTTAATGAACTTTTTTATGTATAATTTGCATAAAGTAAATGTACCCATTTAAAATGTAAAATTCCAACACCCAAATCAAGACATAGAACATTTCCTTCATCCAGAAAGTCCTCTCTTGCAAACTGTCAGCTAATTGCTACCTCTTCCCACCCCTAGCAACCAACCGATCTGACATTTAGCACTAGTGATTAGTTTTCCCTCTTTTAGAGCATTATACAATTGGAATCATTCAAGACATATTGGTGTGTCTGTCTTCCTTTGCTCTGCATTATGTTTTTGAGAGCCATCCATTTGTGGCAAGTATCAATCATCTGTTCCTTTTCATTGCTAAATAGTATTCAATTTTAAGAATATAGCATAGTTTTATGAACATCTGGGTAGTTTGCAGTTTGAAGCTATTGTAATTAAAGCTACTCTGCATTTTCAGCATACATTTTGGTGTTCATAGATGTTTTCATTGCTCTTAGATGAATACTTTTGGCTCATAGCGTGTATAACTTTACCAAAAAATTGCCAAATTGTTTTCTAACGTGATGGGACCATTTTACGCTCCTACCTGAAATGTATGAGAGTTTCAGTAGCTCTTCATCCGTGGTTGGGATTGTCATTTATTTTTGTTATGGGCATTTTAATGCATATTGGCACCTCATTGTGGTTTTAACTTGGATTTCCTGATCAGTCATGATGCTGAGCACCTTTGATAGGCTATTATCCATTTACATAACTTCTTGTGTCTAATATCCGTTCTCATCTTTTCCCCATTTATCAGATTGTCTTTATATTACAGATTTGTAAGAGTTCTTTAACCATTCTAGATGTGAGCTCTTTGTCAGTTATTTGTTTTGCAAATATCTTATCCCTGCTTGCTTAGAGAAATATTTGTATCCTTAAATGATTCAATTCAGAAAAGACTAATGGTTTGCATTGTATTTTCCCAAAGTAGTATTTGAAGAGCAAGAAAATGCTTTTAAGTTTATTGAGTTTTCTTTTATGGCTAGTGTTTTCATTTTGTATTGTTTTTTCTCCTAGGAATCAATGACCTACGATAGAGTTGAAAGGATTTTTCCATCCTTGTTTTGTTCAGAAATACAATTAATTTTTGTGCATTGATTTTTTTGCATTATTCAACATTGCTAAATTCTATTCATTTTTATTAATTTTAGTATATTTCTTAGGATTTTCTTAACAGATAATCTTGTTCTCTGTAAACAGAAGACAATGTCATATCTTTAGCAGGTTGTAGGTTAACCCTGGCCTCAGAAAATTAGTGTAGGAGCATTTTATCCTCTAATTCCTCTAAGATTTTATATAAGATTGATATTAATTTTTTCTTAAGCATTTGGTAAAATTCACCAGTGGAATCATCTGGAAAACTTTAGTTTTCTTAGTGGGAAGATTTTTGACTATAGGTTCAAATTCTTTTCTATTTCCGTAATTAGTCTTAGTAGGAGATTATTGTTTTTAACAATCTTTTTAAAAAATAAATTTCTTATTTGTTAATTCTCTATTTTCATTTATCTCTGATCTTTGTTATTTTCTTATTTCTGTTCACTCTGGGATTAGTTCAATCTTCCTTTTCTAAATTCTTAAAATAGACACTTGATAACAGATTTTTAATCTTTCTCTTTCTTTAATTTTGTCATTTAAAGTTATAAATTTTCTTCTGAGCAATGCTTTATCTGCCTTTTGCATATTTTGATATGTAATAAAATAATTACATTTCAAAATAGATATGTAAAATTATTTATTTTGAAAGGCTTTCTCATTCATCTTTGACTCCTTTTTTAATCCATGAATTATTTAAAAGTGTATTGGTAAATTTTGAAACATTTGGGATTTTTAAAGATATCTTAGTGTTATCGATTTCTAATTTAACTTTACTATGATAAGCTCACATACTCTGTCAGTTTTCAAGCTTTTGAAATTTTTTGAATGCATTATACACTTTGGCATACAGCCTATATTGATGAGCAGTTGATGTGCCATTGAAACAAATATGTATTATGAGGTTATTGAATAAAGTATTCTGTAAATGTCAATTAGGTTAAGTTGGTGAATAGTCTTTTTCAGATCTTCTGTATCCTTACTGATTTTTTGCCTACTTGATCTGCTAACTACTAACAGAGCAATAATAAAAAACTCCAAATTTGATATCTGTTTTTTATTTAATTTTGTCGGTTTTAGCTTATAAATTTTGGAGTTTTGTTATTAGTGCATATGCATTTAGAATTGCTATGTCTTTCTGATAAATTTCCTTTTTACCATTATACAGTGTCTTTCTTTAACTCAACTAATATCTTTTGCCTTGAAGACCATTTTGGTATTTTAATAGCCTCATCATCTTTCTTATCCGGACTGTTCACATGAAAAGCTTCCCAACACTTGTACTTTCAGTACATTTGCAGATTAAATTAAAATGTATCTTTCTAGTTTATACAGTACATTACATAACTGGATCTTACTTTTAAATGCAGTTTGATAATCTCTGCCTTTTAAGTGTTCAGTCTGTTTACACTTAATGTACCAATTGATGTTATTGTGTTTAAGATACATCTTGCTATTTTTTTCCCTTTATTCTTTTAATGTTTCTTTACTGTCTTCTTATTTTCTTTGTTGAGAGACAGGATCTCACCTGGTTGCCCAGGCTGGAATTCAGTGGTATAAGATCAACCCTGAGCAGTGGACTTGTGGACCACACACGTTTAAACCTTTGAACCCATTTTCCCGACACTCTGGCAGCTCTCTTGCCCTCAGGACCCAGCCATTCAGGTTTCAGTAGCTTCAGCAACCTCATACCCTGATCTTTGCCTCCTCAGATCAGCAGAACTGCTGTGTTTTGCTTGTGCTGCATTTGGGAAATTGTCCCCAGGCAGAATTCTAAGGTAATCATGGGCTTCGCCTCATGAGTCTCTCTACTCTCAATTACAGCGTTGTACTTTTTGTTGTCCACTGCTTAGAAATTATTGATTTTTTTCTCCCTAACAACCTAGTGTTAATTTTCTCTGATTCATTATGTTTTTAGTGTTCTGGTTTCAGAACTATTTATTTTTTGTACTTCTTAGTTTAAAAATTTATTTCTCTCTGAATTTCTGTTTGGTTTTAAAAATGAAAAACCACAGAAATAGCCAACGTGAAATATATGCTTCTGTACTTCATGAAGATAAATAATTTGTGGTGTTTGTAAGTCCACTGGGTACATTAAGTATCAACTACTCATATTTTTTCAACTTATAAATCTCTGAAGGTTATTAGTATAAAGTGTTTTCAAAGTTTTATCTAAGTACATGTCAGTTTTTCTCTAAAATTTATAACTAATATTCATGTACATATATATTTACAGATAAATATGAATGGTGATAAAAATAAAAATAACACACACTATATATTTCATATGTTACAATAGGTATTTTTATGCCTTTCTTATTGAATGTTTGGAAAGTAAATGTCTTACATTTCAACAAACCATTAATCAAAATTAAAAGAAGGGAAAATCATTATTAAATGTTTTAATATCTGTTCAATTTGAAAATTCCCTTTTAAATATTATATGTCAGATAATAATATGTAAAGAGATTCCTTTTATGAGAATATAGGTAACATTTTAAACAAATACCTTTTGTGAGATTTTCCTTTCATCTGGTTTCTTTAAACTTAGGGAAATAAAATTATCAGTACAGTAAACTGGAAGGCTGTTTCTTTTCCCTGATGGCATTCTCTGGAAGCCTTGTTGAGATTTGTGGTACATTTGGTTTGGCCAGTGAGTCATCTCTCATAATATGTTCAATGTCTGCTTGCCTCAGGACTAGGAGTCTGCTGGCAAACTCTGGCCTCTTAAGTCATAGAAATCAGCCTTTGAATTAAAAGTTATTAATGGCATGCATTAAGTATCAGCTGTCATTTCCTCCAGGGAGGAGAAATCTCATGGAAAATTTGCACAGTGTAGCTCATTTATTATGTTAAATGTCTTTTAATAATGATAGCTTATTTTTTAATTTTATTCAAGATTCACAAATTTGAGAGGGTAATTTGTTCTACACTATAAACAAAAGGAAAGATACTTCAGTTAAGAATTTTGATAGAACTGGAACAAAAATAAACCCACAGCTTAAAATAAGTAATGCCATCATCAACAAACCACGACCTGGTTGTAAAGGAAATGGGGTCCCCATTCTTCCTGGCTGCCTTATGGTGCGGAAAACAACGTGGCATTGACGTCTCTTTGAAAAGCAGAAGATTCTCTTTTTTGGTTGTGTCTCTGCCCGGCTTTGGTATCAGGATGATGCTGGCCTCATAAAATGAGTTAGGGAGGATTCTCTCTTTTTCTATTGATTGGAATAGTTTCAGAAGGAATGGTACCAGTTCCTCCTTGTACCTCTGGTAGAATTCGGCTGTGAATCCATCTGGTCCTGGACTCTATTTGGTTGGTAAGCTATTGATTATTGTCACAATTTCAGAGCCTGTTATTGGTCCATTCAGAGATTCAACCTCTTCCTGGTTTAGTCTTGGGAGGGTGTATGTGTCGAGGAATTTATCCATTTCTTCCAGATTTTCTAGTTTATTTGCATAGAGGTGTTTGTAGTATTCTCTGCTGGTAGTTTGTATTTCTGTGGGATCGATGGTGATATCCCCTTTATCATTTTTTATTGCATCTATTTGATTCTTCTCTCTTTTCTTCTTTATTAGTCTTGCTAGTGGTCTATCAATTTTGTTGATGCTTTCAAAAAACCAGCTCCTGGATTCTTTAATTTTTTGAAGGGTTTTTTGTGTCTCTATTTCCTTCAGTTCTGCTCTGATTTTAGTTATTTCTTGCCTTCTGCTAGCTTTTGGATGTGTTTGCTCTTGCTTTTCTAGTTCTTTTAATTGTGATGTGAGGGTGTCAATTTTGGATCTTCCCTGCTTTCTCTTGTGGGCATTGAGTGCTATAAATTTCCCTCTACACACTGCTTTGAAAAGACAGGCAGAGACGCAACCAAAAAAGAGAATTTTAGACCAATATCCTTGATGAACATTGATGCAAAAATCCTCAATAAAATACTGGCAAACCAAATCCAGCAGCACATCAAAAAGCTTATCCATCATGATCAAGTGGGCTTCATCCCTGGGATGCAAGGCTGGTTCAATATACGCAAATCAATAAATGTAATCCAGCATATAAACAGAACCAAAGGCAAAAACCACATGATTATCTCAATAGATGCAGAAAAGGCCTTTGACAAAATTCAACAACCCTTCATGCTAAAAACTCTCAATAAATTAGGTATTGATGGGATGTATCTCAAAATAATAAGAACTATCTATGACAAACCCACAGCCAATATCATACTGAATGGGCAAAAGCTGGAAGCATTCCCTTTGAAAACTGGCACAAGACAGGGATGCCCTCTCTCACCACTCCTATTCAACATAGTGTTGGAAGTTCTGGCCAGGGCAATTAGGCAGGAGAAGGAAATAAAGGGTATTCAATTAGGAAAAGAGGAAGTCAAATTGTCCCTGTTTGCAGATGACATGATTGTATATCTAGAAAACCCCATTGTCTCAGCCCAAAATCTCCTTCAGCTGATAAGCAACTTCAGCAAAGTCTCAGGATACAAAATCAATGTACAAAAATCACAAGCATTCTTACACACCAGCAACAGACAAACAGAGAGCCAAATCATGAGTGAACTCCCATTCACAATTGCTTCAAAGAGAATAAAATACCTAGGAATCCAACTTACAAGGGATGTGAAGGACCTCTTCAAGGAGAACTACAAACCACTGCTCAAGGAAATAAAAGAGGATACAAACAAATGGAAGAACATTCCATGCTCATGGGTAGGAAGAATCAATATTGTGAAAATGGCCATGCTGCCCAAGGTAATGGATAGATTCAATGCCATCCCCATCAAGCTACCAATGACTTTCTTCACAGAATTGGAAAAATCTACTTTAAAGTTCATATGGAACCAAAAAAGAGCCCGCATCGCCAAGTCAATCCGAAGCCAAAAGAACAAAGCTGGAGGCATCACGCTACCTGACTTCAAACTATACTACAAGGCTACAGTAACCAAAACAGCATGGTACTGGTACCAAAACAGAGATATAGATCAATGGAACAGAACAGAGCCCTCAGAAATAACACCACATATCTACAACTATCTGATCTTTGACAAACCTGAGAAAAACAAGCAATGGGGAAAGGATTTCCTATTTAATAAATGGTGCTGGGAAAACTGGCTAGCCATATGTAGAAAGCTGAAACTGGATCCCTTCCTTACACCTGATACAAAAATTAATTCAAGATTGATTAAAGACTTAAACGTTGGACCTAAAACCATAAAAACCCTAGAAGAAAACCTAGGCATTACCATTCAGGACATAGGCATGGGCAAGGACTTCATGTCTAAAACACCAAAAGCAATGGCAACAAAAGACAAAATTGACAAATGGGATCTCATTAAACTAAAGAGCTTCTGTACAGCAAAAGAAACTACCATCAGAGTGAACAGGCAACCCACAAAATGGGAGAAAATTTTCACAAACTATTCATCTGACAAAGGGCTTATA
This sequence comes from Homo sapiens, assembly GCF_000001405.40. Lineage (NCBI taxonomy): Eukaryota > Metazoa > Chordata > Mammalia > Primates > Hominidae > Homo > Homo sapiens. The sequence goes on from NC_000010.11 coordinate 23,895,260, forward strand.
TCCAGAATCTACAATGAACTCAAACAAATTTACAAGAAAAAAACAAACAACCCCATCAACAAGTGAGCGAAGGACATGAACAGACAGTTCTCAAAAGAAGACATTTATGCAGCTAAAAAAACACATGAAAAAATGCTCACCATCACTGGCCATCACAGAAATGCAAATCAAAACCACAATGAGATACCATCTCACACCAGTTAGAATGGCAATCATTAAAAAGTCAGGAAACAACAGGTACTGGAGAGGATGTGGAGAAATAGGAACACTTTTACACTGTTGGTGGACTGTAAACTAGTTCAGCCATTGTGGAAGTCAGTGTGGTGATTCCTCAGAGATCTAGAACTAGAAATACCATTTGACCCAGCCATCCTATTACTGGGTATATACCCAAAGGACTGTAAATTATGCTGCTATAAAGACACATGCACACGTATGTTTATTGCGGCACTGTTCACAATAGCAAAGACTTGGAACCAACCCAAATGTCCAACAATGATAGACTGGATTAAGAAAATGTGGCACATATACACCATGGAATACTATGCAGTCATAAAAAATGATGAGTTCATGTCCTTTGTAGGGACATGGATGAAATTGGAAATCATCATTCTCAGTAAACTATCGCAAGAACAAAAAACCAAACACCGCATATTCTCACTCGTAGGTGGGAATTGAACAATGAGAACACATGGACACAGGAAGGGGAGCATCACACACTGGGGACTGTTGTGGGGTGGGGGGAGGGGGGAGGGATAGCTTTAGGAGATATACCTAATGCTAAATGACGAGTTAGTGGGTGCAGCACACCAGCATGGCACATGTATACATATGTAACTAACCTGCACATTGTGCCCATGTACCCTAAAACTTAAAGTATAATAATAATAGAATAAAATTTTTTAAAAAAGTAGAAGAATAATCAAAGGCAAATGGCTCCATATTTTCTTACTCTATTTTTTAATTTATCTTTTGTTATTTTTATGAGTTTTTAATCATCCACAGAATTAAATTTATATTGAATGCATCTTTAGGTTTTGTTTCAGCAAGTAAAAAGCACTTCTGCATGAATTTGTCACACTTCTATTGGCATTCACGCATCACACGCTGTCGAGAGTTCTTGCTTTATTTGTAATCTTTTCCTTCTTCCACCCTCTGTTCACCCCTATGAAGTCATCACCTGATTATAATGTCTTAGCTTCAGGTGACTGATAGAGATCTTTCTGGTGATCACCACAGTGCAGTGCTATTTCACTCTTTGGCAGGTCGTATCTGATTTGATTTTGACCTCTTATTATCTTTGGCTTACCATACAGTTGGGTAATGTATGATGATATAGACCGAATAATCATTTAAAAAACAAAAACCTCATGTTTCACCACTGCAGCCAGTTATTTTGAAGGAGGCATCCTAAAGGTTGGGTTAATCTCTTAAGAAGTCTTGAGCAGCCAAACTTGGATGACACTTGCTTTCTTTGCAAAAACGTCTTTAAACTTGAGATGTTTTCCATTATCAGTTATATTTTTAAATTTTTGAAGTTTGTTAAGAGCTGGCTTCTTTTTTACAAAGTTGAGGCAAGTGAAAATAGACTTCTTAAAATGAACCTTTGATTAAGGGTGGGTGGTGGTTCACAAGTTCTAGAGGTTAGAAACTCTAAGTGGACACTTAAGGATTTTGCTTCTTTGAGATATTGGCTGGCTTCTCTACTTTAATGAAAACACTTGTGGTAAATCCAATACTATAAAGAGACATTCCTACATTTTGTTAATAACACTTTTTGGAAGCAAGTGATAAATTTTTGGAAGGCAAATATATGAAGCTCTGCAAGCGTTCATATAGTTAAACTTGTTTATCAAGATATATTTTAAGCACTTCATTGGTAGAAGTAAAATTCTGATGTAAGCAATACTGCTGTCTATTCACAGATTCCACAGATTGGAAATGCCCTTGTCAGCTCACCAAGTTGGGCATGTGATCTTGGGGTCCTCATCAACTTCCTTCATTCTCATTTTATTTATATATCAAAATAAAATCTATTTGTAGCTTCATCTGCCGCAGCAACCCAAGTTGTCTGGCATCATTGGAATTGTCTCAATGCCACCTCTTGGTTTGACTTTTCCCTTTGCATGTCCTTTGCCCTGTCTCTCTGCTCTTGGCTTTGGTCTGAACTATTCTCTGGCTTTGTTGGTGTTCACTGGTATCAGAGAAACAATGGACTTTGAGCTTCAGCTGATGAATTTCCCTGATGGTGGCCAGGGCTGAGACTGGGAGCTACCAACATCCACGAATTTGACCTGCTATGGAGCCAGGGTACCTGGGGTGAATCACAATCCTTTCTGTATTGAATGTGCTCTTATATAGGCCCCTGGGAGCTACACGGAACCGAGGAGTGTAAAACCAACTGGTGGCTAGGAGCCCTTACCTTCTCTTCAACCTTCATTGAACACTGAATGATATCAGTGGAACCATTTATTTTTCCTGTTTTCTTCACTGTTTCATATGGAACCAAAATATAAAAAAGGATTAAATATAAAAAAGGTTTTATATAAAATGTAAATCTTCCTAAATATAAAAAAGGATTTAAATGTCTATAGTATGTTACAAAAAATAATTTCTTAAAATAATCTGATATGGCATTACATTTTATTTGATAGTAAACAATTTTTAAATTTTTTTTTAAAAACGCTCTCTCCTGAATCCTCAATTTCCCTTTTCTTACAAGTAGACTTCTATTTTGGTTGAGGCTAATAGTGAGTGTTAGGAGAGAAAGTGCCAGAGCATCTGTGATATGGCTGTTTTCCCTGGTGCTGGTGCTTAGCTGTTGCTAAGGGAGTCTAAGAAAACAGTGGCTACTCATATTTTACTGAACAAGCTGCACATAAATTCTGATTCTAACCAGGATACCGGGTACTTTATTGTGAACGGAGTGACTTTCTAACCTGGAACTCAGTTCTGTATACTCCATCATATTGATCTCAATTCTGATATTCAGACCACAAAATTCTGGCTTTAAAAAAGTTTCTATATTTATAAGACTATATATATACACACACACACACACACACACATATATATAATATATATTTATACATGTACAACCATCAAACTATACTAACACCCAATTGAAAGGTTAGAACACAACTATCAACATTGAAGACCTCATGTACCATTTTCCATTTCACAAAATCACCTTACTTTTATTATAACTTCACCATAAATAATTATATCTCTAAAAATTACATAAGTTTGAAGATGTTTGAGACTTTTAAAAAATGTCATTATACTTTGTGTATTCTTCTGCAACTTTCTTCTTAAAATTTTTTAAGTGTTTTATTGCATCAAAATGCACATAAAATTTACCATCTTGACCATTTTTAAGTGTACAGTTCCATATTGTTAAATATATTCATATTGTTGTGCAACCAATCTCCACAACTTTTTTACTGTACAAAACTGAAACTTAAACAAGTCCCAATTTTCCCCTCCACCCCAACTCCTCACAACTGTCATTCTACTTTCTGTCTCAATGAATTTGACTACTCTATATACATTTAAAGTGGAATCATACAGTATTTGTCTTTTTGTCCCTAGCTTATTTCATTTAGCATAATATTCTCTAGATTCATCTATGTTATATCATGTCAGAATTTCCTTCCTTTTAAAGGCAAAATGTTGAATTATGAAGTCAGCATTATACCCATGGGCTAAACTGTGTTGATGTGTATAGCTGTTGTTGACTACTTTCCACTGCTGTTACTCTATCATACCACTATTTCATAACTTATTTATCCATTCTGTTTTGTCTGGACTTAGAGCTGTTTCCTGGGTTGGCTGATTGGTTTGTTTCCTCTATAATCAATGCCCATGGAGTAGTCTTGTTCATGTCATCGTATTCATATTGTGTGCACCTGTGCAAGAGTTTTTCTAAAGCATAAACCTAGAAAACTGCTGAACAATAGGGCACATGCTAACTTTACTGGATGATGCCAAATTGATGTCCAACGTGTTTATACTGATCTATATTCCTGCATGAGAGTTCTTGTTGTCTCACATCATTGTCAGTACTTGATATTGTCAGAATTTTTAATGCCTGCCAATCTGGTGGGTGTGAAATAGTATCTCATTGTGGTTTTAATTTGCATTTTTCTGATTGCTAATGAAGTTGGAGCATCTTTTTGTGCATCTGACTTGAATCTTCAAATCTGTTTCTGGATTAGAAGAGAAGAAATATAAGTCGAGGGAAAGAGAGAGAGAAAGTATTCTATATCCAGACCTTAACTCTGTAACTGCAACTTTTTAATTGACCGTAACTCTGTCAGCTCTTTTCCCCATTGGAGCAGTTTAAATATATAAAATGAGCACTGCCCTCAAATCTTGTGGTCAACAACTTATCTCCTGATGCTGCACAGAATCTTTGAATGAAAGGTATCATGCGGTCCATAGCCAGAGCACTAGAAAGCTCAGAGGACCACAGTCTAATGTTTTTGACTGAGAGACATATGGGAATGTGTATGTGTGTGTTTGTGTGTGTAAAACAAATGCCACACACGATAAAGTCTCATAAAACAATTCTTACACCTACTAGGTAAAATACAGTTTGATATTTTTACTTTGATTTAGTCCAGTCTTCTTTGTTTTACTTCTTTCTTTCCCTCTTTCTTTTCTTTCCTTCTTCCCTCCCTTCCTCTCTCTCTTTCTCTCTCCCTCTGTCTCTTCCTTCCTCTCTCCCTCCTTCCCTTTCTTTTTTCCTTTTTTTTTCTTTGAGACAAAGGAGTCTCACTCTGTTGCCCAGACTGGAGTGCAGTGGTGTGATCTTGGCTTACTGCAACCTCCCCTCATGAGTTCAAGTGATTTTCCTGCCTCAGCCTCCTGAGTAGCTGGGATTGCAGGCCCCCACCACCACTCCTGGTTAATTTTTGTATTTTTAGTAGAGATGAGGTTTTGCAATGTTGGCCAGGCTGGTCTTGACCTCCTGACCTAAGGTGACCCGCCCACCTCAGCCTCTCAAAGTGCTGAGATTACAAGCACGAGCCACCACACCCAGCCCCTTCCTTTCTTTCTGATTACTACCAACTAAGTTGATTTTACAATCCGCAGCTACAATGGTTCCCAATGGGGACGTTGCTGCTTCCAGGGAATGTTTTGGATATTTGTGAGGGATTTCCTGGCATTTATCAGCCAAGAACCAGAGATATGATATATGAGACAGTCTCAAACAATAAAAATTGTTCCTGTATCACAAAACATTCAATATTTATATAGATGATCATTGGATATTTATAAAAGAACTTCCTTTCACAAAAAGTATATTATTCATAGTTTTCATATACAATATGCACTCATATTATAGGACTTATATTACTCTGTCTTGTAAAACTGTGGTCTATTACCCTTGGAAGTGGAAGCTCCCTGAAGATAGGAGAAGTGTTGTATTCATCTGGGTTACCTCTAAGGTACCATCAAAGGACTTTGTATATAGGAGGTAGGAAGGCAGTTTAGTGGAGGGCGAGAAATAGACTCCAGTTAAAGAAAGACTTGATTTAAATTCCAACTGTATCATGTCCAGTTGTCATGGACTAGGGTAAGCTATAAAGCTTTTCTATCCATCCATTACTCACCTGCAAAATGAATTAATAATAACACATATCCTAAAGCTTCAGTGGAGATTAGGTAAAATAATGTTTGTAAAAGAGCATATAGTAGGTGCTCAAATTATCAAAATTATTATGGCTGTTAATAATTATTTTTATTTAATAAACATTTGTTCACTTGATTTTGACCCATCTTGTTCTAATGTTTTTATTTAACCACAATAATAAGCACTAACACTTCTGAATGCTTACTTCATGTCAGACATAAAAACTTTAAATGGATTAGTTTCCTTAAGTGAATATTTGCTACCAACCTATAAAGTAATTATAATTATTATTTAGCTGGGGAAATTTAGGTTAACAGAGGTTAGGTAACTTGCTCAAGATCTCCCTGTTAGTAAAGAAGGAAGCCAGGATTTGACCAAGGAAGTTCAATGTCAGCATCTATGTCTTAACCATTTTTGTGTTAATTGTTGATATTGAAAACTTTAAAAAATTCCATAGTAATACAGTCTTATACTTTAACTGGCTTCAAGTTTGACAAATCTTAGACATTGTTCCTCAGAAAATAAAATATACTGATACAAAGCAAGAAAAAATGCCTGTGGCCAAGAACACAACCATAAGAAAATGTGTAAAATATGGCAAAACTAACTTATGTTGGAAATCAAACATCCAACTCCAAAATTTAATTGGTGACTTAGGATTGAATGTATTATGGAATCTTGTTTTTCTAATTGTACCATATCATTAATCAGCTAAGAACTGAAATATTTGGCTAGGCATGGCGGCTCATTCTTGTAGTTCCAGCACTGTGGGAGACTGAGGCGGGTGGATCACTTGAGGTAAAGGGTTTGAGACCAGTGGGCCAAAATGGTGAAACCTGCCTCTACTAAAAATACAAAAGAAAATTAGTGTGGTGTGGTGGTGCATGCCTGTAGTCCCAGCTACTCAGGAGCCTTAACCAGGAGAATCGTTTGAACCTGGGAGGTGGAGATTGGAGTGAGTCGAGATTGTACCACCACTACACTCCAGCTTAGGTGACAGAGTGAGACTCTATCTCAAAAAAAAAAAAAAAAAGGAAGAAAGAAAGAAAAGAAATATTTAAAACCTAACATACTTGGATATGTATCCAGATTACAAAATTGAGCATGAAAATAGAACTTCAGGCAAATAATACAGAGCCTTTACAACAAGCTTGGAGGGAGCATGCAGTATTTGGTTCCCATGCTGATGAGTCTAGCAGTTCTTATCTCATTTCTCTGGGTGCTGGTCTATATCCCTCTGACATATGATCATTAAAAGAGTTGTATTTTTCCCGTGGAATACTATGCAGTCATAAAAAGGAACAAGATTATGTCCTTTGCAGGAAAATGGATGGTGCTGGTGGCCATTATCCTTAGCAAACTAAGGCAGGAACAGAAAACCAAATACCACACATTCTCACTTATAAGTGGGAGCTACGTGATAAGAACACGTGGGCACATCGAGGGGAACAGCACACTAAACCTCAGCTAAGTAGCAATGCAAACCTCTAATCTCAGGGACATGGAGCAAGAAGTCTGATTGGATGGGCCACAAATTCATCCCCACTCCTGGAAACAGCATTCAAAGTATCTCACCTTCCTGGGGGCTCAGGCAAAGCTTCTTGTTTAGGATGCATTCTTTGCATGTGGTGAATTTATGCATAAGGAGGGAGTAGATGCCATGCTGAGCTCCAGAACCAATTCATAGCAGTACTTTAGTCACAGCATCAGATGGCAGGCAAGGCTGTCTGTACATTAAAAGAGCTTATACTAGTCAGTCCAGTAATGTTGCACAAGTGTTCATCCAATTTAATTTTTCTGGGAATGACATGTGATGGGGTGTTGATGTGCAATTAAGTTAAGCAAGGAGAAAAGAAACGTGCAGCAGAGCTGGAGTCAATATGGTGGCTGAACTGCCCCATTGATTTGACAAAAGGATCTGTGAGTGCAGTTCATCTTAAGGTCCACGTGGCCCATACATGGGAGGTTATTGGAAGGTGAATGTTAGCAGAACAGCTGAGGCAAAAACTAAAGTCATGCCAGAAAGAGAGTCTTGAGGAGAGGGAAGGGGGATTCTTAATGACAGGCAGGATCCTAAGCAGGGTGTAGCGTTGGAAATGGGAGCCAATTTCAGTGAACACCTTTTAGCTCCTTTGCACTGTTTTTAATGAATCCATGTGTGTAGGAAAGTTAGGTCCCCAAGTTTCTTACTATAAAGTGACTATTGTCATTAGCCCGCACAAATACTGGAAATGGGAATGAAGATAAGGAAATCCCTCCTCCATCCCTTTAGGTTTATGTTAATTTATAAAATAAAATCTATTCCATTTTTGGTATTTCTTTAAAACTTACCCATGGTGAACTTAGTAGTTTCTATCAAATATTGGTGATTCTATAATAGATATTTTTAAAGCTTCTAAAAAGTCTTTTGTAAGGGAGAAAGAGTAAAATTTTTCTCACTATCTCAAGGTTTATGGCTGAAACCTCTATAACAAAGACAAATTAACAACAGAAAAGCCCATCATACCTATTTAACCAAAGTCTTACATTACACAGGAGCCTTCAGAAATGAAGACCCAAAGAAATAGGAAAAACTGTAGTGTTATGCCTAGATTTGATGAAGAGTGGACAGTCATGGAGAAGGAAGATTGGACAAAAAGGGGTAAGATCTAATGGTCATAAACTGAGGGAGCTTAGCAAGGCCTGTTTGTTCAGATTTTCCTGAGTGTATCTGTATCCTCATTCCTTTCCTACAGGTATAGGACAGGGCACCTGTCACAGGAGGATCTTATGACCTACTTTCAGGGGAAGTAGGTCAGAGAGTTTTTATGGTTGTCTCTCACACAGCAAGGTAGGAGACAGAGTGATTTTCTTGCTTCTTCAGCTTCCTCAGTTTCCATGACACCATATTTTGGGGTAGTATTTCCTACACCTCATCACTTTCTAGCCCTGGCACTTGGGAACTGGGATAGCTTCCCTTATATTAAATGAAAAAGAAATGATTTCATACAATGTCAGCCATATATCTTCAGATTATCAAGAGCTGGCAAACGAATTTTCTCAAAGTTTGGAATTTCTGTGCTAGCATATACTAATTGATTACCATGTAGCTCTTGAAGTAGAATGTTTCTGGATATTCTGAAATATTTTTGCACAGCTCTTCTCTATCCCTGGCAAACAGTAACCTAGAGGAGTTCTACAAACTGAATGACTTTTTTTTGTATAAGTCTGCAGTTTGATGATGAACCATTATTATGTCTTCAAAGGGCATGCCAGCTGTAAAGGCAATTGGTATTTAAGATGTTTTCACATCAGAAAGAAAGTATTGCATATGCATTGCCTGAAATAATATCAGAAACACAGTGAATGCTCTGTACACATTGATGATGGCAATGAAATGACAAGACTGAGCTGCTTTAGCTGTAGTCTTCTCTTATGCATATGTAACATGATTTTAACAGATACCCGCATAGCAATAATTAACACTTACAGAACATGTTATATTTGACAAAGCTTTGCTAACATATATTTGTCGGGATAGGCTATGTTTTACTATACTTACAAAAAACTCCAAAATATTTTTGGTTTGACACAACAAAAGTTATATTGTATTCATGCAAGGCCAGCTGCAAATTTTAGAACATCAGTTGGAGCCTCTTTTGCTTCAAACACTTCCACATCAAGGTGAGCTATCAGAGTCATGGCAGCAGGGGAAAGAGAGCAGGAAAACCATGCATTGGTTCTTGAGTACTTCCACCTGGAAGTGACACAAGCCCCTTCTGCTCAAATTTCATTGGCCCAAGCAAGTCACGTGGCTACATCTGACTTCATGGAGGGCATAGGTACAATCTTGTGGCCCAGAAGGAAATGAGAAAATAAAATATTGGTGAGCAGCAGCAATGACACCACATCTACATTATCTTATTGACCATTTAATCTTTCAAAGAGCTCTATGAGGGTCAAAAATCTTTTATTCTTGTTTTACAGATGAAAAAAGACTCAGTTTAAAAAACTTGCCCACAGTCACCCAGTTGGTAAGAAATGTACCACTTGGACACCAGTCCTCTAATTCTAAATCTTCTTTTTTTTTTTTCTACCCACCATCATGATGGAGTCGATTGCTGAGAGTGTGTTTGTTTTTAGAAGCAGAGGTCCCATTGAATTGGGATTCTTCTTTTCTCTTTTCCTTTTTTTTTTTTTTTTTTTTTTTAGCAGAGTAATCACTTACCATATGGCCGTGTGTGTAGTTATACCTAATGTATCAGTATGTAGCCTGTCATCTGAAACTAAAGTCACAGAAGGGGCTGCTTTTTTTTTTTTCTTTCTGCAGAGAGAGTTCTTGGGTGCAGTGGGGAAGATCTGCCCAGGACCCTGGATCACATGCACTATCTCTTGAGAGGGTATGAGCAGTGAGTCTAGGGAGCTTGTCTCTGCAAGTCTCCCCACTCACAAATCAGCCCTTTGTGTACCCGGTGGCATGTCCTGCCCCACACCCACAGCCGAGGAGCCTGGAGATGAAGGAGATCAATCATCAGCTGGACTTCCTTCAGATGCCCAATGTATGGTTTATGCTTTACAGATGATGACAGCAGGTCTTCAAAAAGGTTCAGTCATTCGCCCAAGGTCATAAAGCTAAAGGAGGTGGGGAGGGAGGACCCAGGGCTACACAATCCTCAGGGAAACTCCTTCAGTTGCGCTACATTGCCTCTGAAAGATGCCCCACAGGATGCTCTGCCACAGGCTTCTGAGAGCAAATAAAAGGTAGGGAGATGGATTATAGTTTGCACCCATAGCTAGAAAGAGCCCATTCTTTAATGGAAAAAGAGAGGAGTTGAGGACTATATCATTCACTAAACAGTAGTATCATTACCACCATCCCCAATGACTTTAAACCATTGAAAAACAAATGTTAACCATTCCCCCAAAAGTCCAAGACTGAGATGACTTTGGTAGGGAAGTGTGTGCACACAAGCACTGTCTTAGTCCATTTGTGCTGTTATAAGAAAATACCTGAGAAATAGCCTGAGACAAGGTAATTTATAAAGAACAGAAATGTATTTTCTCACAGTTCTGGAGGCTTGGAAGTCCAAGATCAAGGTGCTGGTAGGTTGAGTGACTGGTGAGGGCCCCTGTCTCTGATTCCACAATGGCCATCTTGTTGCTGGTTCCTCACATGTTGGAGGATGGAAAAGCAAAAGGGCCCAGCTAATTCTCTCCAGCCCCTTAATAAAAGATTAATCATATCCATGAGGGCAGAGCCTTATGGGCTAATCACCTTTTAAAGGTGATTAAGAGTTGCATCACTTAATATTGTTGCATTGGGGATTAAGTTGCAACATAAATTTCAGAAGGGACATGAACATTCAAACCATAGGAAGCACACACACACACACACACAAAAATACACATACACACAAACACGTACACACCCCAAACACATACTCAAGGCTTTTCTCATAATCTCATGTTCCTAATCTCTTCATTACTCACTACTTTCTTGGAATATCCAAATGTGAAATGGAATGTACTTAAAAAACAAATGAGAAGTAGAGAAAGAAATTTTATTTTGTAGATGGTCAGGGTTTTTTATTGTTATGTGTGTAAAACTAAAATTATGATAAATTTTTATTTCTGTTTGTGCAAAGTAGTTTAGTTACCAAAAATATTTCACAAAATCCCCAGTTTGCAATTTCTTATAGAACTGTGTCTAGGAAAATAGTTCTGGATAAACTACTTAAGAAAGTTGAATGTCTCCAAGACTAAATCCCCAACATGCATTTGGTTTTATGATTGGTGTGGGGTAAGGAGCCTGAGTGTGTGAGAGCAGTTTGTAGGGCAAGACAAGCAAAACTGCAGTTATTACTGCTGGAGCTCTCATAGGTATGTGCACATAATGGAGAAGAAAAGTCTTCCTGTCGGGCTGATGTAAAATCCCTCATCCTGGCTAAATTTCTTTGTAATTGATGATCATACAGACCAGTGCCACCATGACTGGGTTCCCTTACATTCTATACATACCTTTTTTGAGAATGCTTGGAATTCAATGGGCTAAATTTTATTATAGAGGGAATATTTATAAGAAGCAAAACTACCTTTCTCAGTGACTGAAATATTTATACACTGAGGGCTTGAGGGTGCCAGTGTATGTGAAGCTGTCTGAGGCAGCGTACAGTCATTTATGGATTTCTATATATAAATAATTGACATGAAAACTGCACACCATTCTCCCATGTGTATTAAAGCAACTGGCCTAAAGACCTTTATTGGACTGCTGCTTTGCTTGAGTTATTCAACAAATAGGCTGCATCTTTTCACCCTCCTTTCTTTTGTCTTTACCTCTTTCCTTCTTTTCTTCAACATTTTTTTTGAGGGCTGTATTAGTCAGGGTTCTGCAGAGAAAGAGAACCAATATGATTTGTGTGTGTGTGTGTGTGTGTGTGTGTATGAGAGAGAGAGAGATGGAGAGAGAGAGAAGAGGGGAAGACAGGGAGAGAAACAGCAAGAGAGAGAGATTTAGCATGGGATGTGGTTCATACAATTATGGAGGTGGAGAAGTCCTATGATCTGCCATCTGCATGCTGGAGAACCAGGAAAGCCAGTGGTATAATTCAGTCTGAGTCAGAAGGTCTGAGAACCAGAAGAGACAATGGTCCTGGTCTGGGTCCGATAGCCCAAGTTCCTGGAGTGCTGATGTCCCAGGGCAGGAGAAGATGGATGTCCCAGCTGACACAGAGAGAGAGCGATGTGCTCTTTCTCAGCCTTTCTGTTCTATTTGGGCCCTCCACGGGTTGGACGATGCCCACATTGGTGAGGGTGATCTTTGCTCAGCCTACCGACTCAAACGTCAATGTCTTCTGAAACACCCTCACGGACACATTCAGAAATGTTTTACCAGCTACCTGGGCATCACTTAATCCAGTCAAGTTTACATAAAATTGACTCTCAGAAGGGCTGACTATGTGCCTGCTCCTCTTCTAGGCTTCCCCTATGGGGAAAAAACAATGAACAAGAAAAAACTCTCTTCTCATGGAGTTAACATTCAAGAGTAAAGGGGAAACACAGCAAAAAAAAAAAGATGTGAAGAAGAAAATTCTTCTTTGCTTGAGATGGGGGCTTGGTAGTGAAGCCATATTGGGTAATCAGATAATGAATCTCTAAAGAGTTTGCATTTGCAATGTGAGCAAATGACCGTAAGAAGACCTGAGGAGAGAGAATTCCAGGCAGAGGAAAGAGGCAAGGTGAAGGCAGATGGCAGGGAGGCAAGTGTAATTACAAGAGCCCGTGCAGCTAGAGCTGAGGCAATGGCAATGACACAAGTAGAGTGAAGGGAAGGTGGTCAGGACTGGGTCATGTAGGGGTATCTGATGCTAAGGAATTTGGATGGAAGAGTCTATGGATGTATTGTTTTTTTTCAAATCTTTTCCATAATTTGGATTTCATCCTCTTAGCTATGCGTCCTCCAGTTTCCAGGCTAATACTTTCCCCTTCAGAACTGGTGCTCTCAATCCCCAGTGGGCAATGGCATCACTGTCTCCTCATGTTCTTCCCACCTCTTGGACTGCTCTTTCTCTGCTTCTTCACTGACTCTTGTTCCTCGGCTCACCCCTTAGGTGTTCGCATGCCCAGATACAACCCTCAACTGTTTACTTTCTCTTGGTACCCTCTCTGGGTGACTGCCTTTGAGTCATGGCTTCTTTTCTAATAGTTCTCCAACCCAGCCCTGAGGTCTCAGCTGAACTCACAGTCCAGCAGGACATCTCCCCTGAGTGATGTCTAGTCTCTTCAGTGTCAACATTTTCAATATCTCCCTATGCACAATGCAGTACCACCTTACTCCTGCAAGAATGGCCTAATCAAAAAATCAAAAAATAATAGATGTTGGCATGCATGCGGTGAACAGGGAACACTTCTACACTGTTGGTAAAACCACTATGGAAAACAGTGTGGAGATTCCTTAAAGAACTAAAAGTGGAGTAGAACTACCATTTGATCCAGCAATCCCGTTACTGGGTGTATACCTTGAGGAAAAGAAGACATTATACAAAGAAGATGCACAATTGCAAAAATGTGGAAACAACCCAAATGCCCATCAATCAACGAGTGGATAAAGAAACATATATATAGAAAGAGGAATACTACTCAGCCATAAAAAGGAATAAATTAATGGCATTCACAGCAACCTGGCTGAGACTGGATACTATTATTCTAAGCAAAGTAACTCAGGAATGGTAACCAAAACATCATACGTTCTCACTTGTAAGTGGGAGCAAAGCTATGAGGATTCAAAGGCATAAGAATGACACAATGGACTTTGCAGACTCAGGGGGAAATGGTGGGAAGGGGATGAGGGATAAAAGACTACAAATTGGGTGCAGTGTATACTGCTCAGGTAATGGGTACACCAGAATCTCACAAAACACCACTAAATAACTTACTAATGTAACCAAACACCACCTGTTCCCCAATAACCATTGGAAATAAAAAAAATTAAAAAATAATAAAAATAAATTAAAAAAAGAAAAACTAACTGTTGGGTGCTATGCTGACTATCTTGGTGACGAAATTACTCATATTCCAAGCCTCAGCATCATGCAATATACTCATGTAATAAACCTAAATGCATACCTTCCGAATCTAAAACAAAAGTTGAAATTATAAAAAAAAGAAAAATGAAAGTCGTATAGAAAAGAAAGCTAAGGGAATGATGGTTTCCAGCTTCATCCATGTCCCTGCAAAGGATATGAACTCATCTTTTTTTATGGCTGCATAGTATTCCATGGTGTATATGTGCCACATTTTCTTTATCCAGTCTATCATTGATGAGCATTTGGGCTGGTTCCAAGTCTTTGCTATTGTGAACAGTGCCGCAATAAACATATGTGTGCATGTGTCCTTATAGTAGGATGATTTATAATCCTTTGGGTATATACCCAGTAATGGGATTGCTGGGCCAAATGGTATTGCTAGTTCCAGATCCTTGAGGAATCCCCACACCTTATCTTCCAGAATGGTTGAACTAATTTACACTGCCACCAACAGCGTAAAAGCATTCCTATTTCTCTGCATCCTCTCCAGCATCTGTCGTTTCCTGACTTTTGAATGATCGCCATTCTAACTGGCATGAGATGGTATCTCATTGTGGTTTTGATTTGCGTTTCTCTAATGACCATTGACAGAAAACCAAACACCGCGTGTTCTCACTCATAAGTGGGAGTTGAACAATGAGAACACGTGGACACAGGGAGGGGAACATCACACACGGGGGCCTGTCAGGGGCGTGGGGGCTGGGGAAGGATAGCATTAGGAGAAATACCTGATGTAGATGATGGGTTGATGGGTGCAACAAACTACCGTGGCACGTGTATACCTATGTAAAAAAACTTGCACATTCTGCACGTGTACCCCAGAACTTAAAGTATAAAAAAAAAAGAAAAGAAAAGAAAGCTAAGGGAAAAAGTAGATAAGCGATTTCAAAATCTCAAGTAAAATGGCCTTCTGAAGAAGCAGAAAAAGTGGGAATTTCTCAATAGGAAGAGAAGGACAGGAGGACTCCCAAGGAAACCTCTGCATGGCTCTGACTAGATTGTGTACAACGGGTCCAGCTGCATCCCTGGCTGCAGCTGCCACTGTTTGTCAGGCAAAGGCAAGTGATTCTCCCTAACCTAGGAGAGACTTCCCTTAAGAACAGGACTCTCAGTTAAGTGAAAAGAAATAAAATACTCTGAGCCAGAAAATTAAATCCTGGGTGAGGAAACTCAAGTTGTGATGAATGTCAAGGAAGATGGAGACAGCCTGCAGCTGTTTTCTTTTAGTAGGACGTTAGGTGTAAGCTGGTTCATCCATTCGACTGTTATGAACAGCCGCAGACCTGAGGGCTGATTTCTGATGGGGATGTCTGGCCCCGTAACACATAAACAAGCTGGCCAAGAGGGAAATCAAACCCCAGGGTCCACTCTTAGCAGCAAAATGCTCAAATCAGATGGATCCACTTGGTGGGTTTGAAAATGATGGGCTTCAAGGCTCCTCCAAGGATCTACTGATCTGCACCCATTCAGGAGTAGAGTCAGCAATGGCCATACCCTGGAATTGCAGGGATTAAGGATGACTGCCTATCCCCCATCTCTAACTCAATTTGGATGCCACCAACACTTAATGTCTACAATGTGCCAGATGGCGAGTCAAGTTCTAGCATGTATTATTTCATTTAATCTGTATAAATATTCTAGGATGCAGGTATCACTATCCCAATTTTAAAGGCTAAAATATTAAAGTTAGAAGAAGTAACTGGCCCCAGACCATGTCTCTGCTAAGTCCAAAGCCAGGATTCAAGTCACTGGGCCCCAAATTCAGAGATATTTATTTGCAAAGCCTTGGCACTGTCTACAAGGCACTAGGACTGGCCTTATTTACTGTCTGCCTCCAGGCCCTTTATCCCTTTGAGATACTAGGATACCACCCAAAACAACCTCACTTCTCCACATATACCCCGTAGGGGCTTTGAATTAGAAATGTTTTCATCATTGACAGCTTCAAGCCTTCTGTCTTTGAAATGCAAGCAATTTCCCCTTCTCACTTTACCATCACATATGAGAATAGATGCTATACGAAGGACATGTTTTTTATGTATGTGTGTGTGTGCACACATGCATTTGTGTGTTGATAGCATTTTTGTTTCTCTGCCAAGCCATTCTCTTTCCTTACCCAATTCCCAAATGAAAAATACCTAAATAAAGTTTGAAGAAGGAAAATGTATTTATTATATATGTATTTGGCAAAACTGGACTGGCATCACCCAGTGGTTTAGCAAAGCATTTGATGCAGCTGGCCTTGCCTTTTTTCAAGGTTGAATGTCTAGGCATGTAATTTATTATTATTCCATTAAGATGGCCGAGGACATGTGATGCCTTCAACTCTTCCTTCTGTATGGAGCGGTGCTTTGCAATCAGTAGGCAGGTGAGATGAGAGTTCCTTGTCAAGAACCCCATGGCTCTGTGCTGGTATGAGTTGAGTTGTGATAGCACTGATTATTTCAGATAATGATGAACAATAGGCAGGATGAGTACAAATCATACCCTCCACTACAGGCCTGTGGCATCAGCGTAGGAGGCAGCCACTTAGCTTACTAGGAGGTGTAGCTCGTTGACATGCACCCCTTCTCTTCCTCCTCTTCCATTTAGTGGTTCCTGGATGCTGTTATCCAATAACAGAAATAAAGTCTCCTGGCTCCCCAGTTTTGAGGAGAACTTTAAGTGCAATTGCCCCTGAGGGAAGTAAAACATTGACCTAAACTGACATTGAGGCAAAGGTTTCCAGTGGATTAGGCCTCCAATTCTTAGCCTTCTAGAGCTGTTGTCTACTCAGATTTAAATGAGCATTTAATATAGTCCATTAAAAGTCTGGAAGCAGCAAAAATAACAGTTGGGAGGCTCAAAGGTAAATGTTGTGGCTCCATTTGTTTATTTTTTTAGAACTTTTTTTTTTTGGTTTGGGGTTATACGTGCATGTTTGTTATATAATTGCGTAGTGGTAAGTCTGGGCTTTTGGTGTACCCATCATCTAAATAGCGAACATTGTACCCAAGAGGTACTTTTTCAACCCTCACCCCTCTCCTACTTTTTCCCCTTTTTGAGTCCCCAGTGTCTGTTATTACTTTGTGTCCATGTGTACCCATTGTTTAGCTCCCACTTACAAGTAAGAACACACAGTATTTGATTTTCTGTTTCTCAGTTAATTCACTTAAAATAATGGCCTCAAGCTCCATCCACATTGCTGCAAAAGACATGATTTCATTCTTTTTATGGCTGCATAGTATTCTATGGTGTTGTGTTTCTATGTGTGTGTTTCAAAGGTAAAATTTTAAGACAGTGTGAAATAAAATAATCATTTGCCTTTCAATGAGATTGAAAGAATGAAACACACATTCCTGTGAAAAGAATTTGAGAACCAGAGTAAGAGTGGGAGGAAACGGAGAGCAATCATTTAGACACTGGCTGCAGGAGGGGACCACAATGCTGACTGTCTTAGCTTCACTTCACTGTCCTTTGTAAAAGCAGTGCCACAGTCTAGGCTTGCTTTGGCTAGTCTGTCACTGACGTTTTTCTCAGCCTGTCAGTTTCTCTTCTGAGTTGTCTATGTAGCACCCAACACAGCATCTCTAGCAGGAGGAAAACCATGTTATTTCCTTCATTTAACCTTAAGAACAAAGGTCACCCTGCGGGTAACTTGTCTTCTACTAAGACAGCCTGTGAGTTTACAGTGACGTGTGACAGCCAGCCAAAAGTCTTAATGGAGACCTTGCTTTGACTGAGCAGAATTCCCCCAGGGGCTGCATTAGCCTCCCAGACTGCAGGGCACAGGCAGTTCTGGGGATTCTCTGGGTCAGTGATAAAGAAGTTGTCATACTGAATCAATCCCAGAGCACAGACAGCCGATGAAGTACATGAGTTTATATTGGCAATAAAGGCGACAAAGGCTATCATAGTTTACCGTGTTGTTTTTTTGTTTCTGTTTTTGTTTTTTACTAAGTGCTTTTCTGTTCCAAAAAAAAAAAAGTAAAAGATGCTCTCCTTTTTTGTCTTACCTCTGCACCCCACAACTTGCCTTATTAACGTGCATGGGGGTCTGTGGATTTTTTGGAGATGAAAGCAAGGGGGAGTGAGAAGTGTATAATAAGAATGATTGAATTAGAGGACCGGGGCTAGAATGGAGGGGTAAGTGAGGGGTGCCCAAAGGCTACAGAATATCCTGGGTTGTTGGGGCACCAGGCAGGCTGCTGGAGAAATGTCTGGTTCTAAAATAGCACTGTCCCTCTCGATTGGCATGTACCCTAAGAGAGAAAAAACATCAGCCAGATTCTCCACATAGACTAATAAAAATATGACTTGTTCTCTCCCTTTTCTCATTCTGTTTTTTACACACTGGGAAGGTGGACAATCCCATGGGGGAGTCTCTTTGGGGGTTGGGGGAGAGCAGGGAACTACTTCCTTCTCCTTCTACCTGTTGTCCTCACACAGGGAAGGCATGGCTGGCTGTTCTTATTCATTCAGCTCTTCCTCTACGTAACCAGCATGTACCTGGACCCTCCCTGGAGCCAGGTGGCTCCTAGGTGCCAGGGGTGTTGCAGAAACACAGAGGCATGCCCTGCCCTTGGGAGAAAGGGACCCAGCCTTACCATGCTGTGCTAAGTGAGAGAGGAGAGGAAACTCAACCTAGTCTGGAGGCCAAGTAAGACTGTCCAAGACAGGGGATACAGAAGCCAAGATTGGAAGGATGAGTGGGCCTTGGTCATTCTTCCAGGCAGAGGAAGACTCTTCCAGGTGGAGGAAACTCACCTTTAGAGGCAGAGTGCAGCTTACAAAGAGGGCTGCACAGGGGTGTGATGGGCCACATCTGAGGTCAGTCACCAACATGCACAATTCCACCTTTTTCCTTGACATTGGTTTAGAATACTTTTCTAAAGATAGGATCTCACTCTGTTTCCCAGGCTGGAGTGTAGTGGCACAGTCATAGCTCACTGCAGCCTCCAATTCCTGGGCTCAAGCAATCCTCCCACCTCAGCCTCCTGAGTAGCTGGGATTACAGGTGCACATCACTGCACTGGCTAATTTTTTTAATTTTTGTAGAGATAGGGGTCTTGCTGTGTTGTGCAGGCTGGTCTCAAACTCCTGGCCTCAAGTGATCCTCCCACTCTGGCCTCCCAAAGCACTGGGATTACAGGTGTGAGCCACCATGGTGGGCTGGTTCAAAATTTTAACATCAGCTGTAACCCAGCCCCGTGGCTCTATGCACATAACAGGATGCTGCAGAGTAGTGATCCTCCCTCCCCTCTTTCACTCCAGCCCAGGTTTAAGAACAGTGTAAATACCGGTGCAACACCCAGTGCTTAGGTCCATGGCAATTCTCCTTTTCAGTTAAGTTCATCCCCCAAAGAAGGAAATCACTGCTGGGCAAGCTGCCAGTCTTGATGTGCAACATTCACTTCCAGCTGCCTGTGGAGCAGGACTGTGGACATTTGTAGATGCTGGGATGCTCAAGGGAGATTTTGGGTGAGTAGATGTAGGTTTGAGAGTCACTAGATCTATTGATTTATTGAAGAAATAAGATCTATCTGCAGGAATGCCTAGAGTGAGAAGAAAAGAAATTATAGACCCGACCTGTGACAGAAGAAAGAGAACCCTACAAGAAATAAGAAAAGAAAAAAGAAGAGGGAAGAAAGGAAAGAAAGGAGGAAAGGAAGGAAGAAAGGGGTGAGGAAGACAGAAAAAGATCAAGGGGAGGTTGAAAATGACAAACATGAAATTGCTCAGAAACAGAACAAGCGGTCAATGCTACAAAGAGGTCATGTAGCTAAGAAAAAAGAAGAGGTCCTTGGATTTAGAAATAATTGGATCTTTAGCAACCTTGGCAAAGGCAGTTGCAGCGGTTGTCATGAGCTGAGATGTAGATGGGAAAACAAGAGTTTACCAGTGAGGGAGATGTGGGGGGGAGGGAAGTCGTGGATGTTTCATACAGGCTTTTTGTTATTGTTATTGTTTTAATATTGTAGAGATTTGGATATGGTAAAATGCTATTAGGAATAGAAAAAGGAGATGAGGGGAAAACTGATGAAATCCAAATAAAGTGTGGTGTTTAGTTCACAGTATTCTACCAACATTGTTTCCTTAATTTGGGCTGATACACCAAGGTAATGTACCAAGATACCATGTGCATGCTAGGGAAAGATGGGTAAGGGTATATAGAAATTCTCTGTACTATTTCTGCAACTTTTCTGGAAATCTATAGCTATTCCAAAACAAAGGGTTTACTTTAAAATCAGTTATTGGGAAGGTGCTTCTAGAGATGGAATGGTAACCTAGGGCAGAGAAAGGTGCAAGACTGGCAGGAAGGCAGGGCCGATGACCAGACCCAGGAGGAAAGTTTGGGCAGAGAGGAATACCTTTGTAGAATTGCCTGTGGGAAGTTCAAAGCCAGCTCGTAGACAGTATCTGCTTTCTCTGTCAAGGAGAAGGTCCTATCATTGGTTAATATGGGGGAAGGGAGAAGCACAAGATTTAGGAGGTGGAAATTCTTTTAAAAACCGTGTTATAATGGCAGGGAAAGAATACCTAGGGCAATGCTTAAGAATGTCAGAATGCCAAGGATGGGCTTTTAGGTACTTTCTTGGCTGCCAGTTATCAATATTCTATCTGTCACTTTAAAATATTCAGCCTCCGGTTGCATATGCCACAGTCCAGGTTAATACTGTCAGATTGTCTTCTTGCCCTATTCCAAGGAAAAAATTAAACTGAAAGCAGCCTTCTAGATTGACTGATGTCCAATGAGGGTGAGCTGAACTTTCAGTTGTCTAGATTTATAGTAACAGACACAGACACATCCATAAAATTCTCTAACCTCATTTCAATTACGGCTTTCAAAGGTAAGTTAAGGCCATATTTGAATTTGCACTCTATTGTTCATGCTTTGCCTGTCTTACTCTGGCTCTAAGCAAATCTTCCTCATCCTTCACAGCCCGGCTCAGTTGGTTCCTTTTCTGCAATCCCACCTCAGGCAATGTGTCTCTTCCTTCCTGGTGCATTCACACCACTTTATATCTTCTTCAACTAGAGGTAGTGTGGATCTCACTGAATTGCAGTCGCTTGCTTGTTTATTTAATGCTCTGGTAGTGCTAGATTAGAATAAATACATAGTACCTTTCAAACACTAAATATGAAAGTATTTCCTTGTAAAGGTCACTGTAAGTGGTGATTGGAGAGTTTCTTATTCATGTAGCCTACATATGCTAGCACCCAGATACATTTTATTAAAAATGTTTGGCTGGCAGGGCGCAGTGGCTAGTGTCTATAATCTCAGCACTTAGGGAGGCTGAGGCGGGCAGATCACGAGGTCAGAAGATCAAGACCACCCTGGCTAATATGGTGAAGCCCTGTCTTTAATAAAAATACAAAAATTAGCTGGATGTGGTGGCGTGTGCCTGTAATTCCAGCTACACGGGAGGCTGAGGCAGGAGAATCACTTGAAACAGGGAGTTGGAGGTTGCAGTGAGCTGAGATCGTGCCATTGCACTCCAGCTTGGTGACAGAGTGAGATTCTCTCAAAAAAAAAAAAAAAAAAAAGGTTTGTCTTAGTTTTCTTTCTATCTTTCCTCCCTTTCATTTCCTTTCCTTTCCCTCCTTTTTTCTTCTTATAGAATATAATATACACATATCAGTTGGACTACGCCAACATTTTCGTGTTTTAACATATTTTATTATGCTCCCACTTCATTTTAGTGCGTTAATGACACTCTGGTGGCTATCATGACCAAATTAAACAAGAAATGGTAGAGGAAAACTGAGATAAAGACAGCATTGCACGCAGACCTCCACTGAGTCCATATTCAGAATGGAAGTCTTGCTGAATTGCAATTTCCAAAACCATGGTCCCTCACTCAGAAGGAACCACTCTCATTTCAGTCCAGAGAGCTTCTAGGGCAGTAGGGCATCTGAGACAAGGGGATACTCAGGTTCTTACTCCTCACTCTGAAATTCTCAGATTGCTTGTTCTGTGAATACTTGGCAGCAAGCCTAGGGCCTTGTGAAAAGAGGGCAGTGGAAGAAGGAAATGGAGACTCTGGACTGATGTGGGAGCAGCGGCCACAGAGGAAGAGGTGGTGAGATGCAATAACAGATTGGAGATCTGGAGCAAGAACTCTGACTGTGCGAGTGAAAAGTGACTATAGTTTTAGTTTGGAGATGTCATTTCCCAGAGCTAGTGTGCTGCAGGCAATATGAAAGGTCAATGCAAAAGAGTCAGCCAGAGAGTTCCAGGAAGGTAACACAGGGCTCTCCCCAGCTGTCCAGACAGCTGTCGCTGACAAATGGTGTCTGTTTCTCGCTCCCACAGCACATCCTATGTGCTAAGTATGACCAGCAAGGGAAGATGAGAAACCACTCTCAATGCCTAAAGCTGTGAAGGGCCTATGACCCTTTGTCTTCCATTTAGAGAGGTATGATCACTTGAGTACTTTGCTTTAGGGTTTGTGGGATGTATTATGTATGTTCGTATAGAGAGATGTATGGAATGAACAAGACCAGTTTTAGCTTAGATGCATTTAAATAGGATTCATGTTTACAATTGAAAGGCAAGACATTTTTTATCCCACAATTTTTTTTTTAAGAGACAGGATCTTTCTCTGTCACTCAGGGTGAAGTGCAGTGGTGTGATCATGGCTCACTGCAACCTCAAAGTCCTGTGCTCAATTGATCCTCCCATGTCAGCCTCCAGAGTAGCTGGGACTTTTTTTTTTTTTTTTTTTTTAAAGAGATAGGGTCTTGCTTCATTCCCCAGGTTGTTCTCAAACTCCTGACCTCAATAAAGTGATCTTCCTGTCTTAGCCTCCTAAAGTGCTGGGATAACAGGCATGAGCCGCTGTGCCCTACCCTTATCCCACAATTCTTAGAGAAAACAAAACAAGCAAAACAAGAGGCTAATGAGAAATTGGCTCATCTCCATGTGAAAAATAAACTTTGAAACCACTAGTCACAAGTGGATCTTGTTCTGAGAATGAAGCATAACTGATGCTTGACCTGCCCTTTCGGGAAGCTGTGTTTAGCCGTGATAACCTTTGCATGCAGTCTGCTGCAGTGCTGGGTCACAGCTGAGACCCCTTGGGAATGTCACCATTCCCACGGTAGCTCCAGTAGGAAGGCTACTGTGAATGCTTGCGCTGTCATAGACCTGCTGTCGGCATCAGGCTGTTACCAGCTCCTGCTAAGACAAACACAGTGAAGTCCAGCATGTACCCAGCACTGGATGGACCATGAATAATTTCATACCCACAGATAGTGGCAATAGTGTGATCTTTAAGAATTAAATATATACACACACACACACACACACACACACACACACATATATAGTAAGTGACAATAACAGCACCCCTTTTTCCTCCCCAGTAAATCATCCAGAGAGCAAGTTTGCTGACAGCAGATGCCAAGACAATTGTCTTTGCACCTCCAGGGCTGCTACAGAGTCAGAGCCAAGTCCCTAAGCCTAATTAGATGTCTCCCCATACAAGGCTTAAACAAGCACATGGGGAAGCCAGGTCTCTGATGAGTAAAGAAAGAGAACACAGGCTATATCAGGGTCATGTGGACAGGCATTGGTCACAGATACAGATGACTCATTTTCAGTCTGAGATGTTGAAAGAAATGGAAATGACTCCCCCATCTCCCAACCTCCAGCCCCACATTCAGTGTCTATTGTCATTGGTTTGGGTCTGTCTGGGTGAAGGCTTATCTCATCAGAGAGGAATCTGAGAGTCTCTAATAAGGAAGGTGGCAAATGTCAAGTGTTAG
Source organism: Homo sapiens (assembly GCF_000001405.40). Lineage (NCBI taxonomy): Eukaryota > Metazoa > Chordata > Mammalia > Primates > Hominidae > Homo > Homo sapiens. The sequence goes on from NC_000010.11 coordinate 23,919,212, forward strand.
GTGTGCATGTTTGAAGCTAGGGTCATTTTTTTTTTAAGTTATTTATTTCTCTTGGCTGCAACCAACCCCCACCCCACTAAATCTCAATTCCTCCTCTAAACCCCTAATCATCGACTGGGTGCAGTGGGTCACCCCTGTAATCCCAGCACTTTGGGAGGCCGAGGCAGGTGGATCACCTGAGGTCAGGAGTTCAAGACCAGCCTGGGCAACATGGTGAAACCCCATCTCTACTAAAAATACAAAAATTATCTGGGTGCAGTGGCATGTGTCTGTAATCCCAGCTACTCGGGAGGCTGCGGAAGGAGAATTGCTTGAGCCCGTGAGGCAGAGATTGCAGTAGGTCGATATTGTGCCACTGCACTCCAGCCTGGGCGACAAAGCAAGACTCCTTCTCTAAAAAAAAAAAAAAAAAAAAAAAAAGGCTCTGCAGATTCATTTACTCATTCATTCATTCATTCAACAATATTCATTCATACATGCCAAGTGTGCAGGCACTGTCTTATGCTCTGGGAGCAGATGACAGTGTTCATTAACACAAGGCTTTAGTTCCAAACCCTATTCTTTCGGTGCTACCCAAAGAGAGCTGACCTGAATCTAGAGGAGCCTCTTCAACTAGAACGACTGCAAAATTCTGCCCCATGACACCTTTCTCCTTGGCCACCTAGTTCCTTCCTTCCTGACCTTCTCCAGGACACAGTACTTGCTTGAACTTGTTGACATCTCAGACACAATTTTTACAGGGCACAATCCAGAAAGAGAGGGCTTCCAAGAAATGCCAATCCCAGGGTCAGTCCTCCAAGAGAAGATTCCAGAATGGGTGACTTAAAGAGGCTTTGTCATGTGGACTCTGAAGTCATTGACCCTTTGCTCCACACCCAGCTACTCAAGGACAAAATGTCCTCAGCTTTGACCCTCTTCTGCAACACAGTGACATTTAGGTTTTTTTGTTTGTTTGTTTGTTTTTGTTTTTGTTTTTGTTTTTCTTGCCCAGCACACCTTAAGGAGGACTCAGGTAAAAGGAGAGGGACTAGAAGCCCTTTTGTAGGGTTTCATTTGTGACCATGGAGATCCAGCTTCAGAGGTAGACATCGGACACTTTTGCTTTAGTCTCTGGTCATCCACTTTTAGCTTCTCTGTCCTTTCTTTTGGTAAGGTCGCTGACTGGCTAGATTGATTAAAGTGTATTCTATTTCTGGACTGATAAAATTTTGTTTTGAAGGCAACCTGAGCTTTTTGGGTGGACATAGGATTCACTGGTCTCCTTGAGGTCTTTCAGGTTAATGACTTGTGGTGCGTCATCAGATCACATTAGACTTGGCCTTAGAATGATTAGATACCAAGCTTATAAGAATCTTTGAAGACATTAAGGCTAATTCCTTCTTTTGTCTCTCTATTTATCTCTTAAATCCCCTCTGCCACACTCTGAGATATAGTTGTCTGACCTCCTTTTGAACAGTCAGTGACAGGGACTTCTCTGTCTCAAGATGGCCCAGTCAGTCCACTGATAGCTCTAATGGACAGAGTTCTCCTGTGATGGGAACCTGGTTTCAGCTGATATGGCCTGGCTGTGTCCCCACCCAAATCTCATCTTGAACTGTAGTTCTCATAATCCTCATGTATCATGGAAGGGACACAGTGAGAGGTAATTGAATCATGAGGGAGGGTTTTTCACATGCTGTTCTTGTGATAGAGAATAAGTCTCATGATTTTATAAAGAACAGCTCCCCTGCACACACTCTCTTGCCTGCCACCATGTAAGAAGTGCCTTTGTTCCTCCTTTGCCTTCTGCCATGATTGTGAAGCCTCCCTAGCTATGTGGAACTGTGAGTCCATTATACCTCTTTTTCTTTATAAATTACGAAGTCTCAGGTGTTTCTTCATTGCAGTGTGAAAATGGACTAATACACAGCTTATATTAAACTTTTTGTTTGTTTTAAAGTCAAAACATCACTCTCTTTATATAGAACCATTTCAACAACTGGCAAATTTGTCTCTGGTGAAGTGCATATGTTGGGATTTCTATACCCAATAGAAAATGAATGATTTCTCTTAGGGATTTGGTCAGGGACACAGAACACCCCTTTCCTGCAGCTGGAGCTCAAAACAGACAACTGTGGGCTCATTGAAGTCCTATTTTCTGATCCAGTGAGAAGATTCCATCAGAGAGAGAACTTGTGTTTTCCTGACTCCATCTGCTTGAATAATTTAGCTTAAGATTCCAGCACATTGTTGTCACTTCCTTCTCTCATGGTTGGTGTTGCCTATCCTCTCTTGTACTGATATTTTAGGGCCAGTGCAAGGCCATATTTCTTAAGCTTCACCAAATATTTCTTAAGCTTTGCCAGGGAAATGAGAATCCAATCAGTAGAAGGCTCAAATAGCCTCTGTTCAAAATGTGTGATACTTTGAGCTGGGGGCTGAGCATGTTATTCTTTCTGCAGGCCCATGAGTTTCTTCGGGGAGGGTGTTCAGGGATGAGCAGGTGCACCCCCCTGGCTGTTTGGTTGCAGGTTAGTGCCCATTGTCTTTTCAGAACAGAAGCCCCATGAACATGGTTCATAGTTAACCACTCCTAGCATTATTAGCAAAACAGTGCTGTTTGCCAGGTTGTGGCTGTGTGGACTTGTAACATAATAAGAAATATATATTTGGTCTTCATCTCTTGTTCCTGACACAAGAGCTTGTAAGACCCTTGGAATCCTAGTAGTGATAAATGTGTCTTTTTGTGTGCTAATGGATGATTGGTGGCTGGGGCTCCTAGATAGCTTCAGGATGGGAGTTGCAGTTGCCAGAGGTACCAGCCATGTGATGAGAGTGTCAGAACTTTCACCCCCCACCCCCCACCAACAGCCTCCTGGGAGCAGAGAGTGGCTGGAGATGGCCAATAATTTAATCAATCATGACTACATAATGCAACCTCTGGCCAATAATTTAATCAATCATGCCTGCATAATGCAACCTCTGTAGAAACCCTAAAAGAAGGGGTTCAGAGAGCTTTCAGGTTGGTGAACAAGTGGAAGTACCAGAAAGGTGGCATCCCCAGAGAGGGTATAAAAATCTCTGCACCAGCTCTCATACCTTGACCTCCATACCTCCTCATCTGACCGTTCATTTGTATCCTTTATAATATCTTTTCTAATAAACCAGTAAATGTAAGTAAAGTGTTTCCCTGAGTTCTGAGAGCTGTTATAGGAAATTATCTAACCTGAGAAGGGGGTTATGGGAATTCTCATTTGGTAATCAAGTCAGACCTAAGTCTGGGTGACATGGGGACCCTCTCTTTGGAATTGGCATCTGAAGTGGGAACAGTCTTGGGGGACTGAACCCTTAACCTGTGGGGTCTGTGCTAACTCAGGTAGTTAGTGTTAGAATGAAACTAAATTGTAGGTCACCCAGTTGGTGTCTACAGAGAACAGGAGAACTCCTGGGTATGGAAAATCCACACATTTGGTGTCAGAAGTGTAGTGAGCATAGAAAAACAATTTCCTTTTTAATGTCTTTGACTCAAGAGTGGAGAACATTAGAATTCAGCAGATCTTGAAGATTATAAGGGGGATGCTTTTAATGACAGAAAATGTTGCTAAGGAACATGGCGGCCTGAAATAAGGTAAAGGAAAACCTATCCAGAACTAGGCACACCAGCTACAAACAAAGGAAAGGATGATATAATACTTAAAAACAAACCAAAACAAAACCTAGTTTTGATGCATATTGTAAGGTAAACCAAGAAAGACTTTTATTTTATTTTAATAGTTTTGGGGGAACAGATGGTGTTTAGTTACATGGATAAGTTCTTTAGTGGTGAGTTCTGAGATTTTGGCACACCTGTCACCCAAGCAGGGTACACTGTACCCAATATGTAGTCTTTTATCCTTCACCCCACTCCCAGCCTTCCCCCCGAGTCCCCAAAGTCCATTGTATCATTCTTATGCCTTTGCATCCTCATAGCATAGCTCCCACATGTCAGTGAGAACATACAATGTTTGGGTTTCCATTCCTGAGTTACTTCACTTAGAATAACGGTCACCGGTTCCATCCAGGGTATTTAGGCTCGTTCCATATTTTTGCAATTGCAAATTGTGCTGTTATAAACATGTGTGTACAAGTGTCCCAAGAAAGACCTTTTAAAATAAGAACTCTGTGCTCCGAATGGTGAGAAAGTCACACTGTGGTAGGGTGGATAATGGCCCCTCAAAGATGCCTACATCCTTATATGGCAAAGGGAACTTTGCAGCTGTGTTTAAATGAGGGGTTTTGAGATGGGGAGATGGTCCTGGATTATCTGGGTGGGCCCTAAATGTGATCACAGGCATCTTTGTAAGAGGTGGCAGAAGGAGATTTGACTACACACAGGATAGGGTGATGGAATGACAGAAGCAGAGATGGAGAGATGTGTCGGAAGAAGGAGGAAGGGGTTGCAAGCCACAACAACAGGTCACCACTAAAAGCTTAAAAAGGCAAGGAAATGGTTTCTCCCCCTGGAGCTCACAGCAGTAACCAGCCTTGCTGACACCTTGACTCTAGCCCAGTGAAACTGACTTCAGACGTCTGACCTCCAGAACTGTAAGGGAACAAATCTGAGTGGTTTTTTGTTTGTTTTTGTTTTTTAAATTTGAGTATATTTAATTTATTGAAAATTTTAAATTGGATATTATTTGTTGCTTTTATTTCCAATGGCAGTGGCATTTGGAAGTGAAATTTAAAATGTAGGATTAGGAAGTAGCTTTCACGTTTACCTTTATTTTTTGCAAATACCTATTCATATACATAGATTTTCAACTATGTTTTCATAGGATTTAATGGAAATTGTCAAAAATGTCTCAAGATAATTATGATTTTTAAATGTTATATTTAGAATTACTGATCAATTTATGATCAAAACTGCAAACAATAATTGTAAATATTTTGAAGTTGGTGATACTGTATTTTTCCCCACTATTTGCTACTCTGATTCTTTTTTTTTTTTTTTACTTTAAGTTCTAGGATACATGTGCAAGCCACTGTGTTTGGGGTAATTTGTGGCGGCAGCAATGGGAAACTAAGATAACTGTCTTTACTTTTTAAAGTAATTAGAGGAAAGTTGATGAAAATCTTGGAGACTGATCAAAGGAAACTACAATATAACTACCAGAATGACCAAAGAACAAATGAAAAAGTCTAATCATGAAAATGAGGTGTGGAAGTGAATTTTAAGTCTTCTCTATAAGAAGAAAATGTAGGATTTTTAAATGCCTCTATAGTGTAAGAGGAAGATGTAAAGATGATACCGATTTTGTGACAAAATGAGAGCAGTAGAGTCTGAGTTATTTTAGAAGTAGTGACCTTAAGGTCACCTTATTTGTCCTGTCAGATGAGCAAAATTAGACATAGAGAACTCAAGGAAACGTTCAAAGTCAGACAGTAGGACCATAGCGAGCTGGGACCACACCTTGCTTCCTGCCTCCAAATTTCATGCCTCCAGCGCTTTTTCTCCTACTCCAGGATTAAAAAGTTTGCAAATAATCTGTATGAAAAAGAAAAGTGGTGCAGATGATTCAATTGCACCTCAGTAACAGGCCTATATCCAGTCTCCTTTATGACACTGTTTCTGAGTCTGAACAAGGGAGCAGGAAGACATTACTGAAATTTGCAAATGCTATTAAACTAGGATGTGGCGTTAGCTGTTATGGAAAAAAAAATAATGAATTTAGAAATATTCTTAAATTTTAGAAATTTTTAAAAGTAGATTTACTTAGAGAAAACTTAAAAAAAAATCCAGTAGCCAAAATAGCATTATTTTGAGAGATCTGGAAACTTGGCCTGTTTTTCCCATTGTACAGAAAGGAAAATGTCTTTGAGGTGAAATATCCCAAATTTTTAGTCCCAAAAGTGTTCATATTACTTAGAAATGTGGAAGAAGAAGATGGAGAAGGAGGAGAGGAAGCAAGACAGAAGGAAGATAGATAGGGAAAGAAGGAGAAGGAGGAGGAAAAACAGCAGCAATGTCAGTAGAAGCAGAAGGAAAAAGATAAGGAAACAACTTACAAAGGCTGGCAATTTCTTGCTTTCCTTCTTCTCTTTCAGCATACATAGGCATGCCCCTGATCAACAAATATTTACTAAGCCAGTGCCAGGCCCTGGGTTAGGCACTAGAGAGGCATCAGGAAATAAAACTCCCGGAGCTTCATTCTAGTGGAGAGACATGAAAGAAATTATAGATATATTAAGGGCCGATACATACTAAGTCCTGCCTTCTGCCCTCAACCCACCTCCTCTCTGCATTCTGCAAGGATCAGTCTCTTTTGACTGTCGCTGGACTTTTCCAACTCGTTTAATACATTTCCAAGCTTTTGAAAGACTTTTCTGAGTGAATTGCAGCTTAACAAAGTTCACTTTTATGCTGTGTTCCATGTTTCGAAGGCAGAGGCATCAGTTTTCCCTGAGCCTTTAATCATCCTTCAGGACTTGCCATCTCAGAATGAGGTGCTGCCCTTCTGTGATCATGGAGGGAAGAAGTGGAACACGCCCTAAGTGACTGTAGACAGACTGGATTCATTTCTGGTCCCTGTCTCTTTCCAGCTCTGTGGCCTTAAGCAAGTAAATGAATTCCTACAAGCTTAGGGTCTGGGATCCAAAGAGGCCCAATAAAATAATACTCCTCTTTTCTGCAGGAGTTTTGATCAGCTGAGAATTGATGCAAAGTAGTAAAGCAAATGGGTGTCAAAACAGCACCTGTATTCTGAGTCAAAGGGAATCTGGCTTATATATGAAGGCCAATAAACTTTCTCATACTGGATTTCAAAATGCGCATACTTACCCACACCCCATCACTGTGGTCCTCGATCCAGGCAGACCTCCCCATACTGAGGCAGAGACTGCACCTGGCAAAGCAGCTGTGAAAATCAGCTCAGGTGCATTGGTCCTCAGGAAAAAGAAGGAAGAAGGGGAATCTACACAGGCTCAGTATCTCCTCCCTGTTCCTTAATTAGATTCAGTCAGTTCTCCCACCCAGGGCCGGGATGGGTGGAGGGGGCTGGGAAAAAATAAAATACAGGGGCAGAAGTGTAGCCACTTAATTTCTCTGCATACAAAAGGAGGCAACAGAAGTCAAGAAAAGTCTAATACTTGAGTTTCTTGTCTTTGAAACAGGATTAATACACATCTCATATGAAAATGATGACCATGCTAAGAATGATAGAGAATGCTGTCAATATTTCCATATGAGATGTGCATTAGTCCTGTTTCAAAGGTAGGCCCGGAGCAGTGGCTCACGCCTGTAATCCCAACACTTTGGGAGGGCGACGTGAGTGGATCACCTGAGGTCAGGAGTTCAAGACCAGCCTGACCAACATGGTGAAGCCCCGTCTCTACTAAAAATACATAAATTAGCTGGGCGTGGTGGCAGGCGCCTGTAATCCCAGCTACTCAGGAGGCTGAGGCAGGAGAATTGCTTGAACCCGGGAGGCGGAGGTTGCAGTGAGCTGAGATCATGCCATTGCACTCCAGCCTGGGTGACAGAGCAAGATTCTGTCTCAAAAATAAATAAATAAATAAATAAATAAATAAATAAAGTGCCTGGAAAATTGTTACCTGCTTGCCTCCCTTCCTCCCTCTTTTCTTCCTCCCTCTTTTCGATCCTTCAATCTTTATCTCTCTTCCTCTGTGTTTAGAGAAAGTTATTTGAGACAGCAGTCTATCCTATTTATTTATCTGTTTATTTATTTATTCTTTTTTTGAGACAGGGTTTCACTTTGTTGCCCAGCCTGGAGTGCAGTCACGTGATCTGGGCTCACTGCAGCCTCGACTTCCCAGGTTCAAGCAATCCTCCCACCTCAGCCTCCCGAGTACCTGGATCCACAGGCATGTACCACCATGCCTGGCTAATTTTTGTATTTTTTGTAGAGACAGATTTTCTGATGTTGTCCAGGCTGATCTTGAACTTCTGATCTCAAGTGATCCTCCCACCTCAGCCTCCCAAAGTGCTGGGATCCTATTTATAAATTGCTATGCTGGGATCCCAAAGTGCCTGGTCTATCTTATTTATTTTAACTGCCTGAAAATTTTTACTATAAGTTATTTCTGTTCCAGCAGTAGTTCCATTTTCTCTCACAAGGCTCACCCTAGCAAGTCATAGGGTGTGTGTGTGTGTGTGTGTGTGTGTGTGTGTGTGGCCAAATGTTTTCTATACATTGAGGTTCTCCTCTTGCATTACCACTGATCATTATTCTATTTAAAGTGTAACGTGAAAATATTATGAGAATTAGTGCCACACAAAACTAGTAGTAAATCAGAGGTAGATTTTGAAGGATCAAAATCAAATTTTATTTTCCTGTGAGAGAAGGATGACATGCTGTGAGATGCTCATATGTGATTGAAAGTGATTATGTGAGCTCATGAAAGTAGAATCTTAAGGAAGACAAAATGGTGATGCACTAGGCTTTTGGTTATATATTTTCAGGATGAGATTTATAAACCCTCTGTCCTTTCCCAGAATAAATGCTTCTGAATGTTTTCTTGCTTTGAGCTCCCTGAATGTCACCTGGTTTCCGTGTTGGGGGTTCTGCAGCAGATTCCCATATAAACAGATGTGCTATTCAGGCCTCCGGAGACAGTAAGATTCTTTTTCAGGCTTACTTCTGAAACTAGTGCGCGATAAACCAAATGTCACATTGAACATAAGACTTGGGAGGAAATACACATATAAAACAGCTAATTAAATGGAAAAAATGGTAATCATAAGCTTGCCTAATTCAATCACTGAAGGACTTGTGCTGTTAAACTTTAGGCCAGATGCAGTAACTCGTCCACCCAGCAGACCAGCATCATGGGCTGCTGGCAGGGTACTTGATATCTGTTAAAAAGCATAGCTTAAAAGAAACAATGGCTAAGCTGTCTACCTCTGTAGGCTTGGCTGGCTTTTGCCTAATCATCAAGCATTTCAGTCCCTCTTTGAGACATTGTGCTTGTGTATTTCACAAGGAAGCCACATCTGGCAGCTCCTTCGAGCAGCACAGGGTCCCCTGAGAGCAGTTTAGGCTTGGTAGGGCCACGGTCCAGATGGACTGGGGGAGGAAACGTTGTTTCTAGCTCTTTCTTTGAAAGCAAATCACATATTCTAGTGGAAAATATTGCTTTTCAAACAGTTACCTGAGAAAGCAGCTTCCCAGAATTTGCGGTGAATTTTAGTTTTCCGTGGCATGATAGATCTTTCTCTTTGCTAATTGCTTGATGAATTGTTCATCATGCAATTAGCAAATGATGATTTGTTCATTTATTTGTTTATATAAATGTATATGGTCATTCATTTAATAAGTAGTTATTGAGCACCTACTGTTTGCAAGACATTACTCTAGGGCCTGGGGATGGAGTACTGAACAGGGCATGACAGGATCCTTGTTCTCCTGTAACTTAAAGTCTTTGAAGATGGAAAACGGTCAATGAGCAAGGAATTACACTCATACAATTACATAGTGCTTACTACGTGTCATGCCCCCAACAACCTCATGAGGTAGATACCATTATTATCCGCATTTTACAGACAAGGAAACTGAGACACTTATAGCTCAAGGGTTCACATAAGTAGTAAAGACCTTGAACACAGGCAATATGGTTCCAGATTTTGTTTTGTTCACTTCCACATTGAAAATTTAAAAAGGGCAAGGTGATAGCCACTCTGTGGCCATCTTACCTGGAGAGGTCTCAGAAGGCCCCTCTGTCTGAGGAGATGACCTATAAGTTGAGGTCTGAATGACAAGTCAACTATGCAAAGGTCTAGACAACGAACTGTAAGGGCAGAGGTTCCAGCGTACACAAGCTTGGCATGATAGAGGACCAGAAAGAAGATCAGTGTGCCAGGCAAGGCAGAAAGAAGAGGTACAAGATGAGGTGGTTATGCAGAGGCCAAATCAGGTAGGGCCTTGTAAGCCAAGAAAAGGAGATGGAATGTTTATTATTATTATTTTAATATTGCTATGCTAAGAAATAAAATGAAGTAAATTGTAAAACACAAAATCTCTCATTTATTGTCAATTATTCATGCAATTCTTCATGGCTAACCACCACAAAGTCTGCATCAGTTAGAAAGAAAAAAATATGAACTCACTGAAATAATGGATTTTATTTTATTTTTTATTTTTTTTTATTTTAGACTAAGGGGGCACATGTGCAGGTTTGCTGCATGGAGATATTGTGTGATGCTGAGGTTTGGGCTTCTGCTGAACCCAATAGTGAGCATAGTACCCAATAGGTAGTTTTTCAATACTTGCTCACTTCCCTCCTTCCTCACTTTTGGAGTCCCCAGTGTTTATTTTCCCATCTTTAAGTCCACGTGTACCCAGTGTTCAGCTCCCACTTGTAAGTGAGAACATGTAGTATTTGGTTTTCTGTTCCTGTGTTAATTTGCTTAAGATAATGGCCTCCAGCTGCGTCCATGTTGCTGCAAAGGACGTGATTTCATTCTTTTTTTTGTGGCTGCGTAGTATCCATGAGGTATATTTTCTTTATTCAATCCACAGTGGATGGGCACCTAAGTTGCTTACATCTCTTTGCTATTGTCAGTAGTGCTGCAATAAACGTATGAATGTAGGTGTCTTTTTGGTGGAATAATTTATTTTCCTTTGGATATATACCCAGTGATGGGGTTGCTGGGTCAGATGGTAGTTCTGTTTTAAGTTCTTTGGGAAATCTCGGAGCTGATTTCCACAACGGCTGAACTAATTTATATTCCCACTGATAGTGTATAAGCATTCCTCTTTTTTTGGGAAATCTCTGAGCTGATTTCCACAGGGGCTGAACTAATTTATAATCCCACTAATAGTGTATAAGCATTCTCCTTTTTCTACAACTTTGCTGGCATCTGTTATTTTTTGACTTTTTTGCTAATAGCCATTCTGACTGGTGTGAGATGATATCTCATTGTGGTTTTAATTTGCATTGTTCTGATGATGACTGATGTTGAGCATTTTTTTCATATCTTTCTCGGTCACTAGTTTGTCTTCTTTTGAGAAGTGTTTGTTCATATCCTTCACCCACTTTTAAATGGGGTTATTTGGTGCTTTTCTTATTGATTTATTTATGTTTCTGAAATAAGGGATTTAAAAAATCAACCCCAGGATCTTTAAATATATATACAGAAAAATGTCAACCTTCTATAACATCTGTTTCTATGTCATCTTATATAGTTATTATCTAAATATGCAAGCTAAAAAATTGTCGAAAGTCCTCATGAAGGGTGGTGGTGCTTCCAAAGAGCTATGTCCACATTTGTTCTACATCCTGTATTATTTGCTCTCAACTCGGCAGCAGACATTTTTTCACATTCGAATGTTTCTAAAACTGGTTTGCATCTTACAGTCAAGATGCACACAGATATACTAGCAAGATAATTGGCAGGGCCTTTCAGAAATTACAATTTCTGCATCTTGCTTGGAAAGGGCAATATGAGAAGTGAGTTATTTACAATTTGCACAGAAATCAGAGTCAGTGAAATAGACTTTTCCAGTGTATCTGTGATTCATCAGGAAAAAGACATTGGAGGACATTCTCTTTTCCTTCATTGCACTCGAGCTCTGATTTACATAAGTTAACTCAGTGGGAACATGGACTCCTGAGGGTGAGGCCTGGATTTCCTGCCCTTAACAATCATGTGACCTTGTTGTATGTTTCACCTTCTTAGATGGCCCTTTGGTATTGAGCCTGTCCTTCCTCACGTGTGCCTCCCCTTGGTCTCCTGAAGATACACCCAATTATACAGGAGTTCTAGTTCATTGTCTTTTTTGCAATTAAAGAATACATGCATATCTTAAGTCTGGTGGAACTATCATCATATTGAATGTAGCAACAGAATATTCTATTAAATACTTTTCTATAATTTTCTATAGTTCCTACTTCTAGGCTGCAAGCTAACTCACCCCGCCTGCTTCTACCATGTCTTACTTATAACAACAACTAGCATTTATTGGGTTCTTCCTAGGGGTCAAACATTATGTTAAATTCATTACATGGATGTTCTTGTATAATTCCTACAATAATTCTGAGTGATAGGTATCAGCATTAGCTTGTCCATTTCATGGATAAACAAACTGAGCCCCAGAGGGAAAGAGTGACTTGTCCTTGATCGCATAACCAGGAAACAGCAAAGCCAAAATTTGAATCTAGAATCTGGGGACTTTGGTGTGTCCTCCACTCACCTATGCCCTTGCCCTTCACCCCTGTACCTAAATTGACCTGGAGAAAGAAGAGTCACTGTGTCAAGGCCATCCCATCTAACATTTACCTACACCCTGTCTTGCACTGATCATAGTGTGAGCTTTATCCACCAACTAGACTGGAAACTCCTTGAAATAGGAATTATGTCTAATAATCTTCCTGCACCCTCCCAATGCCTGACACAAATGTCCACATGGTCATGATAGGGGGATGGATTATCCCTGGTCAGCTATAGGAAACCTCATCAGATTGACCCAAAAGTGTCTGGTTACCTATCACAAACGAGCCCCACTTTCCTTTCTCATGGGTGGGGTTAGTTTCATCTTCTCGTATTTTACTTTAATATATGGCAGATATGCAGTTTCTTAAAACTTTTGTGTATCAGTAAGAGTCCTGGCAGGAAACAGATGGTTTACTCAAGCTGGGAAATTAAGGAGCATTTACTAAAGGGATTGTTTGCAAAGGCTTGGACAGTAAAGGATAATGCAGTCCTCCAGGGCTGGAGGATACAAGAGCTGTCACTACCCCCCTGTCTAAAGGGACAAAAAATGGGGCCAGTTACCAGACTCCAGAAAAGACCAGCTGGCAAGAGCTGTGGCAGTTGGTAAATGAAACAACCAGAGCAGCCCGGCAGGGAGGGCAGGGAGAGAGCAGAAGAATGCACACCTGGGCTTCTCCCTCCTCCAACTTCCATCTCTGCTGGTGCCTCCTCTTGGCTGAAGGTAACCAGAAGCTGAGGGGCAAGTGAGTCCTTGGTGCAGTCCTGAAGTTGACCTCCTGGGACAAAGGTGACATGGAGAAGGGCAAAGAAGGCATTTGGTGGAGAAAGGGGTTGATATTCATCACAGCTTGTGAGAAAAGTCAGGACTGTCGCCTGCAGGGTCCAAAAATGTAATTGATGAAAATAGCTTAGCTCTCGCTTATTTAATACAATTTTCATTCATTCATCAACTATTTGTTGATGGTCCCATATGTGCCCAGCAAAATGTACAAATTGAACCAGAATCTTCTAGTCTTAAAAAAAAAAAAGTGCAACTTTAGAGATTTGTGAAAACATTCACTGTTAAAAGCCACTTGAGCAATATAATGTATCCTCAACTCTGGGCCTAATACACAACTTTGAAGAAATGTGTGTGTGGGAGTGTTGAATAACTGGTAAAAATTTAACATATAAACTTTCCCAGAGGCTGTTAAACCCTATTCTCATGGAGCATTTTCTTTATGATTTTTAGATAGTAATATTTTAGCATCATCTTACCCCATACCACTGACATTTACTATTTGTTTTTACATTAAAAAACATGAGTTCTGAAGTCCTGAGATGTTATCTCTTTTCAAAGTAGCCAAATAGATTATATTAATCATTACTTTCTAGTTGGCAGATATAAAAGACCTGGTTGCACAACTGTGTGAGTTTCTTTAGAGCATCCTGGCCTTAAATTCCTACTTGGGATAATAATGAAGCAAAAATAAATAAGAATAAAGGTGCTTAGAAGAATTGATAAATATGAAATTGGAACCATATGTAAGGACCACCCTTGTTTTTAGGTTGTTGCTATGACAGGTAAATTGAATACCATAAGAACCTGGTATGAACGATTGGTTGATTAGCTAGAACTATGGGCAGTTTATAATAGCACAAAAGCTGTAGAGGCTTTGCCTTAGCATCACAACATTGCTGCTGATTGCTATTATTTTGGCAGTTTTACTTCTCATATAATAAAATCAGCTTATTATCTGCTAGGCGTTGTGGAGCTAGGGTCTGCTCGCTTGCATCCCAGCTTTACGTCTTCCCTGCAAGCTGTGTAATCACATTCTGCAGGGAGAGTTGAAGAGAGAAATGAATAGAGTTTCAGACCAAATAATATTTTTTGAAAAACTTCAGAGGACAATGCCATCTTTACCGGAAGGGTGCGTTAGTTTCTGAGATGACTGTACTGCTTTGGACTAGGGTTCCAGAGACCCAGGACGTGCTCCTGGCTAGGTGACCAGTCACTGCTCCTAGAGCAGGGCTCCTACCTCTCCAAGCCTTTATTTCTTCTATTGTAAAATCATTGCACTTACTTTTAATGATCACTAAGTTTTTTTCCAGTTCTAAAATTACATGATTTTCTGTTAATTGCAACAAAAGCCAAAATTCACAAATGGGATCTAATTAAACTAAGAGCTCTGCACAGCAAAAGAAACTATCATCCAAGTGAGCAGGCACCCTACAGAATGGGAGAAAAGTTTTGCAATCTACCCATCTAACAAAGGTCTAATATCCAGAATTTACAAGGAACTTAAACATATTTAAAAGAAAAAAAAATCCCATCAAAAAGAGGGCAAAGGATATGAACTGACACTTCTCAAAAGAAGACATTTACACAACCAACAAACATATAAAAAAAAGCTCAACATCACTGATCATCAGAGAAATGCAAATCAAAACCACAGTGAGATACCATCTCATGCCAGTCAGAATGGCGATTATTAAAGAGTCAGGAAACAATAGATGCTGGTGAGGCTGTGGAGAAAAAGAAACACTTTTACACTGTTGGTAGGAATGTAAATTAGTTCAACCATTATTGAAGACAGTATAGTGATTCTTCAAGGATCTAGAACCGGAAATACCATTTGACTCAACAATCCCATTCCTGGATATGCACTCAAAGAACTATAAATCATTCTACTATAAAAACAGATGCTGCATATGTTTACTACAGCACTGTTTACAATAGCAAAGACATGGAACCAACCCAAACGCCTATCAGTGATAGACTGGATAAGTAAAATGTGGTACATGTACACCGTGGAATACTATGCAGCCATCAAAAAGAATGAGATCATGTCCTTTGCAGGGACATGGATGAAGCTGGAAGCCATCATCTTCACCAAACTAACACAGGAACAGAAAACCAAACACCATATGTTCTCACTTGGGAGTTGAACATTGAGAACACACGGACAGGAGAGGGGAACAACACACACTAGGGCCTGTTGGGGGGTGAGGGGTGAGGGGAGGGAGCTTAGAGAATGGGCCAATAGGTTCAGTAAACCACCATGGCACACGTATACCTATGTAACAAATCTGCACATTCTGCACATGTATCTCATTTTCTTTCTTTTCTTTTTTTTTTTTAGAAGAAATAAAGAAAAATATATTAAGTGGTCTTTAAAGTATATATATATATATATATATATATATATATATGTATATATATATATATGTATATATATATATATATATTTTTTTTTTGAGACGGAGTCTCGCTCTGTCACCCAGGCTGGAGTGCAGTGGCACAATTTCGGCTCACTGCAAGCTCTGTCTCCCGGGTTCACGCCATTCTCCTGCCTCAGCCTCCTGAGTAGCTGGGACTACAGGCACCCGCCACCACACCCGGCTAATTTTTTGTATTTTTAGTAGAGACGGAGTCTCACCATGTTAGCCAGGATGGTCTCGATCTCCTGACCTCGTGATCCGCCCACCTAGGCCTCCCACAGTGCTGGGATTACAGGCATGAGCCACCGCGCCTAGCCAAAGTATATTTTTTTAAAGTTCTGTAGCATAAAACACTAAAAACAAATGCAAATAAATTCATCTAGCCTCCATGGATAAAATCTGTCATGGATACTGAGGGTGGGGTTGATGACTCCAAAAACCTACAAGCTGTTCATATTACCTCCATCACATTGGGTGCATTTCTATTTAAGATAAGTACAGTCTATGTTCTATAAATAATGAGTGATGTACATAAGTACAGTCTATGTTCTATAAATAAATGATTGAAAAGCCTAGGAAAGTGATGGCACCTTCCGTGTGTGGAATTCTTGGCCAGTCCGAAAGCTGAGAAAGGCAAAATATGGATAAGGAAGCACTTACAGACGATGGGCTTATTTGTAATTATTAAACTGACTTCAGGTCAATAAGAATGGACATGTTTATCCAAATATCAGACTTCTGCCCACCTCAGATCACTGCGAGAAAAACACATCTAAGCATTTTGAAGAGCTGCTAGCAAACATCTTCTTTAAAGAAATGTATTTTGTCTGTACTCACTCGACATTTATCGGCTCTGATTTCACCTGAAATTCTCAATTTAATATGCAGTGTAACCAAAAATTTTATAAACTAGATGATTGTATCTCTCAGACCAAAGTATATTAGCAACAAACTGGGAGTCAGGTTAAAAACAAAAACATGAAACACTTGGAAGTGCATATAACAGCAAGGGAAGTGAGACTTCAGAGACAGTATCTGTGGTATTGATAAAACAAATAAAAGGTACACAGAAAATCATATAATTAATGTTTATAATAAAGTTCCTGTATAATTAATTATATACTATTTGCACCTGCATATATTTAAGAAGCAGTGTATAGTATTATCTATAAAGGCTTTCATTAAAATAATTAATTTTTCTTTTGGTGCTATGAGTTTCAAACATTTTTTAAAATCACTTTTCTAGAATAACTGAAGCCCACCTAATGGTGGATAAATGTCAGGGTCCCAACAGAAAACAGATGGCACATACACATTATGATAATCTAGATGGTTTGATAATAAAGGTCCTGATTACAAAAGAGACTGCAAGGTAGATTGCAGGACCTAATAGGAGCCATGATGTATCCCCAATCCCTGTCCAAATGGCAAGAGGAAGAATCTTCTAGAACCAGGAAACAGTAAAAATACAGCAGGCAGCCTGAGGACCTTCTGTTAAAGCACACAACAACACTGGGAGCCACCTCACAGGAGGGAAGCAGGTCAGTAAATTATCTGGCTACAGTCTTCTCAGTTATTCCAGTCAGCTCCTGGGGTCCTCATTCACTAAACACAGCTAGAAGCCAGAGGTCATGGGGACCCATGATGTCACCCATAAAGGTCAGCCTCCAGGGACTGAGAGAATGGTAGGGAAAGGTGGAGTGTAGAATTGAGGGTCAAAGAAAGATATCTTGCATACTACCTGTACTGGGTTATATTACATTACCCCCCGGCCCCAACAAGAGATATGTCTAGGTTCCAGCCCCAGTACTTGTGAATGTGACCTCATTTGCGCTCTTGCAAATGTAATTAGGTTGTGATGAAGTCGTAGTGGATTAGCGTGGGTTCTAAGTTCAATCACTGGTGTCTTTATAAAAGGAAGCAAAGGGAGATTCAGACACAAAGACACAGAGGATACACACAGAGAAGAAGGCTGTGTAATGCTAGAGGCTGAGATTAGAGTGACGCCTGTAAAGCCAAAGAACACCAGGGATTCCCAGCAACCACCAGCTCCTGGGAAGAAGCAAGGAAGGATTCTTCCCTGGAGCTTTCAGAGGCAGCGTGGTCCTGCAGACACCTGGATTTCAGACTTTAGGCCTCCAGAACTGTGAGATAATACATTTCTGTTGTTTCAGGCAACACAGTTTGTGATAATTTGTTATGGCAGCCCCAGGAAACTAATACACACAGAAAGCACTCATGTTGTTTAGGGCCATGATAATACAAATACAGTTGAAGTCTCCTTTCATTCTTTTTTTTTGACAGTGTTTCTCTTTGTCACCCAGACTGGAGTGCAGTGGTGTCATCTCAGCTTACTGCAACCTCCACCTCCCGGGTTCAAGTGATTCTCCTTCCTCAGTCACATGAGTAGCTAGGACCATAGGCACCTGCCATGATGCCTAATTTTTGTATTTTTAGTAGAGACAGGTTTTCGCCGTGTTAGGCAGGCTGGTCTCGAACTCCTGACCTCAAGTGATCTGCACGCCTTGGCCTCCCAAAGTGCTGGGATTACAGGCATGAGCCACCATGCCTGGCCTGATTCTTTCTTTCAAGTGGTCTTATGTGAGCTAGGTTACATATGATGTAATTATAGGGACGGAGCTTTTTAGGAGTGAGGGAGGAGCGCACCTACTATGACTGAAAAATGGTGTTCAAAATCCCTTGGGTTGGAGAGTAGCATGGGGACACAAACAAACACTCCCATACCTGGCTGCTTGGTGGCACACTGACCACCCAGCCTTCTGGTTTACCTGAAACTCATTCCTAGAACCAAGGCTCCAAATTCCCTGTGGTTGGCCCATCTTTTACTTGTCTTCCTTCCAGATTCTGTCCTCTGTCACGATATACATCCGGCAGTACTGTCCCAATTCTGTTCACCAGAATCTGCACCTTACCTAGCCCCACTATCCCATGTTTTATATGTTGCTTACAAAATGGAAAAAGAAAAAGAAGCCAGGTTATAAAAGGTGGCTGAGAAGAGGCTCCATAGAACGGCCCATTAGTCTACTTATTTTTTCCCCATGGCACCTTAACTTAATTTGGCATCATCATAAGTAAATGGGAACTTCTGCTTCAGGCCAAATTGGGATAACAGGGCCCAGGTTTACCTTCCCAATAAAAACAACTAATAACCTGGTGAAAATATAAGAAATAATGATTTTCAGACATTGGGGAGCAAGCAATGTAGGACAGGGATGCCTGAGAGAGGGGAAACAAATGAGATGAACCCTGGGATTGTCCCAGTTTATTTCCAGGAATCGGTTTCCAGACTTTAGCACAGGGAGAGGGAACCCAGTCAAAACTGAGAGGAATTGCTGAGCTAAGAAGATGAAGTTGAGAGTTCAGGGCAGGCCAAGTGTCGAGAGTTCACAGGGCATGGTATTAGTAAAGAAAGAAGTGAATACAAAGAGAGCACTGGAGATACAGAGAAGGCCCCTCCCATCTTCTGCTTAGTATAACCAGCATCTATATGTTGGGAAACTTCTTAAGGTTGGAGAATGAACCACTCAAAAGGTCACGCAGAACTTTCCTCAGAGCTCACGCAAGACTTGGAATAGTCGGTGTTTCCACCAGGCAAAATAGGAATGTGTCATAATATATAGGGAATCAGATAGAGTGCTTCGATGGGTATTGAGCCAGGCAAAGTCAGGAAAAACAATCAGCTCTAGAATAAAGTCTGCTCCAGTGCAGTTAACTAATCTTAAATGCAAGCCTTGATTGAATCAAAATGTTTCCAGGTAACTAAATATGCCCAAGAACAAAGCTCGTACATAGGTAAGTATGTATATACACCGAGACCTCTATGTCTGTGCATTCTGCATCCGTGGTTTCAACCAACTACAGACCAAAAATATTGAAAAATTTAAAATAAAAATAGCAGTACAACAATAAAAAGATACAAATTTTAAAATTTGTATTACTTTGTATATAATACAGCATACAACTATTTATATACAATGTAGCATAACAACTATTTACAGGGCATTTACATTGCATTAGGTTTTATAAGTCATCTAGAGATGATTTAGAGTAAAAAAAAAAAGGATGTGCCTCGGTTATGTGCAAATACTACACTATTTTATATAAGGGGCTTGAGCATCCTCAGATTTTGGTACCCATGGGAGAGTTCTGGAACCAATCCCCCTTGGATACCAAGAGATGACTGTGTATATGCATACGTATATGCCATATTCAACAAGGTAAACTTCACAAGGTATGACATTCAATAAAAATTAACAGTTGTGGAAGAAAGCAGGGAAATATGACCTGTAATGAGAAAAAATACATTTAAAACAATCCAAAAATAACACAGAAGATAGAATTAGTGTATTAGGACATTAAAACAGCTTTTATAACTATATCCCATAGAGTCAAGAAAGTAAAGAAAAACATATTTGTATCAAGAAAGACATAGTAGATAGGTTGTGCTAAGTTAAATACTGTAAGCCCTAACACCACCACTTAAAAATAAATACAGCTAATAAGCCAACAAACACGTATAATGTAATAACAAAATAAAAATCCAAAAGAAGTCAGAAAGTAAAAAAGGAGCAAAAAGCAATTGGAACAAGTAGAAAAAATAGCAAGAGGATAGATTTAAACCCAACAATATATTTTTAAAATCACATTAAATGTAAACAGTTTAGACATCCCAGTTAAAAAGCAGGGAGTGTTAGAATCAACAATCCCTATACGGGGAGGCATGCATGTGTGTGGTGCATACTTCAAATTTAAAGATACAAACATATTACAAGTAAAAAGATAGAAAAAGGTCTACCATGCTAACACTATTCAAAAGGAAACTGTATAGCTATATTAAATATCAAATGCAGTAGATTTTAGGAGAAAGAATATCACCAAGGATAAATATAAAACAATATTTTTATATTTATATAACAGTACATAAAATATAATTTATTTTTAATGATAAATGGATCAGTCATCAGGAGGACATCACAATCCTACATGTTTATATGCACCTAATAACAGAGCTTCAAAATACACAAGGCAGAAACTTACAATTATAATTAGAAATTTCAGCAGTTGTTACTTAATTAGTGATAAAACAAGTAGACAGAGAATCATCAAGTATATAGAAGACTTAAACAAGACTTCAACTAAATTGACCTAAGGAACATACATAAAACATTCTTCCCAAAAACAGAATATACATTCTTTGTAAGTGCATACAGAACTGGAACTTTTACTAAGAAAGGCCATATTTTGGACGAGTAGCTATATTAAATATAAACTATTTATTAAATATTAATATTTACTGTTTAGTAAATATGACACATATTAAATATATAATATTAAATATAAACTATATTAAATATAAACTGTGTAGCTATATTAAATATCAGATGCAGTAGATTTTAGGAGAAAGAGTATCACTAAGTATAAGAGGTTTATTTTTTAATGATAAATGGATCAATCATCAAGAGGATGTAACAATCCACGTGTTTATATGCACCTAATAACAGAGCTTCAAAATACATGTAGCAGAAATTCACAATTATAATTAGAAATTTCAGCAGTTGGCTGAGTGCAGTGGCTCACGCCTGTAATCCCAGCACTTTGGGAGGCCAAGGCGGGTGGATCACCTGACATCAGGAGTTCGAGACCAGTCGGGCCAAAATGGTGAAACCCGGTCTCTACTAAAAGTACAAAAATTAGCCAGGTGTGGTGGCAGGTGCCTGTAATCCTAGCTATTCAGAAGGCTGAAGCAGGAGAATCATTTGAACCTGGGAGGCGGAGTTTGCAGTGAGCCGAGATTGCGCCGCTGAACTCCAGCCTGGGCGACAACAGAGAGACTCCGTCTCAAAAAAAAAAAAAAAAAAAAAAAAGAAAAAAGAAAAAAAGAAATTTCAGCAGTTGTTACTTAATCATTGATAAAACAAGTAGAGAATCATCAAGTATGTAAGACTTAAACAAGACTTCAATTAAATTGACCTAAGGAACATGTATAAACATTCTTTCCCAAAACAGAATATGCATTATTTGTAACTGCACATGAAACTGGAATTTTACTAAGATAGGTCATATTTTGGACAAGACAGAACAAGTCTCAGCAAATTTAAAAGGATTCCATCATACAATGTATATTCTGTGACAAGGGAATTATTGATTTAACAATCAATTACAGAAATATCTTTGAAACTTCACTCAACTAGTTGGAAATTAAACAACACACTTCTGAATAATCCATCATCAAAGGAGAAATCAGTGTGTAAATATCTATTTTACAAACTCTTTCTGACTACTGTCATAACATTTCAATTTCTTATTTCTATTTCTGTTTATGACTGTGCCAAACTAAATGAAACAATCAAAACCTAATGCTTCTGAACCTTCTTCCAAGTTTCTTGATAGAGCAGCTCTGTCTGCAGGCGCCTGCAGAGAAAAGTGGTTCAAGTGCCTACAGCCCTGCTAGAGGTAAAGCATAGGACATTACATTACTTACTTAGGCATGGGCAAAGCTTTCGAGGCAGAGACTTCAAATATTTAACTATGGTTGTTCAGACAGTCAAATTATGGGTAATTTTTGTTTTTCATAGTATATTTGAAATTTTTAAAATATTATCTACAGAGTTAACAATACGTTTATAAACAGGGAAAACATCATTTTTATTACAAACAAATATGGAAGGCTTCTGGGTTCACGAATGGTGACGTAGATTGGATTGAACAAATCGTGTAATGTAATAGCAAGTATAACTCTTAGCAGAATATAAACAACAATTATTCAAAGTTACTACAGAGTGACCAAAAACACACAGAAACTGGAGGAGGTTTGACCCTGGATAATGGGACCACATTGAATCGGACTAACATTTATTCCACTTTTTCCATAAGGCTACCCCCTTGTCTGGGTAGCACTGGATGATGAGAACTTAAATATGTTTGCATTCATACTGGTTTGACATGTCACAGTGACTGGAAATTGAGGATGACCATCTCGGGGAGGTGACCACAGAATGTAGAGTGCACATATTTGCATAAAAAATCCCCTAAGAATTTTAGCTGACCCCTGAACATACATGGAGAATCCCAGGAGCCCAGCAAAAAGTGGCAGGTGAATGATTTAAAAAGCTCAGTAGTTCAAGTACTGCACGGCACTTAGAAGAGAGTTTGGAACTTAAATTTAGTCATGTTAGAGGGCCTTGGTAAACATAAAATTTTCCATTGAAATTTCAAAAAGCCAAACCTTAGGAATCAATTCTATATCCCAAGACTAAACATTCATCCTAAAAATAAATGTAAAAGTGAAACAGACTTGCCCTAACCAAAGGAGAAAACAATCTTCCACAACGTCAGGACAGTCAACCAATAATTCAACTGCCTGCTAGAACAAAGATCTACACCGCACAGAGGAAGAAAAAAGAATCCAAAGCCTCTACAATATGTAATTTACTATTTGATTAATAATATGAATAATATGCAACTCAATACATATTACATATAATTATACTACAATTGAATATAGTAACATGGAAATTGTGTCAGTATATCATCAAGATACTAGACATGTGAAGAAACAGACGTGACCAAGAATGAAGATAAAAAACTGACTAGAAACTGTCAATGAGATGCCATGGATTTGGAGACTAGCAGACAAAGACTTTTAAATAGCTTCTATAAATATATTTAAGAATGTAATGGAAAAGGTGGTAATAATGAGTGAACAATGAGGAATACCAGAAGAGAAATGAAAACTTTCAAAAAGAACCAAATAGAAATTTTAAAAGTGAAAACTATAACAACAGAAATTGTAAAATCCTCTGGCTAGGCTTCACAGATTGAAACAGAAAACAAGATCTATTAATTTGATTTCAGATCATCAGAAATTATACGTTATGAAAAGTAGAGTTAACAAACAACTTCAGTGGAGCAGAAAAAGTATCTGAAGAAATAGTAGCCCCCCAAATCTCTAAATTTATGAAAAACCTAAACTTACCCATCAACAAATCTTAAGACAACCAATTCTGAGAAATCAAACACACAGTCTCTCTCAAGCACATCACAGTAAGATTGCTAGATGTCAAACACAAAATTCTGAAAGCAGCCAAAGGAAATGATACATTATATACAAGGTAACAAGGATAGGCAATGATGCATACTCTCCTGACTTCTATTCAACACAGTATTGAAAATCCTAGTCCATGCAACATGTCAAGAAAAAGAAACAGTCTGGGCACAGCGCTCATGCCTGTAGTGCCAGCACTTTGCAAGGCCAAGGTGAGAGCATCACTTGAGGCCAGGAGTTCAAGATCAGCCTGGACAACATAGTGATATCCTGTCTGTACCAAAAAAAAAAAAAAAAAACTAAAAAAATTAGCTGGGCATTGTGGCACACATACCTGTAGCCCCCAGCTACTCAAGAGGCTGAGGTGGGAGAATTGCTTGAGTCTGGGGCTTCAAGGTTGCAGTGAGTTATGATCACGCCACTGCAATTTAGCCTGGTGTCAGAGTGAGACACTGTCTCAAAATTTAAAAAAAAGAAAATTCACATATATTTTATACATGTGGAAATATAAGGAGGAATAAGAGAAGGGAAAATAAAAAGTAAAAGCTGTTTATATTTACAGATGAGATGGTTGTTTATTTCGAAAATCCTAAGCAATGTACAAAACAACTACTAGAACAAATAAATTTAGCAAGGCCTTGGGATTCAAGAGCAGCATATAATGATCAATTGTATATTTATACAGTAGCAGCAAATAATTATAACATGAACTATTTTAAATAAAAAGTAGCTAAGAATAAATTTAACAAAAGATGTGAATACATGTACACTGAAAACTATAAAACATTTCTGATAGGATAAATAGATGATCTAAATAAATGAAGAGATATACCATGCCCCTGGATTAGAAAGTCAATATTCTTAAGATGTCATTTCTCCCAAAATTTATCCATAGATTTGGTGCAATTTTGATTGAAACTGCAACAGGCATTTTTGGCAATAGGCAATAAATTGATGAATTTATTCTAAAATTTATATTGAGAATCAAAGGTCCTAAAATAGTTTAAAACATCTTGAAGAACAAAATTGGAAAATCCATACTACCTGATATCAAGACTTCTATGAAGCCAAAATAATCAGGACAGTATGGCAGTGTGGTAAGGATAGGCAGAGAATGGATACATAAAAGGTCAATTGATTTTTTTACCAAAGTGCCAAGGCAATTCAATATGGAAAGAAAGTCCTACCTACACATGACGTGGAAACAACTGGATACACAATGAAAAACTAAACTTTTCCACCTACTTCATCCCTCACATACAAATTAATATTGGGTGGACCCAAAAATAAAAGCTAAAACTAAAAAACATCTAGAAGCAAATATAGGTCAATCTCCTTACTAAACTGGCTAAGCAAAATTTTCTTTAAGAAAAGATACCAAAAGCTCTAAATGTAAAAGAAAAAATTGACAAATTGGACTTTACCAAAATTGAGAACTTCTCATCAAAAGATAATGGGCATTAATAAATGAATAAGTAGGCCGGGCACGGTGGCTCATGCCTGCAATCCCAGCACTTAGGGAGGTGGAGGTGGGCAGATTGCTTGAGCTCAGGAGTTCAAGACCTGCCTGGGCAACATGGGGAAACCCCATATCTACTAAAAATACAAAAATTACCCAGGTGTGATGGCACACACCTGTATTCCCAGCTATTTGGGTGACTGAGGCAGGAGAATCACATGAGCCTCAGAGGCAGAGGCTGCAGTGAGCGAGATGGCACCACTGCATTCCAGCCTGGGCAAAAGAGTGAGACCCTGTCTCAAAAAAAGAAGTGAATAAGTATATCAGAATATGTAATAAGCTCTAAAAAAAAAAGCAACAAAAAATACACAAAACATCTAATTAAACAGTTGAAAAATACTTGAGCACATGCTTCACCAAAGATATACAAATAATGATAAACATGTATAAAAGTGGTCAACATCATTGGATATTAGGGAAATGCTAAATAAATCCACAATATGTCATCATTTCACACTAACTAGAATGGCTAAACTTAAAAAGATTAACAACACCAACTATAGGTGAGAATATTAAGAAACTGGAACCGTCATGCATTGGTGGTACAGATATAATGGGAAAAAAAGTTTGGCAGTTTCTTATAAAGTTAAACAAGCTGGGTGCAGTGGCTCACATCTGTAATCCCAGCACTTTGGGAGGCCAAGGTGGGTGGATCACCTGAGGTCAGGAGTTCAAGACCAGCCTGGCCAACATGGTGAAACCCTGTCTCTACTAATAATGTAAAAATTAGCCAGACGTGGTGGTGTGTGCCTGTAATTCCAGCTGCTCTGGAGGCTGAGACAGGAGAATCGCTGGAACCTGGGAGGCGGAGGTTGCAGTGAGAAGTGATCATACCATTGCACTCCAGCCTGGGCAACAGAACAAGACTCTATCTCAAAAAAAAAAAAAAAAAGGGTTTTAACATACATCTATCATCCAGTAAATCCACTTCTAAATATTTGACAACAACACACACACATTCACACAGACACACAGATACACAGAAAACACCTCTACAAGAATGCTCATAGTAGCTTTATTCACAATATCAAAGTGGAAATAATGAAATTTTCATCAGTGGGAGAGGATAAACAAACTGTGCTATTTTCATAAAATGGAACACAACACAGCAATAAAAGAGGTAAATATTGATACCTGCAACCACGTGGATGAATCTAAAATCATTAAGCAAAAGAAGGCAGACACACACTAAATACTGTATTATTCCATTAATATGAAGTTCAAAAAGAGAGAAAACTAATTTATGGTGATAGAAATCAGAGCAATGGCTGCTTATGGAAGGAGGTAGGCATTGATTGCACAGGGACATAAGGGAATTTTCAGGAATGATGGAACTGTTCTGTTTCAATTGTAGTGGCGGTTACGAAGTGTATACATTTATCAAAACTCAACACATTTTACGTTTAAGATCTGTGCAATGCAAATTTTACTTCAAAAAACTCATCTCAGGGAACTCCAAGGGGTTATTAAAGTTCTTTTATTATGCAGGGGAGGTTTTTTAAATCAAATGTTGTTTAATATAAAATAAGTGGTGCATTTGCTGGAACCTGGAAATGATTCTCCTGTACTTCATTTCTAATAGTAGTAATAGTTATTATTTTAAAGCAGGATTCCATACAAAAATATGACAGGGGTGTGACAGGGCTATTCACAGGAAAGAAGTAGAGAGTCTAATCTGGCATATGAAGGCTAATCGCAACTGGGTGAGTGCTCTATATATATCCTTCTACCTGTTTTCAGCTCCTAGGTCACTTTAAAGCCTGGATTTTACATCCTGAGACTATTTGACTGTAGAGCTTACTCTAGTGGTTACTTAAGTTCCATGTCAATAGTATTAGGCTGGTGAAATAGTAATTGTGGTTTTTGCCATTAATAGTTATGGTTTTTGCCATTAATAGTTATGGCAGAAACCACAATTACTTTTTCAACAACCTAATAGTTATAAACCACAAAGAATGCATTTTTACCATATCCAGTTTATGAAACGTGGCTCACTTTCTTCTGGCAGCTTCCTAGACTTCTCTACAGCCTTCTGCCCAAGGAAAATCCATGCATGCTGTGTGCCTCCAATGTCTCTTCCGTTTAAAAAAAAAAAAAAAAAGTAAAGGAGCTATTTGGCATATAGGAAAAAAAAAAGTAAAAGAGCTATTTGGCATATAGGAAAAAAAAAAGATTGTGTAGAAAACAACCTGACTGAGTCTCATTAGGGCTTCCTGATTTATTTCAGGGGTTCAGATCTGTGTAAGTGTTTAATTATATATGCATTCATTTTTAATTTATATTTTACCCATATACACAGCCATTCTAGAGTTTAAATTCCCTTACTTATAACAAGATATTTTCAAGCAAATATAATTCATGTCTTTACCTTCCAGAGAAATTAAAAAACAGTATGGCACTGTGTCGAAGTGATCACTGCTAAGTGTTGTTTTCATCATTTAAAATATCATTATTATTATTATTGTTATGCTTACCTGCAGGACAACATTATCATCACATAACAGCCTACATAAAAACTCTTCAAGAGCCCATAACAACACATCTTTCTGATAGGTAAAACATTTTGTTAATATTCTAGTTTGAAGGAATGGGGTCAGGAAGAACTTTGGAGAGACCATTTTTATTTTTTTGAGTAAGAATTCAAATACTATATGACATGGTTTTGCTGTGTCCCCACCCAAATCTCATCTTGAATTGTAGTTCCTACAATCCCCACGTTTCGTGGGAGGGACCCAGTGGGAGGTAATTGAATCATGGGGGTGGTTACCCCCATGCTGCTGTTCTCATGATAGGGAGTGAGTTCTCATAAGATCTGATGGTTTTAGAAGGCGCTTTTCCCCATTTTGCTTGACGCTTCTCCTTGCTGCCACCATGTGAAAAAGGATGTGTTTGCTTCCCCTTCTGCCATGATTGTAAGTTTCCTGAGGCCTCCCCAGCCATGCTGAACTGTGAATCAGTTAAACCTTTTTCCTTTATAAATTACTGAGTCTCAGGTATGTCTTTATTAGGAGCATGAGAACAGACTAATGCACTATATAAGGATTGAATGTTTATAACATGAGAATGAATTCATTCATCTCTAATAAAATGTATTTATGACTAGAAGAAAAGATGTAGTTAAATAAAAAGCTTCCAAAGAACCTTTGTTTAGCTGGCCAAAACCACGATTATGACTTTCAGCAGTAAGTATTGATCTCATTAGCCAATTTCCCATTTCTTTGACTTGCAATTGGAGTAATCACGTTATGTGCAATCCATAGATAAATATGCCAGGCTTTCCTTTTAGCCGGTCCTATACATTTCATCTCATACCAAAGCTTTCACCTAATTACTCAAAGCAGCAAAAGTACATTATTTTACATTTCATAATCTTTCCTCTCCTCTTTCTTTATTTCAACAAGAGATATCAGTAGGTGGTGACATCACAGGAGCAAACTGCAGTAGTGTTAAAATTATAAAATTGCCATTAAATTATTTCATTTAATAAATATTGATTGATTGCCTTACTATGTGTCAGGCACTGCTCTTGGCATTGAGACACAGATGGGAACCCAATGGATAAAAATGTTGCCTGCCTAAAGCTTATATTCTAGTGTAGGGATACAGACAGTAAACAAGGTAAGTACATATAGGACATCATAAATGGTGACAATTAGAACAATTATAAAGAAACATCTAAATAAAGGGAAATTACTGGCTCCCATCATCTGCGAGCCCTGACTGAGAAGAGGTTCTTTTTCCTTAACTGATAAACTCAGGTCCTTCCAATATTGGTCATTTACTTAATCACAACATGGGCTCAGAAACGTGTCTTCCACCTAATCTGATATGTTATCTGAGTTCTTACACACTTCTTACACACAAAATTATATTAGCTATTGCCAATTTGTTTGCTTTCGTGAGGTTGTTTGGACTGAGTGTTTATTGCACCAGTGGGAACCTGGGAAGTTAGTCTGTTAGTAGGTAAGGGCATAGATTCTGGTTCAAATCCCAGCTCTCACCAGCTGTGTGACCATAGGCAGAATACTGAACTTCTCTGTGCTTCAGTCTCTTTAGCCACAGAGAGGGGATATTATAGTACCAACCGCATAGGGTTGTTGTAATAATGTGTATTCAAAGCAGTTAGAGCAGTACCTGACAAATAGTTTATTAAATAAAACAATACAAAGAAGATTACTTTGAGCATCTGCTTACCAGGGTTTCAAATTTAGGTTAGATTGAAGGTCATGTTCAATGCCTCACCCACACCTAAAATATTGCCAGTAACTGCCACTTTGTTAACTACATACCTTGGAATGATGCTAGATTTAGTGAGGTTTTTTGTGAAACTTTAAAGAGATGATGGATGTGTTTCCTAGTTACAATGTGATTTTGAGGGGAAAAAAAGAGTTTCTGTATCAAAAAGGCTTATCTGCTGTGTATTCATTATTGCCATTTTCCCTCCACAAGAAGGTAAGCTCCATGAAGGCAAGGTTTTTAGTTTTGTTTGGTTTTGGTTTTTGCTTTGTTTCTGTTGTTTACAAATGTATCCCACATACCTAGAATAGTATATATGGCACGTGGTAGGCATTCAATGCAATGGTTCAATAAATGAATAAAATAATAGATAAACAAGTGAATGAATAAATGAGAAAAAGCAACATTTAAAACCTGGTTATTAAACCAGGTTTAATTTCAGCTTAGTCACTACACCCAGTAGGGCTCCATGACTTACCTATCTATAAAATATACTCACTTCTGTAACTTTTTTGAATGCTAATGTATACAAGGTAATCTGCTAAACTGTGAGCCCTCAAAAAACTCACAATTTGGTAGCACAGATATGAAAGGTACCTAAATAAATAATGCAATGTACTCTAAAAAGAAAAAGAAAAGGAAAGCGAGAGAGAACTGGCGGAATCAGAGAAGATTCCTTACTGACCTTTCACCTTTTAGGGATACTTGAATTGATTCATATGATCCTCCCATGAAGTCTTCTTCAATACATTTGTTGAAAATTAAGATATTTGTGAATTTCACAAACCGTGTGAAACCCTGACAAAAAATACCTGGGAAATTCTAGCAAAACAAGATACCCTCATGTACAAAAGCAAAGAAGCCATGAAAGAGGACAGTTGTTTTCTGGGAAACTCGGATGAGATTTTGTAAGCCTGATTATTTTTTAGTTGATTTATATGTATTTACAGTTTCAGTTGTTTGTTACTTCTCAAAGTTATTTATGTTATTTAGTTTGTAGAAATACACACGACTGTGTGACATACGCATGGTGAGAATTCGTTTCCCTGACAATGATTACTTATATTTGTACAGAATAACATTACAAATGCATTAAATCCAGACACCCAGAAGAAATTGCAGCCATAAATTTTATTTGCTAGAAAAAAAATAGACAGGAACATTTTTTTCTTTGTTTTACCTTTTTTTAAGATTAATTTTTATGATATTAAAGAAAAGACTGCCTGGTGTGTTTAAAAGCAAGTATACTAAAAGTCATTTATGATCATGATAATGCAAGTACTGTGAATGAAATTTTTTATTTTAAAAAGTTGAAAAGTGTTCAGTGTTGTATATAAAAAGTGAGAAATATTGAGGTGAGAAAATTAGAACTTCTTTGTAATTAAATGCTCTAGTTTGTTTGCTGAACCATCGTCAGATGTATTATGAAGTGAATACGGTGAACTGGCATTAAACTCTGGAATCACAATGATAGCACCTACCACTTACTGAGCATTCCCTTTACGTCAGGAATTCTTCTAAGGCCTTTGTATTTACTAACTCATTGCATGCTTATAAGACTCCTGTGAGGTAGATGATTTTATCATCTCAAGCGTAGATTAATAAATCAAATGAGAAGCATTGGGAAATTGCAATCGTTCAGGGCCAGTAAGTGATAGAGGAGAAATCTGAACCAAGACCCCTCTAATCCCACAACCCTGAATGACTCTACACCACCGTGTTGACCCACCATGATAGTAGTGGTGATTTGTAGTTGTAATCATGGCAGTGATCCAGCCTCTGCCTATAAAGTTTGGGGATTTCTTCCCCATAAGATTACTAGCATTTCTTTGGTAATCGTTACATTGAAGTGCTGTAGAATTCTGTGAATAATGTATAAAAAGCAGCTTACAAAAAAAGTTCAAATGCTAAATCTTGGCAAATTTTGAACATGTCTTCTATGTTTTCATGGTGTTAGCTTTCAATCACATCATTTTTTTTTTATTTTTTTCCCTTGGAATGTAATCTCATCATTTCTAATCCACTGAGGTTTTAAACACATAAACGACTCAATCACAGACAGGGATACGGGAGGGGAAAAAAAAACACGTATTGAGCACGAAAATTGGGCCGGGCCTGCTCTAGGGGTTTACTGGCTTTATCTCAAATAATATACAAAATAATTATATTGTTCATGCATGCATGCATTCATGCATTGATGAATTTCAAGTTGGAGATGTATAGGTAAAAATGGGTTAGGGTTAGAAGCTGGGAGGGGACTGACCCTGGGCTCAAAACTATGAAAAGGGATGGGGTGGGGATGGCTTTGGGATGACATTAGAGACGGTTTATCACTATCTGAAAAACTGTATATTTTACTTACTTGTTTATTGTCTGTTTCTCTCTAGTAGAACATAATCTCCATGAGGGCTCAGATTGTTTTTTGTTTTCTTTACTGTTGTATTTTCAGGGTCTACTCTAGAACAAGGCCTAGCATACCATAGGCATAAATACTTTTTGAGTGAATGAATAAAAGAATGAATCATTTCATAAATATTTATTGTGTGGTGCCAGTCACTCCACTGGTGCTGGGGTGTTCATGATGTGAGACACTGCCCTTCTCTTAATAGAATTATGGTCTAGTATAAGAGATGAACAAACAACAGGATATTATCGTTTGGTATGAAAGGCAGTACTGTGAGAACAGGAATTCCAAAAGCTCTGGTGTGATCCTGTGGACCTAATCCCATTCTGGGGAGGCAGAGTGGCTTTCTTAGATGAGGCAAGAGCATCTAAGCTGAAACCTAGGCAATAGGGGAGTAGCCAGACAAGTAGGCAAAAGGAAATAAGAAGAACAAGGCTGAAGGCTAGGAGGAAGCACAGCTTCTCCTAGGAACTCCAAGGTTGCTAGTAATGTCCTCATTTTAGTTATGAGAAAATTAAAGCTCAGAAAAGTAAAATGATTGGCCCAAGGTTCCAGCTCAGGGGCTCACGCCTGTAATCCCAGCACTTTAGGAGCCTGAGGTGGGCAGATTGCTTGAGCCCAGGAGATTGAGACCAGCCTGGGCAACATGGCAAAACGCTTTCTCTATAAAAATACAAAAATTATGCCAGCATGGTGGTGCACACCTGTAGTTCCAGCTATGTGGGAGGCTGAAGTGGGAGAATTGCTTGAGCCTGGGACGTGGAAGCTGCTGTGAGCCATGATTGTACCACTGCACTCCAGCCTGCAAGCAAGCAAGCAAGCAAGCAAGCAAGAGGACGATTCCAGCTCAGTTCTGTCTGTGTCCAAATGCCATGATGTTTTTAGTCTGCCGTGTGCAAGACCCACATACCAGAGTTTCCTTGTGCTTGTGTGTCAAATCCCCTCCGCAAGTGGCAATAGCATTTTCCAAATGGAAAATGGTGACTGTTTAATTCCTGCCTAGTATCCTTCATCTCATCTCTTACTATTGAAAATATTCCTCAGAGAACTGCAAAGCTAACTTTTCATTGTTTTTCTATGTGGTATAGGCTGGGACCAAGGTAAACATACATGAAGTTGTATTCACTTTCTTAGGACTCCAGAGATCCATTGTGTGGACTAAGATGTACATTTAATCAGTGTAGCTTAAAGGATTAGAAGAATTCACCCGCCTTCCCGAAAGGCTGATGTTTCCCCTGGGGAACGGCTTACATATGGGGATTATCATTGAGAATCATTACTTAACAATTTGCTCTACCAAATTCTGCAATAACCAGAGACTAACTCTAATGGAAGATTGGGGATGTTTTAAGATAATACCATCTGCGATCCCAGCATTTATTCCGCATGATGTCTTTGCCTTCTTCGGGAGACTTCATTTATCCTGGCCCACAGAACCACACATTTTCTGAGTTGGAAGTGTTTCTGTCCTTTTATTTTGCATTTCTGGGATAACCATTGCTTCCCGTGTTCTGGACTTTGCTGTCTTCCCTTCACCTTTGTGTGTTCAGCGGGTGTCTCACAAAGGTAGGAATCTGTAAAAGGTAGCCGGATTTAATCTGTCTTTGAAAACATGGGGGGCTATAATAAGGTCCACTGCTGAGAGAAATCACTCTGAATGCTTCAAACAGGCAATTCTAAGTACCTGAATGCTCAAGGGTTTTTCTATCATAGCATTATTGACAAGACCCTTCAGTACTCTTCCTGGCCATTTTCTCCATTTAGGGACAAGATTGGGAAAATCTGAGTCTCAGCTTTAGCTCTGCCATCTAGAATTATTTCACCTTCGTGAGCCTCAGCGTCCTAACCTGTAAAATGGGAATGGTAACAGTGGATTTGCCTATTTTTGTGTTGTTACAAGGAACAAATGAGATGTATGTCAACATACTTGTAAACTATAAAGTATTCTGTAGATGTAAGCTGTTAATATTGCTATTACTACCCATGGATTGAGATACAAGTGGATATTTTCATTTCAGCTTTCTTATTATGACAAGTGGTCATTTCAAGCATGAGGACTTGGCTCAGATGGTGTAGAAACATGCTGCTGAATGTCAGTAACACCTCTGTAACACTTGGACTGCATTCATTCACAAAAGTGAAGAAGAACAACACCAAATGCAGGAATTTTGCATGAGGAGTTCTATTAATGTCACTTCTTGTCTACTTCCTGAGAGAAGACAGTTGAGAACTTCTAGAATTCTGATCAGTGATATCTTACATATTTTTTAAAGGACTAACTTTAGAACTGAGGACTTTGTAAATAAGAAGTAAATTATCCAGAAGGTATAACATAACAGTTAAGAGTTTGGGCTTTGGAGTCAGCCCAATGTTCTAACAGTGTTTTAGTTGGGATTGTATTAGCTTATGCTTCATGAAAAAATTAACCGTGAAATATCAGTGGTTTAACATATTATGCTTGTTCTTTTGTAAAAACTGATGCAAGTCAATAACGATTCTCCTCCATTCAGTGTCTCAGGAATCCAGGGTCCTTTCAGCTTAAGACATTATCTCAATATATGGCTCTCAACATACCAAGGAAAGGGGAAAAGTTCATATAAAATAGATACATTAGCTGTTGAATGGCTAGAGGTATCAGCTATGATTGCCATCTATGTTTCATTGTCTAGAAAAGTTATATGGCTTTGCCCAACTACCAAGATATGGGTAGTGTAGTCTTCCCCTGTTGCCAGGAAGGAACGGACCATTAAGGGGAAACATTAGGCATATTTTCTATACCCGACTCAACTAGCCAAGTGAGTTTTGGCAACTTAGATGTTTTCATGCATAAAATAAAAGTAATAGTAGTTTCTACTTTATATGGCTATTAGGCACATAAAATGAGATAATGTACATCCAACATGTAGCATACCTGGCACAGAATAAGTGCATAATTAATGTTAGATAATATTATTGTTGTACTGATTAATGGATTAATTGACCCATACTCAGTTATATCAAGTGTTAATGAAGAAACTCCACGGCTGACCTCTGAATTACTTGGAGATTTCTCAGCACCAGAACCAGCTTTATTTCCAGAAGGCTTTACCTTTTTTCCCACAATTATGAAAAAGTTATACATCTTACAATTTCTAGAGTATCAAGAGTTTCTCAGTGAAGCTCTTCTCTTGCTATGAAACCAACAATCGTTTAATTTAAATCTGTTTTATCCAAAGGTCAGATGAAAATGCATTTGTGTAATAAGATGTCAACTCCTGAAGGGTTTGTTATTTTCCATATCCACTGAGCAAGAACATGGTGGGCCATTTCCAGGGGGCTGCTTTGTTTGTATTTAAAACCATCTGAGCTTTCTTCTTCTAGTAAGTCAATAGACGGAAAGATTAAAGCAGATGCACCCAGCAGGCAGAAAAATTATGAGTCCTGGCCATTGATGCTAGAGCCTCAATGAAAGGGAAAGGGGGCCGGGCATGGTGGCTCATGCCTATAATCTCAGCACTTTGGGAAGCCAAGCTGGGTGGATCTCTTGAGCCCAGGAGTTCAAGACCAGCCTAGGCAACATAGCAAGATCCCATCTCTACAGAAAAATACAAAAATTACCAGGTGTGGTAATGTACATCTGTGGTCCCAGCTGCTCGGGAGGCTAAGGTGGGAGGATTGTTTGAGCCTAGGAGGTTGACGCTGCAGTGAGCCATGAGCATGCCACTGCACTTCAGCCTGGACACCAGAAAGAGATTCTGTCTCAAAAAAATGAAGGAAAGAAGGGAAGGGAAGGAAGGAAGGCAGAAAGGGAGCCAGGAAAGAAGGAAGGAGGGAGGGAGGGAGAGAGGGAGGAAAGAAGGAAGAAAAAAAAGGAAAGTGAAACTAACATGTAGATTATCTGCTCTATGCTGGGAACTTGACATGTCACTTTAATCCTCGGAGCAAACTTGCAAGGTGAGTTTTATTCCTCAGTTTGCAGATAAGAAAACTGAGTCTCAGAAGGGCTGAGTAACTGGCCCATGGTCTCAAGGCTAGTAAATGGCATGGCTTGGATTTGAACCATGTTTTAAGGGAGAGGAAAAATAATAGAAAGAACATACACTTTGAACCAAGAAAGAGCTGAGTTTGAATCTTGGCTTTGCTACTGATTAACATGGTATCTAGATTAAGTTACTTAGTCCAGTTTATCTATCTGTAAAAGGAAGATAATAATAATAATAATGGGCAATAATAACAAGTTATGTAGGACTTACTGTGCCCAGTTTTTTATATGCCTTATGTATATTGCTCTACTTAATCCACACAACCACCTGATTGAAGCAGGCAACATTATTGTCCCTCTTTTATAGAACACAAAAGTTCACAGAGGGGGTAAGCGGCAGAGCATGAATTCAAAACCAAGTGACTGGCTCCAGAGTCCAAGTCCTTAGCTGATAGCTGCCCTCCATTCACAAGAATAATAGTATCCAGAACAAATGAGAGAACATATAAAGTGCAATGCATGCCTATTTTAGGGCAAATACATGTCGTTATCACTTTTCTACTCTACAATACTGGTGTGGTATTTCCAAGGGGATAGCTTCCCTCCAGGAAGAAGCAATCTAACTTGGGAACCATGGAGCATTGACCCAGCTATGAATGATGCTTCGCTCCTTTTATCCATCAAAACGTTTCCATCTCACCCTTATATTGTCTTGGATTCTATTCTTCTATGGAACAGACATTTGCAATTTCTCCCAGTGTAAAGGAAATCAAATACAGGATGGGACTGTGCTGTCTCCGTTAGTCTGTAGCTGGTAGGTCGTCTGCCCAATGGGAAGGCTGCGGGTGATGATGTGGGAGGAGATTAAGGCATTTGAGAGACCATCCATCAAACGGCAAGTTAGCTGGATAGTATAATTGCTTGGAGATTTTATCATATATTTGGCTTTTTTGCTAAAGGAGAGCTTAACTATAATCCTTTTAAATTGATTAGCCATTATTTCTGTTGTTGAGCCAAGTTGTTAAGAATCCGTAGTTCCTCATTCCCTTTCGGTTCATTTTATCACAGAAATCTGAAAGATGAAGGCAAGTTCTACTTTCAGACGTGCAGTTAAATGGACAGAAACAATCAGAGGCCTGCAATCTTTAGATTCGAGATGGTATCTAATGAATTGGGAGGGCACTGTGAAAGAGAGTACCCTTTTCTAGCTGAACAGAGAGATGATTAACTACGTTGACTACAAAGAGCAGTCATTGTAAGTTACTATGGAAATATTTTCCAAACCTCTAGGCAAAAGCACAGGCTCAGTGAAGACAAATAACTCTCAAAGTTCTTTTTTTAGGTGAGTCCATAAGGGAGCTGCAACTTAGGAACACTCTCTAATGGCCTTCTTTTAATCTTCCTTTATGACACTGAATTTAAAAAGTAAAAGTCAGGGTTAAGAGAGAAAGCAGTCTTTTAGGATAGCTTTGTGTCCTTACCTCTCACCCCAAATTTAAGACCTAGAAAATAAACAGTACACACACATTCACACACACATACACACACACTTACTTTAGCATTGTGTATCATAGGAATTGCTAGCTGTCCTTGGTGACTTATAGGAACATTAGAGTAGTTTCATTCAGCAAACATAATTGAAGACATATCCTGTTCAAGGCAGTGGGCTAATTACCTCACTGCATTAAAAAAAAAATGTCTACAGCAGTCACCTTGATACTGCCTTCTAACCCCCTTCTAATCAGTTACCAAATCCTGTTGACTCTACTGCAAAGACATTCCCTGTATTCGTCTGTTTTTGCATTGCTGTAAAGGGATACCTGAGACTGGGTAATTTGTAGAGAAAAGAGATGTACTGGGCCACGGTTCTTCAGGCTGTATGAGAAGCATGGTGCCAGCATCTGCTTCTGGCAAGGACCTCAGGAAGATTCCAGCCATGGCAGAAGGCAAAGGGAGCCAGTGTATCTCGTGGCAAGAGTGGGAGCAAGAGAGTGATTTGGGGAGGTGCAAGGCTTTTTAAACAACCAGCTCTCCCATGAACTCAGAGAACTTACTCATTACGAGGACAGCATCAAAACATTCATGAAGGATCCATCCCCATCCCCAAATACCTCCCACCAGTCTCCACTTCCAAAACTGGGGACTACATTTCACCATGAAATTTGGAGGGGACACCCATCCAAACTCTATCATCACCTTCACTTTCTTCCAGTTGCCACCCATGACTCGGGCCTGCACCACCCCACTGGCTCCTCACCAGGCTCCCCATGCCATTCCCCTTCCTTTGAACATCAGTCTGTCCTTTCAAAGGCAGATTTCATTCTGTGACGGCTCCATTGAGAACTCTTCAGTGATTCCCAGCTGCTCTAAGCAGAACAACGGAATCCACCTCACGCTTTCCAGAGTCCCGTGTGTGCTGGCCCTCGTGTGCCTGGCCAGTATCCCCACATATGCCCCTTCTGGCTTCCCTGCTCTCCAGTGTCACTTGCTGTCAGTCGTTTCCTCCAACAAGCCCTGTCGTTTCCTACCTCATAGTCTTTATGGATCTGTGACTTCTGCCTGCACAACTTTTCACCCTGACTTCACCTAGCTAACTCCTAGTCATCCTTTAGGTTCTTACCTTAAATATTATTTTCTCAAAAGATAAATAAATAAGGCTGGGTATAGTGACTCACACCTGTAATCCCAGCACTTTGGGAGGCCAAGGCTGGCAGATCACCTGAGGTCAAGAGTTCAAGACCAGCCTGACCACCATGGTGAAACCCCGTCTCTACTAAAAATACAAAAATTAGCCGAGGATGGTGGTACGTGCCTGTAGTCTCAGCTACTTGGGAAACTGAGGCAGGAGACTTGCTTGAACCTGGGAGGTGGAGGTTGCAGTGAGCCGAGATCGGGCCACTGCACTCCAGTCTGGGTAACATACTGAGACTCCATCTTGGAAATAAATAAATAAATAACTCCCAACCAACTTTTCCTTTCTCCTCCCTCCTCCCATCCAGGCATACACCTTTGAACACCCTTTGCTTTTCTCACCTATTTCTCTATCATCATGGTTTAGTTACATTCTTAGTTGCATAATTAATTTGCAACCCCCACAAAAAACAAACCAACAAATCTTCAGAAGAAGGTGGCTGACTGCTGTGTCCTCAGCACCCCACATACAAGAGTTGCTAAATATTTCCTATTCGACAAATAAATGAAATTACATTCCATTCCCTGAGAGAATGAGAATATTTGCAGGTAACCTCACATGAAGAAGCAGAAAAAGTAATACTTTGGGAGTATACTTAAGAGAGCCATTAATTCCCTGTAGTGGGACTGATGAAATCTCCATAGAATTAAAGTGGACTTTTAAGGACAAGGAGAATTAAGAGATGCAAAATAGAGGGAAGGTCCTGCCTATTCCAAGATAAGTGCTTGGCCAAAGCAGGCAAGCATATGTCACTTTTGAAGAATGGTGAGAAGTCAAATCCAGCTCATACATAAGGTGCTGTAGCAGACTGGGTGCAGGTGGGTGGGAGGAAGACTGGGTTGAAAGATGGCTTTGAATGCCACACCAAAAAATTGGGGCAAGCACATAGATAAGAGGCAGGCTTCAATGTCCTTGTGAGGGAGTACACAGGATTTTAGCAGTGCTTTATAGGTGGGTAAGAATGATCCAGATGAAAAATAGTGAAAAGCCTGGACTAGGCTCATAGTAAGTACAATGAAAGCAAGGAACAATTTAAGAGACAGTGCACAAAGCAAGGTTTCTTTGTATATTGAAATCAAATGCACATTTAATATCAATTTGTTGAGAAAAACGTGACTTTTCCCCTGTGAACAATTCATTCTTTTAAAACAACATTTTCTAAATTTTCTGGAAAATGAGAGAAAGAGAGAGAGAGAGAGAGTGAGAGATTGTTTGGTTGATTGTTTCTGTTGCAAGATGAAAAACTTAACCCGAGCGAGTTTAGGCAAAATGGGGAATTTACAGGCTCTCATACCATGCGAAAGCTGATTTGCTGCTGGAAGCTCTTTTTATTTCTTGCTATCTTTCATCTCTGCTGTACTTTGGGCGTCAGTTTTTACTCTCGCAGACAGGCTCTTCCTGAGCTGTTTCATGCACAGGTTGTCACCACACTTCTTTTAGGTGCTAGTAGAAAACTACTGGAAGGTTCTCAGTGATCTAGTAGGGTGTCTCATCCACTACCGAGCCTGGAAGATGTGCTCTGTGCCAGCCACGCTCTCGAACCATGGGCCTGACATTGTCTGCTGGACTGGATCTCAAAATAAAGAAACATTTCATTATGGAAAGAAGGAAAAGGTGAGGCAAAGCAGTGGATGTCGGCTCCATATACTGTGACCTATGTGCTGAATAGGTCATATTTGGGGGCTGTAGGTCAACACAGTGTAGGGGAGGAAAAGATTCCCTTTCTTACCTATTGCCTGGTTCATGGCTGAGGCCTCTATAATAAAAGATATGCTGGGCACAGTGGCTCATGCCTGTAATTCCAGCACTTTAGGAGACTGAGGCAGGAGGATTGTTTGAGGCTAGGAGTTCGAGACCAGCCTGGGCAACATAGCAAGGAATTATCTCAGTTTAAAAATTAGCCAGGCGCAGTGGTGCATACCCTTAGTCCCAGCTACTCTGGAGGCTGAGGCAGGAGGATCGCTTGAGCCCAGGAGTTCAAGGTTGCAGTGAGTGCCACTGCACTTCAGTCTGGGTAACAGAGTGAGACCTTGTCTCTTAAAAAATAAATGAATGCATAGATTTCTAAATGACAGATAAGAGAAAAACACACACATTTATTTATTTCATGTAAATTTTACATGACATAGGAGCCTTCCAAAATGAAGACCCAAAGAAACAGGGAAACTTGTGTATTTTTAGGCTAAATTTGATGAAGAGTGGACAGTCCATAGGGAGGTATGACTGGACAAAGTGGGTAAGATCTATTGTCCAATCTTATTGTTAATTAAGTGGGTGATTAACTCGGGGGAGCTTAGCAAGCCCTGTTTGTTCAGATTCTCCTTGGCATCTCCTTGTCTTCGAGGATAAGGACGTTTCTTTCCTCTGGGTATAGGGAGAATATCTCTGGAATGAAGGTCTTTTGACCTACTTCAGAGAGGAAGGTCATAGACTTCTTTTTTTTTTTTTTTTTTTTTTGAGACAGAGTCTCCCTCTGTTGCCCAGGCTGGAGCGCAGTGGTGCCATCTCAGCTCACCGCAAGCTCCTCCTCCCGGGTTCACGCCATTCTCCTGCCTCAGCCTCCCGAGTAGCTGCAACTACAGGCGCCTGCCACCACGCCCGGCTAATTTTTTGTATTTTTAGTAGAGATGGGGTTTCACTGTGTTAGCCAGGGTGGTCTCGATCTCCTGACCTCATGATCTGCCCACCTGGGCCTCCCAAAGTGCTGAGATTACAGGTGTAAGCCACCACGCCCGGCCAGAATTCTTTTATAGCTTCCTGCAGGGGAGAAGGGAAGGAGGCAAGTCAGAAACACCTTCTTGCTTCTGCTGTTTTCTCAAATGCCAAGGCTGGAGTGCAGTGGTGAGATCTCGGCTTACCGCAACCTCTGCCTCCCAGTTCCAGCAATTCTCCTGCCTCAGCCTCCTGAGTAGCCGGGATTACAGGCACGTGCCACCACACCTGGCTAATTTTGTATTTTTAGTAGAGACGGGTTTTCTCCATGTTGGTCAGGCTGGTCTCCAACTCCCAATTTCAGGTGATCCGCCTGCCTTGGCCTCCCAAAGTGCTGGGATTACAGGCGTGAGCCACCACGCCTGGCTACGTTTTCATTCAACAGAGTTGGAGATCAATCATTTCACTCCAGAAATAGAAGAATATTTGTGTAGTAAAGGAAATAGCTGAATGTAATATTTCTGCTTCTTCTGATCCTACTGTGCTTCATAATTAAATAATGTCCTAGATAGCCAGGGCCAATAAATAAATGGAATCAATATTTTACTTAACAAAAACAAAAATAGATGAATATGGCTAGCTGCTTAATAGTTCATCTCATATTTCATGTAATCATTCTTACATTGTTTATTTTACAATAAGAAAATGGGAGCTGACATCTGTGGATATGAACTACTGTATCTAAGGACAGATAGTTTAAAACATAAATACTTAAAAGAGATATATTGCTAGCCTTCAGATATCAAAGTCACTAAAATATGAAATTACACTGCATTGAGAATGTTCAAATTATATTTTTATGGATTATAAATTATAAAATTTTTATAAAGCCTCCAGAGAATTTTAGAATTTGTATTGGAAGCCATTCTGTGGAATTCCATAAAACACTTTAAAGGTAGGAATTTTCATAGGTCACTAAGGACTTCTGTAGAGCCCCATAAAAATGCAATTTCCATGAAATACCATGTTAATGCATTCCCAGTTTATTTATCTTCTTGCCTTTCCTCCAGCTGTAACCTAACAATCATCCTGTCTTTTCCTTTTTACGTTGCTTTCTTGCAGTTGTATCCAGATGTAAATGAGTGCATTCATTATATTTCATATGCCCTTTTGAGGACCTTATTATCCAAAAATAATATTTGAAATGGCACCAAGAAACATTTTTTAAAGCCATTGGCCAACAGTGCCATGCGTGGGGAGCAGGTTGAAGCAGAGACCTAAAAACATTTCTAAATAAAATGATTAGAGAGCCATGAATTTAATGGCAGCCTCTATAACTGTAGAAAAATTATTTTGCAAGCCCTGCATTCAGAGGTGTCTCTGGTGCTCTCTGTGTGTGTGCCATAGGTTGGCTGGCAAAAGCACATTTTCCCATGTGTTCTTATACTTATAAACTATCTTTAAAATAACCCTTCAGCTTTTTTGTAATGTGATAAATCAAACAGATCCAATTAAGCTTAGGAAAACTGTTCTTTTTGGCAGCAGCTGAGCTAAGGTGGTATATGAGTTTCAAAAAGTTGCCGTAACAAAGCACTGCAGAGTGAGTGGCTTAAGCAGAAACATATCATCTCACAGTTCTAGCGGCTGGAGTACAAAATCAGGTGTGGGTTGGGCTGAATCCTTCTGAGGGCTGTGAAGGATCTATTCCAGACCTCTCTCCTTGGTTTGCAGGTGCTCGTCATCTCCCTCTCTCTCTTCACTTTGTTTTCCCTCTATGTACCTGTTTCTGTGTCTAAATTTCCCCTTCTTATAAAGATACCAGTTGTATTAGATTATAGTTCACCCTAATGATCTCATTTTATCTCGATTACCTCTATAAAGACCCTTTCTCCAAATACAGTCATATTCTGAGATACTGGAGGTTAGGCTTTAAACGTAAGAATGTTGGGGGCACTCAATTTAACCCATTACAAATGTGTTGCCCTGGCCGTCTGGCCGTGCAGGCTGACTCTGACCAATGGAATTACTAGGCATTATTCTCATGTAGAGTAGTGAAGAAATGTAGGCCCTAGAGTTGAAGAGCCTGGATTAGAATATTGCTTTGGCCCTTCTTACCTGTCTGACCAACGACATAACCTCACATAGCCTCAGTTTCCACATCTATAAAATAGGGGTATATGAAGTACCTACTTCATTGAATGTTCTGAGGCTTAACTGAAAGTGCTTAATCACTAGAACAGATATTAACTCAAACATGGCACCTTCTTGTTATTTTTATCATCACCAAGTTGTCTATCTGTTGTTATTATTGCCCTTCTTTGTTGGAAATTTTCCATAATAACACATTTTATATGCATGTTAACACAACAAATGGGAATTCTCTTGGTCTATTTCAGTATTTATAGCTCCGATGAACTTCAAGAAACTATGACTGAAAGATACTATATATTGTGTCTCAAATCTGATTATTCTTAGAAAACTAGTGACAGATTGAATGACCCTACCCCGTATCCCACCCAAGGAGTACATATAAAATATTCTGATTCCATCTATGCCTTAAAAATTACTTTGCCCACACAGAACTGGATGGGAAGTTAACTGGATTGGAAATTCTAGTCCAGATTCTACTACTTGAGGTCTGTGTCTGTTTCCTCTTCTGTATAGAAAAAGATAACTGACTTGAAGCTAAAATTTTATATTTTTTAGAACGGAACATGACCAGCTCCCCTTTAACTAGTTCCCTGTAATCAGGCAGAGCATACAGGGAGGTGGACACCAGGTCAGATCTTGTGTCATTTGTATTGGATATTTTACATGTAGAATGTTATTAGAATATAAAATCTCTAAAAGAAAAAAGAAAAGATTTTCAGGTACCAGGTTGTGATCTTCTTAATTCAAGTATTAGGTTGAACCATAGTGAAACATACAATATTTGACCTTTTTTCGACCTACAAAAATAATGGTTTCATATGGTTCAGCTTAAGAGTTGAATTTTTTAAATACATATTTTAAGTTTTGGGATACGTGTGCAGAACGTGCAGGTTTGTTATATGGGTATACACGTGACATGATGGTTTCCTGCACCCATCAACCCATCATCTACATTAGGTATTTCTTCTAATGCTCTCCCTTCCCTTGTCCCCCACCCCTTGAGAGGCCCCGGTGTGTGATGTTCCTCTCCCTGTGTCCATGAGTTATCATTGTTCAACTCCCACTTATGAGTGAGAACCTGCAGTGCTTGGTTTTCTGTTCCTGTGTTAGTTTGTTGAGAATGATGGCTTCCAGCTTCATCCATGTCCCTACAAAAGACATGAACTCATCCTTTTTTATGGCTGTAGAGTATTCCATGGTGTATATGAGCCATATTTTCTTTATCCAGTCTATCATTAATGGACATGTGGGTTGGTTCCAAGACTTTGCTATTGTGAACAGTGCCGCAATAAACATAGAGGTGCATGCATCTTTATAGTAGAATGATTTACAATCCTTTGAGTATATACCCAGTAATGGGATTGCTGGGTCAAATGGTATTTCTGGTTCTAGATCCTTGAGGAATTGCCACAGTGTCTTCCACAATGGCTGAACTAATTTATACTCCCACCAACAGTGTAAAAGCGTTCCTATTTCTCCGCATCCTCTCCAGCATCTGTTGTTTCCTGACTTTTTAATCATAGCCATTCTAACTGGCATGAGATGGTATCTCATTGTGGTTTTGATTTGCATTTCTCTAATGAACAGTGATGATGAGCTTTTTTTCTTTTCTCTTTTCTTTTTTTTTTTTTTTGAGACAGAGTCTCATTCTGTCACCAGGCTGGAGTGCAGTAGTGCAATCTTGGCTCACTGCAACCTCCGCCACCCAGGTTCAAGAAATCCTCCTGCCTCAACCTCCCAAGTAACTGGG
The DNA here is from genome assembly GCF_000001405.40 of Homo sapiens. Lineage (NCBI taxonomy): Eukaryota > Metazoa > Chordata > Mammalia > Primates > Hominidae > Homo > Homo sapiens. The sequence goes on from NC_000010.11 coordinate 23,964,030, forward strand.
ACTGCAGGCGTGCACCACCACGCTCAGCTAATTTTTTCTTTCTTTTGTATTTTTAATAGAGACGGGGTTTCACCATGTTGGCTAGGATGGTCCCCATCTCTTGACTTCATGATCCACCCGCCTCAGCCTCCCAAAGTGCTAGGATTACAGGCATGAGCCACTGTGCCTGGCCGATGAGCTGTTTTTCATATGTTTGTTGGCTGCATAAATGTCTTCTTTTGAGAAGTGTCTGCTTATGTCTTTTGCCCACTTTTTGATGGGGTTGTTTTTTTTTTTTTGTAAATTTGTTTAAGTTCCTTGTAGATTCTGGATATTAGCCCTTTGTCAGATGGATACATTGCAAAAATTTTCTCCCATTCTGTATGTTGCGTGTTCACTCTGCTGATAGTTTCTTTATTAGATCCCATTTGTCAATTTTGGCTTTTGTTGCCATTGCTTTTGGTGTTTTAGTGATGAAGTCTTTGCCCATGCCTATGTCCTGAATGGTATTGCCTAGGTTTTCTTCTAGGGTTTTTATGGTAGAACACTATGTAACAGTTGAATTTTTTTTTTTGTCTTGCTCTGTCGCCAGGCTGGAGTTCAGTGGCACCATCTCGGCTCACTGCAACCGCCACCTCCCAGGTTCAATCAATTCTCCTGCCTCAGCCTCCCGAGTAGCTGGGGCTTCAGGTGCATGCCACCACGCCCAGCTAATTTTTGTATTTTTTAGTAGAGACGGGGTTTCACCTTGTTGGCCAGGATGGTCTTGATCTCTTGACTTCGTGATCTGCCTGCCTCAGCCTCCCAAAGTGCTGGGACTACAGGCGTGAGCCACCATGCCTGGCCAACAGTTGAATTCTTAATCCAGTGCCTTAGACCACTTGGCCATGCAACCACCCATAATAGTTGAATTCTAAGAGACAGAAAGAATACGAACTTTATCTTGAAGCTGGTTATAGTGGGATGACTTCTATTAGAGGCAAAGGAACAGAAAATGACTTTACCCCGTCCCCCAGCTGCACATTAAAGGTGAAAATATAGTCACACAAACTATCACTGTGGAGTTGCAGCATTTTAAATGTTATAAACTGCATTTCTGTGATTAGGACCAACTGGAGAACAAGTGCAGCCTGAATTAGCAAAAATAAAAATACACAAACACACACACATGTATAATTTTAGAATGTTGTTTCAAAAAGGGTTTAAAGCTGTGCCTGGCAGATTGGACAAACATCATGCTGCATCCGGAGGGCCTCTGCGTGTGTTCTCTGGGAAAGCGTGACCTGCAGATCCCAAGGGCTCATAACCAACTGTATGTTTCATAACTAACTGAGTGCAGTCTCACTGGCAAATGCCCTATAAGGCCTCTTGTTCCTGGGGCCGTCAACGGCAGCAGAATAGAAGGCAGTTTAGTCATTGTGGATAGAGAGGCTTGTACTTTGGATGCCTTTTTGTTTCCAGCTAGTTTCCACCTTAAAGCCTGGACCTGGACATCACTCTACAGCTGTGTGTGGAAGGAGCTAGAGATCACATCAGGGTGTTTTAAGTAACTGGAATTCTGCTACATTTGAAAACAATTAGATCAGAAACAAAACGTTGCCATCTCAAGGTGCTTATCTTGAGGTCTACAAGGATGCAGGAAGCAAAATAAAAGAGCAAAGGCATAGCAGTAAATGGATTTTTAAAATAACCCACAGCAACACATCTTCAGCACAGAGGGAGTGGGAATGCTGCCTTCTGTGGTGACCTGGAGTTATATAGGGCCCAGTTTCTAGTGCTTGAGGCTAAGGATACTGGGGAAAGAAGCACCATACTCTGTACCCACAGGGTCTCTGCAGAGTTTGCCATCCGGTTACCTTAACATGTTTAAAATGCCCACTAACTTTCAGCAAGAGTGGGTAAAAGTGTCCCTGTAACAGACACTGATTTAATGGCTTGACCTTGACAGCCATGATTCTTTCTAACCATGACACCATGGCATGTCTTAGCCCATATTGCCAACATTGCTCCTAGGACACTGGTTGTCAGTGGAGCTGCTGAGCACATCCCTGCTGGCAGACCTGGCTTTATGAGTGTGTGGGCTGTGCAGTCTCACTGAGCCCTGTGCTTAGAAGGGCCCTGTGCCTGGTTTAATGATCTGTTGTCTCCATCTGGAGATTCTTAATTTTTGAATAAGAGCCCCACATTTTCATTCTCCCCTGAGATCACGCTGACTGATAGACAACAAGCCTCTGTGGGCACTACCTTTGGAGAGGATCTGCCAAGAGACTGAGCAAAGGCTGTAAGCATTGTTCGTGGAATTGAGATTAATCTAAAAAATGGGCGTGGGGGTAATGGGACTCTGAAGTCTCTAAGAGAGCACTGTTTGGAGAAAGTTTCATAGAAAAGCACATGGGAAAAGGAAGGGCCGGGTCCACATACCAACCCACCAGGGTGGGCTGCCGCCAGTATGACACACGTGTGCTCTCTCAAGCAGTAGCCATCAGACTACCTGCTGTCTACCGTCAGCTGACAGCAGGTGCTCTTCCCCTGCCCTGCCCTGCAGTTTGCAGCCTTCATTCTTGCTATGAAGCAGATGTATGAAGCTTGAGAATAAAAACGATGCTCTCATCCCCTCTGGCATACAGTCAATACTTGTTTTCCCAAGCTCCATTCCTCCCTAGACCTTCTTTAGTCTTCCAGAGAAAGAGGAAGAAGACTGGAGATTATAGTTTTATGATTTAGACTGGTGAAGGCCTCTGTAACCATTCATCCCGAAGAAAGTAATAATGTAGTAAGGAACTATGAAGGGACTATGTGATGATGTAATTAATTCTTTTTGGGCAGGGATTCAAATGAATATTATTCAACCATCACAGGCAGTTTTGGTTTTAATCTCTGCAATATGTAGGCCATGTGCTGCTTCAAAAAGTATAGAGTCTTTGGTTTGACAAGTGACCCTTTTATTTTAAAACTAAATACATATTGGAAAAGTGGCTAATCTGGTGTTATCATAAAATTTTGATTTTATACAATCAGTATTAATAAATAAATAAAGAATTATTAAGTTTTAAAAGAAAAAACACTTGGAAATATAGAAGACCCTCCCCTTTTAAACAACTCCTCAAAGAAAAAGTGAAAACAAATGGCAAAATTGTTAGAAAATGATAATCATAAAAACATGACATATGACTAAATATGTCATCTTTAATGCTTTACCCATCGAAATTAAATGAAGGAAAATAAGGGAACTAAGAGTCCAGTTCGATAAGTAGAAAAACAACTATAAACAAACCTAAGAAAATAGCAAGATAACAGAAATGAATAAGAAGATGGTATGAGGTTTTAGAAAATTACATGGTAATTTATTATAACAAAAACAAATAACAGAAGGAGACATATTTGCAATACATGTGTCTTTCAGGAAAAGCATGAATTTCTTCAGGTTTATTTTTAATAGAAAAATAATAGAAGTGCAAGAAGTCCACAGAAAAAGAAATACAAATGGCCAATACATAAATGCAATGATACTTGACTTCATAAAGAAATTGTATTTAAAGTGGAAGTGTATTCAATATCACTTATTAGAATGCTAGGTAGTATTGCCAAAGATGTGGGGAAATAGCATCCCTCTACTGTGCTGGTAGAAGTGTAAATACAAACAGTTTTGGAGGACAATTTGACACTATTATTTTGGAAAGACATACAATAATGCATTTATTTTTTAATGTTTTTCATTAACAGAAAAATTCTGAATTACAAAAGACAAATTTAACCTGCTTATTGATATTGTTTAGAGGTGAATATTTACATTTTATTTGGTAATATATAATTTGGTCCTCTAATTGCTTAGGCACTTAGACATTAGGTAAGTTCTAGTGTCTCAAGCAACTCACAGAATAATATATTAAATGTGTGTGTGTGTGTGTGTGTGTGTGTGTGTGTGTGTATGGAGGACATGCCTTTTTTAAAATTTTACTTTAAGTTTTGGGATACATGTGTGGAATGTGCAGGTTTGTTACATAGGTATACATGTGCCATGGTGGTTTGCTGCAACTATCAACCCGAATTTGACTCTATTAATTCTCCTGCAGATAACCTATCCTATGTATATACTCACAAAGTGATAATCCCAACAGAATACCAAAGTATGCATATGTGTGTGTGTGTGTATATTTATAAATTCATATGTATGTGCATATATAAATCTAAGAATCTATATTGCATCAAAGGCAACGCTTAAAACATTCTAAGTATACATGTTGAGGAACATAGTTTAATATATGATGAGGCATTTACAGAAAAGAATAGCAAGAAACTGTTTAACAATGAATGAAGTTGATGGGTATATGCTTGATAGGGAAGGCTCTGCAAGAGTTATAGCTCATTTCTTTTTCTTTCTTGGCTACGTAGACGGGTTTTATGTAAGCTGACTTATGGAAAGCACCCAGTGCTGTCTTCTTTTTTGTGGTTGTTTTTGACAGCTTTATTGAGTCATAATTCACACAGCATACTATTCATCCATTTGAAGTGTACAGTGTGGTGGTATTTAGTCTATCCACAGAGTTGTGCAACCAACACCAGAATCAATTTTTGACCTCCTCATAAGAAATCCTGCATCCATTAGCGGTTACTTCCCATTACCACCCAACCCCTGGCCCTAGACAATGACGAATCTACTTTTTGTCTCTGTATATTTGCCTCTTTTGGATATTTCATACAAATAGAACTATACAATGGGTGGTCTTTTATGACTGACTTCTTTAATTTTGCATCATGTTTTCAGATTTCATCCATTATGTAGCAAGTATCAATACTTAATTCCTTTTTATTGCCAAACAATATTTCATTGGTAAAGATACACTATATTTTATTTATCTATTCATTGGTTGATGGAGACTTAAATTACTTCTCCTATTTGACCATTATGAATGATAATGTTATGGATATTTGTACACAAGTTTTCATGTGGGTCTATCGTTTTTGTCTCTTGAGTACATACCTACAAGTGGAATTTCTGGGGCACATAGAAGCTCTATGTTTTTTTTGTTTGTTTGTTTTTTTGAGATGGAGTTTCACTGTTGTTGCCCAAACTGGAGTGCAATGGCACGATCTCGGCTCACTGCAACCTCTGCCTCCCAGGTTCAAGCGATTCCCCCACCTCAGCCTCCCAAGTAGCTGGGATTACAGGCACGCGCCACTATGCCTGCCTAATTTTTTGTATTTTTAGTAGAGACGGGGTTTCACCATGTTGGCCAGGCTGGTCTTAAACTCCCGACCTTTGGTCGTCCACCTGCCTCGCCTCCCCAAGTGCTGGGATTATAGGCATGAGCCACCGCGCCCAGTCCGAAACTCTATGTTTAACATTTTGAGGAAAGGCCAAACTGTTTTTCAAATTGGCTGTACCATCTTACAGTCCCATCACAATGCATGAGGGTTCTAATTTCCCCACAACCTCACCAAAATTTGTTATTATCTGTATTATATTAGAGTCATCCTAGTGTATGTGAAGTGATATTGTGATTTTGATTTCCATTTCCATAATGCATTTTGAGCATCTTTTCATGTGCTTATCGGCTATTTTTATATTTTCTTTGGAGAAACGTCTATTCAGATCTTTTGCTCATTTTTAATTGGTTATTTATATCTTTACTATTGGTCTGTAAGAGTTCTTTATATATTCTGGGTAAAAGTCCCTTTATCAAATATATGGTTTTCAGATATTCACTCTTATTCTATGGATTGTCTTTTCATTTTCTTAATAAAATCACTTGCAGCACAAAAGTTGTTAATTTCTGTTGAAGTTCAATTGTATTAGTCTATTTTCATGCTGCTGATAAAGACATACCTGAGACTGGGTGGTTTAATGGACTCACAGTTCCACGTGGGTGGGGAGGCCTCACAATCATGGCAGAAGGCAAAGGGCACATCTTACATGGTAGCAGGCAAGAGAGAGAATGAAAGCCAAGCAAAAGGGGTTTTTGCCCTTATAAAACCATCAGCTCTTGTGAGATTTACTCACTACCATGAGAACAGTATGGGGGAAACTGCCCCCGTGATTCGATTATCTCCCACCAGGTCTCTCCCACACCACATGGGAATTATGGGAGCTATAGTTCAAGATGAGGTTTGGGTGGGGACACAGCCAAACCATATCACCAATTAATTGATTTTTTTCTTTTATCATGTGTGCTTTTGTTCTTGTATTAGAGGTCAAATGCAAGATCCCAAAGGTTTACTCCCAAGTATTCTTCTTAGGGATTTATAGTTTTAGCTCTTACATTTAGTTCTATGTTCTATAATCAAATATGATTCAACTTTTAAAAAGAAGAAAAGTTTGTCATTTGCTATCTGGAGGAACCTGGGCAACATTAGGCTGAAGGAAGTAAGTCAGGCACAGAAAGACAAATATCACATGATCTCATTTGTATGTGGAGTCTAAAAAGTCAAACTTGTAGAAGTAGAGAGTAGAGCAGTGGTTACCAGGAGCTGGGCGAGGTGTTGCTTGGAAGGGGTAAATATTGGTCAAAGGGTATAAAGTTTCAGTTAAACAGAAAGGATATGTTTTTGAAATCTATTGCACAGCATGATGACTATAGTTAATAATAATGTATTGTCTACTTGAAAAGTGCTAAGACAGTAAATCTTAAATGTTCTTTCCACACACACAAAAATGATAACTATGTGAAATGAAGAATGTGAATGTATACCCAAAATAAAATTCTAAGGCCACCAACCAACTGAATAGACCCCTCCTCTCTGCCAAGGGCATTCTACAGTAAACCTAAAACACTAGTTCAGGCCATGATAGGCATAGGTGGCTGGACATACCTCATTTCGTCAGCAGCGGTAAGTCTGTACAGGTCTGCAGCAACCTCAGTTCTTGCCTCCTCAGGAGAAATAATTCAACTGAGGGGGGGATAAGGCAGAGTGAGGAGACCAAGGCAAGTTTTACAGAAGGAGTGAAAGTTTATTAAAAAGCTTTAAAGCAGGAACAAAAGGAAATAAAGTGCACTTGGAAGAGGGCCAAGCGGGCGCTTGAGAGATCAAGTGAATGATTTGACCTTTGACTTAGGGTCTTACATGTTGGCATACTCCAGGGTTAAATTACTTCTCCCCTGAGTCTTCCCTTGGGGTTGTTTTCCCGTGTGCACAGTGGCCTGCCCGCCCTTGGGAGGGGCCGCGTGCACAGTGTGTTTATGAGGTTGTACACATGCTCTTTTGAGGCGCTCTTCCCTTACCAGTTGAATATTCCTAGAAGGTCATTTGCCAGTTAAACTCCACCATTTTGCATCTTAGTGCTCATGCTTGAGCCCACTCGCCCAATTCCTGAGATCTTATTGGGAAGCTGCTGATCACCAGCTTCAGGTGTTTCTATCTATTGGGAGACAACCTTTCCCTGGCCCCCATGGCAACAAATTATTACTTTAGAGAGATGGCTAAAAAATGTGTGATCATCACCTACCTGATTGGTTGGGGGGGAACCTCCTCTGCCCTGTTCATGTCTGCCTCACTACCTACAGTAACAACTATACCTTCCTTCCCTTGGAATTCAGTCATGGCTGACCAGTATTAACATTAAAACAGAGACCTTAAGAATGACAAAACAGACTCTATAGCAATTGGATACCAACATGACAGATTGTAGACTCTGAGAGAAATCAAAGTATTTTACCCTAAAATTTATTTTTTGACATATTTTGAAATGGTCCTGCAAAGCTATCTCTTGTGGGGAAAATCTACATTATGTAGAGAATCCCCTTCCCTTCCCAGGTCTTTTTCTTGATCCAGGAGAAAATTAAGAGGTTGGCACCTTTTTAAGTCTGAAAAGAAATATTTACCACCTATTCTCTCTGAAAACTGCTACCTGGAGGCTTCATCTGCATAATAAAAACCCTGGTTTCCACAACCCATTTTCTTAACCCAGACACTCTCTTGTATTGATTCCAGGTCTTTAATCAGAAAATTCTGGAATCCACCTATGACCAGGAAGTCCCCACTTCAAGTTTTCCCACATTTCTGAACTGAACCAATGAATATCTAACATTTATTGATTGATGTCTTACGTCTCCCCAAATGTATAAAACCAAGCTGTAGCCTGACCACTTTGGGTACATGTTCTCAGGATCTCCTGTGGCTGTGTCATGGGCCATTGGTCACTCATATTTAACTCATAATTAATCTCTTCATGTCAACCATTGTGGAAGACAGTATGGCAATTCCTCAAGGATCGAGAACCAGAAATACCATTTATCCCAGCAATCCCATTACTGGGTATATACGCAAAGAAATATAAATCATTCTACTATAAAGACACATGCACATGTATGTTTATTGCAGCACTATTTACAATAGCAAAGACATGGAATCAACCCAAATGCCCATAAATGATAGACTGGATAAAGAAAATATGGCACATACACACCACAGAATACTATGCAGCTGTAAAAACGTATGAGATCATGTCCTTTCCATGGACATGGATGAAGCTGGAAGCCATCATTCTCAGCAAACTAACACAAGAGCAGAAAACCAAACACTATGTATTCTCACTCACTATAAATAAATATAGATATATGTAAATTTTATTATACTTCAATAACCTGGAAAAAAAGATTCTGCTTGAATTGAAAAGGTTCTCTTTGAACCAACCCAAAGACACATGCACACATATGTTTATTGCAGCACTATTTACAATAGCAAAGACATGGAACCAACCCAAATGCCCATCAGTGATAGATTGGATAAAGAAAATGTGGCACATACATACCATGGAATACTATGTAGCCATGAAAAGGAATGAGATCATATCCTTTGCAGGGACATGGATGAAGCTGGAAGCCATCATCCTCAGCAAACTAACACAGGAACAGAAAACCAAGCACTGCATGTTCTCACTCATAAGTGGGAGTTGAACAATGAGAACACATGGACACAGGGAGTGGAACAACACACACTGGGGCCTGTTGGGGTTTGGGGGTGAGGGGAGGGAATTTAGATGGCAGGTCAATAGATGCAGCAAACCACCATGTCACACATATACCTATGTAGCAAACCTGGAACTTAAAGTAAAATTTAAAAAAAATTTTAGAAAAGAAAAGTTTCCATTTGAAAAGCCATCTTTGATTTTTTTCTCTTTCACTTCAAAATTGTGATATCACTTTGTCAGCTAATACTGATGAATTTAAAGTTTTTTTCCGCATCCTTGTTATGTAGATGCAGAGAATTAAGTTTAGGAGGGAAAAAAATAGCTCTAAAGAGGGAAAAGAGAATTATTGAAGAATTTTAGCCTATCGTTATAATCGTAGCTACCATTTATTGTGCACTTATTCTGCCTTGCATCTATTATTGTGTTTGATTTTAAAAACAACCTGTTTCACAGATTAGGAAACTGAGACTAGAAAGATTAAGTAATATCCCCAAAGTCATGCTATTTGTAAATGGTAGAGCTGGGATTCAGAATCAGATCTACCTGAATCTAAAACCCAAAGATAGATTACCGTTCATTCCTGAAGTGGTTCCCAACCTCCCATAGGGATTGTGCAGAAATTCTATGAAAAGCATCATACATTAGAGAACAAATACATGGATTTGTGCAGATAAAAGACATTATTTGCCCACATCGAGGAAGATCAGTTAGCAAATTCTTATGTCATTGAATATACTTCAAACAAGCACTGTGTTCACTTCTGCAAAGGTTATTCCTTATCACCGGGAATCAGAGGTAATGACGAGAAACTGTGGTTCATGTTGAATGCCTATTTGCTTCTCTCAAATCAGATTTCACATGTCTGTCAGCAATTTTTTTCCTATAGGACCACTTCTAGTCAAGGAAAAAAAAATATGACTTGGAAAAAAAAAACCCTCTCATTTCACCTCTAGAAGGAAATGAAGACACCTTCCGACCAGTCCTGCATGTTCAACTCTCTGGGACAATCCTAGAATCAGATGTTAACCAAATAGCCCCCAAATACATGAACAATGTTTAAAATGTTGAAAATGGAAAAGGATGAGACTGCTTTGGAATACAATTTGGGTTTATTCATTAACCAAAAGAAAGATGCATTTGTATTGATTATGCATCTACCCCAGACTGAAAAACACAGATGTAGAGGACTAGTTCTTAGCTGTAAGGCACCTCATTACTAATGCTGCATGATGGAGGTTTTACTATTGGGCAGAGGAGTGAAAGCGTGTGTTGTGAGAAAGTGGGTTTGAAGTCTATGCCCAACAACTCCTAAGATGCTAACCTTGGAGAAATTACAAAATTCTTCAAATTTCAGTTTGTCTATAGAATGAGGATGCTAACAACTATACAATACATAGCCTCAAGAGACCAGGGGCCTGGGCTTTATATTAGCTTATTTCCAGGTTTAATCCTGGTTCCTTCCTTTATTTCAACGGTGTGATATTGGACAAATAGCTAGGCTCTCTGGACCTCAGTTGTTTTCTTCTACAAATGCGGTTATTAATTTAAAAGGGTTTATAAGGATGAAGTAAGATAACATGCACATACAATTAAGGCTGGGCCCAGCACAGTGGCTGACACCTGTAATCCCATCATTTTGGGAGGCCGAGATGGGAGGATCACAATATAGTGATTCCTGGGATCACTATATTGCCCAGGAACTTGAGACCATCCTGGGCAATATAGTGACACCTCGTGTCTGCAAAAAATAAAAAATAAATAAATTGAGCCTGCTCAGCTCATATTATATGCTGAAAAATGTGTGCATCATTTATTGTTTATTGTCATCATTATGACCACTGCTACTGCTGCTACTATGTGAAACACCAAGTACGACGCCAGCCATAAAGTAGGAACTCAGTATAAGCTACTTCTTTCTCCCTACTTTATAATATGAAAGAATACTCATAAGGGTAATGATTATCCTTCCCCCCCCCATAGATAGGCATCTGCTCTTTGGCCATAATGCAAATGTGGAATATTTATGGCTCTTTTTCACGAGCCCTGGGTGTAGCTGTGCTATTTCTTTCTCTTTAGCAGCTAATTTCAGAGTTTTAGTTGAATTACTCAATGCACATTGCAGACAGCATGCCTTTCCTGGGTCAGTGATTTATACAGCTGATATACACAGAAGGAAAAGAGCTAAGGAGATGGCATGCCAATGTCCCTACTTTTTACATGGGAAATGTGTATTTTCAATTTAGAAACACCATGGAAGTCACTGGCCCCAGAGGCAGATACTATTTTTATCAAGAGAAGTTGGCCCCTCAAACTTTGTTTGCTAGCTGATTTTACTGCTCCGTGGGTCTCTTGTCTGGCTCCCCGCACTCCTTTCTGACTGGAAGTGAGATCTCGTTTCAGGGAAATGCTTGGCTGGCGGGCAGGCAGGACACATTGTATAAAAAGCTAGTATCTGAAATTAAGATTTCAACCTGCTGTCCCAGCAGGAGCTTCTTCCAAATTTTTCTTCCTAACCTTCAAACTAAATGAGAAACACCAAATTTTCTTTGAAAATAAAAGGTAAATAATGAAACATTTCCTTGGTTCTGATTAAAATGCACAGGCCAATGCTTCCTTAACTTCCTTGTATGAGTGAGTCAAAGGATCTCAAAAAGAGGAGCTCAGATCACTTTCAAAGCACTTACCAGGGTAGAAGGGACTTCCCATGTCACATGCTGTTGGTGGGAAAGAATGTGAAGGTCAAGTATTCCATGCTAACTTTGAGATACCATTGATTATACTCAGAGCCTCACGGGTGCCTACTACCACTGAACAACACACCTCCTCCATATTATATTTGTGTTCCTGGAGTCAGGGATGTCTATTCTTTTTGCTTTCCTTCTACTTGAAAATGTTACAATGGACCCCATGTGACATGAATTATTTATCTAGAAAGAGGCAGTTCCATGGCAATTGTTAGAATTCCATGCCCAATTCTCTTTTTGATCCATTGCACCCATTTTCTTGATGACCTGTCAGGGCTGGCCATTCAACTCTAGGAGCTCACTAGTCTATGTAGGGACTGCTCTTGTTAGCACTCCTTGCCTGTCTTTCAACCTATCATCCACAGATCCAGAATGAATTCAGAGACTCCCAGCTCAATGTCAAAACGAAATAGGACCCCACAGAGCAACAGATTTCATCCTCTCACTTTTTGATGAAGAATTGCTCAATGTCAGAACTAAATAGAACCCCGCAGATCAGTGGATTTTATCCTCTCACTTTTTGATGAAGAATCGAGTTGCATCTTAAGGAGATAAAGCAATTTATCCAGTCACCCAAGCAGCCTGTTGCAAAACTAGGACTAGAAAATCTCTGTTCATCATTCCAGACTGCCCTTCTTCCTAAGCTATGGGAATTTACTAAGCAGAAGTTTAGCTGGACACATTCTTCCTCTACAAGATTATAAATGGTCTATTCTCAAATAAACTGCAACTGTTAACTTGTTCATAGCAACTTAAGCATATTAAAATATGATAATTTGTACCCACAGGCACATCTTCTATTTATAGGCAGATGACACATACACACCTATGCCAAAACTCTCCCTCTTGACTCAGGCTCACATAATATTTTGTATACAAGACGATATTCCTCAATACTCAACCAGTACAGATTTAATATGTACCTCCTATATTCTCTGCAGTCTTCCAGGTACAGCAGAGAGTGGAGGAAAAAGAATTATTAGGACAGATTTAGAAAAATGAAGATGTGGAGGAAATTTGGAGGGAAGAAGTCTAAAGGCTTTGGTCTTCAAAGACATTCTGTATTCTCAAATGCCAATATCTGCTGATAGGCAGGTGGGAGGAAAGGCACACAGATTTTCTGTAAAGTCCTACTGAAGACAATGCTATCTCACATTGACCAGGTCAAGGGAAAATTCTTGATGCTTTAAGATGAAATATACTTTACTTTGCTTAAATAAGGACTCTGTATGTGCATTTAACTTGCTCTAAAGGAGCAGAGGAGCAAAGTCATTTGCAGTCAGAGAGCTAATAAAACCCCATACGACACCACTTTCTTTCTCAGCAGAATAACAGTGAAAAGTTAAAGATGATTATGACTTTTAGTCTGTGAGCCTTTCTGCTGACGGAGATCTTTTTTATGTATGTTTTACATTTAAATGGAATGATGAGTATCCTTAAAAAAATGTTATCTCTAGAATTAGATCCTTCTTGGTTCCATAAGGATGATTTGTGACCCAAAATTTGAAAAGAATTTTGATTTGGTTGTAAGAAGAGAAGCACATCTTGAAGTTATTTCAAACTTTGTCAAACTTCTTTAATGAATAAAGTGCCATCTTTCATGCTTAGTTTCTTAGAATGTCATAAATCTATAACCTGAAGTTTCTAAAACACTTTCATTTTCCTGCTTAGAGAGGAAGGGAGGGCAAATATCATTACCTTCATGTTATACATGAAGAAACTAAACTTCAGAGAGGTTAGGTGACTTGCCTGAGGTTGTACAGCTAATAAGTGACAGAGTTAGATGAGAGTGAAGTCTTTGCTGATTTCATCTGATATTCTTTCTGTCACACTTTCATGCTTGAGAACTAGGAACAAGAAAGGGGAAAGTAACAAGAAAAAAGAAGGAATGAGACTAATGGATACTTCCTAGGGTATCCCAGCTTTCCAAAAAGTAAAACAGTTGGAAAAGAAAATCTACTCTGTTTTTATCTTTTAAAGCCCTCACAGTGTTATATAAAATGAAAAATTAATGAGCACCTGTAAAAGATTTCATTGCCCAGCTCTCTGAGGCCACAATTTAAAGTTAATGTTATTTTCTGTATTAATAGCTGCTCCCAATGATGTTTCCCTTTTAAGTTAATGCAGATGCCAGGTAATTTGGAAGAGACCAAATAGACCAGGAGGAGCAGCTCAGACTGCTCACTCAGCAGCCCTCTAATTTGAAAAGAGAGCTTCAGGAGTAGTTACTACCTTTGGGACCTTGTCTGGGGTTATTAGATGTACACAGGCTACTCCTTAAGAACAACATCCCCTGTTTCTTATCCTTCAGAAAAATTTGCAGCTCCTAGTAATTGTAGAATAGAATTCCATTATCACAGTACTCCCACTGAGTTTCTCTTCCACTCTCCATTTTAAAAACATTTTCTTTAAACATGACTGTTTGTTCCAGCACTGATAAGGGAGTTGGGTGACACATTCTGCTCATAAAATGGCAATGATCCTCATCATGGTGATTTCGGATGAGGAATGGTTACTTCCTCAGTCGGAGACCCAAGCTTAATATTCAGAGACTTCCTCCAGATTCTGCAAACTCTCCATGTTCTGTCTTTATGCTGGAAGAGCTGAAGCTTCAACTCACCCTTCTTGAATCTTCAACCTGACCTCCTCGAGGAAGGAAGAACCTCCTAAAAGTTCCCAGGTTTATTGGTGATTTTTTCTTTCTTCTGGTCAGAGACATAATTATTTCTGTGACTAGGAAACAAGGAAAATGTGTGGGTGTCTTTTCTGATACTGGCTTGAAGTTATTCTGATAAATTAGCCTAAATTAGAGTGGAATTCCTCAAGTGCAGTGAATCTTTTATGTTGAATTCATGCCAGGCTTTCGTATGACCCTGGCCCTTTCCTGTCAGTTTCTGGGTCTGCTTTTAGAGCACAACATTACAGGAAGTTAATGGACTGGTTGTAGAATTAATAGACTCTGAATGTTGCCAATAATATTTAAACTATATATATATAATACCCTATACACAATCTTTATATATATAATGTACATGAGCTACACTGCAAATACATACTAGTATGTGACATGCTTTTAAAACATACACAGAAAGTGCAAACTAAAGACAAAATAACTATAAATAGAAGTTGTGTTTTCCTTGTACTTCAATAAGTAATTTAATTTCTTCCTTACCAGAGGTTTTAAAGCTCTCCTATGAGGCCACTGAGCTAACCAACGTGTTCTACCTGCCATGTTCTCTCTGGTGGCTCTGTCGGTTATGGAAAGAAGAGTAGTCTGAATGTATTTTCTTTGAATTATTCCTACTTGCATGTCACCTGGGAAGCAAAGTAAGCTGGGCACATGGGTGGTGAATGAGCCTCATGTTCCCATGAGCCTTACCTGGATCATCAGGTAAGGAATACTGCAACTGAGACTTACCTGTGTCTTCTCCTCAAAGACAAGTCTCAAATGAATGACAAAAGGTCTTGATTAAATTGCTATTATATCAAATCACTTTGAGCCACTGAAAATAGAAGAAGAGGAATTAAAATGCATTCTTCCCAACATTCCTTAGACTTAAAGACTCAGGATTTAAGTGGAACCATAAAAGTCACGTTGCAGGTGCAAACACAGCGTCCTAAAGAGGTGACTTCACCCGCCCAAGTTGACATAGCCAGTCCCAGTGAGTGGAAGATCTAATGCTCAAATCCTGCTGTGCTCCTTCCTGCTCTAGGAGAATTTATATTTTAAGGTGGAGAAGTGTTGGATTCCCCAAACACAAACAACCGCATTTTTCGTGTCTCCTTAATTTCTTCCTCTTCATGTCTTTCTTAAGGGAAATATATGTTGTAATAAAGTTTTGTGTATGTCATTCTTTTTTTTCTGACTTAGGATACTTTTAAAAACCATTTTATTATAAAATAAAACGTTGATACGGAAAATCATACAAAACAAATTTTGCTGTTGTTGTTTTCCCAAGAGGGACTTGGAGCCCTCTTTCCTGACCCTTCACAGGTGAGGTGTGCTTGTCCCTCTCTGCCCAGCCTCTCTCACAGGCTTGTCTGCCTTCTGCCAATTGATACCGTAGTGTGGAAGCCAAATTGCAAGATTACTCTCTCCCCTCACTCCCTTCTGAATCCATGAATTCACCTATTTGTAGATGCAAAGCTCTCAAACTGGGACCTTCCTTTGCTGATTTCAATTGATTTTCTTTTCCTTTTTTTTCTAATTTTTGTTCCTTATTTCTCATATCTTTTGCTCTGCTTCCTGGAAGATTTTTTTAAACTTTATCATCCAGCTTGATGATGGGCTATTTTAATTTTATTTTTCAAAAAGTATTTATCACTGATTGTTTTTCTTTTACAGCATCCTTTGGTCATTTCACGAATACCATATATTTTCCTCTTCCTCTCTGATGACAGGAATGTGTCTATTTCAAGTGTTCCTTGGTCCTTTGCAGATTCTCATTTTCCTGTGTGATCCTTTCCTCCTGCTGTTTGTTTTGGTCTGTCCCTTTCAGGCAGGAGACTTCACTCCGTGTCTAATGACCTTGCCTGTCTGTCCCGAGAATGGGACACTCTCAAACATGCTTGACTGAGCTCATGGTGGGAGGGGCTGAGTGTGCTGACAGGTTTCAATGTCAGGAGATAGGGTGACTGATCAAACAAATGTCAGATGTCATTATCTGGAGACTGTTTTTCTGAGGTCTCAAGTTTCCTCAGAGCGAAAGCATCCAACTTGACTTGCTGCCAGCATTCTGGAAGCAGGACTAAGGAAGGTGTCTGAGGAGTCCAGCCTTCTACATGTAGGGTTTCACTCATCCCCTGCATCAGCCTGACTCTATCTGACAATCACGGTGTCTGGTGCCTTGAGACCTTGGATCACCAGGAGAGTGTCCCTCGGGTTTTGTGTGGAAAGGGTATGTTGAGCCGGGTGGATGAAAAAAGGAGGAAGACAGCCATGTTGTAAGGCATCAGAAAAACCAATTCCTCTTTCCACCAGCCCCCTACTTTGGCCTCATTTGCCTTCTAAACCCCTCACATTCCTGATACCTGTTGTTTCTGAGAGCTTGGTGTTCATTGATTCTACAGGCGAATCAGCTCATCCTTGATGGCAAATTATGACTTGGGTCACAATTCCGTTCAGCTCAATCTGTTATCATCTTTACTTCTCTTTCCCATGTCTAATATCTGTTAAAACTTCTCATCTGTAGCTATCTCCTCCAATTCTCTTTCTCGTATGGTTAATGCCTTTTGGGTCTTGAAATAGAGATCAATGGGTGTGGTTACCTTTGCTATTTTTACTCTGAAATCTATGGAGTTCATTTGTCTTCTCAACATTAGGCAATATGTCCATCAAGTAACTTTAGTTGCGTGGTCAATTGTTCACCGTTGCTTAAAGTTTAAAAATAAAACCGTATTTGCACCAAAGCAGAGATAAACTTTAGTTAAGGCATCATTGGAGCCTTTACAAACACAGAACATTTCTGCTTACTCAGGTAGCAATGATTTGAAACTGTTGAAGATATTTATCAATAATATCTATATACAATTTATTTTGGTACTTTCTGAAATTGTAAGGAAATTTTGTTTAATTTAGGTATTCATTTGAAATTATAATACTTTAGATAAATCTTCATTTTAAAAGATATTTTCCTGAAATAGCTGCTTTGAAGTTTTAACAGCTTCATCTCTGAGTTACAACCACAATTTTACCTTTAGAAAGCATCCACTAGATTTAGTCAACCAAAATGTTATCTCACAGTCTTTGTTCAACGTGGGCAGATTGGGAAGTTTCTGTATTTTTAACATAAAGAAGCTACTGGTGACCTTTAATTCAAAGGTTAATTTTGAGTCTGCAAGTCTTTGTCATGTCTATACGCAAGTGAGGGTCATTTTCAGAGCAGGTAATAATAAGCTAAAAAATGCATTTCTTTTATTTTCTGTAAGGATTACAACATTAATTTTTTATGGTCAGAACAAAGGAGCTTGTTATTCAGCCTGGAGTCGGCTCTATTTTCCCCCTGGAAATATATAACTTCCTTTACACATGTCAAGACCAGCCCTGTTTGTGGACAATCTGTACTCTGACAAGACTTATTGGCCTCCTAACACAGAAGAGAACTGTGCTTGGGCCTCCACTTTTCACTATTATTCATTTCTTGGGTTTGCTCATGAAAGTTCCAGTTAAAATGCAAATATATCAGTAACATTTTCAGCTACTTCTGTCTCAGGAAAATTAGTACAGCTGAGTTCACCAGGGCCTTAGGAGACTGGGACAGATAAAATTTTAATGGGACCAAACCAAAGAAAATGATGGTACGTTAAACACTGCCTAGCGCTGCAGAGTTGAGAGGTAGAGAGCAAAAGGAACCTCCCAAAAGCTGAGAATGGAACTGGCTGCTGTAGTAGTGGTGAGCCATGTGCCTGGAAAAATTCAAGCAGAAGCTGCAGGAAATCTTGTGGTGACTCTGTAATAATAATAGTGCCCCTAGTGACATAGTGCAGTACTATTTTCAAATTGTTTTCAGATCCATTATTTCATTCATAATCCAATGAATCTTATGAAGAGAACAAGTTACAACTGTTAAAGAAAGAAACTGGGTATCAGGGAATCTGTGCAATGGTCTCAAAGTCATACAATTAATGATCAGTAGTGGAATCAGCATTAGCACCCAGTTTGCCTAACTCTAGTCTAGGGCTCTTCACTAAACACTGTGTTTTTCCCCGATGATTCCCTGGACAGCAGTGGGAGTGACGCTGGCCTCTAAAGTCAGAAGTTACAGTCTCAAGAGACCCAAAGCCAGTGTGAGATTTCCCTAAAGTCTTGTGTTTTATCTTTAAAAATAGTGGAAACTTTGTATTTCCTCTGTATTGCTCTGTTTTTTGTTTCTCTCTCTCTCTCTCTCTCTCTCTCTCTCTCTCTCTCTCTCTCTCTCTCTCGGCTGGAGTTTGGCTTTTGTTGCTCAGGCTGGAGTGCAATGGCGTGGTCTCGGCTCACTGCAACCTCCACCTCCTGAGTTCAAAGGAGTCTCCTGCCTTAGCCTCCCAAGTAGCTGGGATTACAGGCACCCGCCACCACACCCAGCTAATTTTTGTATTTTTAGTAGAGACAGGGTTTCAGCAGGTTGGCCAGGCTGGTCTGAAACTCCTGATCTCAGGTGATCCACCCACCTCAGCCTCCCAACGTGCTAGGATTACAGGCATGAGCCACAGCACCCGGCCTCTGTTTTTTCTTTGTAGCAAACAACTCAAATATCTCAGGACTTATGATATCCGGTTTATTTTTCTCACTCATGGGTCTGTGGGTTGACCATGGTTGTGTGGACTTGGCTGGGATTGCCTAGCCTTGATCTCGGCTGGGTTGGGTTCAGGTTTGCTGCAGAGGTCTTCTCATTCTCCCAAGACTGGCAGTGAACCAGGGCATGTTCTATGCATGGCAGATCAGAGGTGTGCAAGAAGAACAAGCAGAAACAGGCAATCCTCTTAAGGCAGCTGTCACCTCTACCCTTCTTCTGTTGGTTAAAGTACATCATAGAGCGAAGCCCAAATTCAGTGGGATGGGATGCATATTCAGCTTGCTTTACTGTACTGCAAAGTCTCATAGCAGAGGAAGTAAAAAACTGAAACAAGTAATCCAATTGTATTAGTTTGTTCTCACACTGTTACAAGGAAATACCTTAGACTTGAAACTGGGTAATTTATCAAGAAAAGAAGTTTAATTGGCTCATGATTCTGCAGGCTATACAGGAACCATAGTGGTTTCTGCTTCTGGGGAAGCATCAAGAAATTTACAACCATGGTGGTAGGCAAAGGAGAAGCAGGCACATCTTACATGGCTGGAGCAGAAGGAAGAGAGAGAGAGAAGGTGCTACACACTTTTAAACAACCAGATCTCACGAGAACTCACCCATTATAAAGTACCAAGGGAAGGGGGAATGGTGATAAGCCATTCATGAGAACTCCGCCCCCACAACCCAGTCATCTCCAACCAGGCCCCTCTTCCAACATTGGGGATTACAGTTCAGCGAGATTTGGGCAGGGACACAGATCCAAACCAGATCACTAGTAGACAGTGGCCTTCCCTCTTGACTGCAAACATTCACCCTGTGACCCACATGCAGAATACATTCACCTCCATGCTAAGACTCCAAAAAGTTTCATCTTATCCCAAGAACAGGATCCAAGTCCTGAATCTCATGATTGACATTAGGTCCATATGTTGCTCTTCTTAATATGGGCTTTTAAACTAAAAAGGCAAGTTAACTGCTTATGCCCAATGCCCACACACCCATCACTGTGTACCTAATACGTAATAGTAAAAGAGGCAGAGATTAAATTTTGCAAAAACCCAAAACAATCCCATTTGAAAAGGTTAAGACTGGGAGGTACATAGCAGTCACTAGTCCACTGCAGTTCCAAAATCCACTGGACAAAGGTTGCCAGGGCATAGGTAAAAGAATATTCTTTGATTACATCTAGTTCTGATCCCCAGAAAGCAGCTCCCACCACACTGTTCTCCATGGCTCTTCACTCCACCCTACGAGAGAAGCTTCCTTTTCCATCCTCTTTCCCAGCTGCATCTTAAGAGGGCATTGGCAAATATGTCCTTCCTGGTGACTAAGAAGTTATCTCTGTCTATTCCTGCCTATATACTGTTGGTGTCCTATAGGTCTTTTTACAGCCAAACAGTCACAGTCTCTTTCATTTAAAGCTGGCAGTACCTTGTCAATTTAACTATCTCAAAAGCTTTGATTTTTAATACTTTGGGTATATACCCAGTAATGGGATTGCTGGGTCAAATGGTATAAAGGCACATGCATAAGTATGTTCATTGCAGCACTGTTTACAATAGCAAAAACTTGGAACCAACCCAAATGCCCATTAATGATAGACTGAATAAAGAAAATGTGTCACATATACACCATGGAATACTATGCAGCCATAAAAAAGGATGAGTTCATGTCCTTTGCAGGGACATGGATGAAGCTGGAAACCGTCATTCTCAGCAAACTAACCCAGGAACAGAAAACAAACACCACATGTTCTCACTCATAAGTGGGAGTTGAACATTGAGAACACATGGACATAGGGAGGGGAACATCACACACTGGGGCCTGTCAGGGGTTGGGGGCAAGGGGAGGGAGAGCATTAGGACAAGTACCTAATGCATGCGGGGCTTAAAACCGAGATGATGGGTTGATGGGTGCAGCAAACTACCATGGCACATCTATACCTATATAACAAACCTGCATGTTTGGCACATGTATCCCAGAACTTAAAGTATTAAAAAAAAAAAAGCCTTGAATGTTTTCCATGTATTTGATTCCAGTCAGTTCTATGTGCCTAAGCCACAACCACCATTCTTTTGGGACATGGCTCTCTATAGACTAAAAGAAGTCCTTTGAGCTGAACAGGCTTCTAGGAGACTATACCTTCAATCTGTATAGAGGCACTTTTCCAGCTAAAACCTTCTCTTAGAGCCACTTTAATTCTTTCAGCCATCTTAAAAAGGGTACTAATACCAAGGTCTTGATTTTGTGCTTGTCCTGAGCTTGTATATTAATGATATACAATGCCCTTTAGTAGACCTTTTCCTGACACAGTGTGTTTATGGCTACATCTTTGATTTAATAAGAAACACTTTCATATGTCAACTCTACATGTCCTAGAATTTCTGGACTCTCTTCTATTTGCACACTGGTCTTTTTGGAGTTCATCAGACTCTTGTAATACTTTGCCAGAGGAACTAACTCATTCTGCCAACCTTTTGCCTCAAAAGCTTCTCACCTGACACAAGTTGTTATGAATATTTTTCCATGTTCTGAGTTACCACAGAGGACAGACTTACCAAATGGCTTGACAATTACCTAACATAGGTCCCTATTTTTTCCATTCTCCTATAATGGTTTCCTTAGTTCCTGTCAGTTGATCTCATCATCAACGCTGCATAGTAGAAGCACTACAGAGGCACTCCACTTCTAGGTACTGATTTCTGTATTAGTCGATATTCAATGCATAACAAGCAAAGTCAAAATCTCAATGGCTGAAACAAGTATGTGGTTTTCTTGGTTCTTTGGGTTTCCTTGGCTCCAGGTTGAGGTTGGATTCAAGTCTGCTGCATGTTTCCTTATTCTCCTTGGTCCAATGGCTTCCTTTCTTCTCATAAAGCCTTAGAGGAGAAGGTTGTCACTGTCATTCAGAATTTCCAACAAATTATCTGTAGGCTGCCCCTCTTGTATTGTCCAAAGCACATCACATGACTAAACTCCAAATCGATGGATGCAGAAATTATGCTCTGACTATTCTACTGCCTTGTGCGTCCCATGGCAGAAAGAGGGGAAGAAGTGAGACAAATAACACAATTTATAATGCATTTCAGAATGTATCTTCGTTCTAATATAATTGTTTAATGTATTGTTATCCCCAAAGCCTTCAAGTAAAGTTGATATCCCAGGATCATTCCATGGTTTTGAATATTCCACACTCTACCAAGAGTCCCTCAGGAGTACATGTGGTCCAGTTTGAAAAGCAGGGATTCATAAAACTGTGCCTCGAGCATATTAGAGGGACAGGGACCTTTCAGGTCCCTTCTAGTAAGAATTCTCTGACTCTATGACCATGAATTGGAGACACTGAACGCAAACTTCATCCAATTTGCAATTTTGTGTTAGACTGGCCTGAATCAAATTACAGTTGTCCCTCAGTTTCAGTGGGGAATTTGTTCCAGGATCCTCCAGTGAATACCAAAATCCACAGATGCTCAAGTCTCTGATATAAAATGGTGTAGTATTTGCATATAACCTATGCATGTCATCTGGTATACTTTAAATTATCTCTAGATTACTTACAATATCTAATGCAATATAAATGCTATGTAAATAGTTATTACACTGTATTGGTTTAGTTGTATTATTTTTATGACTGTACTGCTATTTTTTGTTGTTTTTTTATGAATTTTTTTGATCCACAGTTGGTTGAGTCCACATACGTGGAACCTGTGAATACAGAAGGCCAACTCTATGTCATGTCGCAAATGTGGCTTCCTGTGCTAATCCCTTTCTTTCTGCAACAAAATTATGAGGACTGAGAATGAATGTGAGAGAAAGTCTTCCTTTGAAAATATCTACAGACTGTTGCCTACACACGTTGTGCAGTGTACAATACAAGAATGTAATGTCCTTTTACTCCTTAATTCATTCAACAAATATCTTCTGTGAATCTGTCATGCGTCAGAGTCAATGCTAGTGGCTAGGTATGTATGAATACAACGGTTAGCAAAGTGTAGTCTTGGGACCCTGAGTGCCCTGAGAAATTGTCAGGGGGCCTTCACAGACCAAGCTATTTCCACAAGAATACTTAAAAGTTCTTTGCGTTGCCCATTCTTTCATGATCACAGAGTGAACCCATCATCTGTTATGCCAGATGTTAAAAAGGTTTCCAAAAACGTAAAAAAGGGCCAGGCGTGGTGGCTCACACCTGTAATCCCAGCATTTTGGGAGGCAGAGGCAGGTGTATCACGAGGTCAGGAGATCGAGACCATCCGGGCTAACATGGTGAAACCCTGTCTCTACTAAAAATACAAAAAATTAGCCGGGTGTGGTGGTGGACGCCTGTAGTCCCAGCTACTCCGGAGGCTGAGGCAGGAGAATGGCGTGAACCCGGGAGGCGGAGCTTGCAGTGAGCTGAGATTGCAACACCGCACTCCAGCCTGGGCGACACAGCGAGACTCCATCTCAAAAAAAAAAAAAAAAGCCACCCTTCTTACTTTTGTTTTTTTAAAAAAAAACCCATCATTTTTATTTAAAAATATGGTACTTATGTTCATGTGTAATAATTTCATTATTTATTCACTTTAATTGACAAAACTTATACATATTTATCATGTACAACTTGTTTTGAAAAAAGTATGCATCACAAAATGGCTAAATCAAATTAATGTATTCATTACCTCACATTCTTATTTGTGTGTGTGTGTGTGTGTGTATGTGTACGTGTGTGTGTGTGGTAAGAATCCTTAAAATCTACTCTCTTAGCAATTTTTAAGAATTCAATATATTTTTATAACTACAGTCACTACGTTGTGCAATAGATCTCTTGAACGTATTCCTATCTAGCTGCAAGTCTGTATCCTTTGACCAACATCTTCCCAGCTCCTCTCATCTTATTGTTTTTTAAGTGAATTAATTAGTAAATAAACACTTTTAACTGTTCACAAAACCTCTCATTGTTATCTTGAAAATATTTTAAAGGTGGTTTGCAAACTTTTAAGTCGTAGGATACTTTACACTCTTAAAATGTTTGAGGATACCAAGGAGAGCTTTTGTTTATGTGGGTTCTCTCTATCAATATTTACCATAATGGAAATTTAAACTGTGAATATTTAAAAGTGTTTTTTTATTTTTATTTTTTTTTAAAAAGCAGCGTGGATCCTTCTCATTCAGAACTTTCAACAAATTATCTGTAGGCTGTCCAGCACTCCCTTGCCATCTGTCGCAGGGGCTAGAAGCCTGAGAACTCCGTTTTCTAGAATCCTCTGCCAGGAGGGCTCCAGATTAGTTTCTGCCAATGAGAAGCATTCTCACAAAGTTTGGAAGACAGGCAGAAGCCAGATTGTTGCTCCGCGAGCAGGCGTCTGGGCTTTAGCAGATGTGGAATTTTTTTAGCACTTTAAGGCGTTCCTATAATGACTGGTTTCAGAGATTCATAAAACTATAATTATAACCAATAGTTTCCTGGGGTCTCTGAAATTTCCTGACCCTCTTAAAGCTAGTAGCAAATTTACATTTTTTCTCCTCCCACCCTTTCAACATTTCTTTAATCATTGAATTCTATGATTTATATCTCTTTCTGCTTAGAATAACTGGAGAGTTTATATATTTCTGAACCATCTTACTTTGTGGTTGGAGCATCAGAGAAAGACCAAACAAACAAATAAATATGCAAAATGCATACAAACCATGTGAAGTACAAGAGAAATAAAATTAGCATCATAATATAGGCCTCATTGTTAGGTTTTAAGATGTATTAAAACACACCCTAAGTATATGAGAACTATACAGTGTCAGCCTATTTACTTACATTAATAATTATGTATCTGTTTTTGATTTTCTAAGAAAACATGTAGTTTGTTTTTCAAGTTTCAAGGCACCATAAAATAAAATCAGAAAATGATATTGGGAAAATGACATTGACTTTTAAGAAATTAACACCAGTGTTCCTTGTCACAATGATTTGTGAATGTGCTATAAAATTTTACAGACTCTTACCATATGGAAATGTTTTACACAGAAATTCTTGGCAACATGATTTAGAATCTCATTACGTAATACCTTGATATAAAACACCGATTTGCTGATGTGATTAATTAAAAGCACAATTTTCATTAATTTTTATTTTAATTTCTGAACATTTTTCTATTTCATTGACTCTTCTGGAAAACTCAGCATAATCTAAGTTATATGAAGCATAACTTCCAACAGTTGGAACAGAAACTTCAGATTGCAACAACAAAACATATTGTACCTCAGCTTTGCAGAAATAAGCAACATTTACCATTGAGGAGGAGGAGAAATGTCTTTTCCTCACTCATCCTAGGTACATGGAGGAGGCTTCTATAACAGAAGACAGATGAATAAAAGAAAAAAGCACACAAATGTATTTAATGTAAGTTTTATGTGACGCAGGATACTTCATAAAGAAATGGAGACCCCAACATGTGTAAAACTATGTATTTTTTTATGTTAGCTTTGATAAAGAAGTGGATAGTCATGGAGAAGTATGAGGGACAAAGGGGTATGATCTAATGTTGATAAACTTGGGGAACTTAGCAAGGCCTGTGTGTTCAGATTCTCCTTGGCCTCTCTGTAACATTCCTTCCCTCTGAATATAGAGCAGGTCACCTGTCACATGAGAGTCTTTAAGATGGAGGATCAGAGAGACTTTTTGCTTCTGTGGTTTTCTTAAGTCCTTCGGATTAAAATACTCGATATTCCAAGGTGCCATATTTTGGGGTATCAGTTCCTGTACCCCCATTACTTTTAATTAGGGATTTTTATTTAGGAAGACTATGTGGTATCATAGAAAGACATTTGATGTCAGAACTACCTTCAAATAACTGTAAGTTACTTAACAGAGTAGTTTACATCCCCTTAGTTCTACAGACCTGAGAAGATAAGAGTTTAGGTTTATGGGAGGCTAATTCTACTGCACACACTAGTGACTGCACATTGCTTCATCTTTTTGAGCCTCTTTTCTAGTCAGAAAAAAAGAGGTGACCATTCTTACCTGCTAAGACTTTAGCAAGGATTAAACCAAGAAATGAATGGCAAGTGCCTTGGTCAGATCTAGCACAAAGTACACACCAAAGAACAGTACTATTCTCACATGTCCCACTTAAAGGACATGGCTACAAGCTTTGGGAGAGAGTTGATCCTGTGTCCCCTTTTTTATGGTATCATATTTGATGAAGCTTATGAATGCTAAGGAGTTGGGTGTGTTGCAAAAGTATCTTCATTGGGATTAATTCATTGATTATAAGCAAGGCAGAGAGAGGAGGAGAACTATTTGATTAAATGTATTCTCTTCTAACCTCAAAGGTAAATCATGCAACATATATCCCAACCAAGCAAGGGCTAGAAAAAGCTGCACACACGTTAAGGGATTGGACTTTCAAGTTTCATCTTTCTATTTGTCAGTTCTGCTTAAATCTTTCCCTTTTCTACTTCTTTTCATGAAGGCCTCAAAAATCATTTTTGTCTCTTTTCAGCAAAATAGTATCCTTCACCATTAAATTATTGATGTTAATAATCTTTTTTTAATGAGGTGGATTTTTATTCATGCTCAATCAAAAGAATCCACACCCTTCTCCTAATTCAGTTTCTGTGGGTGCTCCTCCACTCTTCTAATGATTAGTCATATCTTTGGGTGCTGGGAGAGAAAAAGATTTTCTAAAATATATTTTAGGAAAGCATGCACTTTGTTTTTTTCTGATTTTTTTCAAAGTAGGCATATCTGTTTAAAGTACCACTAGCTTTGCAAAAACATTAAATTACTATAGGAAGAGCAAAGAGTCATGAGCAAATAAAAATGTAAGGAACTGTGCTTTAATATTTTTAAATTGCTGCACTATGACATCTCTACAAAGGGTCCTAGTTAAAAAATAACTTGACTTACTGTCTTAGGGGTTGGCAGCCAGAGAGGGAGGAAAGGGCTATAGATTAAGAAAGTGGGTTATAAGAGTATAGAATTTTAGAGGTAGAAAGAACGTTGGAGAACAACCTAATATCCCAAATCCTTCATTTTATGAGCGAGGGAATTGCAGGCAAGTGAGATAAAGTGACAATAGAACTTGGAACCTACCCTTTGAAAATAAAGAGTTACAAGTGACTTTGTCTACACATGCAAAGCCAAGTGTGAAATGGTGCCTTTCTGCTTAAATGACATTTAGAGCCAGGATTGTCAAATTCTGCATCCATGTTGATTGGGTCATCAAACTAGTCGGGTATTTTCCTAATCTCTGCTAAAAGCCATGCTTTGCAAACCCAGTCTGTGGGTCTACAGCAAAATGCAGCTCAGGCCCTGCTCCCATGCAGCCACTTGAACAGCTTTTAGCATTGTACACTCGATTGTTCAGTTTTGTGCTGAGACACCATTTTCTTGCCATCCTGTTTCCATTGACTTCTCAGTTCTTTTTTCACGTAGCCCATCATGTACTGGCTAAGCACTCAGATATGCATAGCCCTGAGTTAAGTGGTTAGTGGGAACACGAAAGTACAAGCCAAGGTCCTGAAGGAGCTTATTCTCTAATTAAGAAATAAATGGATGCATGAAGAAGTGAGATCATAGATCCTGTATCTGCAAGTGTAATATATTCAGTGCTGTGGTTCAGAAAAGGGAGTAATCTCTATACACCGCCCTGGATTTGAACTGGACTGTAAAATGGGGTAGGTTCTAGATATATGTTCATATGTTCAGATATCTACATAGATTCTATATCTAGATATTCATATATCTAGAACGTATCTATCCGCATTTCACGTATATGATATATCAGTATATCACAACCATGACGTACGATATAATTACATGAAGCAGACAGGGAATGGCATTCTAGGGAAGGCGATAACATGCACACATACTTTAAGTTGGTAATAAACACCCCATATCCCAGTGTCAGATAGGAAAATAATCTGTTGGGGGCAGGGGGATTCATGATAGGAAGTAGCTGGTTGGGTGTGTTTTAGGAGAACTTGACTACTAGGCTGAGTACATTATCCCATTAAATATAGCAAGGCTGCTCATTACAAGCCTATGAGTAAGTCAACTTTTCATGGTGGAGAGTAGAGAACATAAATTGTCTTGCAATCCATTAATATTATGACATGATTACCTGGTTGCCCCCCAAAACGCATCATTTTATGGGCTCTCTTCTGGTAAAATTACTTTTCTGACTCTGTAACACCATAAAAGAATACTCCCCAAACCACAAAACTGAGACAACTAGAGTGCTTTGGATTTTGCTACCCATGTAGATTTATAAGTTTTCTTTTTATTGATAATTCATTGTGGAAATTACTTTGGCAAATATGTATTCAGAAGTCCATTCAAAAAGGAAAAACTCACTAAGTGAAGAATCTAAAAAGTTAATACAGCTCACAGAGCAGCCAAGAAATAGAAATAGAAATGGTGAGGCTTGAACTTCTAGCAAAGATATCAGTGTTTCACGTGATGGATCCAGAAGGAGATGCAATCCTTGCCTACCCCATTGCCATCTTTTCAAAGTCAAGAATGAGACCCAAGAGTAACAGGAGAGGGATGGAGGCTGACAAAGGCAAAGCAGCAGAAAGGAATCATTTAGAATATGCTCATGTCCTGATTTGAGGTTGAAGACCCCCCAGGATAAGAAGTGTTCTGCATGAGATATGTTTATTTGGCAAACAAGAAAGGCCAGAACAGGGCCATCATTTCTTTTTTTTTTTTTTTTTTGGAAGCCCTCGTGATGGGATAAGAAGGAACGCATCCCAGCCAAAGGTCTAGAAGGAAGCTTCAAGGTCAGGCCCTGATTTGACACAGGGCCCCTAACACTGTCAAAGTGGCATGCCTGTTGGCCCCTACAAATGCACGAGGAGAGTTTCTGTGTTGTGACAGAGTCACACTATTTATCCTCCTTCACTGAGCTTGCAACTCTAGGAGGGACACAAATGGAGTGTGAGGGTGGCAGGAGGAAGAAAGGCCACCCTTAACCAGCCAGATAAACTGAACCAACACTGCGGGACAATGGAATAAGTGATACCACCGCCAGTTTTACTTTCTTTTTCTTTGCTTATATGTCATTTAAGAGCCACTTGCAGTCACTTGTCCCCATGAACAAAGGTACTCTGATAGCTTCCTTTTTTTTTTTTTTTTTTTTGAGATGGAGTCTTACTCTGTTGCCCAGGCTTGAATGCAGTGGTGAGATCTCGGCTCACTGCAACTTCTGCCTCCCGGATTCAAGCAATTCTCCTGCCTCAGCCTCCCAAGTAGCTGGGATTACAGGCACCAGCCACCACACCCGGCTAATTTTTGTATTTTTAGTAGAGATGGGGTTTCACCATGTTGGCCAGGATGGTCTTGAACTCCTGACCTCAAGTGATCCACCTGCCTCGCCCTCCCAAAGTGCTAGGACTACAGGCGTGAGCCACTGCGCCCAGCCTGATAGCTTCCTTTTTATCCCCACTGGTGTAAGTTGACTAAACAGCAAGTCTTGAGGACTTTCATGGTCTTCTCTCCTCTCTTGTTCTAGGCTATTGCTTAGTCCCCTCATCCTAATCAGGAATAGTCAATACCTTCAGAAGCTCCATGGAAGATATCCAGGAGATTATCCAACTCTTTCAGATTTCCCAGAGTCCAAGAGTTTGGCTCTCCATAGCCCAGCTTTTTTTTTTTTTTTTTTTTGAGACAGAGTCTCATTCTGTTGCCTAGACTGGAGTGCAGTGGCATGATCTCAGCTCACTGCAACCTTCGCCTCCTGGGTTCAAGTGATTCTCCTACCTTAGCCTCCCAAGTAGCTGAAATTACAAGTGCATGCTACCACACCCAGCTAATTTTTGTGTTTTCATCAAAAATACATTTGGATTTTTAGCAGAAAACGGGGTTTCACCATTTTGGCCAGGCTGGTCTTGAACTCCAGACCTCAAGTTATCCACCCACCTCAGCCTCCCAAAGTGCTGGGATTACAGGCATGAGCAACCGCACCCAGTCTGTAGTCCACCTTTTGTAAGAGATGTGAATTGGGATGAGTCTTCCCGGTGTGCCTAAGTCTCAGCTCAGGCTCCTAAACATTCAAGAGAACAGAGAAACTGTCCTGAGGTTACAGGCCTTCGCATTTCTCCTGATGCAGTGGATGGGATAGCAAGTACCAAGGCTTAGCGACTACTCTAGCTTGTGAGCAGATCTGGGGATCCCTAGAGGGAAAGAGGAGAATGTGAATGATTTAGAGTCGTCTTTGGTCTAACCTGGTCATGACTGTGCTGTGTTCCTGACCTGGCTTAGAAAAACCCTCCCATTGACAAGCCTTTCTTGGTTTCTACACCATAAGTTGATGACTATTGAAGCTGAACATGACCTCAATGGTCTTTTAGTTGGCATATTACACTTGGGTTGGGGTGTGGATATGTGGGAGTTTGAGGGATGGGGATTAGGTAGCTGAGGACCAGGGACATCTGATGTAGTGGAAATCTCCTTTGTGCTGATTTTAGGTCTCAGGACAGTCCCACAGCCCAACACCACCTTATCCATGGGACTATCGTGATCGTTGGGTTCTCCGGATGGAGTCCTAACATCGCCCTTTTAAGCAGTTGCCCTTTCTTTCTACTACCCAGGTCAAGCTTTGGAGAAATGGGACAGAAAGTCAAGGAGAGTTTTAACTTTAAACTCAGCAGCCTTTTTTGAAGGTGTCGCTGTGGAAGCCAAGATCATGTCTGGGATTGACCCTAAGGTTGATGGAAGGTTTCTGAGCATAGTTCAGCATCATCCCACCAGGGGGCAGTAGGAAGCTGTGTGCACAAACCATTTCATCTTGACCAAAGTCAAATCCGAACCATACAACTTTTCTGTCCTTGAACCGGAGCTTCATTAAAACCCTTGGGCAACATTTCAAACTTTAAAACTGTAGAAACTTTTAGTGAATATGGAAGCATTGTTAAGCGTAGGTTGGATTTTCTCTTCATAACCAATACAGGATTCAATTTTGCTGGGAGCATGTCATCATTTATTTTCTTGTCTGAAATGGCTGTTTTTCACTGGTTTCAAGATCTGAAATATGAATGCATTATTTACAATTATGTAATACCCTTACCCTGAGCTGTAAAATAAAAATTAAAAAAACTTGCTTTTCCGTGTCTTTTAAAGTGTTGCCTCCAATCCATGTTATTAAAATTTAAAAGAGCCCAAGAGCAGCATTGGTAATAGCAGAGAACAGATTCACACTCAGATTCATTTTTGTTTAGCACTTGCCGTGTGCCAAGCATTGCCCTGGGAACTAGGAGTACAGGGGTGGCTCTGTTCCTCGGGGAGATCATGGTCTCCTGGAAGATCCTACAAAATAACAGAAGACCAAGTCCCCTGTGCTCTGGAGTAATTAGAATGCTGCTCTTAGCTTTTAGGCAAAAAGCTAATCAAATTGGTAAATGGGAAAAAGAAACACAATAGAATCCTTTCTGGAAAAACCACTGCTTAGGAAACCTGACATGTTCATAATTGCAGGATTTGGGGTAAAAACCCCTCAAAGCAAATTTCCTACTTTATCAATTCCATTACAGCCAATTATGGCCTGTGTGTGTGTGTGTGTGTGTGTGTGTGTGTGAGTGTGTGTGTTGTGTCTATATATAACGAAATTAGGGCAAATGGCTTCCTCATTATTAAGAGAGCATTTTTCCTTCCTACTTGAGTTTTCATTATTTCCTAAGTAATATTTTCTCAGTGCAATTTTGCAAATGTAAGATACCCGGGAATAGATACAGGTTGAAGCGGCAATCCAGGGACTGTCTCATAAAAGCATTGAGAAGTTTGGAAGCACATTAAGTTTTTAGATTGAAACAGCAATAAAATAATGTCACTGTGTTATGAACCAGGTGCTGCCTGCCTGCCTGATGTGTCTTGATTCTAATTAGTTAAACAGTAAAAATGGAGCCCTTATTTTTTTGGCAAGGTTAAGCGTATGGCTGAACATGCTCAGCACAGGACAGTGATTTGCAAACTCTGAATCCTGGTCCCCAGTCTATTCTTGACTTTGGGAAAGTCACTTCGCCTCTTGTTTCTTATTTCTCTTGAGTAAAATGGAAGCCATGAAACAGTCCATCTCACTGGGGTACCGTGATGAATGTCACAGATGATGGAAATATGCTTTGCAAATTCAAACTGGGGTTGAAATGTTGGTGCTAGCCCATAGCAAAGAGGTATGTGTCTGGTTTCATAGAGAAGCAACTCCCCTGCCTCCCTTTTTTGCCCACTTCTAGCCTCTGCATATGCCTAGAAGCACCAAGATCATTATTCAGCCATTTTTGCCCTTAAACAAACCAAATGCAGTCATTTCAAAGATATTCAGAAAGCATCTTGCCTTTATGCTCTTCAGGAAGCAGGAACCATGAAAATCAAGTTATTGTAGTTGTGCTTATGCGCCTTCTTGCCTCGGATTGACAGGGAAGGTATTGCATTTGGGGACCATAACCGCAAAATGGATTTATGATATAGGAAGGAGACAATTTCTCCATGTGGAAAGGGGAGCACTGGGCCGGTAATTCCTTGTGGTGAGTTTTTCTTCCCTAGACAGCAAACACAACGGCAGAAACTGTTATTTTCTTTTTTACTGTGTATCCAACACCTGTCACAGTGCCTGGTACACCGTAGCCCTACAGTAAATGTTCGCTGAAAGAATGTTGAGAAAAAAAATCCACTGTTTCACTTGAAACTGCTAATTGTCATACCAAAGTACTTGAAAACTGCATTTTCCATGAAGATCCTAAGTCATAAAACAACCATGAAATAATTGGAACTAATACTAATCCATTCATGTCTAAATTTATGTACAAAATTATAAAATTTTAATATATTTTAAAAGGCTTTTTTAAAAATGAACTTTAACTTTGATCTTTATTGTTTTTAGTAGATTTTTCTATAAGCCTGAATTCCCACAGTTCAAAAGAATGAAGAGAGATGCTAGTTTACCCTTGTATTGCGGAAACTCCAACAATACTTAACTAGCTCACAGGGGAAAATGGGATTTCAGTCACATGGTTTTTATTCTTATTTACTCCTGAGCATCCCAGTATTTTAAAATGTAAAGGCATAAAGAGGAGATACAAATGCCTTCAAAACTCACTGTTACTTCTTAGAAGCCCAGGATGACTTGAGAATTGAAAAACAGCACAGCTTCATGGTCTAACCTGTTTCGAAGGTGATTCCCAAGTCTCTTCTATGAATGCTTTGTACTGGGATTTCAACTGTTTGTGCTTTTAGTGTTTCTTAAGGAAGAAGCAGCCACATTTCATGATTCCTACCAACTTGCAGGAAGTTCTACTGTGAAAGAAGGATAAAAGAACTTAGTATTATTTTCAGGAGAAGGGTTACATTTTCCCACATTATCACATGTCCCCCCAAAAAGTATCATTGAAGGGAAAATTGAGGACTTCTTAAAAGAAAATAGAGTTTAAGGCCACTATGAAAAGAAATGCTTTAATTTTTTAATTGCTTGGGTCCATGTTCAATAAAGAGCTTCGCTAATCATTTTTCCTAATTACTTTGGCTAACTCACATTTGATGGGAAAAATATATATTGTGGAAACTGCAGTGAAATGTAAGTTGTTCTCCCATGTAATTAGTTTGTTCTGGGAGCTTATTTTTATTACAAAAATAATTTGTGGTAGGTAGCTATAGGAAGACGCTCAGGCTGGAAGGTTTCAGGATAATATTTTCTATGTGAAACCTTCTCTACCATGAGAAGTCATTTTATTCCTTGGAATTCAAACATATACTTTACATCTAATTCTAGATAGAGAGATGTAACAGACCTGGGCCTTTCACTGTCTGGCAGCATTTTGGTGGCCTTCTATCCATGGAGGGAATTAAAGGCTTCAGGCATCAGGGCCCTGTATATTCTTTCAGAGAACCTATCTCTGGGGCCCTGTTTCCCTTTCTTACTTGTGTCTCCCTCTCAGTGCCAGTTCAGTTATATGGGAGGTGTAGGGAATGGTGGAGGTTGGAAGAAGGGCACAGCCATGCCTATACCTGGAGTGATTTCTCCAGGGAACATTGACTGGTTTTGTTCATGGCTCCCTGAAGCCAGGAGGTATGGAGAAGGGGGCTTTCTTTTTTTTTTTCCCCCCAAAACTAATCTAACTGCCTGTTCTCTGAATCCCATTTATACCAACTCCCCAGGAATGTCCTCTCAACTATTTTCAATTTTACCCTCCGTTTGGCTCTTTCTCCTTTGCTTTCAAACATTAGTAAATTCACTTATATTTTTAAAAAGAAGAAAAAGAAAAAAAAAGACTTAACCTTAGCAAAGTCTTCAAACAAATATCCTTTACCTGGTGCCTTTATTTCTTTGTGTTCTCCTTCCTGACTTTTATGTACTTTGCAGTCTGGCCCCATCCTAAAATATCTTTATTGTTAAGATTTTAACTCAATAAAAATCAAACCTCAATGCAGAAAAGGACCCCAAGAGGTTGTCTGGTCTGCATCCAAATCTTCAGGCATCAGTGGCCATGCACTTGCCCCAAGAGAACAAATTTCCAGGACCCTGTTTCTCGTTCCTGCCTCTCTCTTGCTCTCAATGCTAATTCAAATACATGGGAGGCCAATGGAGAGCAAGCATTGCCCGACCTGGGGTGATTCCCCAATCTGCAGACAAGGCACAGGGGCCAACAGCCAGAGGACACTGTGTACTTCGATAAATCTTTTGGTGTTTTCTCATGCTCACCAATCTTTCTACCATGTTTGATACAGTTAAAAAGGCCAGTTCAATTTCCATGACACTATATTCTGAATTTCATTCTGAACAACAGGGGAGAATTAGTTGGGGAAACTGGGCACTTACAAAAGGTCTTACTGATTCTCTGGCTCAACAGAGAATTCTCATAAGCAGAGGGCCTTTGCATTGCATTGAAAATACTTTGATTCTGTGAGCAAAAACACAAGCATGGTTCGTATTGAGCATGGTTACTGATTTAAAAGCAATTCAAAGCTGAGTGTACACTCCAGATTTAATGTTTGGCTATGGTTTTTATTTAGAAATATTTCAAGACAGAAAGAAGGCATTGTAAAAGTTACAGCACAACAGATGGTATATTTGGATATATATTCAAATATGCAGACTAGATCTCTATCATTGGGATCGCTTTATATTAATATTTCTGAAAATAACTATCACTAAAAATAGCCATATACAGTTTTTTTCTGCTTTTCTTCTGGGCACTGTTACACAATTTATAAGAAAACAACTGCATTGCCTTTTAAAATCAGAATACAAATAAAGCGGTTTGCATGGTTGTATGTATATTTGGTGTTGCTGTTGGTTGCTTTGTTTAGTCTGTTGGTTGATTTGAATTAGGAAGATTCAAAAGAACAGGGTGAAACCTGTGTGTTTGCCCCAGGGAGGGTGCCTCATTGCAAGAATCAGGACCTGGGATAGGAGACAGAGAACTCACTGACTCTTGAGTAGCTGGAGGCAGTGTTGGACCCTGGCAGCACCAAGTAGGCACTGACAATTAAGGAGCAGGAGCAATGTGGCCAGGGAACCACCACTGCCATCTCTTGCCACAAGCCACTCTCACACTGCTGCCACTGCTACTTCTACCCTTCGCGTCATCTTGAGTCCTTCCCTCAGGGTTTAGAGTAGAGCCCACATCACCTACCTGGACACTGGTGGCCAGGGATGGTGCAGAGATGGGGAAGGCGGAGGGAAACGTCTGAGAAGGGTCTTACCCTTTCCACTTAGATTAAGGGATGAGGGGGTAGATTCGCTGACATGGCAGAGAATTTCCCAATAATGCGAAGGAGTTTTGAATGGTGGACTCTCCCGCAATATTCAGTATAGAAGGGGAAATGTATTAGAACACTCTGACTAATAAAAATATCATGTGCCCTCTATTGATTTATTAAGATTACTATAGTGATCCCTCCCAAGTGATTCCAGCATTTTGGGAGGCCAAGGCGAGAGGATCGCTTGAGCCCAGGAATTTGAGACCAGACTAGACAACATAGCAAGGCCCTGTCTCTACTAAAAATTAAAAAAAATAATAATAACTGGGGATGTTGGCACAAGTCTGTAGTCCCAGCTACTCAGGAGGCTGAGTGGGAGGATCACTTGAGCCCAGGAGTTTGAGCTTACAGTGAGCTGTGATTGCACCACTGCAGTCCAGCCTGGGTGATAGAGTAAGACCCTATCTAACAAACAAGCAAATGATTACAGTAAACCTCATAAAAGTGTTGGAAGCATGGTTCATATATTATCATAATTTCTAGCATTGTATACTTTTAAAATCCAACTCAGTAAAAGTATACCTTTATATAACTAGCGATATGGTTTGGTTGTGTCCCCACCCAAATCTCATCTTGAATTATAGTTCTCATAATCCCCACGTGTCGTAGGAGGAAGCAGTGGGAGGTAATTGAATCATGGGGGGCAGTTACCCTCATGCTGTTCTAGTAATAGTGAGTGATTTATCACAAGATCTGATGTTTTTATAAGGGGTTTTTCCCCATTTTGCTCGGCACTTCTCCTTGCTGCCACCATGTGAAGAAGGACAGGTTTGCTTCGCCTTCTGCCATAATTGTAAGTTTCCTGAGGCTTCTCCAGCCCTGCGGAAACGTGAGTCAATTAAACCTCTTTCCTTTATAAATTACCCAGTCTCTCGTATGTCCTTATAGCAGTATGAGAACAGACTAATGCAATTAACATCGGGCATTGAGTAACACAATGTGTATCTTGTAGGTCTGATGTCATTTCTGTGCCATGCAGTATCCTGGGGCACAAGTGGTGATCTGAACAGTCATGGAAATCCAACTGGCTTTTCAACTGTACCAAACACGCTGGAAAGATTGATGAGCATGAGAAAACACTGTCAGATTTATTCAAGTACACAGCTTCCTCTGGCTGTTGGATGCCGTGCCTTGTCTACAAATTGGGGCTTCACCCCAGGTCGAGCACTGCTCGCCCTCCGTGGGCCTCCTGTGTGTTCAAATGGGCACTGAGGGCAAGTGAGAGGCAGGAAAAAGAAACAGCATTCTGGAAATTGGTTATGTGGGGGAAAATGTGTGGACTCTGATGGCCTGAACTTTTGAATGAAGACCAGATAATCTCTTGGAGTTCTTTAGTACATTGAGGTTTGATTTTGTTGAATTAAAACCTTAACAATAAAGATATTGCAGAATAGGGCCAGACTGCAAAGTAAACACACACACACACACACACACACACAGCTGCTTTAATCGCCAATGTGAGTATATTTTAATTGAAATGTTGCTCTACTTATAATTTAACTAATATGGCTCATCTTACATAATATAATCACTGTCTTTATGTAATAATTGGAGTTACTTATGTACTATTTTCCTGACCCCATTCATTCATACATCTGCCATGCTTCATATGCAAATGTCTGTCACAGAGCAGCCATTCGGTGAGTTCTTATTACATGAATGATCAAACTGAACTATGCGACAAATATTATTTCTGGTGTGAGAAACACAAAATGAGTAAGGCACAGGTCCTCCTCCAAAGAGTTCAGATTCTAGTGGATAAGATAGAAAGTAAACAAGTATTTAAGTGACATAAGATATGCTATAATAAGAGATACATGAAAATATTCTTAGCATTTATTGAGCCTTTACTGTATACCAGGGAGGTTACTATATGGTTCACAGATAGTTATTTTATTAAGACAACTAAATGGCATGTGTGTATTTTTATTACCATCATTATCATTTCCATTTTATAGATGAGGAAACAGTCTTTGAGAGGTTAACTGATATAGAAAGTGGTGATTTGAATAGGAAGATTCAAAAGAATAGTATGAAGGCGGTGTTTGCACCAGAGAAAGTTCTTGATTGTAAGAAACAGAAGTTTGCCTGAGCGAGGGGAATGTCTAAACTCAAACCCTGAGCATCTCATCTGGAGGGCACACTCTTAGCCACTACTTCATGCCATACTTAAACAAGGAGGAGTTTGCTATGGTTTTCACAGAAGAAAGAGTGCTGCTCTGGTATCTTGCAGGCTGTGTAGGTGATTTTTTTTTCAGGCAGATACTGGATATTCCAGACAGAGGGTGTCACACACAGCAAAGCTGGGGTCATGAGAGAACATAGTTGAATAAGCAACTGCCAGTAGTTCAGCCGTGAGTTGGGCATTGGATCCCTATGGGGTCTGTGATAGTAGATGAGGCTGGGAAAAGAAACCAAGAGGCAGGCAGCTGATGCCGACTGTGGTAAACAATCTCACGGGGCTCTCAGGGCTGTGGATATTATTCTCAGGAAGGTGAAGAGCCACGGAAGGAGGGGAGATGAGCAGATTTGTGGCAATTGCCCTCAATCTCTTACCGCCTAATTCTCCTTACAGCTGGTAACTAGCAACTTCTAGTCAGGGCCACAGTCACTTGTGGTTCTTTCCAATTCATTCTTAGTCTCCTCTCTCCACAGAGCTCAGGCATAGGTTGTCCAGGGCTGGGCCTGGGTCAGCTCCAAGTCTTAGGTCACACACTTTACTCAGATTGCCCCCACCTCTAACCACGGAGGCACTTTTAGAACATTCCAGAGAACTTGCCTCTCTCCTTCTTTACAAAAATTGCTCCTGCTGTTCCAGGCCTCCTCAGATGCCCAGTGGGTCCACCAGAGGCTCTGGCGGGGACCTCTGCTCCATCCGACTTCAGATGTTACCTTGCTTCACATTAAACCAGCAATCACTGGCAATTAAATGTATTATTTAATAAGGACAAAATTAACCCAAACCCCTCTCTTTTATATCCTTCAAATGCTATTTTTTAAATTTTATTTTGGTAGTTTTGGGGGTACAGGTGGTTTTTGGTTCCATGGATAAGTTTGTTAGTGGTGATTTCTGAGATTTTGGTGCACCTGTCACTCAAGCAGTGAACACTGTACCCAGTGTGTAGTCTTTCATCCCTCACCCCCCTCACACCCTTCCCCTTGAGTCCCCAAAGTTCATTATATCATTCTTATGCCTTCGCATTCTCATTGTTTAGCTCCGAAGTTATAAGTGAGAGCATATGCTACTTGATTTTCCATTCCTGAGTTACTTCACTTGGAATAATGGTGTCCAACTACATCCAGATTGCTGCAAATGCCATTATTTTGTTCTTATTTATGGCTGATTAGTATTCCATGGTGTATATATTCCACATTTTCTTAATCCATTCACTAGGTGATGGGCACTTCTGGTGGTTCCACATCTCTACAATTGTGAATTGTGCTGCTATAAACATGTGCATGCAAGTGTTTTTTTGTTTTTTGTTTTTTGTTTTTTCATTTTTGGTAGATACCTAGTAGTAGGATTGCTGGATTGATTGGTAGATCTACCTTTAGTTCTTTAGGGAACCTACACACCGTTTTCCATAGTAGTTGTACTAGTTTACATTCCCACTAGCAGCATAAAAGTGTCCCCTTTATACGACATCCACGCCAACATCTATTATTTTTTGATTTTTTAATTATAGCTTAGCCATTCTTGCAGGAGTAAGGTGGTATCTCATTGTGGTTTTAATTTGCATTTCACTGATAATTAGTGATGTTGAGCTTTTTTTTATGTTTTTTGGCCATTTGTCTACCTTCTTTTGAGAATTGTCTGTTCATGTCCTTCAAATAGTATTTCTTTAACTCTGAATATCATCAACTGTTTCACATTTGATGAAAATGCACCTTACTTTCTTGCATTTCTATCTATTGTATGCAGCCAAGTTGAATTTCTCAAATGAGAAAATCTGACTGGTTGCCAGGGCACCAGTGGAAGAAAGTCTTTTGCAAAAAGGGGTGGGTTTCACAACTGCTTTTCTCACAAATACTGCGCTATCACAGGATAACTCTGATGATTTAATGTGTCACTTTGAATCACAGAATGTTTCTATAATTCTACTACTGTAGTAATTTGCAGTAGTCAAACAGGAAAATTGTGTTCATTCAGACTCAGTGGGTTTCATATTCCTATTGTTTCCAAAGTATTTTAATTTTTAAATAATTTGGAGTTTAACTGATTTGAAGTTCATATTTACTAAATAAACCCTCTCTTCCAAAGTCTTACGAACTGGGTAGCAACATCCAAAATATTTCAGAGACCTTTTTTTATTTTATTTTATTTTATTTATTTGCTTTTTGAGTAGGAGTCTCACTCTATTGCCCAGGCTGGAGTGCAATGGCACGATCTCAGCTCACTGCAAACTCGGCTTCCCGGTTCCAAGCGATTCTCCTGCCTCAGCCTCCTGAGTAGCTGGGATTACAGGCACACACCACCACGCCTGGCTAATTTTTGTATTTTAGTAGAGACGGGGTTTCACTATGTTGGTCAGGCTGGTCTCGAAATCCTGAACTCATGATCCACCCACCTCAGCCTCCCAAAGTGCTGGGATTACAGGCATGAACCACAGCACCCGGCCGAGGGCTTTTTATTTTATTCAAAGACAAGATTTTTCAGGTTAAGCCAAGTGGTCTTGATATACTCATCTTTTTTTAAAAAAACCCACAGACTGATCACAAATGTTCTTATTCATTCATTATAACAAAATTCACTAAGAACTTCCACTTGGCCATTTTTAGTAGTATAACTGGAATTACTCTATTTGTGTAAAAATAATAAAACTATATTTGGAACTATATTCTAATATACTTTTCAATTACCTCCCCAATTAGTCTGAATTCTCCAGATTAGATTCTAGAGAATTTTGCTTACTACGAAGAGATCCAAGCAATGGATTATTATTGCTAATTACTTCTCAACAAGATCCAGTGACCAGCAAATAACTCAAGGTGTATTTTCATGTCCTGTTGCAGTGCCCACACTGTGCATGCACAAATTGTCTGCCTTCTCATATACAACTTTCTCAGGGTGCTCTTTTCTTCTTCTCTCTCACATGCAGAAAGGGAAAAGAAGAGAGCAAAACTGTAGCCATTGAGGCAAAGATTTGGAGGAAGAAGAGCAGAAAAGATGAATACAAATGTTTGGAACAGGGATAGAATTGGGCCAATCTAGTGGGAAGGAAGGGCTGTAAGCTGTGGAACCAGGAGTGACCAGAAGCCTTGTTTGGTGTCCTGGAGGACCAAAGTGGGAAGGTTCGACAACAGGACTCAAGGAAAAGAGATGGATGGTGGGAGCAGCTTAGAACTTTCTGTCCCAAAGAGTAAACTTATTCACATAGAATTGTGAACTATTACACGCACAGAAAAAGAGTAGCCATGGAGAGAATGGGCTACGGAGTTAGACTGACTGGGATTTGGGATCAGGCTTCTGCCACTTACAGCGTGATTTTGGACAATGTAACTAACCTTTAAAAGTGTTGGCTTATTCATTTGCAGGATTGGGCTAACAATGCCTAGCTGGCAGGACTGTCCTGAGGATAACATGAGATAATGTATGGGGAACAATGCTTGGCACTCAATGTAAGCTAGTTATTGTCTATATTATTTTATATACATTTTTCAATTACCTCCCCTAATTAGTTCAAATTCACCAGATTTGACCCTAGAGGACTTCACTACAGGGACAGTCAGGCAATTGATTACTATTACCATTATTCTAATAATAATTTGAAGCAATCAAACAGCTATGTTTATGTCATTGGGCAAAATAATCACTCCTTCACCTGGTCACTGGTTTATGTAAGTGGAAGGATCCCAGACTTTGAAGTCACACTGACCTGGGTTCAAATCCTGAGTCTGCTACTCACCAGGAAAATAATTTTAAATCTGGAAACTCACTTTCCTTTATAGTAATGTGTGAGATCACTTCTACCTTTCCAGAGAATTGTTATTACTAAAAGTGATAACAATGGATTTAGTGTGGTGTCTTGTTAGAGTGCCAGGTAGTTGGCACATTGTAGTGATATTCAATTTTCAGTATTTCACAGTTTTGTTGTCATTCAGTGGCCAGTGGAACTTAGTGTGGTGAATGGAGAAAATGTTGTTCTAAGTATTAGACAAAACAAGAACTCAGAGTAGGTAAGAATGTGTGCAAAGTTTTATGACGAAGTGGTCACAGAATCAACACTAGAACCTCGAATATAGATTAGCAGAGCTGGGACCCTATCCTCTACTCATCAAGAACTTATAGCTTCATGTTGTTGGTAAAGAAACAGCCCAGAAATCAAATGGTTTCGCCAGGAACCTAGACTTCACCTGACATCAAGGCTACTCATCTCTCCTGTGTTATACGGTTTCAGTGGACCACTTTGATGCCCAAAAGAGCTTGAAAATAAAACTTTAAGTATGACAATATTCATAACTATTGAACTCAGCACAAGAAATAATTTAAATTGTATGGTCATAGCCAATATTTTAAAAGTATAATAGCATGAGTATTTCAGGGTGAAAACTCAACAAAATGTTTGTGATATGTGTTAATTGAGGCATAGTTCACATTTTAATAGCCTGGCTACTAAATGATGGTCAAAACTCAATAATGTGTTTCTGACATAAGTGTGTTCAATTACCTTTTTCCATACTTTTATCCATCATTTTCCTTCTCCTTAAAATATGTTTCTCAGGATCCTAAGAGGAGTTTACAGAAACAAATTTCTATTGGGAAAAATACTGTTTTAACCAGTTGCCTTATTCTGTGAGCCCCCAGTTTTCTGGCATCAAGTAAATCACTATAGTTTCCCACAGCATAGAAATCTACCAAGTGCAGGGGGAGGTTGCAATGTCAAGTTCATTCTTCTGGGTCTCCTCAACAATCCCAAAACCCTCCTCCACAGAAGAGGTGCCTCTCAGCATCATCCATAATTTTGAAATCTTTAGGCTTCAAAATTCCATTTAGACAGAAACCTTTATGTTGGGCAATTCATGTTCACCAATGTTCCAGGCTCTCCTACCTGTCCTTACTCCCATGAGCATGACCATGACCATGTCTTGTTTGGCATGGCTGAGGGAACCAGGCATCTCTGTGTAGCAGGCTCTTGGAGCGGCATAGCCACTGCAGCTGCACATCATCCTTAATAAAGGGATTAGAGATGCGAGTCTGCAATGGTTCAGCTTTTCATTCAGCCTCTCTGATTCTCAATTGGCCTCTCTTCATTTCCTTCCGCCCCCAACTACCTAAGCCAACTCTTATTTTCATGGTTGACTTAGTCGAATGTGTTTACTTTCCTTTATAGCGTCCAACTAATGTTTTGGGGAAAATACTGGAAAACTGAAGTTAACTTGAACTCTAACTTTGGATAACTATAAAGCCCTGTGTGTAATTACAAAGCATCCTGAGCCAGGCTGTATATCATAGAGGTATTTTATTCTTCAGTTTTTTCTGCTTTTTTTTTTTTTGCTATCCACTTGAGTTTTAATTACTCAGCAGTTCTGCAGTGGGAACAATTCCATTATGACTTGTATTTTACAGACGGAGATCCTGGGGTCCTAAATTTG
The DNA here is from genome assembly GCF_000001405.40 of Homo sapiens. Taxonomy (NCBI): domain Eukaryota; kingdom Metazoa; phylum Chordata; class Mammalia; order Primates; family Hominidae; genus Homo; species Homo sapiens. The sequence continues at coordinate 24,007,251 of NC_000010.11, forward strand.
TGGCCGATTGCACTGTGTCCTGGAGACGGAGTGGAACCACAGCCCAGAGCCCCTGGGAATCATCCCTGAAAGACTGCATTACTTCTCCATGGAGTCTTCCTCCTCCTGCTTATTTTCTTTTTGGGTAAGGTCTATCTTTTTATTAAATCATAAAATGAGCATCCATCATCTTGACAGTGAGTGAATTATGAGCTGTAGGCCTATCTATAAAACTTGGCTTCTGTTCATTCCCTCTCTGAGCTCAGTGGAACAAAATGTCCAAATTGAACCCTGCAATCTTCCCACAGGTATTTGTTCTGATATGTAGCTGCTTTATTTTTCAGTCATTCTTCCTTTGGTGTTGCGGACAGGGTTAGCACATATGTGTTATTTTTCAGACCATGTATTAGATCCATTTATATGCCTGTCTTTGTGTTCAGACTCTGGCTCAAAGCCATGATAATGACTAAAGAATACGAAAATGCTCAGAGAACATGAACTTTTTGGCAAAGGATAGAGGGAACGGTGTAGATACCTGATGACTGCCTGTGTCTATGGAGGGAATAGAATGAATCAGAAATAAGAGTTGTTTTTGGGTCAGTCCAATTATATGATCTTGATCAAAGTCAGGATCCCATAAAAGAGCAAAATTAATTTTCCAGTTTCATTGAGATCCCTTTGCTTTCCCCAAATCAGCCTACATGAGTGGCCTTGAGTGTCTGGAATGGTGAGATGACCAATTAATCCCCAACTTTAGCATATTCATTCAGCCTAAATTCTGTTCATAAATCCACCAGTTCAATATTTTATGCTAATAAAAACTATTAACGTTTTTCATTTTCTCCCATTACAAAGTTTTCATACAGCCCTCAACATTCTGCCTGCAAGATGTAAAATTTTGGTATTTAATCCATAGGAAGGTAGGAAATTAGATAGATAGATAGATAGATAGATAGATAGATAGATAGATAGATAGATTATTTATCTTGTCTCAATACCGTCTTCATTCAACTTGGTGTTTGGTTTAGTGAGCTGTATAAATCAGCACTCAGCCACATCACAGAGGGATAGAAGGGCCTTCGACATCATGGTCAGAGAATCATTGTCAGGAAGCATTAAACTTAGCTTCCTCAATGTCAGAATGTTTGCACCAGCTCTGACACAGGAAGTTCGCTTAATGATGGCAAAAGTTCCCTGAGTGACGGTAGAAAGTTTGCAAAATAGCTTCTGAATTCAAGCAACCAAAGAGGCTGTATCCCCTCCTTCTGTAAAGTGATATTGTTGGTAGAAAACCACCAGATGAAGGAGGGCATGCGGGTGCTGGATTTTGTGCAGCTAGAAAGCTGGTAGGTAGGTCCTGTTTAGTCTGTGCCAGAAGCCAAGCAAGCTTCAGAAAGGGAGTTCAGGAGTCCTCTCAGCTCCCGGTGATTTACCCTGACTTCCCTTTGTAAGCATATGGATTCTATTTTCTGCTGTCTCTATAAATACTGTTGTGACTGTCTCTGCCAAACCAGCTACCTTTCTCACCCCAGGGAGAAGCCAGGGATCAGACATTCCTACGCTACCGCCCCATTAGATGCTGCCGTAACACGAGGGAGCAGACCTGGCAGTCAATATGATGTGTGTATTTGAATCTTTAAAGAGCTAGGCTAAACTTAGAGTCAGCAGACTACCATAAATAACCTGTGTTCCTCTCTCTTTGTGTGGTTTGCCCTGGAATGCCTTGCGCTTTAGCGTTGTACAAGCAGCAAGAGATCAAAGAGTCAACCTTTTATGGATGCATAGTTCATTACAAAGTCATCCGTGGGAGGAGACCCTGGCAAAAGCACTAATCATTCTCTCTTGTGACTGTTTTGTTGCCTGAATTGGGATTGGAGGGCACTAAAAGAACTTGCAACCACTTTAAATAATTTTAAAGAATAAAATAAAGCTGGAAATTCACTTTTAAAGGAGGGTTAAAACTTAACTGGCATCTTTTTTGGGTATAGAATGTGGTAGGAGGAAAGAGGAAGTAAAGGAATTGGCCCATTATCACATGGAATGTGGTTGGAGAAGAATAATAGAAGGCAGAACAGAATCCTGTGTAATTTACTTACCCTTGGGTAAGCGTTAGAGAGAGCCTTTGATAAGCAGAGCAGAACATCGACAGGGATTTTTTTTTTTAAAGCCCAAACTAGATAATGTATTTGAAAAACAGGCTTTGAACTAGTTTGCTAGAATATAAAGAATAAATGTGTTTCAAATTATAGCACTAATGATGTTGCAAACCCAGGATTATGGATAATCACAATGCTACAAAACAATAGCTACTATTTATTTGATGTCTGCTGCATGTCACATGCTGTGCAGTGTATGTGATATCTTTTCATCTCACAACCATGCATGGGGTTGACCTGTTGGTTATCCCCACTTACACACAGGGAAATAGGACCCTGCAAAGTTGAAATGCTTAGCTCAAGGTCACACAGTCACTAAGTGGTAAGCCCAGGATTTGAACCGAGCTCTGGAAGGAAGTGGAAATGACTACCTCTTAGCCTGTAGTTAATATTTCTGGCTCTTGACACTTGTTCTAGTCTCTGCTGCAGGAGTTGTTGGAACTCTTTTGCTTTCTGAGCTTGGGAGATTCGCTCTCAAAGACTTACTCTGTGATTAAGACTTACTCTGTCTGAGCTGAATGTGTGTATCTGTATGGGGGCTCTGTCCTTGTGGTTGTCCATAGGCAGTCAGAATTAATTACTCATAAAACATTGCATAGATAAGACTTTTGATCTGGCATTTTGGAAGTTAGGGGTTGGATATCTTATAAAAGAATGTCTGTTGCATACTTGATCAATTACAGTGATAGCTAAAGAAACATTTTCTCAAATGTATTATTTTAACAGGAATCATGTTCTAGCTTCCCATCCTTTAGCTTACTTTAAGTTTCAGAAAACCTGGACTGTATGAACGCTTTTTAAAAAAAATGACAGGGTAAAATGCAAAAAAAAAAAGTCAATGATTACAGTCAATAAAGTCTCAATGGCTCTGTATCCCTGAGATCTTTTGTTCTTGTCACAGATAAAAACTGCATCACAGAAATGCCACAAGATCAAATGATTAAGATGATTGGAAAACTACAATGCTCTATAAATATTACTTTCTTTCTGTTCTTCTCAGTGATACTACCTTTGTTCAACCCATCTCTTCCTGCTGTTTTAAAATAAAAAGTTTTTTGAAAGTCAGAAATAAAAGCAAATAACTGATCGATCCTTTTTTTTTTTTACCAATTTCATAGCAATTGAAAACATCATCCAAAATACTGTAGATCTTCCCCCCCTTCAAGTTTTCTTGAAAGATTTCACACGTGCAGTGTAAGAAATTGTGAGTCAGCCTTCTCCAATCCTGACTTTAAGAGTTGCAAAAATCATCTGCCAGGGATCACATATGTTCTCGGTTCCATGAGAGGAAGAAAACACATTTGCTGGAAAAAAAAAAAAAAGGGAACTTTAAAACCAGTGGAGTTAGAATAAATACACTTGCATTCTGCTAACTTCTTTTCCTTTCCAGGGCCTGAAGGCTTTTCTGGCCCTGGACAGGAAGCAAGGCATCTGTCACCCCAAATACTGCCTCTCCGGGATGGGGGTTCCAGCTGGTCATGGAAGGGAAGCAAAGGAAGTGCAGAATGACCAAAAGATGGGATTAGGATGCAGAAATAATAAATCTACAGCAACTACTTTTTGAAGCCAAGACATCCAACAGCTATAAGTCCAATCTCTCCTTAAGACCTCACAACACTCCAATATGATTGGTAATAAACTTCAGTCTGCAGTTGAGACATGACTTTTAGCAGACTAAGGCACTTGGCTAAGGTCACATAGCTAGTGAGCCAGGTAGGGAAGAATACCAGAGCCTGTGAGTGTAGTATTTCATGAGTAGCATTACCTATGGAACCTCCAGAACATTGGATAGGTATTTCCATCTAAGAAATTGTCTTCAGCCTGGTGCAGTGGCTCACACCTATAGTCCCAACATTTTGGGAGGCTGAGGCAGGAGGATCTCTTGAGGCCAGGAGTTTGAGACTTGCCTGGACAACATAGCGAGACCCCATCTTTACAAAAAAATTTAATAATTTACCAGACGTTGTGATGCCTACCTGTAGTCCCAGCTACTCAGGAGGCTGAGGTGGGAGGATCACTTGGGCCTAGGAGTTTGAGGTTGCAGTGAGCTGTGATCATGCCACTGCATTCCAGCCTGGGTGACAGAGTGAGATCTTGTCTTAAAATTAAATAAATAAAATTGTCTTTTTAAAAAAAAGCAGAGAAAGAGTCTCCTAACATCCTAAAGCAACAGCTTACTGGCAAGTACTAGTGCCTCCATGTTAACATTGCAGAAACCAGATTCAAACAAGTTGTGAGTTTCTCTTGAAGCAAAAGAAATCAATTACAGGGAAAATGGAACTCTCAACTTAACACTCAACTTAAGAAATTTAAAAGTCATTTCATGATGCTTTGCCCTTCTTCACCTCTCACTGAAACAGTTCTGTTCTTCAGTAATTGGTGTTGGGTTGTTCCCGTGGGTTGACAGTCAGCATGTTTTTATTTATTAAATGGTGTAAGTAAAAATTGATGTGGTGGAACAATCATGGCAGTCTCTGCCACAGAACAAAGGCTTTTTCCAAACCAGCATTTCCCCCATAACATCTGTGAAGATGTTTCATGTGGATTTTCCTTCCCCAATATCCAATGGCATTATTTCATGTTCAGATGGAAATGACAGTGACATTTCATTTGACCAAGGAAAAATAAAAGGAAAGAAAGAAACATTTCTACATTTAACAGAACCCAAAGGCAATTTGAAAAACACTTTGGAAGCTTATTTCCATTTTACGATCTAAAGCAGACCTAAGGTGTATCTGTAGACAGGTGGTGCTGGTTGCAGTTCTGCTGTGAGCCTTTATGAAAAGGATTATGTTGACTTTCTGAGAATATTTCAGGACTCAGCATCTCAAAGGACTCCAAAATGGTGGTTTTAAACTCCCATTGAAATGGGTCACAATATAAATCCTAAAGAGAAAACCAAGCCAGGTAAACCTAGGGTCTTGGCTCCACATCAAACCTCACAATTTGAAGCCCAGGTTATTCTTACAACTCTCTTAAGACCTCTAAGCCCATCCTCACTAGCCACAGCCTGGGGCTTCCTTGATCCTGCTAAAACTGAGCCAAGAAGCAAAAGCTCAGTGAGTGTCATTTTGCATAGAACTACTAAGCAGGATAAAGAGAAGCAGTAGGAAAGGAATTCCCCAGTCACAGAAAACTAGGGTGTCTGATTATAAGATAGTAGTCTCTTCCTTCAAGGCTGGTGGGTAAAATTCTCCCTTGTGCCTTTGAATGAGGGATTTCCCCTAAACACAATACTGAAGTTTGTATTTAGTTGCTGGAACCCTGGAGACTGGGGACTTTTTTAAAAGGCAGAACTTTCAGAGGAAGCTGGAATATAATGCCTATTATAGTGAACTGTAACTTAGAAGTACCCTGTAGAGACAAGAGAAGTCAAGGTTGTTTCTTAACACAGCTTTAACAAAAAATGTAAACTTTGGTTGGATTAAGCTATTACTGATCTCATGCTTCTGTTGGTAGAAAATACACCTTTTTATAAACAGAACTATTTTGGGGAGGATGATAAATCACATCCTAACGCATAACATTTTTATGATTTAAAGACAGTTGGTCCTCATTACATGTGGATTCTGTATCTGCAAATTCTAATACTCGCTAAAATGTATTTATAATCTTCAAATCAGTACTCATGGTACTTTTGCAGATAAGCACAGAGTGACAATAAATTTGAGTCACTCAAAGTACATTGTAAACAAGTGTCCCTTTCACGATCTATTTGGTGCCATATTTTTTTGCATTTTTATGCCTTTTGCATGTTCAGTGGTGATTTCACTGTTTAAAAATGGCGCCCCTAAGCAATGTACTGAAGTACCGTCCAGTGTATCTAAGCACAAGAAGGCCAAGATGTGCCTTACAGAGAAAAAATACACTTGTTAGACAAGCTTCGTTTGGGCATGAGTTATAGTGTTTTTGGCCATGATTCAATGTTAATAAATCAAAATATATATATTGAATATTTATGTTATTTCAATATACATCTATATATTAATTATATATTAAATAAGGTGTCTTTAAGCAGAAACACACATAAAAAAGGTTATGCATTAATCAGTGGACAAAAGCCAAAGGCTTATAGGAACCAAGCCCCGTATTTCCTCTAGGAGCAATGATTCAGTATTTGCTAATTCAACATCCATGTCTGTGTTATAGATCATAATTAGTGTGAATAACAGAATCAACTGCATTTGATTGAAAGCTCTGTGCCATCTGGTTACTTGAGTGGCTCTATTATGTGCAGACATAGTCTCCAACTATCTTTAATGTGACTCAGAAATGTCCTGCTATATTCAGGATCAGGTTTCAGGTAAGTTAGGAGTTACATAGACTGGATGAGAATCCAAATAAAATCTTACACCTGAGTCAAAGAATGGGACGCTGATTCTGGAGTGTGGTGAGAGAAGGGAAACTTGGCCATGCGCTATGGGGAGTGCCGCCATGAGGGGAGGGAAGGAGAGATATGGAAGAAGCTGAAGAGAGGAAACCAAAAGTAGAGGGAAAGATGTGTGTGCTCACAGTGACGCCAAGAGCCAGCACCTTAGACAGTGCTCTTAATTGTGGGATGTGTCACTGTCTGAGAATATTCAACATTACTCCTTCCACCAAAGTATGGAACAGGAAAATTAATGTGTGTACAATGTCATTTGTTATACTTTCTTGACAGGCAGTAGGTGAGATACCAACACATTCTGCAGAGCTTAATGACATCATTTTAATGTAAATTGAGCCTGTTTATTTGCTTTTCCTGTTTCATATAAGGTTATGACTCTGTCTCCTGGCTACCCAGAAAAGGCCATTTTGATTTTGGATAAATAGTATCTGTAGAAATGTGTTTTTAAATAAAGGGTACTTCATGCACTTAAGTTAATGGACTTTAATAATCTATTTAATACGCTCTGGCAAGAAAGATGTTTTTACTAGCTACCATTGGAGAAACTATGTGTTCTCATATTCAGGCATAAGGTAATTTGTTTTACACGCAGAAAATAGAGTTTACAATTTGAAATAAACAAATCACTGCTTTAAACAGTGTAGGAGAGAGTACACTACTTCAAAAATAATTGCTTGTTTACATGCATTTGCTTGTTGGAAACAAAAGACTGAAATGAGAGCTCCTCTATCGTTAGTCTGTTATGTGAAAAAATGAGAAAGTGCATACAAGGACCCAAAGCAGTAGAGAGAATTTCCCATAATGCCATGTGGACATGATAAATTGTACCATTTTGCCAGTTAATGATATATTAGATCAATACAGCATCTAACTCGTGAGCTTCAGCTAGAAATCTCAAGTCTGATGGAAAACTATTTTTTAGTATCTTAAGAAAGTCTCAAAACTTTGGAAAAAATTAGTGTTTTTGAAATATGGCCAAGTTATATCTTCACACATGAAAAATGTACTATATTTTTCTAGGAGTTTGAAAATCATTTTGAGGGCTGAGAGTTTTTCTAAGCAGTGTTAAAACCACATTGAATTGCTGTTAAAGGGTAATAGTCATACCCTTTCATATTGTTTTGAGAATTAAACAGAATACAGCACATGGAACAAAAATTAATATAATATCTTCGATCAAAAATATAATTCTAAAATAATATTATTCAAAAATATAATAATATTCTTGGTAGAGTAAATGTTGGCCCTAAAAAAGCATGTAGTTATCAAAATTGTCCTAAACAAAATATCATTTTCTGTTGGCTGTCATTGCTACAACCATGCCACTCTTGGAAACTGATAGAACCAACAAAGTAAATGGCAAAAAGAAATGTTGAGGACAACAATAATGCTTTCCTGATTCCTCCAAATCATTTCCTATAAAGGGCTGTACAATGAGATTGCTTAGTCTACATGCCTATCTGTTCCACTCATTGGTAATTAAAATGAACTGCTATAACAAGGAACCTCAAAATATCAGTAGCTTAAAACAATGAAGATTTACTGTTGATGTGATCCTTCCATAAGAATCAGGTAGCTCTTCTTGGGGTCCCTCTTAAATAGTTTCTTCCATGTTGCAGCCTCCTCAGTCTTAGTAGAAGAGAAAGACTTTATAATGATTGTTAGGGAGGTTTATGACCAGGTCTAGAAATAGCAACATAAGGCCAGGCATGGTGGCTTATACCCATAATCCCAGCACTTTGGGAGGCCAAGGCAGGTGGATCACCTGAGGTCAAGAGTTCAAGACCAGCCTGGCCAACGTGGTAAAACCGCATCTCTACTATAAATGCAGAACTTAGCAAGGCATGGTGGTGGGTGCCTGTAGTCCCAGCTACTCAGGAGGCTGAGCCAGGAGAATGTTTGAACCTAGGAGGCAGAGGTTGCAGTGAGCCAAGATTGTGCCACTACACTTCAGCCTGGGCCTCAGAGTGAGACTCTGACTCAAAAAAAAAAAAAGAAAAAGAAAAAAGGAAAGAAAGAAAGAAAGAAATAGAAACGTAAAATCCACTTCCATTTTAAGACCAGAACCTAGTCCTAAGGCCACAAAGTAACTTCAAAGTGTACTGGGATGTGCCCTCTTCCTGTTTGCGTAGGGTAAAAAAAAAAACCAGGATATGCTTTCTTGATTCTTCAAAGCAAGTAAAGGTTTAAACTTCCCAGTATGTTCAGTTTATTTCTTAACATGCCATTAAATGAGCTGAACAATTTACTGGAAGAGGAAAATAAGGTACCATTTGACACCTTAATTTATGTATCTCAGCATGCATAGTTGAGGTTGGTGTTAAGCACAGCTAAAGTTCCAAGTCTCCTCTGAAGCTCCCCTGGTGATCTAACTGGGCTTTCTGGTGATGGTCTCCTCTAGGCTGCTATAGTAACATTTATCAAATATGTCTCTGTATTCTTTCTTTCTGTGTATTATGTCTGTTATCTTCCTGTTTAAAGAATTCAGTTCTTCTCTGCTTTGTGTAGCTACTTATTTCTTTGCTCAGTTCTTGTATTCTTATATTTATATTTTCAGCCTGGCTTCCTAGGGGTCATCCCTGTGTTTTCTCAGCTCAGTGATCAACCAGCGATTGGGCAGAGATTATATTCAAACACCTTTTATACAAAGTATACAAAGAAACAGGAAAATCTACCCTGCAGCCTGTACTCAGAAAAAATAGTGTTCAATGAAACTAACTTACAGAGTCAGCCAGGTTGTTAGATTTAACAAAGATGTCAACACAACTATTAAAATTATGTTTAAAGAATTCAAGCTAAGCTTCTTATGTTTAATAATATTATATAGTGTAGTATATTGTAGTATAGTATAATATTGTAACTATAGTAATTAAGGATGTGTGTTCTGGAGTCAGACTGCAAGGGTTTGGATCTTGTGTTCATTACTTACTTGCTTTTTACCTTACCTAGTTATTTAACCTCTTTCTGCCTCAGTTTCCTCATGTAAAAATAAGCATAGTAACTAAAGTACCAACCTCATACATTTATTTTAAGGATTGAACATGATAAAATATATAAAGCACTAAAACTGGCAAGCATTTAAAAAAAACGTGCAGTGAGCCTTCAAGAGATGCTAAATATAATGAGTAATACAATATAGAACTATGATTTTATTTGCTTGAATCTTCTATTGCTGGTAGCATTATAGACTTACCCATAGTAGGTCACAATAAATGTTTACTGAATGAAATCATGAATATTTTGTTTCGTTGGTTAGTTAGTTTTTTTGTTTTTTTTTTTTTTTTTTGATTTTTTGTTTTGAAACAAGGTCTCACTCTATCACCCAGGCTGGAGTGCAGTGGCACAGCATAGGTCACTACAGCCTTGAACTCAGGGGCTCAAGTGAACCTCCCACCTTAGCCTCTCAAGTAGCTGGGACTATAGGCATGTGTCACCACACCTGGCTAACTTTAACATTTTACATTTTTTGTAGAGACAGGATCTTGCTATGTTGCCCAGGCTGGTCTGGAACTCCTGACCTCTAGGACTTCTCCTGCCTTGGCTTCCCAAAGTGCTGGGATTGCAGGCATGAGCCACCGTGCCCAGCCAGAAATCATATTTTTGATGCATGAAGTAGAGAGCCTTTCACTTCAATGTAAGGGGACTATAAAAAATTCCTTCCCCAATGTATTTCCTCTAGTTCCACACAGATGCCAACCTTAATTAAGATGTAATATTTTTATTCAGAATGAAGAATCAATGTTAAATGCAAATAAACCTGAAAAAGTAACATACTGGCTTAAATTCACACTATAATTTTCCATTTAAACACAGTATACTCAACTTTAAGTGAAACACCTCCTGATACAACATACCTAAAAAGCTGGATAAAATTTAAAAATTTAATTTTATATGTATAACTGCACTGTTGCAAAAGTAGAACTCCTGCAAAGGCCAGAAATTATATGAAAATGCAGTTCCACAGAAGCACAGCCACTTACCCTGGGGAGTTTACCTTTTGCTTGTGACCCAGACCTGGGTTCCAAAGGTCTCACCCAGGGGATTAAAAACAAAGCTTAAAGACATAGCAATGTGGAACAACATACATTGAAAGCAAGAAAGATTAGTGTAAGGACAAGTGCACATCTCATTCAGAGTTCATGGAGATAATTGCTTGCCTCACTGTTTAGGGAGAGCACAAAAAAGAAAATGTATTCCTTCAATATCTCCAACCACAACTCTACCAGGTTACCTTTGTAGCCCCCCAAAAAGTAAGATCCGAGTTTAAAGTGGCCTCAAGTTTGTAGTATCCCAGCTTCTTTCTGCTTTACAGAAGAAATACAAATTCTTTCTGGAAGAATGCACCTTAAACCCAAGCTTCATATTAAAAAAAAAATTATAAGGAGTATGTGCTCCCAAACAAAAAGTCACCAAACACAAAAAAGTGAGAACCCATTAGCAAAAGCCAAGAGAAACCACAAAGTGGAGAATTTCAGACATTGGAGTTATCAGACCTAGAATATGTAAGTTTGATCTCTAACATGCTCAAGGAGTTAAAAGCATATAGCAAGTATAGTAGAGTTACATAACATTAAACAGTGAAATAATAACTGAAAGTAGGAACTACATTAATCATCGGATTAGACTTAGCTGAAGAGAGGATTTGTGAACTGAAAGAGCTTTTATTAGGAGATATACCTAATGCTAAATGATGAGTTAATGGGTGCAGCACACCAACATGGCACATGTATACATATGTAACAAACCTGCACATTGTGCACATGTACCCTAAAACTTAAAGCATAATAATAATAAAAAATAATAATAATAAATAAATAAATAAAATTAAAAACAAGTAGCATATAGTAAGTATAGCCATTCTAGAAAACCGTAGAGATATTCCTCAAAAAACTAAACTTAGAACTGCTATATGACCCAGCAATCCCACTACTGGGTATATATCCAAAGATAATGGAATCAATATGTCAAAGAGATAACTGCACTATCATGTTTATTGCAGCACTATTCACCATAGCCATAGCCATGACATGAAATCAAGCTAAGTGTCCATCAATGGATGAATGGCTAAAGAATATATGGTATATATACACTATTCTGCCTTCAAAGAGAAGAAAATCTTGTCATTTGCTACAACATGAATAAAGGAGGGCATTATGGCAAGTGAAATAAACCTGGCACAGAAAGACAAATACTGTATGCTCTCAATTATGTGAAATCTAAAAAAATTGAACTCATAGAAGCAGAGAGTAGAATGGTGGCTACCAGGGGCAGGGGTTGAAGGAGCAGGGAGATGTCACTTAAAAGGTACAAAGTTTCAGTTAGACAGGAGAAATAAATTTTGGAGATTTGTTGTACAGCATGATGACTATAATTAATGATAATGTGTGTAGTATACTTGAAAATCACTGAAAAAGTAGATTTTAAAATGTTCTCATCAGAAAAATGATAAGTAGGTGAGCTGATGGATATGTTAATTTGCTTGATTTAATAATTCTGCTATGTATACATATATCAAAACATTGTTATATACCATAAATATATACAATTTGGCATTTGTCAATTTAAACAAATAAATGATGAGACCTAACTCTCAATAAATAAATACATACATACTTAAGGAATGCAAAAAAAATTTAAAAAATAAAATAAAAATAATTTAAAATGCCACTTAAAAAGACAGAGTGGAGGTAATTGTGAAAGAAGCATTTGAAGAAAAAGAAAATATAGTGGGGAAGATAGAACACATTTCAGATTGAAGATTTGGGGCAGGGGAGGGCAGACTTCTGTGAAAGATCAGATGGTAAATGTTTTAGGCTTAGGGGCCATAGAGTCTTGGAAATACTTAACTCTGAGGTTGCAGTGCAAAATCATCCATAAGTAGTAATGTAAATAAATGAGCCCGGCTACATTCTAAGAAGATTTTATTTCTACAATGGCAGCACACTACATTTGGCCCTTGGATGATAGTTTGTTAAATCCTAGACTAGGAAATCATAGAAAATCAGAGCAGAATAAAATTTGAGAAGAGAATGGATTATACCTCAATCAAGATAATCTAAAAAATAAAACAACTCTAAAAAGAAAAAAAGAAAAAGTACAATAATGGCTGAGAATTTTTCAGGAATAAGTAAAATAAATGATTCTCAGATTCAAGGACCCCCAAAATTCAAAGTGAGTTAAAATAAAAATAAATCCACATCAAGATACATTACTGTGAAACTGCATAACAAGAATGATAAAGAGAAGATCTTAAAAGTAGCCACAAAAGTCAGTAAATTCTTTCCCCCAAAATTATGTAGACACCAGACAAAATTGTCAAAAATAACCACATATGGTTCCAGAAATCAACCAAAGGCAAACAAAAATTATGAAGCATTTATTTATGAAAAACTTCTAGAGCGTTGGGTGAGAATAGTAGTCCGTGACTTTCATTCCTGGGGCTACCCCCATCACCTAGCCATCAGCAGATGCATGGTTGATGCTGTAGTTTTACAAGAGGGAAGTTGGCTGTGAAAATCAGCAACTTAATTGTCAGAGGGGACTGATTTGATTTGGAATGAAAGGTAAAAACCACACTAAGTAGCATTGTCAGTAAAAGTAGCAAACTTGATAAGAAATGAATGAGTAAAATCTGCTGCTCATAAGCTTGAGGTTGTGGTCTCATTTGGGTGGGCAGTGGACAAGCAAGAAACTTAACGAAGAGATCTTGGAAGAAAGGGCTATATAAGCTTCACACAGCCATGGCTGATTGGGAAGCACGGGTGCCTTTCAGAGAGACCACAGAAAAGTGCAAGTCAAAGAAGAGGTGAAAATGCTCAAAGTTTTAACATGTTCCCCAATACACATATATACACACACTGAAAGTAGAAGCCTTATCGCTTGAGGTGTTTGAGTACAATCTGTGCACAATCATTGGTTGACCACTGAGCTGAGAAGACACAGGGATGATCCCTAGGAAGCCAGGCTGAAAAATATAAATATAAGAACACAAGGACTGAGCAAAAAATAAGTAGCTACACAAAGCAGAGGAGACAGACTCTACAGATTAATTCCTAGCAAGTTCCTAAAACAAAACAAAACAAAACAAAACAACAACCTTGGGGGAAAAAGTAAAGATGCTGTATTTTATGATCTAACATGTTAGTTTTCAACAAAATGGAACAAAGTATGAAAAGAAACAGGAAAGTCTACCTGCAACCTATACTCAGAAAAAATAGTCGTCAATGAAGCTAATTTACAGAGTCAGCCAGGATGTTAAATTTAGCAATGATGTCAACACAACTACTGAAATTATGTTTAAAGAATTCAGGGAAAGAAATGTATAAAGAATTAAAGGAACATATGACTAGTAACAGCACAAGAGATACAAAATCTCAATAGATAAGTAGAAATTATTTTTAAATAATCAATTATGTATGTAGAAAATCCCAAAGAAGCAACAGTAACAAAAAATACTGGAATTAATAAGCAACTATAGCAAGATTGTAGGATATGAGGTTAATATACAAAAGCCAATTGTTTTTCTGTATACCAGCAATCAACGATTGAAACTTTAAGTAAAAACACAACACCATTTACATTAGCACCAAAAAAATCAATACTTTAGGTATAAATCTAACTAAATATACACATGATCTTTATCTGAAAAATTATAAACTCAAAAAGAAATCAAAGAAGATATAAATAAATGAAGAGAGATACATATTCATGGACAGGAAGACTCCATATTGTCAGAATGTCTGTTATTCCCAATTTTATCTACAGATTCAGTGTAATACCAATGCAAATCCCTGCAAATTATTTTGTGGATATTGACAAACTGATCTAAAGTTTACATGAAAGGCAAAAGATACAAATAGCCAACACAGTATGGAAGGGGAAGAATAAAGCTGGAGGAGTGATACTATCCAACTTCAGGACTTACTATACTTACTATAAAGCTATAGTAATCAAGACAGGGTGGTATTTGTAAAAGAATAGATAAATAGACAGTGGAACAGAATGAACAGCCCAGAAATTGGCCGATACAAATATAGTCAACTGATCTCTGACAAAGGAACAAGACAATTCAATGAAGAAAGATTAGCCTTTTCAACATCTGGACATCAATATACAAAAAAAAAATATGAATCTAGACACAGTTCTGACACCTTTCACAAAATTAACTCAACAGATCCTACACCTAAATGTAAAACCCAAAACTATAAAATTTCTAAAAGATAATATAGGAGAAAATCTTTTAATCATTTAAGATTTAATCTTAAAAGATTAAAATTATAAAATATACAACACAAAAGCAAGGACTCTGAAAGAAAAAAACTGACAAACTGGACTTTATTAAGATGAAAACTCCTGCTCTGTGAAAGACACTGTCACTAGAATGAAAAGACAAGCCACACACTGGAAGAAATATTTGCAAAACACATATCTGATTTAAAAAAAACTTGCATGCAAAATATACAACGAACACTTAAAACTCAGCAATTAAAAAAACCACACAACTCAATTTAAAAGTAAACAAAAGACCTAAACAGTCACTTCTCTAAAGAAGATATACAGATGGGAAATATGCATATGAAATGATTCACAATACTATGTGTCATTAGGAAATTACACATTAAAACAACAAGATACAATTACCCACCTATTAGAATACCTAAAATAAAAAAATTTTAAAAAGCTGACAAACCAAATGCTAACAAAGATGTGGGGAAAGAGAAACTCATTCATTGCTGGAGAGAACACAAAATGGTCCAGCCACTTTTGAAGACAGTTTGGCAATTCCTTACCAAGTTAAACATCGACTTACTATATGATCCAGCAATCCCATTCCCAGGTATTTATCCAAATTAGTTGAAAACTTATGTCTACACAAACACCCACAAATAAATATTTATGGCAGGTTTTTTTCATGGTTGTCAAAATGTGGAAGGAGCCAAGATGTCCTTCAATAAATGAATGAATAAACTGTAGTGCCTTCCTAAACGGGAATATTATGTAGTGATAAAAATCAAGCTATCAAGCCATGGAAAGACATGTAGGAAATTATGACTATCCCAAAAGATTCAAAAATAAAAGTATATGATAAAAGTCAACAATTATTCCTAGTCAAAACTTTTAACAGTCAGGAACTTAAGGATATATACTTGATCTGAAAAAAAAAAAAGGATATCTATAAAAAACCTACAGCAAATACTATAGCCAATGGTGAAATATTGAAGGAATTCTCTTTATAGTCAAGAACAAGACCCAACTGCTATCACCATTTCCTTTCAGCATTCTACTAGTGAGCCTAGCCATCACAGTAAGACAAGAATAAGAAGCATAAGGATTAGAAAGAAACAAAACTGCCATTATTTACTACTTTTCTCTGAAAAATTCAAATGAGTCCATATATTATTAGAATTGGCAATTTAGTAAAATTCTTTCACGTAAAATCAAGCTGAAAGTTAACTTTCAATACCAAGTATAGTCAAACATGTGAAGAAACTGGAATTCTCACACTTTGACGAGGGAAGAGTAAAATTTTATAACCATTCTGGCAAACTGTTTGCCAGTATCTATTAAGCTAAATATATAATATATATAACCTATAACCAGCAGTTTTCCATCTATGTATACACAGTTGACCCTTGAACAGTACAGGTTTGAATTGCACAGGTCCTCTTGTAAGTGGGCTTTTTTCAACCAAACATGGATAGAAAATACAGTATTCACTGGGTACAAAAGCTGTGTACTGGAAATACCAATTGGAGGACCTACTTTCGATATATATGCAATTTCTGTAGGGCCAACAGTGGGACTTAAGGATATGTGAATTTTGGTATATGTGGGAGTTCTGGAACCAATTTCCTGCATACACTGAGAGACAACTGTAATCAATGAAAATAAGTGCTTATGTCCTTCAAAAGATATAAAATAATGTTCATAGTAACTTTAGTCATAATACAAAATAATGAAAACAGAATAATCAAATTGTAATATTGTTATATAAATAAATACCACATAGCAATGAAAAAACACAAATACGTATGACAACATGGATGAATCCTGCAGACTCAATATTGTAAACAAAGAAGGCAGAGATTAAAAAGTTCATTCCATGCGATCCTATTTATATGAAGTAGAAAAAAAGGAAAAATTAATCTCTGTTGATGGAGATCAGATTAGAGGTTCCAAGGTGAGGGGACGCAGTATTGACTCAGAAGGTAAATGCTAGAGCCTTCTGAGAGGCTGGACATAATCTATATTTTGGTCTGGGTGGTGGTTACACAGGTGTATACATGTGTAAAAATCAACCTCAATTTATTGTTTTTTAAATTTTAAATGTTAAAATCTCCTAAGTTTTATTTTAATCAGCTTTATTGAGCTATAATTTATAAATATTAATAATAAATTCACAAATGTTAAATATACAATTTTATAGGTTTTGATAAATACATGCAGTTTTGTAACCACCAGCATAATGATGATATAAAGCATCCCCAACACACCAAAAATTTCCATTGTCCTCTTTTGCAGTCACTGTCCTTCATCCATCCTGGTCCTAAATAAATGGAATCATAAAGTTGGGTAGTCTTTTGTGTTTGATTTCTTTCCCTCATAACAATACTTTATCCAAGTTGTTTTGTTGATCAGAATTTTATTTTTTTATTTCTGAATAGTATTATATGGGCATTATTTTTATCCACGCAGTAGTTGATAGATATTTGAGTTGCTTTTGATTTAAGGCTTTGTAAATATACCTATGATGAGTATTTGAGTAATTCTACATGTGGATATAAATTTTAATTTTTCTTGAATAAAAACCTAGTTGTAGAATTGCTGGGTCATAAATAAATACATATCAAATTTTATAAGAAACTGCTAACCTGTTTAAAAGGTGGTTGTATCGTTTTGCATTTCTACCAGCAATGTATGAGAATTTCATTTGTTCCACATTCTCACCATAATTTGGTATTTTTAATTTCAGCCATTCTAATAATGTTTTAATTTGCATATCCTTCATGAGCAATGATGTTGAGCATCTTTTCATGTGCTTATTTACAATCTGTAAATCTTCTTTGGTGAATTGACTTTTCAAATATTTTACTCATTTCTAATCAATTTATCTTCTTATGATTGATTTTTAAGAATTCTTTATATATTGCAGATGCAAGTCTGTTATCAGAATATATTTTGGAAAATATGTCTCAATCTATTTCTTACCTATGCATTTCCTTACCTTTAACTTTTGAAGAGCTAATGTTTTTAATTGTGTAACAATACTTTCTTATTTTATGGTTCCCACTTTTTGTGTTCTAAGAAATCTCAGTGTAACCTAAAGTCACAAAATATTCTCCTGTGTTTTTCTCTAAAAGTTTGAATCTTTTTAGGTCTTACATTTAGGTCTGTAATCAACTTGAATTAGATGCTTGTGTTTGGTCTGAGATAAGCATTGAGGCTCATGTTTTGCCTATAAAAAATATGCAACTATTCTAGTGTGATTTATTTTAAAGGTTATTTTCCTCATAAAATTTCCTTGGTACCTTCTTCAAAAATCAATTGACCACATATGTGTGGGTCTATATCTGGAATTTCTACTGTGGCCCATTGATCTATATATCTCATCTTATTCCAAACATACTTTCTTGCCAATTGTAGCTGTATAAGATTTGAAATTATGAAGAGTTAGCTCTTCCACTTTCGTTCTTTCTTTTCAAAATTCTTTTGGCTATTTGAGGTCTTTACATTTTTATATAAATTTTAGAATCAGTTTGCTATTTTCTACATAAAATCTAGCTAAAATCTTAATTGAGATTACAATGAATCTACAGATGAATTGGGGGACAATTAAAAGCAAAACAATAAATAGTTTTCCAATTCATGAACATGGTATGTCTCTCCATTTATTTGTGTCTTTCTTAATTTCCCTCAGCAAAGTTTTGAAGTTTCTAGTGTACAACTCTTGCACATATCTTGTTAAACTTATCTCTAAGTATTTCACTTTTTTGGTACTATTCTAAATGGTAATTTTGAATTTTAGTTCCCAATTATTCTTTACTAAAATACAGAAATACAATTAGTCTTATATATTTACCTCATCTTCCGTGACCTTACTAAACTTACTTACTGCTCCTAGTAGCTTTATGGTAGATTATTTTGGATTTTTCTACATAGACAATAACGTTATTTATAAATGACAATAGTTGTAACTTTCTCTTTCTAATTGGAATGCATTTTATTTCATTTTCTTGCTTTATCGTACCAGCTAAAGCCATCAGTAAAATGCTGAATAGAAATGGTAAGGGGAAATGTAGTACCTTTTTTCAAATGTTAGAGCAACTTTACATTTCTGGGATATA
Source organism: Homo sapiens (assembly GCF_000001405.40). Lineage (NCBI taxonomy): Eukaryota > Metazoa > Chordata > Mammalia > Primates > Hominidae > Homo > Homo sapiens. Next base: position 24,026,117 of record NC_000010.11, read on the forward strand.
TTCTACTTGGTCTACTTGTATTATCCTTTTTATATAGTGCCAGTTTCAAGTTGCTAATATTTTCTTAGAGACTTTTACATGTATGTTCATGATAACTTTTAATCTGTAGTTTTATTTTCTTATAATGTCATTTTCTGGTCTTGATATCATGATAATTCTGGCCTCAGACTGAGTTAGAAAGTATTCCCTCTGCTTCTATTTTCTGAGAGAGTATAAATAAAATTTGTGTTATACTATTCTTAAATGTTTGGTAAAATTTACCAATAAAGCCATCTCAGCCTGGAGCTTTCATCTTGGTTAGATTTTTAATCAACTATTCAATTTCTTTTGTAGATATAGGACTATTACCTATATCTTCTTGAATGAATTCCTGTAGCTTCTATCTTCAAAACAAGTTGTAAATTTTATATATGTTTTCAAATTTATTGGTATAAAGCTATTCATAATTGTTTATTTATATGATTATATCCTCTCTTTCATTCCTGATATTCATAATCTGTGTGATTCTCCTTTTTTTCTCAGTTAGGCTGGCTTGAGTCTTATACATTGTATTGATTCTTGCCTGGAACTAGATTTTGGTTACATTGATTTTTTTTTCCATTGCTTTCTATTATCTATTTCATTGATTTTTTTTTTTTTTTTTTTTTGCTCTTTATTACTTTTCTCCTTCTGCTTATTTTAGATTTATTTTTTCCAAGGTGGATGCTTAGATCATTGACTTGAGACTTTTCTTATTTTCTAGCATAAATAGTTATGGTATAAGCTATATAATATCATATAATGCTATAACCTTACCTTTAAGCATGCTTTAGTAACATCACTCAGATTTTTATGTCATTCTAATTTTCATTCACTTCAAAGTATTTTACAATTTTTCTTTTTTCATCTTTAACCCATAGGTTATTGAGATGTTTGTTGTTTAACTTCCAAATATTTGGGGCTTTAAAAAATATCTTTCTGTTACTTATTTTTAATTTAATTCTGTTGTTATCAGAGAAAATATTCCATATATCTTCATAGTTCTGTGCAGCACCTCCTCTGACTGAAAATTATGCCTTTGCCTCTCTGAACTAGGAACTCTGTTTCCTTAACTCAGGGAGACTGCTGAGCTCTGTTTGGGTGTCCCCTCCCTGCACTATGACCTGGAAACTCTTCAGATGGTGACCTGGGGCATTCACTGGGCTTACCACATTTGTTTGTATTCTCTTAGCAATCACTGTCCTGTGCTATATATTGCGCAATATCTGAAAACTATTGTTTCATATATTTTGTCTGTTTTCCTGGCTGTTTAAACAAGAGGGGTAGTTCTGGTTCTTTTTGCTCTACCATTGCCAGAAACAAGTCAAAAACTATTTAAAGTCATATTATGTTTCATCATATACCAACAAACAGAAAATGCAACTTTAAAATGATGCCATTTACAGTTGCTGAAACAATATATCTAGGAACATATTTAACAAAGGATATACAATTTGTGGAATATTATAAAACATGCTAAAAACACATTATTTAATACCTAAACAAATGGAAGAAAAATACCATGTTAATAGATAGGAAAACTCAATAGTGTAAAATTATTTACAGACAATAAAATATCAATGAAAATTTTAATAGGTTTTATTTCACATGGAACTTAATAAGATGTTTATAACATTTGTGTATAAGAACAAAGGACTAAGAATTCCCGGGAAACTCCTAAATAAGACCTATCGCCCAATCAGAAATCATGATTTATAATGAGTCAGATTTGCACAGTGTCTAATAGCACAATCTGGGTGAATAGATTGCCTGAGTTTCAAGTCTTGCTTAGGTACCTACAATCCATTTCTTTGAGCTCAATTTCTTCATCTATATAATAACAGTGCCCACTTTGCAAGGTAATGATGAGGAATACATGAGTTAACATGTGAAAAGTGCTTGGGACAATGGCTGGCATATCATAAACATATATTTGCTATTTTTATTATCTAGCTCTAAATCATTAAGACAGCAAACATAGAGATGGACAAGTAGACAAACAAAACATATTAAGAAACCCAGAAAAGAGTCCCACGAAAATGGAATTTTGGCAAAGCTGAGATTTCAGATCTATGGGAAAGGGTGGGTTATGGTGTGGGATGATTGATCAATTGATTATCCATGAGGAAAAAATGAACACTAAAAACAAAATGTTCATCAGCTGTAGAATGTAATATATTCATTCATTATAATATATTCATGCCATGCACAACCATAAAAAGTGAAAATGAATTACAGCATATCAGATACATACATACATAAATCTCAAAAAACATAATGCCAAGCCTAAAAAAAGTCACAGAAGAATAAATACAACTTACTTGATAACATTTATGTCGACTTTTTCAAAAGCATAACTAACAATATATTGATTAGAGATATATGCACATTTGTAAAACTATGAAAGAACATAAAAGAATCATTCAAATTAAATCCAGGAAAGCTGTCACATCAGGGTCCAAGGAGCATGTGACCAATTGGAAGCACTTAGAAGATTTCAAAGACTTCAAAGGGAAATGTATTATTGCTTAAGCTTGGCAATGGGTACATGTGTATTCTTTGCATTGTTTTTATCTTTACATTTTAGCACATATCCTCTTTATGTCTGCTGTATTTTAAATTTTTTATTTCAAAATCATCTGAGGAGTACCAAAAAAATCTGAATGACTATTATTGGTGCTATACCAATAGTTTTATGCTTCTGTAAATAAGTGTTATGTTGAATATTTTAAAATGTATCATTGTGAAATTAACTTCTTGCTTTAACCTAAAAAAATTCTGAGTTATAAATATCCCTGGACAATTCTTTCCAGAAAGCAGGCTTTCAATGGGTTAGAATTAGGGGTCTCCTGAGGACATAAAAGAGATGTCCAGTAAGTGGGAAGAAATACAGGGAGCCAAGGGCTGTGCAATAACATTAGAACATAATGAAAAATAAATTTATACTTCACAGTTTTCCTAGCTGCCCATAAGTGGATAAATTTTTTTGTCTATGATTTTTTTAGGGAGAAAAATAATGTAATCATCCAAATAATCCTACCTTAGATTAGATGCATGATATCTCAAAAACAGACCTTAAGGACCTCATCTGGTTTTGTAAATTAAAACTGTCTGAAAGGAGGAGGAACATCAAACCTTTCTTTACAATGGACACTGCTCTATTTTTCTACATAAATATCTTCATTGCCTTGTTTTGTGAACATGAGCCTGCAGACATATGAGAGGTATAGACTATTCTCACACATCATGCCGTAAATTCTTCCTTTCATCTACTCTAAGGAGTATTCAGGGACTGGTGTGAGCTGCTTTTTGCTCATAAAAACAAGTGCAGGGTCCTCAGTGGATCTTTATTTACTCATTTAAAAAATATGGAACATTCTAGTTCAGGACCCTCTGTAATATAATTCTGGGCAAATTTTGGAAAGGCCAGAGGATTTACTAGCAAGGATTCTGAAGCCAACTGGGGGAAATTTCTCCCCCATTTTAAGAAGGATTTACTACACCTCTCAAGAAAGAAGTAATCTCCAAGAAAAGTACAAAGCCAGGGCCAGAGAGCCAAGGAGCCAGAAGACAAGTTCTGAAAAGATCTTCTCAGAGTCTTTATGAGACCATTTGATCTCTAGCCTTGCCCATGATGCGTAGAGTGGTTGTTTGCATTTGTCTTTGTTAAAGTGGGGAGAGAGAGAAGTTTTAAGTTCCCTCACACGGGCATGTAGTATCATCTCTGTATTGCAATGTGGCTGTGTGACAATGCAAGGGAACATGGTGGATCTGCTGGGCAGCCATGGTTAGGCCTCAGAGAGAAAACCTGGTCCCTCCTCTGATCGCAGAGTGACTCTGGCCATCTTAAACCTACCTTGTGAAAACACAGCTTGCATCTAGGCATTGCCCAGGCTACAGAAAGCTAGACAGAGAGAGAGTGGGCCATTATCTAACCCTCATTTCATAGGAAGTTCAAGCATCAATTACATGAAAATATGAATTCAAATAATTTATCATTGTGATAAAATAGGCATAACATAAAATTCACCATTTTAAGCATTTTTAATTGTGCAGTTCTATGGCATTATGTGTATTCACATTGTCATTGATATAGTTTCGCTCTGTGTCCTCGCCCAAATCTCATCTCAAATTTTAATCCCCAAGTGTCGAGGGAGGGTCTTGATGGTAGGTGACTGGATCATGGGGGTGGTTTCCCACTTGCTGTTCTCATGATAATGAGGGAGTTCTCATGAGATCTAATGATTTAAAAGTGACGCTTCCCCCTTTGCTGCCTCTCTCCTGCCAACACGTAAGAAGTGCCTGGCTTCCTCTTCGCCTTCCACCATGACTGTAAGTTTCCTGAGGCCTCTTCAGCCATGTGCAACTGTGAGTCACTTAAACCTCTTTCCTTTATAAATTACTCAGTTTTGGGCAGTTCTTTGTAGCGGTGTGAAAAAGGACTAATACAGATGTGCAACTATAATCACCATCTGTCTCTGGAACTTTTTGGTCTTCCTCAACCTGAACTCTGTACTCATTAAACACGAACTCCTCATTTCCCCTTCCCCAGTGCCTGATAGCCACCATCCTACTTTCTATCTGCATGAATTTGGCAACTCTAGGAACCTCACATAAGTAGGATCATAAAATATTTGTCTGTTGGTGACTGCCTTTTTTCACATAGTATAATGTCCTCAAGGTTCATCTATATTGCAGCACATGTCAGAAGTTCCTGCCTTTTTAAGGCTAAAGAATATTCCATTTTATGTATATACCACACTTTATCCATCTATCATTGTTTCTTCATTTATCCATAGACATTAAGGTTGTTTCTACCTTTTGGATCTTGTTAATAATACTATTATGAGCATGGCTGTACAAATATCTGTTCGAATCTTTGCTTTCATTTTTTGGGGGGTATATCCCGACAAATGGAATTGCTGCATTTTATGGTAATTCTAAGTTTAATTCTTTGAGGAACTACCATTGCATTTTCCACAGCGACTATCCTGTTTTATATTCCCACCCACAGTGCACAAGGGCTTCAACTTTTTCACATTCCCACCAACACTTACTTTCTATTGTTTCTGTTTTTTGTTTTTTTCATAGCATCCACTCTCATGAATGTAGAGCCTCATTGTGCTTTTGAGTTGCATTTCTCTAATGATTAGTGACGCTGAGCATTCATTCATTCATTTATTTAGAGTCGGGTCTTGCTCTGTCTCCCAGACTGGAGTGCAGTGGCACAATTACTGCTCACTGCAGCCTTGACCTCCCAGGCTAAAGTGATCTTTCCACCTCAGCCTCCCGAGTAGCCGGAACCGCAGCATATGCCACCACATCCAGCTAATTTTTATATTTTTCATAGAGACAGGGTTTCACCATGTTGCCCAGGCTGATCTCAAACTGCTGGACTCAAATGATCCGCCCACCTTGGCCTCCCAAACTGCTGGAATTACAGGCTCACACCACTATGCCCAGCCGCTGAGCATCTTTTTATGAGCTTATTGGCCTTAAATAATTTTTAAAGCTGTGCAATTTCACATTCAAAAAGCCATTTCTTAATTTCACTGTTTGTGTGTGTGTGTGGGTGTGTCAATTCTTTATCACTTATGTGTAAAATTTATGTGGTTTGAGTAAAGAGGGAAAATGGAAAAGGAATCTTTAAACACATTAAACTTGATGATCACATGATTTTCAAAATCTTTAATGGACTCACTTTCTCCTTACTCAAGCTCCATCAAAAGTTAATTAAATATGTAGAATTTTCCTAGAAGCTAAGCACATTCTTAGGTTTATTCAGTTTTGCTCATGATTTTGCATACTTCCCACTGCCATTAAATCAGAGCATTGGAAACTACAAAGGATTTCTATAGGTAGCTCAGAAAAAACAGCAAATGTGCATTGAATTACATGTCATCCCACATTTTCACAAGTACCTACAATTTATGAATAACCTCTTCTTTTTTAATATTTGGCTTTCAGTAACCAGAAAAATTCAATATGTTGAATGCTTTATAATAACTAAGAAGTTGAAGAAGAAAACTTGAAATTATACCAATGAAATCCCATTACCCTTGTAAGTTACAGTCAAAGAATTAATAAGCCCATCTGATTGCCTAAGTATTCATAGTTTTGTTTTGTCATTTTGTTTTGTTTTTGAGATGGAGTCTCGTTCTGTCATCCAGACTGGAGTGCAGTGGTGCAATCATGGCCCACTGCAACCTCGGCCTCCTAGGTGCAAGCATTCTTCCCACCTCAGCCTCCCAAATAGCTGGGACTACTGCTCAGGAGTAAGTCTTGTATTTCTTGTAGAGATGGGATCTCACTATGTTGCCCAGGCTGTTCTCCAACTCCGAGGCCCAAGTGATCCACCTCTTAAAGTGCTGGCATTACAGGCATGAGCCACCATGCCTGGCCTCTTCATGAGTTTTGTCTGTTTGTTTTCCTCCTCAGAACTATGTAAGTCTCATTAGAATCCTTTAAAGAGAGACAGGAGCCTCGCTTGCATTTCAAAGTAAGTAAGAGGTCATGCCCACTAGAGTCACAAGTATGTAAAGCCTCAGGGATAAATCTGAATATATATTACTGTTATTACTAATTAGTCATAAGAATAACTTTTAAGTCACCCAGCGCTTTGGGGTTGTTGTGCTTTAATGCTTTAGATTATACGTTCAATAATATCTCTGGAGACCACCCTAATAAGAAATAGCTTATTTTTACCTCAGGATTCTACTCTCAAATATAAAATTTTAACTTGCACTGAGAGCCAAGATAATTCTTAAAATGGCACATGGAAAAACTGTGACTACAAAACTCCAGCCTCCATCACAACCTGGCTGTCTAACACATTTTTGTACAACTTTTCAAACTGCTTCTAAATCCACTGTTGGTTCAGATAAGTCGTTCAGCCTTCTATGTAAGGGAGTATTTTGCAATAAAAACCCAAAAAAGTTCCTCTTGGCACTGACAATTTTATAACATAATGAAGCATGTCCTAAATAATTTTAAGATTCTTTTACAATATAGAAGCACAGATGGGTGACATCATGGTATAAAGCAACTTTTACTGAAATAAAAAAATGCTTTTTAAAGGGTTCTTAGAAATTAGAGCTGTTAAATCAAGAAATCTTTCTGTAGCATTTGACTATAAAATTGAGGAATCTAAACTTACAAGCCTTTGTCTTGAATCTAGGAAGCATGAAAAATCTTACAGGATAAATGCAGACCACAAATTCAGTTATCCAAGCACTCAAACCATGCCTCTCTACATATGGCCACCTATATAAAGTCACTATCAGTGTAAAGTGGCAAAGCGTGGCATAATCCAAATAGCTAAAGGGGTGGACCTTGCTCCTGTTCCCACTGTGTTTTATAATTAAGTTAGAATCAATATTGGCTGTTCTTGGAGACCATCATGACACTTACCTCAAGTCCCTCAATGTGATATAATGTCCAAATAGTAGAGTGAGATAAATTTAAGAAATTATTCACATCTAGGTTTGGAACCAGAACAGAGTTCACCCATCTAGACACAAAGGGAGGCAAAATATCCATATAGCAGGTATTGGTCAAGGAAACAGGAATCAGAATACTATGCATACATGGTTTTAACTGGCTGCTACTGAACAGGTGTCAACAAAGTACTACCAAATCTGTCCAGCCACCTGTTTTTACAAACAAAGTTTTATTGGAACACAGCCTTGCCCATTCACTGGCATTTTGTCTATGGCTATTTTTACACTCCAGTGGTGACACTGAATATTTGAACAGAGGCCATACAGTTCAAAAAGCTGAAAATATTTACTGTTTGGCTCCTTACAGAAAAAGTTTGCTATAGAACATTCTGCTAGGATATCAAGGCAATCTTAAGGAAGGACCAAGTAAAAAAACTGGATTAAGCCAGGATGAAGTAGGACATTGGTATTTTATAGCCATTAAAATTATTACCTTTAATTCATATGCATTCTTACAATTGTCAAAGTGCTTTCGTATTCATTATCCCACTTGATTGTTGGAAGAACCCTGTAATATAAACAGCGTAGTTGCCACAACACCTTTTTCAAAGTGATTTGGCCCTGAGAGGTGAAGTGTTTTCTCCTGGATTACATAACAAGTGGGGGTCTTCTGGCACCGTGAGCTTAGAAGCCAAACAAAGCTAGCCAGGTGCTGTGGCTTACACCTGTAATCCCAGCACTTTGGGAGCCCAAGGTGGGGTGGATTGCTTGAGCCCAGGAGTTCCAGACCAGCCTGGGCAACATGGCAAAATCCCAACTCTACAAAAAATACAAAAAAAATTAGCCAGGCATGGTGGCACATGCCTGTGGTCCCAGCTACTCAAGAAGCTGAGGTGGGAGGATCACCTGAGCACAGGAGGTTGAGGCTGCAGTGAGCCATGAGCACACCACTGCATTCCAGCCTGGGCAATAAGATGAGACCCTGTCTCAAAAAAAAAAAAAAAAAAGTAGAAGTCAGACAAAGCTTACCAAGCTACCAGGTTGTTTGTCTTGACATCTGGCCAGAAAGCAAGATCAGGAGGCGGGGCAAAGGTGAAAAGTTCAAGAAGCCCAGCAGACACTGTGCTCTGGCACCTTACACCTCAGGAGAAGACGCAGACATCCTGGAGCGTGTTTCCCCACTGACCTTTGCAGAGGCTTGCTGGCTGCACACAGGAAGCTGTTCTGCTCACATCCTCCAGGCTGCTGCCTTCCCATCTGCTCTTCAACACAGGATGTTGTTCTCCCAGATCAGAGCTGCTGGATTCCCATGACACGACGCTCATGCACACATCCTATCTGGGGATGCTTTGCAGCCACCCAAGTGCAGTGCATTTTGGGGTCTGGCACACAGCATCCAAGATGACAGAGGCACTCTTCCCAGGTCACCGCTGTGACTGAACAGCCAGTCTGTGTTCACACTCAGTGTTTGTGTGGATTGCGGCCAGACTTTTTGCTTTGTCGAGAAGAGGGCAGATTCTAGGGCCAGACTGACTGAGTTCAATTCCCGCTCCTGTACTTAGTATCCGTGAGATCTTGGGTGAGTTTCTGGGCCTCTGAGAGTTTCAGTTTGCTCATCTGTTAAATGGAGATAATAATGGTGTCTACCTTGTCAGGTCACCATGAAGGATAAATGACTTAGGACAGTGTTGGGCATATAGTAAGTGTACAATAAATGCTAGCAATTGTTCTTAATGATCATTACTATCTCAAGGAGAGCTAGGGCCCTGCCACAGCCTGTAGCATTTTCTTCTTGGGAGGCAATTTTTTGTCTTGGGGTACCTGATGCCTTTATACCCTCAGTTGGATGTACACTGTCACCAAGATATTTGTTCACATCTTGAAGATTGGAAAGCAGATAGAACTTTGGAAAAAACACTCCATATCTGCAACACCAATGTGCTGATACACTGGGAAGAGACTAATCTCTCCAGCTTCTGAGGCAGAGTGTAGCTTCAGGGCCGATTAGTATCACCAGCTCATGATGGAAACCCCAGTTAGACGCTGCACAGTGAGGTGGTCACGTGAGGTTCTTCTTAGGGACTGTGAAGAAATGAGGCAGGGTATTCCCTTATACATGATCTCTATTTCCATGTTCAAAACTGCAAGAAAGTTTGTTTGAAGCCCATAGGAAGAATTTAGGTTAGCTACAAGAAAGAACTAGTAAACATGGAGATTTCATGTGCTGCCAAAAAAGCGAAGTTGGCTATGCCTTTGGGATTTGGAAAACAGAACAGAGTCAGAGAGGTGTGAGGCAGCTCAAAGCTAGGCATTGCTGAACCAGGAGAGCACAAGAGATCCTCAGAGCCAGCCCCCAGCTATGGATGGAAGGAGCAGTCATGCATGAGCAACCACTGGTGTCAAATCCTGCCAGAAAACAGAAGTGCGCATTACCAGGTAGAGCTGCTCATTAGAGCCCAGGTGAAGGCCAGCGGAGCACAGGGTTACTGCAGGCTGTGGCCTCGAACCAGCCCCAGGGAGGAGATCCCCAACAGCTGCCTCCTTCACTGGGGTAGCCAAAGATCATCCCTAAGCCAGGGCAGCTCAGGCAGTTACAAAAGCAGAATCCGGGAGCTTTAGCAAAGGTTCAGAAACCAGGAAGAGAGTTCATGGGAAGGGCTAGCCCCATATTTGGAATACGGTAGTGTTCTCTCTCTTTGGTGAGGATTTACGTCAACAGAAAGGATTTCCAGACAGGTGTGGAGGCATCCAGTCACGAAACTAAATAGAGATATATGTGGGGAGGGGGTCAGGGAGGCCCAGAAGTACAATGAATAATTCAATAGTGATATCACTGAAGATGGTTCAGGAAGATGTTCTCATGCTGAAAAAGTCATGGCAGCTGCATTTGGAACAGGGTATTTGTCCATTTGCATTGCTATAAAGGAATACTTGAAACTGGGTAATTTATAAAGAAAAGACGTTTATTTGGCTCACAGTTCTGCAGGCTGTACATGAAGCATAGTGCCAGCATCTGCTCCTGGTGAGGCCTCCAGAAGCTTGCAATCGTGGCAGAAGGTGAAGGGGAGCCAGCAAGTGACAGGGCAAGAGAGAGAGCAAGAGAGAGACGGGAGGGCCCCGACCCTTTTTAAACAACCAGATCTCACGTGGACTAATAAAGTGAACTAATAGAGTGAGAACGCACTCATTACCACGAGGACCGCAACAAGCCATTTATGAAGGATCCACCCCCATGACCCAAACACCTCCACTAGGCCCACCATCAACATTGGAGGTTGAGACTTGGAAGGGACACACATCCAAACTAAATCAACAGGGTAAGCACTTAGAATTTTTAAGCAGGGAGAAAACTTCCAGTCCTATCCTTTCTGAATAGGCCAAAGGATGATCAGGCCAGTTCCAGAGGTGCTGACAGTGAAATCGTGAGACTCAGGGAGGAGATCCGTAGGGCCCTGGAGAGCAGAGGCTGTCACCAGCACATGCAGGAGGCTTGTTACAAAGTCTTAAGTAAAAGGCAAATGTCAAGGTTCAGTGTGTTGAATCCTGCTAGGATTAGGTCATTGTGGGGAGATACTAGCCTAGAAGGGACCACACATAGGAATAAAACCCAGTCCCAGCCCAGTGGCTCACGCCTATAATCCCAGCACTTTGGGAGGCCAAGGCAGGAGGATCACCTGAGGTCAGGAGTTCAAGACTGGCCTGGCCAACTTGGTGAAACCCTGTCTCTACTAAAAAAATAAAAAATAAAAAGAATAAAAAATAAAAAACTAGCCAGGCATGGTGGCAGGTGCCTGTAATCCCAGCTACTCAGGAGGATGAGGCATGAGAATCACTTGAACCCAGGGAGCAGAGGTTGCAGTGAGCCAAGATCGCACCACTGCACTCTGGCCTGGGCAATAGAGCAAGACTCTGTCTCAAAAAAACAAAAAAGCAAAAAAATGGAACATAGCCCACGAATTCAAAGTAAACCTCAGAGCAAACCTGATCAGCTGGTGAATGATCTCAGTATGGAAGTCTTAGGCTCTGGAGTAGATGGGCAAGTTGCCTGTTGATCACAGGAGACAGATTGTCTATTCCAGATTAAAGCAGCATTCTTGGAATAAGCTTTATAGGTGTGTACCATTCCCAGAGTGAGACAGGGTTTGTTCTCTAGAAACTGGTCTTTTACCCTGAGATTACTCACAATTCAAACAATATCATTGTGATCTAATGGCTACTTCCTTATTTTTGGACTCAAACTAATGATAAAAATAACATAGACTCTTCAAACTCTTCTCTTTCCTTTTTTGCTTTGGTGCTAGGAAGCTCACAGCCAAATTTCTTTTCCTCCAGACTCTATGATTATTCATTTCTTATTTTAATGTCACACAAATTTTATCTTAGTAGTGTATGTATTTTGCAAGCCAACTCACATCCTTTGTTAGGAATGAGGTAAGGATAGAAACAAATTAATAAAACCTCTCTTCTTTATTTCTGCCTTTTATTTTTGTAAGGGTTTTTTGTTGGGCAGGCTTGAAACTGCATGACCAAGCAAATGTTTCTCTGTCAACTTTCTATTCTTTCTTTGGTTTAAAATGAAAATATACCATGCACTGTTGACCATGGCCCTGTGTTCAGCCTTTATGATGGCCTGAGGGTTTGATATACACTAAAATGACAAAGCATTTCAGGAAACCTCCACTGAGTGGAGAGGAAAAATAATAAACCACATGGTGCTCTTCAATGCGCTTTAAAATATTGACTTTGTGGATGAACCAGCTTTACTTAAACAGATGCATGAGTTTTGGTACAGACATGTGAAGTCTGTTTCTTGAGTGACAGGGGATACATTTACCCTAAGTATTACAGCTCAAACCAAGCATGGTCACTGAAACACTGATTAGGTGACAAGTGAAATGAGCTTGGTGTTCTCGGGCAGGTTCCCCAGTGTCTCCATAAAGGGACATAACCTGTTTATGGCAGGTAGTCCCTACAAAATGGAAGGAGCAAAAATGAGCAAGCAGCCCTGCAAGTGACCTATCCCCCTAAGGTGCAGTAGCACCTGGGAGGGCAGCCGAGGAAAATTGGATCCAGTAGTTGCTAGCACCGGCACAGGGAAGGGAGACGGCTTCCAGTGGCTCAGACAAGCAGCTGATTCCAAAGCCCACTGGGCATGACAATCACCTGAGAATTGCTTTTTTTTTTTTTTTTTTTTTTGAGACACAGTCTCACTCTGTCACCCAGGCTGGAGTGCAGTAGCACGATCTCAGCTCACTGCAACCTCTGCCTCCAGGGCTCAGGTGATCCTCCTGCCTCAGCCTCTTGGGACTCTAGGCATGTGCCACCATGCCCGGCTAAGTTTTGTATTTTTCGTAGAAACAAGGTTTCACCATGTTGGCCAGGCTGGTCTCGAACTCCTAACCTCAGGTGATCCACCCACCTTGGCCTTCCAAAGTGCTGGGATGACAGACATGAGCCACCGCACCCAGCTGAAAATTGTTGTTGTAAATTTCTGGGACCCTCTCTTGGGCATTTTCCAGAAATTCTAATTCACTGGGCCTGAGATGGAGCCCAGATATGCCAATTTTTTTTAGAGGTTCTCCAGCTGATTCTATAGTCTCTCAGGTTTGGAAAAACCACCCTGGCCTAAAGACAGCTGCCCTAGCCACACTCCACTCCACCCCCACCCCAGCAGTGCAGACATCTATGTCATACATATGTGTATATTCTGTTGATATACACACAGTCCCCAACATATGATAGTTCCACTTAGGATTTTTTCACTTTACAATGGGGGAAACAATATGCATTCAGTAGAAACCATACTTTGAATTTTGAAATGTGGTCGATTCCCAGGCTAGTGATATACAACGCAATACTCCCTCGATATGCTGGGCAGCAGCAGTGAGCCACACCCCCTTGTCAGCCACACAATTGAGAGGGTAAATGACAGATACTCTATAGTGTTTTGTGTGGCCAGACGGTTTGCCCAACTGTAGGCTGCTGTAAGTGTTCTGGGCAGGTTTAAGGCAGGCTTGGCTAAGCTATGATGTTTGGTAAGCTGGGTACATCCAGTGCATTTTTGACTTACCCTATTTTCAACTTTCAGTGGATTTATCAGGACCTACCCCCATTGTACGTCAAGGGACATTTGTATATACATATGTATGCATACAGAGGAATATATATACATATTTATATATGGACATATCCATATGTATCTTATTGGCATGATATAGATATAGATAGATATAGATATAGATATAGATATAGATATAGATATAGATATAGATATAATCTCCCACTGGCTCTGTTTTTCTGGAGAACCCTGACTAGTACAATTCCCAACTCTACAAGTGGCCTATAGCATAATCCCCTTGATTTTTCCCCTTTCCCTTGTAAAATTAGTCTAATTACACTGGCTCTCCCAGAGAAGGAAAGTGTGCTATAATAAGACGTCATTCTATTCCTCTGAAATGCTTCTATCCACACTGCATGGGATAAAACCACCTGTTTTAAATGGTGTCAAGATGCAGTCACACTTCTTTCCTGGCACTGATCCTTCCAGTCAGCTTCCCAGGCCAAAGTCCTTTGCCAGGTGCCACAGCCCTCGAAGTCATGTGATTTGTATCCGCCAGGGTCCAAGCTATGTCACTGTCAGTCATTATTCTGAGGCATGAATCTAAAATGTGAGCCTGGTCTCTGGAGTAGCCACTTGGCTAGTGGGTGGAGAATCCTGACTGGTTCCTCTCTCCTCCATCCCTGCACAATTGGAATGCTCTTCATTTGACAGCCTATAAAGTAGCCAAGGTTAGTTTCTTTGTGAAATCTATTCCTGAAAAGAAAGGCGACTGCTAATATGATGAAGGAACTGAAGACACCTGAAGAAGCATGAGAAAGCAATTGTTCTTGGGCAGACATAAAAGATAATTTGGAGAAATGAAAGCATGGACTTTCTTATTTGGACAGAATTATGAAGAGTAAAAGGGCTAGCTTAAATTTTGTAGTTATGCTTTACTAAATTTAATGGAGTGGATTTTATGATACAGCAGTATTTGCAAACGTGGTGGTTCATTACATTTGCAGGACACTTCTCATAATATTAAGGGTTTACTCCCACATTTTTTCCTCCCAGTTTATAGGGCTGAGATTATGAGTGTGATCCTACTATGGACTCTGTGGTCTGAGTGAAGAATTGATTTTGTAACTGACATTTTTCATAAGGCTGTGCTAGACCTGTTAGGAATCATTAAAACTGAAGTTTTGAAAAAGACGGGCTAAGGAAAGTATTTATTGAGTGCTACCATGTGCCCGACAAGGTGCAGAGTTGTCATTTCAGTTGATCTATGTAGGAACTCTACATGGCAAAAATTACTATACCGACTTTAATAACGAAAAGCCAGGGAGGGTAACTTGCCCAGGACTGGGCCCACATTTAGAATTTAGAGGTAACTCCTGTTCCCGTTGATTCCAAAATTTATGCTCTTTCCAGCACATAACTGTGTCTGATAAAGTGCTAAGTAGCTTCACATTTATCAACTGTAAATGGGGAATAGCACAGTATTTACACTTGGAGTGGAGTTATATGACCACATCTTCCCAGAACCTTTTTATAGTTCATAGAGAGTTTGTATAGACTCTCCCCAAGGGAACACAGAATAATCGAGGTTGGAAACAGCTTAACCTCAAGTCATAAAAATCACTGACGTGGGAAACTAAGAGGGAAAATGGTTATCCTTAGTGGAGGAGAGGTTGTATGCTTCTGGTATGTGCTACATGTTCAATTGGTGGAAGGAATGTTTTCAGCCTTGAAAAATGTGACCCCTTGAACACATTTGATTTTTACATCATGACTATTGTTTTTTGTAAAGCACGCTAAGTACAAGTATTTGTTAGAATAAACTCCGAACTCTTTAAAAGGTAAAATAATTTATATCTCTTTCCCTGACTCTCTCTCTCTGATGCACACACATATGCACATACACACATACATACACATCCCATAACACATCACACAGACACACAATTGCCCATTTTATCAGTTAGTCGGTACCCTATGGCAGCCCAAAGAGGTTGGAAATTACATTCTTCTGTTTTCTTACTTTGTCATGGTGCTGTGCCTGTTCTGTAAACAGCAGGAGAAGTAATTATGTAAGGTGGGCATTCGTTTCACGGTCACCTCTTGGAATATACTATAGGAATGTGCTAAAGCAAGGAAATATTTGCTTGAACTAATGCCTGGAAACTGAACGTGGTATGCACTTCATAATAATATCAACCACACATCTGGCTCATTTTTATGTATTGTACCTGAGTGGGTGGGATAATATTTACATTATTTTTCCCCTTCTAGGCTGTCTGGTGTGTAGTCTGTGCATGCAAGGGAGTATCGTGTGTGTGTGTGTGTGTGCGTTTCATATTCCCTATTGCAGCATCTGCCGTTTGCTCTGAATTGGAGCATTTACCATTGCAGAACTGTCACCGGCATCTTAGAAACACAGATTTACATTCCACAGGTCCCGTAAATGGGCTACGGGGCTGCATGATGCCTTGTGTTTAAAAGAGATCCAAGGGGCAGCCCAGCACTTTCCGTCCAGCTGCACTTCATACTGTAACTGTGTCCGTTGAAAAGTGAAGCTCAAAGGATTTTTTAGAATCTGCTGCCCCAGCAGGTAACATTCTGGAGTTTTGTTGTTTTTTTTTTTTTCTTGTTGTTTTTTCTGCCATTTAAAATGTCCAAACCCTCTCGCTTGGCTAGACCTTTCTTCTCTAATGCAGCTTCTAAGCTGCCATCAGCTAGGCGGGATGATTTGAACAGCAAACAGAAAAAAAACAGCTTAGGTGAGAAGATTTTGAGAACTGGGAGTGAAGGAAATTTGGTCAAACAGCAGCAGGTGCAAACGGCGGCAACTCCTGCACAGCGGAAAGCTACACCACACAAAGGTAATGTTTGAAATCCACTGCTTTTGTGAACGTTTGCTTAGAAACTTCCTGCTTAACAATACTGACCGGTAACTTCAATGAATGAGACTTTCATGGCTTCAAAACTTATCCATTTGATTGAATGTGAAATTTTCTAAAATCCTGGAGTGTGTTGCTAAAAATAACCAATAATTATTAGGAAGATGGAGGTGATAGAACTTTCTGTCATTAATTAATGAATGAGATAAGAAATGCTGATTGTTTTCACTTGTCTTCCAGAATAACAGATTTTATTCTTGGTCGTGTTTTGTAGCCTTTCATAATCCAATCATATTCAAAGTTTCTTACCCTTTACCTATATGAATAGAAACAAAAAAAAGAAGGAAATTGCTCTAAAACCTCATCATTAACCAGCAATGGAAGTGTTGCATGCTTAATTGTTTAGTCTCTTTTAAAAATGAATTGTATCTGAAAATACTAACGTATGGTTCATTGAAAAGCGTGATAAAAATTCCTGCTAGTGTTGTTACCTGGAGCATTTAAATTAGCCTTCTCAGGTGAATGTTGGAATGTTTCACCTAGCAAGAGTGTTGGTGGATATTTGCCCAGGAATTGAGAAATGTAGTAACTTAAGCTATCTGTTATTTTAGCGTATGTAATCACAGAGGGCAATGAAATCATAGCTGCTAAAAATATAATAGTAATTTCCCCCATTGTACCAAGAACTACATATTAAAACAATAAGCAGCATTTATAATACTTACTTTAATAGAGTTTGAGTTTTCTACTACAAATGTAATATTTGGCCCTGTGATTTTATAGTAAGATAAAAAATTGTTTTAATATTCTCATTCTTATAACTGGGAGTTTTTATTTTCTAAAAAGTCTATTTTATAATTTTAAACCTGACCTCTTCTCCATTAAAAACTATGACAAACAAATACGCAATGATATACTTTTGTGCCCTGTACTATTTCGAAGATGTAAGTATCTGTCTGGAAAATTTTAAGTTTTCCCTTAGTTTTATTATTATTGTTTCATCCACTGTGATCAATGACATGCTTGTATAAAAAACAGAGACCAAAATGCTTCATAAAAGGCACATGCAATGAACACTAGAAGACCTTAGAAGTATTGACAGAAGTGGCTGAATAGAATGAATTTTGGCTGCATGAAAGAAAAACTTTCTTTTCTGTTAGACTATGTATAAAGACATGAAAAATTCTTAGAAAAGGAATGTCAACTACCTCAACCTAAAGAGCATCCAAACATTTATACAGAGTATATCCTTTTTTAAACAAACAATCCGAGGCTCGGTGCTTATTCCAAAGATTTATTCAAAATGCTGACCTTTTCATGGCGACCTGTGAGATCATTTTTAAATAGACTTAGTGGGTGAAAATAATTTTCTTTGATAAAAGGTCTGGGTTGGGATTAGTTCAAAGTCATTTAAAACCAAGAGTGAGTATTAAAGTCCAAGATCAATATAAATAAGACATATTTTTGTAAATAAATAAATAAACTGGAGATAAATTATAAAATAATGAGTTGGGGGATTTTTTGAGTTTCTCTGAGAGGAAAAGGAAGTATTCTATGACAAGACATTTTGATACTGGCAGCAGGACTGGATTATTTTTGAAAGACATCATCATCACTCATGTTTGTTTTTATTCTTTAATCAGTATTTTTTAAATCCAACACATTGTATCATATAGCACCAATAGAAACCTTTAATAGTTGGCAAATCGGACTATGAGTCTCTTTCTAAGATAGCTCTGTTGCATTAGGCTTTCACGGAACGTGGTTGTCGTAAGATCAAGAAATCCAATAATAGCCACACCATCTGAGATTTATGTTGAATTGATATGGTGTTTTTGTCCTCCTCACTAAGATTTTTGTGTTAGTTCTTTAGAATGTTTATTTCATTTGGTCCACAAGGTTTAGCTTAATCTTGACGTAGCTTATCACGTGTCAGATTTTATTTCTTTCTTGTGTAATTTGTTAAATGAGGGCACCCTGATACATTTCTGACTTTTTTTTTAAGTGTGTCTCCCATTTAGTGTATTTCTTAGACTAGTGTAGTGACCCTTCCTTTCACCTCTTTTCCATGCTCCCCTCTCTGCTTCTTAAATTTTCTCTTCCGTACTTTTATTTGGGTATTAAAATATTGATAATAGTTATGCTTGGTTATCATAATTAGTTTTCCATCATCCATCTATAGGCTAATTCTAAAAGTTGAAAATCAGTACAGTGTGTAACTAATATGACCTCATAAATCCTTTCATTACTAAGCTGAAAAGTGTGCTAAATCATTTTCTCTTACAGTTTTAAAGTCTTTAGTCTTCTGTCCTCAGCATCTCTATCCTCCAAAGGACTGTATGGTCATGGTTATAGTCATAGAACGCCCCTTTTTTTCTAGATGCTTTTCTCTGCATTCCTCAGTTCTTCTGCCCTGCTCTTTCTTGCCTGATTTCTAGAACTCCTGAACAGGTATCTCTTACTTTCTTTTATTATTTTGTGAAAGCACATTCCCAATAAGCTTAAGGAAAACTAAATGACAGGTAAACTTTCTAAATGTTTGCATGTCCAAAAAACATCTTTATTTTATTTTCACATTTCAATGATACTTTGGACAGGCATAGATTTTTAGACCAAAAATAATTTTTTCCTCATAATGTTAAAGGCCTTTCTCCATTGTCTTTTGAGATCTAGAAGTGTTGATGAGAAGTCCTGTGTTGTTCAAAGATTCAGTTTCCTTTGTAGGTGATTTTTTTCTCTCTCTCTCTCGAAGCTTTAAGGATCTCCTTCTTTATCCTTGATGTTCTGAAATTTCACTGAAGTATTTAAAAGTATAGGTGTTTTATTCATTCATTTTGGCTTGATGGGCTCTTTCAATTTGAGGAATAATGGCCTTCGGTTCTGAGTATTCTTTCCTATCAATTCTTTGATAATTTCTTTCTCCGTATTTGCTCTAGTTCTCTCTTTATGGACCTCCTAGGAGTTGGCTCTTGAATCTACCCCACCAATTTTTCTGATACTCATCTTTCCCTTATATTTTTAAGCTTTTATCTCTTGAGTTTTTCTAGGAGATTTTCTTAATCTTATATTCCAACTCTTCTGCTATCTAGTTTTGATCATCGTCATATTTTTAATTTCCAAGAAGCTTTTAAAATTCTGATTATTTGGGGACCAAAACACATGGCATTATTTTCTGTATATAAGCAATATATTCGTGTGCTTCATTTACCTAATGTACTTATCTTTGCCTGTTCCAATCTGATGGCACCATATACCCATGTTTCATGATGAGGGTAACCATATCAGTGTGATACTGGTGTGTTTTTATTCTGAACCAATGGTCTCAATTGAGCCCTAGAACAGAAGAGCCTGGCAATCAATAATCCTTAGGACAACAGCCTTGAAACTCATGTTCACCTATGGAGAATTTTTTCATGATACAAACCCACCAAATGGAAAGTGAATGTTGAAGTGTATGTGTTGATATATGTCAATAATTTTATTCAGGATGAGGATATGAGCCAATATCTTAGAATGTGGCATTTCTTCCTGGGCTTTCTGGTTCCTCTGACCCTAAATTGTTTTGTCCTGATTTCATTTATTTATTTATTTATTTATTTATTTTAGTTATGTTTAACTTTTAACTGTTCTAAAGAACAACTTTCTTTAGAAGAGGATATACTGACTTCAACCTTGGTTTGAAAAATAGCTTCCATCTCTTATATATTTGTGATGATGATGATGATGACGATGACGATGATACCTAACCTCTATTGGGCTCTTCCTATGTGGCCAGCACACTTCTAAGCACATTATAAATACACTGACTCATATAGTCCTCACAACAATCCTGTGTCATAGTCCTATTGCTATTCCTATTTTGCTGATAAGGAAACAGACAGAGAGTGTATTAGTCCATTCTCACACTGCTGTAAAGAACTACCTGAGATTTATAAAGAAAAGAGATTTAATTGACTCAGTTCTGCATGGCTGAGGAGGCCTCAGGAAACTTACAGTCATGGCGGAAGACGAAGGAGAAACAAGCACATCTTACCATGGTGAAGCAGGAGAAAAAGAGAGAGCGAAGGAGGAAGTGCCACACTTTTAAACCATCAAATCTCATGAGAATTCACTCACTATCACAAGAAAAACAAGGGAGAAATCCACCCCCATGATTCAGTCACCTCCCACCATGCACTTCCCCTGACACATGGGAATTACAATCTGACAAAAGATTTGGATGGCAACATAGAGCCAAACCATATCACAGAGTTTTGAGTTATTTTCCCAAGATGATGCAGACAATAAGAAGTAGAGCCGGAATTCTAATTCCAGTGGTTTTGAGCCTTGTACTTGCACATTTCACCGTGATGCTAGACCACCTTTCTACACAAAAAAGCAATTCACTCATCAGATAAGTTAATAAAATGAGTTAACACTTTGTGATTGGTTAGCTAGTTCCTGAAAAATCTTTCTGGTGGCACTCTGCAATTCAGAATAAGCTCTTCTGCTTTCAGCATTTGTATTTGTTGCCCAGGATTATTGTATCTTAAACAAAACAAAGAAGTGGGAAAGGATGAGAACAAATTTCAGAGTTAATAAATGCATCACAAAACTGTAAATGCTCTTCTAATATTGAAATAAATTAAAGGATACATTGTCTATAGGGCCTTGCTGTCCTAATATGTATACTTATCCCTGCAGACATGAGTATACACACACACAAACACACACATGCATGCACACACAGCATACAATTCAAGAAAGGCTCTTCCATCACACATGACCTGGTGGTCCTAGTACAAGCCTGCAGGCCAAAAATCACTCAAGTCTAATTCTCTTCTGACACAGGCTCCCTCTGTGGCCTTGAGCAAGGCAATTATCCTTCTGGATTGAATTTCGTCAACCATTAAAGAATAATAATATGTGGTTTATGGGGAGAAGTAGTGGTGAGGATTAATGACTTAGTTAATGTGTGTCCAGTGTTCTCAAGAGCTCATATCCTGCATGAATACTCTAAGTCAAGCACAATGGGGTCTCTATTTACATACCTACAATTGCTATAGAGAATAAAATCTTACTCTGTTGCAAATACTATGCATGTACCCATACCAGGAAAACTCTATTATCAGCCCCTGGTTGATTGCTACCTTGCCTTATTCTTTATGTTTAAGGAGTAAACTTACATGCATCTCCTTTTCTATAGCACATGTAGATTGAGATCACCTTTAGATACCTGGAGCTCAACATTGTCCACCTCTATATTAATACTTGGAGAACAAAAAGTGTGTCCTCTTGCTAGTGGCACTCAAATTTATTCTGGACCCTGCTGATGACTGTAGTTATCTTAGACCAGTGCACAGTGAAGTAGCCTGAAGGCAGTCATGGCTGTGGATAGGCAATGTCTTGAAAAGGTGCACTCAGTGTATGGCTTTTTCCTAATAATAAGGAGCAAGCTGATAATACCAGTCAATGGGTATCATCCATTGATAGGACTTATACTTTTTCTAGTATTTTCCAGAAGCAGCAATGGATTTATATTGATTATGTGCCTTTCTTTATCTGACTGCCTTTAGGACCAATTCCACTCATTTGCTGAGAAGATCAGAGGTCAAGGGTACAGTATGTAATCAACAGAGCACTGGCAACTTATGCTCACAGTTATTAAATTCATAGTTTTGGCTCATTACTGAGACCAGTTCGTCCAGATCCATGTATTACATATCTATATGGGTCATTACATTTCTCCTCATACTTTTGCTACAATTTGCATAGCTTACTCTGAGTAGCCACTGTACAAATGAAAAGTAAACATACTTAATTTGCTTAAGAATATTTAATGGCAACTTTTCTCCAATTAAATATAGTATGAGCTATGACTGTGTGAATATGAAAAATTACACTTACTTCTAGAGTTTTCCATTTCTTGACTAATCTTATTTAAAATTTTCGCCCAGGTTGGGCACGGTGGCTCACGCCTTTAATCCCAGCACCTTGGGAGGCCAAGGCGGGTGGATTACTTGAAGTCAGGAGTTTGAGATCAGCCTGGCCAAAATGGTAAACCCTGCCTCTACTAAAAATAAAAAAATTAGCCAGGCGTGGTGGCAGCCGCCTGTAATCCCAGCTACCTGGGAGGGTGTGGCAGGAAAATTGTTTGAATCTGGGAGGCAGAGGTTGCAGTGAGCCAAGATCATACCCCTGCACCCGAGCCTGGGTGACAGAGCAAGACTCTGTCTCAAAAAAAAAAAAAAATATATTGGCCGGGCGCAGTGGCTCACGCCTGTCATCCCAGCACTTTGGGCGGCCGAGGCGGGTGGATCACGAGGTCAGGGGTTCGAGACCAGCCTGACCAACATGGTGAAACCCCATCTCTACTAAAAATACAAAAATTAGCTGTGTGTGGTGGCGGGCACCTGTAATTCCAGCTACTCAGGTGGCTGAGGCAGGAGAATTGCTTGAACCTGGGAGGCGGAGGTTGCAGTGAGCCAAGATTGTGCCACTGCACTCCAGCCTGGGCGACAGAGTGATACTCTGTCTCAAAAAAAAAAAAAAAAAAAAAAAATTATCCCACCTACTAATGAATGAGAAGTAATAAATATAAGTAATTCTTCTTACCGTACTTTATTTTCTTCCTAGATTCTGTTGAAATTCAGTATATCAGGAAAGGAGTATAGAGTCACCTCTTAAAGTTAATCTGGGGTTTTCTCTGAGCTGATCTGTAGTTTTGGTTACCCTGGCATAGCCTGCTTAGGGTAGAGAGATCAATAACTCAAAAATGTGATGAAAAACTAAATGCACTTGCATTAGAGAAGCATGAATCACTGTGGAAAAGAGAATTAACAGTCTCCGAGTTTTACAGTGGCATAGAAACCTAAAGATCGTATAAATTATCTCTTTTTTTAACTCTATTTATTTATTTATTTTTATTGTTATACTTTAAGTTCTGGGGTACATGTGCAGAACATACAGTTTTGTTACATAGGTATAGACATGCCATGGTGATTTGCTGCACCCATCAACCTGTCACTTACATTAGGTATTTCTACATTAGGAGAACATGTGGTGTTTGGTTTTCGGTTCTTGTGATAGTTTGCTGAGAATGATGGTTTCCAGCTTCATCCATGTCCCTGCAAAGGACATGAACTCATCCTTTTTTATGGCTGCATAGTATCTCATGGTATATATGTGCCACATTTTCTTTATCCAGTCTATCATTGATGGACATTTGGGTTGGTTCCAAGTCTTTGCTATTCTAAATAGTGCTGCAGTAAACATACGTGTGCATGTGTCTTTATAGTAGAATGATTTATAATCGTTTGGGTTTATACCCGGTAATGGGATTGCTGGGTCAAATGGTATTTCTGGTTCTAGATCCTTGAGGAATCGCCACACTGTCTTCCAAAGTGGTTGAACTAATTTACACTCCCACCAACAGTATAAAAGCATTCCTATTTCTCCACTTCCTCTCCAGCATCTGTTGTTTCCTGACTTTTTAATAATCACCATTCTAACTGGCATGAGATGGTATCTCATTGTGGTTTTGATTTGCATTTCTCTAATGACCAGTGATGATGAGCATTTTTACACGTTTGTTGGCTGCATAAATGTCTTCTTTTGAGAAATGTCTGTTCATATCCTTCGCCCACTTTTTGATGGGGTTGTTTGTTTTTTCTTGCAAATTTGTTTAAGTTCTTTGTAGATTCTGGATATTAGCCCTTTGTCAGATGGATACATTGCAAAAATTTTCTCCTGTTCTGTAGGTTGCCTGTTCACTCTGATGATAGTTTCTTTTGCTGTGCAGAAGCTCTTTAATTTAATTAGATCTCATTTGTCAATTTTGGCTTTTGTTGCCATTGCTTCTGGTGTTTTAGTCATGAAGTCTTTGCCCATGCCTATGTCCTGAATGGTATTGCCTAGGTTTTCTTCTAGGATTTTTATGGTTTTAGGTCTTACATTTAAGCCTTTAATCCATCTTGAGTTGATTTTTTATAAGGTGTAGGGAAGGGGTCCAGTTTCAGTTTTCTGCATATGGCTAGCCAGTTTTCCCAACACCATTTATTAAATAGGAAATCTTTTTCCCATTGCTTGTTTGTGTCAGGTTTGTCAAAGATCAGATGGTTGTAGATGTGTGGTGTTATTTCTGAGGCTCTGTTCTATTCCATTGGCTTATGTATCTGTTTTGGTACCAGTACCATGCTGTTTTGGTTACTGTAGCCTTGTAGTATAGTTTGAAGTAAATTATCTCTCTTAAAATATCTAAGGAAAAAGCCAGAGTTAGTTGTTTTGGTCAAGACTAGAGGTACACTAGTTTGAATCAATGTCTTCTAACTCAATGCTTTTTTTCCTTCTGTGTATCCTTAGCAGAAAAAGCAAAAACTGCTAGAACACCTCCAGGTTTCCCTTCAAATGTCCACTTCTTAACATGGTTTCTTTTTTTTATTTATTTCACTTATTTTGGGGGAACAGTTAGTGTTTGGTTGCATGGAAAAGTTCTTTAGTGGTGATTTCTGAGATTTTGGTACACTGATCACCTAAGCAATGTACACTCTACCCAATATGTAGTGTTTTATCCTTCACCCAACTCATACCCTTCTCCCTGAGTTCCCAAAGTCCATTATATCATTCTTACGCCTTTGCATCCTCATAGCTTAGCTCCTGCTTATAAGTGAGAACATATGATGTTTGATTTTCCATTCCTGAGTTACTTCACTTAAAATAATGGTCTCCAACTCCATCCAGGTTGCTGCAAATGACATTATTTCATGCCTTTTATGGCTGAGTAGTATTCCACATTTTCTTTATCCACTCATTGGTTGATGGGCATTTAGGCTGGTTCCACATTTTTGCAATTGTGAATTGTGCTGCTATAAACATCCATGTGCAAGTGTCTTTTTCATATAATTACTTCTTTTCCTCTGGGTAGATACCTAGTAATAGGATTGCTAGATCAAACGATAGTTCTTCTTTTAGTTACCTAAGGAATTTCTATGTTTTCTGTAGAGATTCCACTATAAACATATTTCCTTATTTAAGGAATCTCTATGTTTTCCATAGTGGTTGTGCTAGTTTACATTCTCACCAGCAGTGTCAAAGTTTTCCCTTTTAACCCCATCAACGCCAACATCTGTTATTTCTTTATTTTTAAATTGTGGCCATTCTTACAGGAGTAAGGTGGTTTCTCATTGTGGTTTTGATTTGCATTTCCCTGATAGTGATGTTGAACATTTTTCATGCGTTTGTTGGTTATTTGTATATCTTCTTTTGAGAATTGTCTATTCATGTCCTTTGCCCACTTTTTGGTGGGATTATTTGTTTTGTTCTTGCTGATTTGTTTGAGTTCCTTGTAGATTCTGGATATCAGTCCTTTTTCAAATGCATACTTTGCAAAAATTTTCTCCTACTCTGTGTGTTGTCTGTTCACTCTGCTGATTATTTCTTTTGCTGTGCAGAAGCTTTTTAGTTTAATTAGGTCCCATTTATTTATCTTTGTTTTTGTTGCATTTACTTTTTGATTCTTGGTCATGAACTCTACCTAAGCCAATTGGCATGGCTTCTTATTAACCTCTGATATATTGTGTCTCTCGTGCTCTGCTACCTGCACTCCTATTTTCTGTTGCTACTTGCGTACTCCAAGTTCAAGAAGAGTGTGTATTGAGCAGGCAATGGTTGTGCCGATTCTTTATTGGATTTTATCTATGTAACTAAGTTATAATCAGGGATCCTTTAATGCTGATAACATGTGAGCAGTATCTCTTATTATGTTTATAAGACACAGGTTTGTTTTTGGTGGCTTATCTCTAATGGATCTGATAAAGAAACTTTCCTTATCTCAATAACGTTAAAAAATCACAAAATGATTTTCTGTTTCTGCTTTAACTAGAGTGGAAACTAACAAGCTCTATTTTTATAAATATTTTCCTAAAATCTGTACTAGTCAGTACCTTCCAAACTTTAGATCAATGTCCCAGGGAAATATTTTCTTTGTAAAGAACTTAAGAGATTATATAGAATCACAAATTATAGTTTTAGCCAACTCCAGTAGAATATTTTGCTATCTAAACTACTTTTTCATTTAATTTCCTTGTATTCAGTTCTTGGTGCTTCCAACTTTTAGTTTTCAAGTCTAATGAGCCACTTTACATTTAAAATACTTCTATTATATTACATTCATTTAAGCAATCGGAACTTGGCCATTTGAAAAATAACCAGAATTAGTATAGATGAAAGAGTATGTGATTACCTTTTTATTTGGGGCTATGTCTCCCAAGCAAATAAATCATTTTCTTATATTGTTATATGCTATATATGTTCTTAAGGGTAGTTTTATCAATCTTGGCTATTTAGGAGCAAATTATCACGAGCCTCTCTAGCTATCAATCTGCCTATTAGATTACCCATCTCTTCTATAATCACATAATACCAACCTTCCTAGCTCATGGCCACATATGGGTAGGAGAGGCATCTGAGAATTTGGAAATCTAGACAAAAGAAGAACCTTCTTCCTGGTGACAGTGCTATAGCAAGTTAACTATTATGGTTTCTCAAGTTAATAATCTTTAGAGTTTTAAGGCAGACCACAAAGTCTGCCTGCATGGTTTTCTCCCTTTGTTTTGTAACAGGAGAAAATTCAGTTGAATTCAGTGCAATTTTGTTCCCCGTGTTTCCAAAATATACAATTCCATTACTAAAATAACCTAGAGGAAACTATAAGTAAGTAAATAATCCCTTCTTATATACCATAAACATTGGTTAAATATATCTCTCAGGAACACAGATAACTTTTGTTATATTTTGTATTTCTGGGTAATTCATATTTATAAATATGATACACAAGTTAGACTTTAACAGACATTCATGGTTTAAACACAATTATTTAGACTGTAGAATATTATGCTTGTGTCTGACAGCTTATCATATGCGTTATGAATATATATATATAGCATTATGCTGGTATATTACATTTTTAACATACTCATTAGTTTGGAGCTAATAAACTTAAGTAGTTCCATTTTCAATATATGTAGGATATACATTAGTTAGACTTTTCTTGAGCCAATGTTTTAATATTTTACCCTGTTGATTAGGTTGTTTTCTGAAACTATGATTCCTACAATGCCTTTGCCCACTCAAAAAATAAAAAGAAAGAAAGAAAGAAAGAAACCTATTTAACCATCTCCTATGTGTCTGGCATTGTGCTAAATACTGGAAAGTTAAAAATAAGTAAAACATTGTTCTTGCCCTGAGGAGTATTATACAGTGATAGAAATAACCAGGTTATCTGGATATCTAAATGGAATTTTCTGAATATATTTATATACAAAATGGCATGAATGCACAGAAGAACAGGCCATTTCCCCCAGGTAATATGAGTTCACCAGGTAGAATGAGAAAGGAAGCATCATAATAGACCATGTTGGTTGCATTTAGGAAACAGCAAAGTAGACCTGTGTGGCTGGTGAGGGAAACATGGAGAGAGGAAGAGACTGAAATAATTTCAAGGGAAAAAAAAAGTTTGTTCATGTTTCTCTTCCATCAGTGAACATTTATTAGGCTAAGTGTCAGGCATTATTCTAGGATCTAACCAAGATGAAGGCCATGAGAGATGAAGGCTGTGGTTCCACGGGGTTTAACTGTGGGCTCTGTGACAAAAATTAAGGCAAAGTGATGGAGAGTAATGAGAAACAGGGAAGGAGCAGGTTTTGGTAATTGAGAAAATCAAGTTTTCTTTGTGATGTTAATGTGGCACAGCTATAAGCATTCAAGAGGAGATGCCAGATAGGAAGTTGAATACGTGGATCTAGAGATCAGGGCAGGACAGAAGCTATAGACATAAATAATGTGAATCACCAGTATATGAGTGCTATTTAAAGCCATGGGATTGGATGAACACCTAGGGAGATGGAGGGGGATAGAAAAGAGAATGTGGCCCATCTCTGAGGAGAGAAAGTAGCCCAGGACCCTGGGATATTCCAAGATTTGAGCTTCAAAGCAGGAGCAAAGATAGAATGAAAGTATTAAGCCTTGTGTGCACTAACTTGTCTTTTAAAACTCCAGGCCAGGGTATTCTACGCATTTCCTCCCAACAGAAACAAATTCATGCCTGCCCCTTCTGCAGTTGCAAACAAATACAGTCATACATTACTCAATTACGAGGATATGTTATGAGAAATATGTCATTAGGCAATTTCATCATTGTGCAAACATCATAGAGTATACTTAAATAAACCTAGTTGGCATAGCCTACTACACACCTAGGCTATATGGTATAGCCTACTGCTCATAGGCTATAAACCTGTACAGCAGATTACTGTACTGAATACTATGGACAATTGTAACACAACGGTAAGTATCTGTACATCTAAACATAGAAAAGGTACAGGAAAACATACAGTATTATAATCTAATGGGACTCCTGTTGTATATGTGATTTGTCCTTAACCAAAATTTTGTTATGCAGCACATGACTATACTCCAAATAAGAATTTTCTTAGACGCTGGGCATGGTGGCTCATACCTATAATCCTAGCATTTTGGGAAGCCGAGGCAAGCAGATTGCTTAAGCTCAGGAGTTGGAGACCATCCCACAGAACATGGCAAAACCCTGTCTCTACAAAAAAGAAAAAAAATTGCCAGGCATGGTGGCATGCACCTGTACTTTCAGCTACTCGGGAAGCTGAGGTGGGAGGATTGCTTGATCCCAGGAAGTTGAGGCTGCAGTCAGCTGAGAGGGTGCCACTGCACTTCATCCTGGGCAACAGAGTGAGACCCTGTCTCAAAAAATAAAAAGAAAAAGAATTTTCTTGGAAATTTATATTTAAAATGATGGAAGTCTTATAATCTAGTCTATAATGTCTTGTTTAATATTAGACTATGTTTAACTAAATTACCATCAGAATTAAAATGTTTCCTACCATGTTTAATTTATAGCTTCAAGTATCCACAAATATTTCTCACACATTGCTAAGGGGACCCCTACTCCTCCTGAAGAAGAAAGACTCAGCCATGGGGAGCCATTTAGAGGCTTTCAGCATCCTTCCATTCTTACTTGTAATTTCAGATTTGCATGACATAATTATTTTATATGGTTTGTTAGTATTTGTGTGGCTGTCCTTCCTCTCTCCTTGAGAATGGAGTTTTCTGGTTTTGATGATGAAGTTCTTTCTAAGAAGGTGAGGGCTTATTTGCTACTTCAATTTCTGGCACAATGTAAAGTCATTTTTTTTTTCCGATAAAACTTCTATTTACATTTTTAGAGATTTGTGAAGAAGCATCTTCAATATTTAAATACAACACACTAGGAAAATCTCAAATCTATTCTATTTGTGCCCTACTTATTAAAGTTATTTCACAAAATTTTTTGATAGCTATAAATAGAAGAATCATCAACAAATAATAACAGGAGCTGTACATAATAGATGTTCAGAGAATGCCCTTGCAGAAGGCTAAAGCTAAAAACACTAAATTTAAAAAAAAAAAAATACCCCAAATGTCTTTTATAATGCCTGGTTGTTCTGGCAGAAAGTAAAGAAATTCCTCTGAGGCAAAAGCAAAAAAAAAGCTCCAATGCAAAGGACTAAGTGAAAGTTGGAGCCATCATTTGCTTTAGTGGCCTCTCTCAATCCCCTGTTGCCTAGAGGAGTTTAAAAGACACATTCACTGACAATAAGGAAATCTTGAGTCCAAAGAATAGTGGTAACACAATTAAATTGGGTGTAGTTCCAGATGCTTGGGGGTCTGAGATGGGAGGATCGCTTGAGCCTGGGAGATGGAGGTCACGGTGAGCCAAGATCGCGCCACTCCACTTCAGCCTGGGTGACAGAGGGAGGCCCCATCTCAAAAAAACAAACAAAAAGAAACAAAGCCAGTGTTGACACCATCAGGGATGAAGAAAAAGCATACCCGCTTTGCAGTGGGAGACCTTGGAGAAAACTCTTGGCTCACCCTCGAGTCTGGGTGGAGAAGAATAAAAGAAAGGACTGTACTAAGAACGTCTAACCTCAGGTCTAAAGTTATATTATCATACGACAGGAAAAAAAAAATCCAAAAGCCAAAAATGCTATTTAATTTTTCCAGTTTGACCATGTACCCAGCTACCTGGAGGCAGAAAATGAAAATCCTATTGGAAAGAAAGCACTTTGTATGCAGCCATCTAAGAATTCCAACAGATGAAGGTCCGAAAACATGAGTTCCCAATAAAAATTTCACTGAATACATAAGGAAACAAATGACCATGAGTAAGAGGCAGGAAGGGAAAAGAACCCCGCTGAATCTGATCTACATAAACTCCCAATATTAGAACTATCAGATACAGAATATAAAATAAATGTATTATATTTTGAAAGAACAGATTCTAGAAATATTGAACTGTGGTATTTTAAAAATAGATCTTCTAGAAATGAAAAATGTAATAATTAAAGGTTGTATTTAATTACATAATTATAATTAAAATTCAGAGTAAATACAATGAAGAGAAAACTGACAAAATAGAAGGTATACTTTAAAAAACAATTTTGGCTGGGCTTGGTGGCTCACACCTGTAATCCTAACAGAATACCAGCCTGGGTAACATAGGAAGACCCCATCTCTACAAAAAAAAAAATTTAAATTAGCTAAGCATCATGGCACACACCTGTAGTCCCAGCTACTCAGGAGGCTGAGGTGAGAGGATTGCTTGAGTCCAAGAGGTGGAGGCTGCAGTGAACCATGATCTTGCCACTGCACTCCAGCCTGGGTGACAGAGCAAGATCCTGTGTCAAAAAAATAAAAAATAAATAAAATGTATTATGGCAACATAACACGTGATCTAGCCTCTTAACACATTTTTAAGTATACAATACAATATTATTAACTATAGACACAACATGTACAGCAGATCTAGAAAATTCGTTCATCTTGCATAACTGAAATGTTACACTCGTTACATAGTAACTCGCCATTTGTCTCTCCCCTCAATCCCAAGCAACCAGAATTCTACTCTCTGTTTTATGAGCTTGACCATTTTAGATATCTCATATAAGTGGAATCATATGGTATTCTTCCTTCTGTGACTACCTTATTTCACTTAGCATAATGTCCTCAAGTTTCATCCATGTCGTGGCACATTACAGGTGATATCTCATTGTGGTTTTGATTGGAATGTCCCTGATGATTAGTGATGCTGACCATCTTTTAATATTTTAATATACCTACTGGATATTTGTATGTCTCCTTCGGAGTCGTGTCTATTCAAATTCTTAGCCCATTTTTAATCAGATTATTAGGTTTTTTTGCTATTAAACCGTAGGTGTTCCTTACCTACTTTGGAAAATCCCTTCCCAGCTATATGGGATTCACACATATTTTCTCCCATTCCACAGGTTGCCTTTTCACTCCATTAATAGCCTCCTTTGCTGTGCAGAAGCCTTTTAGTTTGATGTAGTCCCACTTGTCTATTTTTGTTTTCGTTACCTGTGCTTTTGTTGTCATTTCCATTAAATCATTGCTGAGGCCAATGTCATGAATCTTTCCCTGTTTTCTTCTAGGAAATTTATAGTTTCAGGTCTTATGTTTAAATTATTGATTCATTTTGAGTTGACATTTTTGTACAGTGTATGTTAAGGGTCCAATTTCATTTTGCATGTGGCTATCTAATTTTGCCAACACCATTTGTTGAAGAGATGGTCCCTTCCCCATTGTGTACCTTAGTACCTTTGTTGAAGATCAGCTAATTGTGTATGCATGGGTTCATTTCTGGGCTTTCAGTTCTGTACCATTTGTCTATATGTCTGTCTTTATGCCAGCACCATTCTGTTTTAATTACTGTAGATTTTTAATATATTTTGAAATCAGGAAGTATGATGCCTCCAGCTTTGTTCTTTCTTCTGAAAATATTTTGGCTATTTAGGATCCTTCATGATTCCATGTGAATTATAGAGTTGTATCTTCTACTTCTGTAAAAAATTTCATTGGAATTTTGATGAGGATTGCATTGAATCTGTAGATTACTGGGCAGTATGAACACTTTAACAATATTAAGTCTTCCTATTTGTTAACATGGAATAAATTTTCCATTTATTTGTGTCTTCTTTAATTTCTTTCATTAATGTCTTTAATTTTCAGTGTGCAAATCCTTCACCTCTTAAGTTTATTCTTAAGTATTTTATTCTTTTGGATGCTATTGTAAATGGGATAAATTTTCTAATTTCCTTTTGCAGTAGTTTGTTAGTGTATAGAAACACAACTTATTTTCATATGTTGATTTTATACCCTGCAGCTTTACTAAATTCACTTATTAGTTTACCTTTTTTTTCTTAAAGTTTTTAGGATTTTCTAAGGGTGTGTTAGGTAACGTCATCTGCAGAGGAGGATAACTTTACTTTTTCCTTTATGATGTAGATGCCTTTTTTTTCTTGCCTAATTGCTCTGGCTAGAACTTCCATTACTTTATTGAATAGAAGTAGTAAGAGTGATCATTCTTGTCTTCCTCCTGATCTTAGAAGAAAAGTTTTCAAGTTTTCACCATTGAGTATGATGTTAGCCATGAGCTTGTCATATATGGCCTTTATTATGTTGAGGTAATTTTCCTCTATTTCTAGTTTGCTGAGAGTTTTTATCATGAAGGTTTCAATTTTATAATTACATTTTCTGCATCTATTGAGATGAGCATGTGATTTTTAGCCTTCATTCTGCTGATGTGGTGTATCACATTAATTTATTTTTGTATGCTCCACCATCCTTGCACCCTAGGGATAAATTTCACTTGGTCATGGTGTGTGATCCTTTTAGTGTGGTGTTGAATTCAGTTCGCTAGTATTTTGTCGGGGGTTGTTTTATCTATGTTCATCAATAATATGGGCCCGCAATTTTCTTTCCTTGTAGTGTTCTTATGTGGCTTTGGTATGAAGATAATGCTGGTCTCATAAAATGAGTTTGGAAATGTTCTCACTTCCTCAGTTTTTTGGAAGTGTTTGAGGGGGTTAGAATTAATTCTTTTTTAAATTTTTGGTTGAATTTACCAGTGAACCATCTGGTCCTGAGCTTTTGTTAAGAGGTTTTTGATTACTAATTCAATTTCCTTACTAGTTATGTCTATGCCAGTTTTTTGTTTGTTTGTTTGTTTGTTTTTGAGACGGAGCTCGCTCTGTCACCCAGGCTGAAGTGCAGTGGCGTGATCTTGGCTCACTGCAAGCTCTGCCTTTCGGGTTCACGCCATTGTCTTGCCTCAGCCTCCCAAGTAACTGGGACTACAGGCACCCGCCACTGCACCCAGGTTATTTTTTGTATTTTTAGTAGAGATGGGGTTTCACCATGGTCTCGATCTCCTGACCTCACGATCCGCCCACCTCGGCCTCCCAAAGTGTTGGGATTACAGGCGTGAGCCACTGCGCCTGGCCTCTATGCGAGTTTTCTATTTCTTCATCACCCAGTCTTGGTAAGCTGTATGTTTCTAGGAATGTATCCATTTCATCTAGGTTATCCAATTTGTTGGCATACAGTAGTCTCTTACAATCTATTCATAGTAGTCCCTTATGATCCTTTTTTCCTGTGGCAGCAGGTGTAAGTAATGACTCCTTTTTTATTTCTGATTGTCTTTGAGTCTTCTCTTTTTTTTCTTAGTCTAGCTAAAGGTGTGTCAATTTTGTCTTTTGCTTCGAAAACTAATTCTTAATCTCATTGATTTTTTTTCCTATTGTTTTGCTATTCTCTATTCTATTTATTTCTGTTCTAATCTTTATTTCCTTCTTTCTGCCAACTTTTAGACTTAGTTTCTTCTTAATGTAGGCATTTATCCCTATAAATTTCTCTCTTAGCACTGTTTTTGCTGCATTCCATAGTTTTGGTGTATTGTATTTTCATTTTTGTTGGTTGCAAGATATTTTCTGATTTCCCTTCTGGTTTTTTCTTTTACTCACTGGTTGTTCAAAAGCATGTAGTTTAATTTCTACATATTTGTGAATTTTCAAATTTTTCTTCTGCTATGGATTTCTAGTTTCATTTCATTATGGTTGGAAAAGACAGTCTTCCTAAATTTACTAAGACTTGGCCAAACACAGTGGATCATACCTGCAGTCCTACTGCTTTAGGAGGCCAAGGTGGAAGGATTACATGAGGCCAGTAGTTCAATACTAGCCTAGGCAACATAGCAAGACTCTGTTTCTACAAAAAAATTTTTTTATGAGATGTGCGTGGTGACACAAGCCTGTAGTCCTAGATACTTGGGAGGCTGAGGCAGGAGGATTATTTGAGCCCCAGAGTTCCAGTTTATAGTGAGCTATGATGGCACTCCACATCTTTGGTGTCACAAGGATGTCACAGCCTTGTCACAGCTTCGGTGAGAGAGTGAAACCCTGTTTAAAAAAAACAAATATACTGACCTTTGTTTTGTGACCTAACATGTGGTCTCTCCTGAAGAATATTTTATTTGTACTAGAGAAGAATGTGTATTCTGCTGCTATTGTTCTGTATAAGTATTTGGTTCATTTGTTGTAAAAGGTTGCTCAAATTCACTGTATCTTTGTAGATTTTCTGTCTGGTTGTTCTATTACTATTGCCATTTTGACAATCATTTTCTGTATGTCTTATGGTTCATTTGTCCCTCTTTTCCTCTCTTACTGTCTTTCTTGTGTTTTGTTGATTTTTAAAAAATTAATATGTTTTGATTCCATTCTATTTTTCTTGTGTGTATTTTTCTTCTGTAGGTATTTTCTTTGTGGTTACCATGAGGTTTACATAAAATATTTAACATTGTAACAGTCTGTTTTAAGCTGATAGCAACCTTACTTCAATCACACATAAGACCTCTACACTTTTACTTCTTCTCCCCTCACAATTTATGTTATGGATGTCACAATTTTTATCTATTTATATTGTATATCCATTAACATATTTTCAGTTATAGTAAATTTAATAGTGTTGTATTTTAACTTTTATGCTTCAAATACAATGATTTAACCACTAATGTTACAGTAATAACAGTATTCTCTATTTGACTATATATTTACCTTTACCAGTGATTTTTCTACTTTCTTATGATAATGTGTTACTGTTTAGTGTCCTTTGTTATAAGTTGGAGAACTCTTTAGTATTTCTTGTAAGGCAGGTAAGCGGTGATAAACTCTCAGCTCTGTATGTCCTGAAAAGTCTTTATCTCTTCTACATTTTTGAAGAACAGTTTTGACCAGCATAATCTTCTTAGTTGGCAGCATTTTTTCTTTTAGCACTTTGAATATATCATCCCACTCCCTTCTGAATTGCAAGTATTCTGCTGAAAAACCCATTGAAAATCTTCTCAAAGCTCCCTTGTATGTGACAAGTTTCTTTTCTCTTCCTGCTTTCAAAATTCTTTTTCTCTGACTTTTGACCATTTGATTATAACGTGCCTTTGTGTATATTTATTTGGGTTTATCTTATTGAGAGTCCTCTGGATTTCCTGGATCTGGATGTCATTTACTTCCTCACATTTGAGAATCTTTCAACCATTATTCATTTGAATAAGCTTTCCGATTCTTTCTCCTTCATCTTTATCTGGAACCTCCATGATGCTCATAGTGTGTACTTGACTGGATAATTTCAGATGACTTGGCTTTGACTTTACTGATTCTTCTGCTTGCTCTTATCTGCTGTCAAACACCAACCTAATGAATTTTTTAGTTTAGTTAATGTATTCTTTTTTTATTATTATTATACTTTAAGCTTTAGGGTACATGTGCACAAGGTGCAGGTTTGTTACATATGTATACATGTGCCATGTTGGTGTGCTGCACCCATTAACTCGTCATTTAGCATTAGGTATATCTCCTAATGCTATCCCTCCCCCCTCCCCCCACCCCACAACCATCCCCAGTGTGTGATGTTCCCCTTCCTGTGTCCATGTGTTCTCATTGTTCAACTCCCACCTATGAGTGAGAACATGCAGTGTTTGGTTTTTGGTCCTTGAGATAGTTTGCTCAGAATGATGGTTTCCAGCTTCATCCATGTCCCTACAAAGGACATGAATTCATCATTTTTTATGGCTGCATAGTATTCCATGGTGTATATGTGCCACATTTTCTTAATCCAGTCTATCATTGTTGGACATTTGGGTTGGTTCCAAGTCTTTGCTATTGTGAATAGTGCCGTAATAAACATACGTGTGCATGTGTCTTTATAGCAGCATGATTTATAAGCCTTTGGGTATATACCCAGTAATGGGATGGCTGGGTCAAATGGTATTTCTAGTTCTAGATCCCTGAGGAATCGCCACACTGACTTCCACAATGGTTGAACTAGTTTACAGTCCCACCAACAATGTAAAAGTGTTCCTATTTCTCCACATCCTCTCCAGCACCTGTTGTTTCCTGACTTTTTAATGATCACCATTCTAATTGGTGTGAGATGGTATCTCATTGTGGTTTTGATTGGCATTTCTGTGATGGCCAGTGATGATGAGCATTTTTTCATGTGTTTTTTTGGCTGCATAAATATCTTCTTTTGAGAAGTGTCTGTTCATATCCTTCGCCCACTTTTCGATGGGGTTGTTTTTTTTTTCTTGTAAGTTTGTTTGAGTTCACTGTAGATTCTGGATATTAGCCCTTTGTCAGATGAGTAGGTTGCAAAAATTTTCTCCCATTCTGTAGGTTGCCTGTTCACTCTGATGGTGGTTTCTTTTGCTGTGCAGAAGCTCTTTAGTTTAATTAGATCCCATTTGTCAATTTTGGCTTTTGTTGCCATTGCTTTTGGTGTTTTAGACATGAAGTCCTTCCCCATGCCTATGTCCTGAATGGTATTGCCTAGGTTTTCTTCTAGGGTTTTTATGGTTTTAGGTCTAACATGTAAGTTTTTAATCCATGTTGAATTAATTTTTGTATAAGGTGTAAGGAAGGGATCCAGTTTCAGTTTTCTGCATATGGCTAGCCAGTTTTCCCAACACCATTTATTAAATAGGGAATCCTTTCCCCATTTCTTCTTTTTGTCAGGTTTGTCAAAGATCAGATAGTTGTAGATGTGTGGTATTATTTCTGAGGGCTCTGTTCTGTTCCATCGGTCTATATCCCTGTTTTGGTACCAGTACCATGCTGTTTTGGTTACTGTAGCCTTGTAGTATAGTTTGAAGTTAGGTAGCGTGATGCCTCCAGCTTTGTTCTTTTGGCTTAGGATTGACTTGGCAATGTGGGCTCTTTTTTGGTTCCATATGAACTTTAAAGTAGTTTTTTTCCAATTCTGTGAAGAAAGTCATTGGTAGCTTGATGGGGATGGCACTGAATCTATAAATTACCTTGGGTAGTATGGCCATTTTCATGATATTGATTCTTCCTACCTATGAACATGGAATGTTCTTCCATTGGTTTGTATCCTCTTTTATTTCATTGAGCAGTGGTTTGTAGTTCTCCTTGAAGAAGTCCTTCACATCCCTTGTAAGTTGGATTCCTAGGTATTCTATTCCCTTTGAAGCAATTGTGAATGGGAGTTCACTCATGATTTGGCTCTCTGTTTGTCTGTTATTGGTGTATAAGAATGCTTGTGATTTTTGCACATTGATTTTGTATCCTGAGACTTTTCTGAAGTTGCTTATCAGCTTAAGGAGATTTAGGGCTGAGACGATGGGGTTTTCTAGATACACAATCATGTCATCTGCAAACAGGGAGAATTTGACTTCCTCTTTTCCTAATTGAATGCCCTTTATTCCCTTCTCCTGCCTGATTGCCCTGGCCAGAACTTCCAACACTATGTTGAATAGGAGTGGTGAGAGAGGGCATCCCTGTCTTGTGCCAGTTTTCAAAGGGAGTGCTTCTAGTTTTTCTCCATTCAGTATGATATTGGCTGTGGGTTTGTCATAGATAGCTCTTATTATTTTGAGATACATCCCATCAATACCTAATTTATTGAGAGTTTTGGGCATGAGGGTTGTTGAATTTTTTCAAAGGCCTCTTCTGCATCTGTTGAGATAATCATGTGGATTTTGTCTTTGGTTCTGTTTATATGCTGGATTACGTTTATTGATTTGCATATGTTGAACCAGCCTTGCATCCCAGGAATGAAGCCCACTTGATCATGGTGGATAAGCTTTTTGATGTGTTGCTGGATTCGGTTTGCCAGTATTTTATTGAGGATTTTTGCATCAATGTTCATCAAGGATATTGGTCTAAAACTCTCTTTTTTTGTTGTGTCTCTGCCTGGCTTTGGTATCAGGATGATGCTGGCCTCATAAAATGAGTTAGGGAAGATTCCCTCTTTTTCTATTGATTGGAATAGTTTCAGAAGGAATGGTACCAGCTCCTCCTTGTACCTCTGGTAGAATTTGGCTGTGAATCCATCTGGTCCTGGACTGTTTTTGGTTAGTAAGCTCTTAATTATTGCCCCAATTTCAGAGCCTGTTATTGGTCTATTCAGAGATTCAACTTCTTCCTGATTTAGTCTTGGGAGACTGTATGTGTCGAGGAATTTATCCATTTCTTCTAGATTTTCTAGTTTATTTGCATAGAGGTGTTTATAGTATTCTCTGATGGTAGTTTGTATTTCTGTGGGATCGGTGGTGATATCACCTTTGTCATTTTTTATTGCGTCTATTTGATTCTTCTCTCTTTTCTTCTTTATTAGTCTGGCTAGCGGTCTATCAATTTTGTTGATCCTTTCAAAAAACCAGCTCCTGGATTCATTGATTTTTTTGAAGGGTTTTTTGTGTCTCTATTTCCTTCAGTTCCGCTCTGATCTTAGTTATTTCTTGCCTTCTGCTAGCTTTTGAATGTGTTTGCTCTTGCTTCTCTAGTTCTTTTAATTGTGACGTTAGGGTGTCAATTTTAGATCTTTCCTGCTTTCTCTTGTGGGCATTTAGTGCTATAAATTTCCCTCTACACACTGCTTTGAATGTGTCCCAGAGATTCTGGTATGTTGTGTCTTTGTTCTCGTTGGTTTCAAAGAACATCTTTATTTCTGCCTTCATTTCGTTATTTACCCAGTAGTCATTCAGGAGCAGGTTGTTCAGTTTCCATGTAGTTGAGCGGTTTTGAGTGAGTTTCTTACTCCTGAGTTCTAGTTTGATTGCACTGTGGTCTGAGAGACAGTTTGTTATAATTTCTGTCTTTTACATTTACTGAGGAGTGCTTTACTTCCAACTATGTGGTCAATTTTGGAATAGGTGTGGTGTGGTGCTGACAAGAATGTATATTCTGTTGATGTGGGGTGGAGAGTTCTGTAGATGTCTATTAGGTCTGACTGGTGCAGAGCTGAGTTCAATTCCTGGATACCCTTGTTAACTTTCTGTCTCATTGATCTGTCTCATGTTGACAGTAGGGTGTTAAAGTCTCCCATTATTATTGTGTGGGAGTCTAAGTCTCTTTGTAGGTCACTAAGGACTTGCTTTATGAATCTGAGTGCTCCTGTATTGGGTGCATATATATTTAGGATAGTTAGCTCTTCTTGTTGAATTGATCCCTTTAACATTATGTAATGGCCTTCTTTGTCTCTTTTGATCTTTGTTAGTTTAAAGTCTGTTTTATCAGAGACTAGGATTGTAACCCCTGCCTTTTTTTGTTTTCCATTTGCTTGGTAGATCTTCCTCCCTCCCTTTATTTTGAGCCTATGTGTGTCTCTGCACATGAGATGGTTTTCCTGAATACAGCACACTGATGAGTCTTGACTCTTTATCCAATTTGCCAGTCTGTGCCTTTTAATTGGAGCATTTAGCCCATTTACATTTAAGGTTAGTATTGTTATGTGTGAATTTGATCCTGTCATTATGATGTTAGCTGGTTATTTTGCTCATTAGTTGATGCAGTTTCTTCCTAGCCTTGACGGTCTTTACAATTTGGCCTGTTTTTGCAGTGGCTGGTACCAGTTGTTCCTTTCCATGTTTAGTGCTTCCTTCAGGAGCTCTTTTAGGGCAGGCCTGGTGGTGACAAAATCTCTCAGCATTTGCTTGTCTGTAAAGTATTTTATATCTCCTGCACTTATGAAGCTTAGTTTGGCTGGATATGAAATTCTGGGTTGAAAATTCTTTTCTTTAATAATGTTGAATATTGGCCCCCACTCCCTTCTGGCTTGTAGAGTTTCTGCCGAGAGATTATCTGTTAGTCTGATGGGTTTCCCTTTGTGGGTGACCTGACCTTCCTCTCTGGCTGCCCTTAACATTTTTTCCTTCATTTCAGTTTTGGTGAATCTGACAATTATGTGTCTTGGAGTTGCTCTTCTCGAGGAGTATCTTTGTGGCATTCTGTGTATTTCTTGAATTTGAATGTTGGTCTGCCTTGCTAGATTGGGGAAGTTCTCCTGGATAATATCCTGCAGAGTGTTTTCCAACTTGGTTCCATTCTCCCCGTCAATTTCAGGTACACCAATTAGACGTAGATTTCGTCTTTCCACATAGTCCCATATTTCTTGGAGGCTTTGTTCATTTCTTTTTATTCTTTTTTCTCTAAACTTCTCTTCACACTTCATTTCATTCATTTTGTCTTCCATCACTGATACCCTTTCTTCCAGTTGATTGCATCAGTTACTGAGGCTTGTGCATTCGTCACGTAGTTCTCATGCCATGGTTTTCAGCTCCATCAGGTCCTTTAAGGACTTCTCTGCATTGACTATTCTAGTTATCCATTGATCTAATTTTTTTTCAAAGTTTTTAACTTCTTTGCCATTGGTTTGAACTTCCTTCTTTAGCTTGGAGTAGTTTGATCTTCTGAAGCCTTCCTCTCTCAACTCGTCAAAGTCATTCCCCGTCCAGCTTTGTTCCGTTGCTGGTGAGGAGCTGCGTTCCTTTGGAGGAGGAGAGGCACTCTGATTTTTAGTGTTTCCCGTTTTTCTGCTCTGTTTTTTCCCCATCTTTGTGATTTTATCTACCTTTTGTCTTTGATGATGGTGACGTACTGATGGGTTTTTGGTATGGATGTCCTTTCTGTTTGTTAGTTTTCTTTCTAACAGACAGGACCCTCAGCTGCAGGTCTGTTGGAGTTTACTGGAGGTCCACTCCAGACCCTGTTTGCCTGGGTATCAGCAGCGGTGGCTGCAGAACAGCGGATATTGGTGAACCGCAAATGCTGCTGCCTGATCGCTCCTCTGGAAGTTTTGTCTCAGAGGAGTACCCGGCCATGGGAGGTGTCAGTCCGCCCCTACTGGGGGATGCCTCCCAGTTAGGCTACTCGGGGGTCAGGGACCCACTTGAGGAGGCAGTCTGTCCGTTCTCAGATCTCAAGCTGCATGCTGGGAGAACCACTACTCTCTTCAAAGCTGTCAGACAGGGACATTTAAGTCTGCAGAGGTTATTGCTGTCTTTTGTTTGTCTGTGCCCTGCCCCCAGAGGTGGAGCCTACAGAGGCAGGCAGGCCTCCTTGAGCTGTGGTGGGCTCCACCCAGTTCGAGCTTCCTGGCCACTTTGTTTACCTACTCAAGCCTGAGCAATGGCGGGTGCCCCTCCCCCAGCCTCACTGCTGCCTTACAGTTTGATCTCAGACTGCTGTGCTAGCAATGAGCGAGGCTCCATGGGTGTAGGACCCTCAGAGCCTTGTGCAGGATATAATCTCCTGGTGTGCCGTTTGTGAAGCCTGTTGGAAAAGTGCAGTATTAGGGTGGGAGTAACCCAATTTTCCAGTTTCCGTCTGTCACCCCTTTCTTTGACTAGGAAAGGGAATTCCCTGACCCCTTGTGCTTCCCGGGTGAGGCGATGCCTCGCCTTGCTTCCGCTCATGCATGGTGCACTGCACCCACTGTCCTGCACCCACTGTCCGGCACTCCCCTGTGAGATGAACCCAGTACCTCTGTTGGAAATGCAGAAATCACCCGTCTTCTGCGTCGCTCACACTGGGAGCTGTAGACTGGAGCTGTTTCTATTCAGCCATCTTAGCTCCACACCCTCAGTTATTGTATTCTTCAGCTCCAAGATTTCTGTTTGGTTTTTTCCTTAATTTTTTATATCTTTACTTAAATTCTCACTTTGTTTATGTACTGTTCTACTGAGCTCACTGAGCATTTTGGTGACAGTTATTTTGAATTATCTGTCAGATAATTCATATATCTCTGTTTCATTAGGATTGGTTTCTCGAATTTTATCTTGTTTCTTAGTTTGAATCATGTTTCTGTTTCTTCATTTTCCTTGACTCTGTTGATATCTATAAAGTAGAAAAAACTACCACTTTGCCCAGTCTTCATGGACAAGACTGCTACAGAAGAAGATCCTAGCATGACATCAACCCAGCTAAAACCTCTGTTGGCCTCTCAAATCTTTGTGCTACTCCAAACTGCCATCTTTGTTTTTAGTGGCCCACAGGTGTCCAGAGTATATCAGATCTCATTAGTGTTTTAAGACAGGTGACAGATAAGACAGTCCCTCAGCACCCAGAGAGGTCAGAAGTTGACTATGCACCCAACTCTTTCCTTCCTCAGGGAGCTGGGAGCTGGAATTTTTTCTGCAGATTCTGTGCTGTGCTAGGAGAAGGAGCTATGGGAAGTTTGTGCATACTAGTTTCAACCATCTCCTTTGTTCTCAGTAGCCCTCAGGCATGTAGAATTATCTAGGTCCCATCAGCATTCTGAGACAAATGAGACAGAAGCCAGTTCCTTAGGCAACCCTCAGAAAAGTTGGAACATTTGACACACAATCCAACTGCTTCCCTCCACAGGGAAAAACTAGGAGCTGACTTTTTACCCACCTGCTCTGCATTGAGCCAGGGGGCAGAGCTACGGCAAGTGTTCATGGGCTAGTTCAAACCACTGCCTTTTTTCTCTGGAGTCATCAAAGGCTGAGCATTTGCTGGACCCCAACAGTACTGCAGTACAGGTGAGACAAAAGCCAGTCCTTTAGGTAGCACCGTAGAGGTTGTAATGTTCGACATGTGGTTCAACTCTTTTCTCTCCAGGGAAAAGCTGAGAAGTGGGTTTTCGTTTTTGTTTTATCTGCTTACTCTATGCTGGACCAGGCAGAGGAGTTGTAATGAGTGCCTGCTTGCTGATTCAAACTGCCACCTTTGTTCTCTGTAGCCCCAGGTGTCTGGCATAAGGCAGGTCCCATCAGCACTCTGAGACAAGTGGAATAGAAGCTTTTCCTTTGGGCAGCACCCAGAAAAGTTGAAATATTGGATGTGTGGTTCAAATCTGCCCCTCCTCCTGAAGAAACTGGGAGCTAGGAGACATCTCTCAATCAGATAGTGCTGTGCTGGGGGTAGGGGTTATAGAAGAGGTTTGCCTCCAATTTTCCCACCAGTTTTAATTTGGCTGGTTTTACACTTCCAAAGGGTGCAGGAGCCTCTAAACTAGTTCCTGGAATTTTACAAAGGGAATTAATTCATTTATTGCTGTTGAATCAATGTATCCATGAAGCTAAGAAAAGTCCATTGCTTCCTATACTGTCATCTTACTGATATTACTCCAAGATAAACTTTTAAATTTTTCTTTCTTTCCATTTTTTTCTTTTCTCTTTTTGCAAGACAGAGTCTCATTCTGTTTCCCAGGCTGGAGTGCAGTGGTGCAATCATAGCTCACTACAGCTTTGAACTCCTGGGCTCAAGAAATCCTCCTGCTTCAGCCTCCTGAGTAGCTAGGACTACAGGTACACACCACCACAAATGGCTAAGTTTTAATTTTTTTGTAGAGATAGTGTCTCACTGTGTTGCCCAGACTTGTCTCAAACTCCTGGCCTC
Organism: Homo sapiens; assembly: GCF_000001405.40. Taxonomy (NCBI): domain Eukaryota; kingdom Metazoa; phylum Chordata; class Mammalia; order Primates; family Hominidae; genus Homo; species Homo sapiens. The sequence goes on from NC_000010.11 coordinate 24,070,074, forward strand.
TAGCGATCCTTCCACCTTGGCCTCCCAGTGAAATTTCTTATAATGTAGCATTTAGAGACAAAGTGATCAGAAGTATAAAAGAGGGGTTAAAGGAAATAAGCAATAGAGTGAGAGGTCCAACAGAGGTCTAACTAGATGGCCAGAAGGAGACCATACAGAAACCAAGAAAGAGGCATTATTTGAAAGATAATGGCTGAGACTATATCAGAATTGATAAAAAAAAAAGAGATATTAATATCCAAAGCCAAGAACTCCATCAATTCCCAAACAAAATACATTGAAAAAAATGAATAAAACAATAAAACCCTACACTTAGACATAAAATAGTAAGAACTAATGATTTAATTTTATGTCTATACGTAGGTTTATCATCAAACAGCAGGTAATAGATTGGTATACAATAGTAATACAAATAATACAAGTAATACAAATAATCAATTTTAATCTTTGGATAATTCATTAATATATAATCAGTTTCCAACTCTATTATAATTAAGCCAAATACATTTGAGAGAAGTGTGTTTTATAACCATATCTTGCTTCTTGAAGAAACCCAAAAGTTAAAAGTCTCAGGGTCAAATCTGATAGTTGTAACCTATTTTCCCACTGTGAGGGGGAGAAGGAAGAAATATTAGTGGTAATTTGTTCAGTTTTTGCTAAAAGTGTTTTCAACTCACTTTCATTTGCACATTATCAGTCAAAGGAAAGGTTGCGAAAAGGGGAAAAACTATTTAGAGAACACTATGCAAATGGACAGTAGAAAATAGAATTCTAGATGATCATTGTTTTATATTCAGAACATGTATATGGATCACTAAAAGCTTGTCTCTGTGGGATGCAATGAGTATTCAAGTTGGTTGGGTGACTTTGTACCCTTGTTAATATTTTTAAGGGTATTTCTACAATTATCATTTTTTGAATATTCACAAAAGTAGATAGTATATCTACTAAACAAATCACTCTATCTGTGAGCATACCTAATGAGACCAATTGAAGGGAACATTGTGGCATCATCAAGAGAATAAGAACTTCCCTTAATTGATAATTCCCAATTACTGAAGATAATATGAAGCTTGCTTCTTTTTGAATTATCCAGCTAAACAGCTAGAAATTCTAAAAACTGTGCAGATAATTATGTAATCCTCTTCTCTATCAGTACTTTAGAAGTGAACAAAACATTGCGAGTTTTGTTTGTTTGTGAAAACTTCATTGGGAAAAAATATGGTTTGAAAAGTACAATTATACTTAGTGGGTCATTTATATATTTACGACTTTATCCAGCTGAAGTTAATGCACTTCACATTGGATATCCTAATGTTAGCTTTCCTCTTTCCATTTGTTCTTAAGTAATCTCAGCATTTCTCCAGGTATCAGCCTTAATTGCTTATTGAAATCAGAAAAAGAAGAGAATAGGGTTAATTTAAAAAAAAAAGAACTCTTTCTTTACAACTTAATATCTGATTAAATGGATACTATGTTTAATGATTTCTCATTTTGAAGTACATGATTTGGGAAGTCACATTTCTGCTTCAGTGATCTATGTTGCCAAATGGTGAGTGAACGGTTAAGTCCAGCCTAGTATGGATTCACTCAGATGAAGATTATATTTGCACTGTGTTGAATGCTTAACTAAATGCCATCAGTTACCAGATGAGAGAAACATGAACTGTGACTGCAGCAATGACCCTGAAGAGGCATTATTGCCCATCATTAGAAAGTAGAAGAAAAATAAAGTGAGTGTTGAAGATAAAATGGGGAACTATAACACAGAGGGACAGATAGTAGAGAGGTGAAAAATATTTATTTAGAAAATAACAAAAATAATAGAATATTATTTTTCTTATTATTTCACCATCTTTTAACTTAGTGTACAGAATCCTGGTTAGGAAGTACTTCCCCAGCTTTATTTTTTATGACTGTTACAGAAAAACAAAATAGGAAAATATTACTCTATTTCACTTATTTTTTTAGAGATGAGGTTCTACTCCATTGCCCAGGCTGGAGTACAGTGGTGTGACCATAGCTTATTGCAGCCTTGTACTCCTGGGCTCAAGCAATTCTCCTGCCTCAGCCACCCAAGGAGTTAGGACTAAAGGCACATACCACCACACCCAGCTAATTATTTTTATTTTTTGTAGAGATGGGGGTCTCACTATGTTGCCCAGGCTAGCCCCAAACTCCTAGCCTCAAGCAATGCTCCCACCTCAGCCTCCTAAAAGTGCTAGAGTTATAAGCATGAACCACCACACCCATCTATTCTATTTTAATAATAAAAGCCAAGTTCCAGAGGACAGATAACTAGAGAAGCAGTAACTTAATGTGGATATGCTACATTTAAGATTGGTCAAAAAATTAGAGAAGAAGAAATAAATAAGTTTGTCCTGCATGTATTAGGTAAACATAAATAATAATAAGCATGATTATTTTCAGGCTATTGTTTAGATGTTTATACCCAGGTTCTCAATAATCTGTTACATTTGTGGGATCCATGGAGGGGCAGTGTGTGTTGCCTAACAAATGCGGTCAAGTAGGTTCAAGGATCACTAAGTCCTTCAAAGCTCAAATGATAAGGGCCATTCTTGGGCAGCCACCACCACAGATGCCTAGGCTATGCTTAGAACACTGATACTCTAGCAAACCTTTGAAGAATGTTGAGAAAAGGGAATGACATGATTAAATTTACACTATCAAGGTAACTCTGGAAGCAGTTTGAAAGATTGGGGGTGGAGATGAAGAATACAGGCAGAGAGGAGGTGTCCCTAATAAAGCCTGTCAGAAAGAAGGACTGCAGCCTGGGCAACCTGGTGAAACCCCATCTCTACAGAAATACAAAATTTAACTGGGCATCATGGTGCATGCCTGTAATCCCAGCTACTCAGGAGGCTGCAGTGGGAGCATCACTTGAGCCTGGGATGTCAAGGCTGTAGTGAGCCCAAGATCACGCCACTGCACTCCAGCCTGGGAAACAGAATGAGACTCTGTCTTGAAAAAAAAAAAAAAGAAAGAAAGAAAGAAAGAAGCACTAGCTTTTCAAACATATTAGCAGCCATTGACAAAGCAGAACCAAGCATACTCAATTTATATACTCAGCTCAGGCCTGAATTCGGGAGCGAGCGCTGGGGCAGAAGAAGAGAAACAAGAAGGAAGCAGAGCTGACGTCTTTAGAAAACAGTGGGTTGTGGGAGGTGAACAAGGAGAAGGGGTCTAGATTTCCTGGGCGGCTGGGGCAGGCATGTGAGTAGCGAGCCGTTCACAGAGCTGTGGAAGAGGAGGTGCCTATTTGGAGGAAGGCACTAGAAATAGTCAAGGGCATATTGAGCTTGAGGAATCTGAAGAACACTCACATAGATGTCCCGGAACCAGCTGGATATAGATGGAGCTGAAGTGCAAGGGTTCTTGGCTGCATATGTAAATTTGGAAGTTATCAGCTTATTTGAGCTTTGCATAAGGATAAAATCATCCAGAAAACATGTCGAGGGCTTAGGTCTAGCACTTGGCATTTGAGATGGTCTTACTCTAGCTGCTACATGTTGGAAGAGACAGCGATGCACTGGAGCAACTTATGATACAGGAATTGGCTAGAAGGATGGAATGGAGAGATGAAGTCTATTCCAATAGGAATGTGCTGTGTGGAGGCTTTGACTCCTCTGAACTTCCAGAGCAGAGCTGAGACCAACTGGGGGAACTTCATGGAGGGAACTTCAAGCTTAGTATACAGGAGACCAAATGAATGACTAGAGTGCCACAGCACACAGACACTGCCCTAGGAAGTAGGTAGGTTCCCAGTGGGAGGACACAGGGAAGTGGAGGTTAAAACAGGGTTTCTGTAGTAGGTGGGGAGCATAATTGGGTGGATTTCACTGCTTCTTTCAACTCTCCGATCTGGGGATACATTGTGTACTGCAGTAGAACAAAATGCAGCAAAATTCCAGGATAACAGAAAATAATTGGACTGTCTCTATAAAGAAGGTGCTTAAAAAAAAAATTAGGCCAGGCATGGTGGCTCATGCCTGTAACCCCAGCACTTTGGGAGGCCCAGGCAGGTGGATCACCTGAAGTCAGGAGTTTGAGACCAGCTTGACTTGACCAACATGGTGAAACACCATCTCTACTAAAAATACAAATATTAGCCAGGTGTTGTGGCACATGCCTGTAATCCCAGTTACTCAGGAGGCTGAGGCAGGAGAATTGCTTGAACCCGGGAGGTGAATGTTGCAGTGAGCTGAGATCGTGTCACTGCACTCCAGCCTGGGAAACAGAGTGAGTAAGACTCTGTCTCAAACAACAACAACAACAAAAACCAACAACAAAAAAAAACACCTAACTTTAAAACGTGCTTTTGGTGTTGCAGACATTTTCATTTTCTGTCCATATTAACCTCTATTACCCCCTTCCTCTCTGATTCTTTCCCTTCTCTTCATATGGTTCTCCTTAAGAATGTGTCAGTAACAAACTGTTTTTTGTTACATAAAAAATGTCAAAGAAACCAAACATAAAAGGGCAGAGAAAGGAGAGGCAGGTCATATGATATTTCCTTGAGGTTCAATGTCTTGTTTCTTTTTTTGCTTTCTGTTCTTATATTCTGGAATTCTTCTTCTTCTTCTTCTTCCTCTTCCTCTTCTTCTTCTTCTTTTTTTTTTTTTTTTTTGAGATAGAGTCTTGCTTTGTCACCCAGATTTGAGTGCAGTGGCCTGCACACTCAGTGCAGCCTTTACCTCCCGGGATCAAGTGATCCCCCACCTCAGCCCCCTAAGTAGCTGACACTACAGGTTGCATCAACATGCTTGGCTAATTTTTGTATTTCTTGTAAAGATGGGGTTTTGCCATGTTGTCCAGATTGGCCTTGAACTCCTGAGCTCAGGCAATCCGCCTGCCTTGGTCTCCAAAAGTGCTGAGATTACAGACATGAGTCACCATGCCCAGCCTGGGATTCTTATTTCATCTCATGTAATACCTAGCACCCTCCATACCTTCCTCTATGCTCTACATGATAAAACCTCTTGCAGGATCAAGAAAGCTGAGAAAGTCCTTCTGTTCCCCCTAAATACACACACACACACACACACACACACACACACACACACACACACACCCCTTCCTCACATGCTCACTACAGCCTCAAATTCCAAAATGGGCACTTCATTCCCTAAATGAAGGCAGTCCTCCCTGCAAAAACAGAAACCATCCTGAAAGACGTATCATTCCAAATTATAATTGGTTTTCTATGCCTTGTATGAATGAATTTTACAACTCTTTAAGAGCTATTTCTGGGTTTTCTGTCTCTCAGGCTGGAGTGCAGTGGCACCATCATAACTGTTTTTACTACATATTTTGAGTTTATTCTTTCCAGTTTTCTTTTTCCTTTCCTTAATTGCTGTAGCAGTGATTCATTTCAGTGACTGATATGTTATCTATGTTTACTGAGCAATTTAGGTCCTCAATCTGATCATTTTATGTTTATATCGTCCCTTCCATGGCTTCCCAAGTAACCTGAAAATGCTAGTTCTGTCTCCAAATCTAAAAGCATTTTATCTTTTTTTTTTTTTTTGAGATGGAGTCTTGCTCTGTTGCCCAGGCTGGAGTGCAATGGCGGGATCTCAGCTCACTGCTACCTCTGCCTCCTGGCTTCAAGCGATTCTCCTGCCTCAACCTCCCAAGTAGCTGGGATTACAGGCGCCTGCCACCATGCCTGGCTAATTTTTGTATTTTTAGTAGAGATTGGGTTTCACCATGTTGGTCAGGCTGGTCTTGAACTCCTGACCTCAAGTAATCCACCTGCCTCGGCCTCCCAAAGTGCTAGGATTACAGGCATGAGCCACGACTCCCAGCCTTAATCTATTTTTATTGTGCTTATCAATGAACCTTAATTTTTTTTTTCAAATTCTGAGAGGTCATTACTGAAGATAGCCTAAACTGTAACAGAAGCCTGAGAATTTTTCTGTGATTCCAGGCATCTGGAGCCATTTTGCAAGAGGAATCACTTGGGGGGAGTAGGGCCTCTGAGGGCCTGATGAACAACCTGTGGGACCTAATCTGTGTATTGGTTTCATTGAGACCCAAGGCAGATATTGGGCTGCCTTCGGTCACTCCCAAGCTGGCATGGCCAACTCATGAGTCACACCAGGCCATGGGGTTATTTTCCTGCTGGCTATTCTAAAGATTGATACACAGCGTTTATGCCATGTTTAATACTGAACGCTCAGTATCTAGTGCTTGGAGAACTTACTGATATTATACAGAGTGGAGAGAGGCGCAGGGCCCCATAGCCTGGCAGTGTGGCTTTTTTGGGATATAAGCAGACATCTTTGCATTGTGGCCATGAAGAAAAGACATTTATCCTTGGCATTCGTGGTCTGTGCCACTCTCTGGAGCATAGCTATCTAATCCTTTTGTTTCTGGCATGTAGAGTCTGAGAGCAGGAAGATGCCCTGCTCCTGCCTCTCTATGATTCCAGAAATCACATCCACTTCCATGTGCACAGATTCTCTCTTTCAATTGCACAGCAACTCCATTTATGATGAGGAAACCACAGCTTGGAAAAGATGAGTGCCTTACCTCAGGGTCTCAAAAATGCCAGAGTTGCAACCCACAGTCAGGATTCTCTGTCTCCAAAGTCCATGCTCTGCTCTGTCCTAACCAATAAAATAAAAATAAAAGGCTGTTCTCTTTTTTATGCTAAGAGAATTCTAGAAAAACAGGTACAGATGCATACATTCTTATGAGTTCAGAGATTGTTTTAAAAGAAAAAGATGCTGTTATACTTTCAGATCTAAGAAGTTAAACTGCTAATTTTTTATTTCCATCTTTTTTTTTTTTTTTTTGAGATGGAGCCTCATTCTATTGCCCAGGCTAGTGTGCGACAGTGCAATCTTGGCTCACTGCAACTGCCAGCTCCCAGGTTCAAGCAGTTCTCCTGCCTCAGCCTCCCAAGTAGCAGGGATTACAGGCATGCACCACCATGCCTGGCTAATTTTTGTATTTTTAGTAGAGACAGGGTTTTACCGTGTTGGTCAGGCTGGTCTTGAACCCCTGACCTCAGGTGATCCACTGACCTCAGCCTCCCAAAGTGCTGAGATTACAGGTGTGAGCCACTGTGCCTGGCCTATTTCCAATTTTTATTTTAAGTTCAGGGTTACATGTGCAGGATGTGCAGGTTTGTTACCAGGTAAAGGTGTGCCATGGTGATTAGCTGCACAGATCATCCCATCACCCAGTTACTAAGCCCTGCATACATTAGCTATTCTTCCTGATGCTCTCCCTCCTCCCACTCTCCACCCTCAAACAGGCCCCAGTGTGTGTTGTTACCTACCGTGTGTTCTCATCATTCAGCTCCCACTTGTAAGTGAAAACATATGGTATTTTACTTTTTGTTCCTGTGTTAGTTTGCTGAGGATAATGACTTCCAGCTCCATCTATGTCCCTGCAAAGGACATGATCTCATTCCTTTTTATGGTGCCATAGTATTCTATGGTGTATACATACCACATTTTCTTTATCCAGTCTACCATTGGTGGGCATTTGGGTTGACTTCATGTCTTTGCTATTATGAATAGTGCTGCAGTGAACACACCCGTGTGTGTATCTTTGTGATACAATGATTCATATTCCTCTGGATGTATAACTGGTAACAGGATTGCTGGATCAAATAGTATTTCTGCCTCTTAGGGCTTTGGAGAATTGCCATACCATCTTCCAAAATGGTTCAGCTAATTGATAATTGATATTCCCATCAACAGCAGGAAATGTGTTCCTTTTTCTCCACAATGTGGCCAGCATCTCTTGTTTTTTGACTTCTTTATAATAGCCATTCTGACTGGTGTGAGATGGTATCGCACTGTGCTTTTGATTTGCATTTCTCTAATGATCAGTGGTGTTGAGCTTTTTTTTCATATCGTTGTTGGCTGCATAAATGTCTTCTTTTGAGAAATGTCTGTCCATGTCCTTTGCCTACTTTTTAATGGGGTTGTTTCTTTCTTGTAAATTTATTAAAGTTCCTTAAAGATGCTGGATATTAGACCTCTGTCAGATGGGTAGATTGCAAACATTTTCTCTCATTCTGTAGGTTGTCTGTAAAACTACCATTTAAAACTAGTAATAAAAACACTTTTTAAAGGAGATTCAGGTGTAAAGTACCATAGAGGTTAAGAGAAGACTCATTATTCAGGGAAGGATTTCACCCAGTGATTTGAACTGGGCCTTGGGGTTTGGAGGACTGGCCGCAAGTGCAGAGGGTAAAGCCGTGATGGAGCAGTGCCCTGGTGACCTTGGGAAGTCAGGTACCTGGAGAAAGAACGTGCAGCTGAGAGGGGAGGACATGTTTCCACTTCATGTCCCTAACATAGATGGGCAGCTTTCCAGGATTTCTCCCCAGCAAAGATAAAATCCATTAGCTTTACACGGCACACTTTTCTCTTGAGTGAGAATTATTATCCCATTGTGCGTTCACCAGCAATGCTGATGTGTGGGCAAATACTTGGGCCCTAATCTTGGCATTCTCTCCAAGCAGCTGTGTGACCATTCATCTTTCTGAACTTGTGTCTTCTCTTATACAATGAAGGGGCGCTGATGTCTAAATTTCTTTTGGCAGCATTCTTGTTCCATGAGACAGTGATCTGGTGCTGAGGCATTTCAGGTTCTTCTTGCATATGGAGATATGCAAGAGTAAAATAATAAAATAGAGACACACAGAGAGAGACAGATGAGAGAGAGAGAGACAAATGAAAAGGCTGAATCCAGGCCTTCTGTGGCCCGTCTGTTCTTCCTGCCTGTGTCCTATGGGCAATGCCCCCACATCCTTCAAATCCTCCTTCTGTTTAAACCAGCGCAAGTGGTTCTTACAACCAAAGGATCCCTCGTTAAAACACCCTGATTTCCAAGACCTTCTTTTCCTGTCTGATTTCCGTTTAAGGTTTCTCATGGGTGTGTTGGATCTGGTAACGTCTTAGCATGGCGAGGGATGAAATCAGGTCCCTTCTGTGGGAGACGGCTGCTGGCAGAGCAGGACCTTTCAAACCTGACGATACAGGAGACTTGTGTTAACGCACTTCACCCTCCATTACTGGATTGATTCACAAAAGGATTCATCAAGTAGCCACAATGTGCAGGGATTATGGGAAAAGACAACTATGAAAGATGAATGAGCAAAGAAAACAAACACTGAAATAGAGAGAAGCAGAGATATTCTGTGATGTGTAACTGAGGTTTACAGTAGAGGCTCAGCATCAGGGAAATGGGAGAACAGTGATCACCTATGCCCCCATGGAGGGCCATTTGAAGCTATTATAGGGCCATGAGGCAGTTCTGAGCACCAGAGTTAGGGTTAGGTAATTTCTGTCCACGCTCTCCTGGTACACTGTCTCTGTATAAGCAGAATGAAAGTCTCCATTTCCCTTAGAAAATAAATGGGATAATGCCATCCACCCATTAATGGTATTGTATTGCCATAAAAAGGAAATATGATCAGCCAATTTAAATACAAGTAAGGTATCTGATTAGTCTCATTCCTTCGAAGTTCTGAAACATGCTTCCTGTGAAAGCTCTATGGTCGATCTTGCATAAGACATTATCCATTCCATAATGCAACATTTTCTGTACCCAGAAAATGGTTTGTTTGCAAAAGGGAGGGCCACCCCTGATGATGGTTGTGATAACTTTTGGGATGATGGCAAAGCACACGTCTGCATCCCCATCACTCACAGTCATGGCACTGTAGCAAAATTTGCATCCCCAAGGCCACGCACAACTGAATTGAAACACTGGTGTAACAGTTTCTTCTGAAAATTTAGAACTGGATCTGAGAGGCACTGGGAGTTGTTGTTGGTCCTTAAACCACAACATCCTGGCACATCCAAGACTGGCCCAGTGCATAATCAGAGAAGGATGGCTTACAGGGAGAAATAAAGAGACACACAGAGAGAGACAGATGAGACAGACAGAGACAAATGAAAAGGCTGAATCCAGGCCTTCTGTGGCCCTTCTGTTCTTCCGGCCTGTGTCCTGTGGGCAGTGCCCCCACATCCTTCAAATCCTTCTTCTATTTAAACCAGTGTTGAGTGGCTTCCAAGACCTTCTTTTCCTTTCTCATTTCTGTTTAAGGTTTCTTGTACGTGTATTGGATCTGGTGATATCTTAGCATGGTGAGGGATGAAATCAGGTCCCTTCTGTTGGAGATGGCTGCTGGCTGAGCAGGACCTTCCAGAGCTTGATGATACTGGCTGTAAGCTGTTTGGTTGTTTATACGGCATTCCTGGGTCAGTGTTTGTCCTTGGTTTTATTTAAGAAGACGGAACAAGAAGAAGGGACCCTCTGTCCTTGGCGTGACTAGTATTGTTCAATGGCACATCTGTTTTCCTAAGCCATTAATGGATCCTTCCGGAAACAGCCAATCTTTCCTCAAGCATTAGGTCAGCAATCCTGATTAGAATCAGCATCAACCACCCATGAAACTAGAAGCTCCCCTTGTGATTTATTATTACAATAAAACCTCACTAATTAACCATAATTAGGAAAAAAAGCCTGTCTCCATTTTAAGATTCAAAAAGAAGCAACATTTTAATTCCTTCCAACTTTGCATAGTCATTTAAATTACACTAATAAGTATATTTGACTTGATGTGTAAATAAAAATTATTTCTAAATAGCACATCAACTTAATATATGCATTTTGGTATGTAAAGTGTCTTTAAGAAACAGCTTGTTCTTTCAAGCATTCTACTTATACTCTTACAATATTAATAGTTTAGTAAGTGTTTTTTCAGATTGAAAACACAATGATTAACTTAATCTTAACGTTTGTCAAAATTATTTTTAAACAAGTAGGGCCAGAATTACTGAGATTATTGTACTTTTGAATCAATATGACAATATTTAGGGAAATGAATGATAGGAGTTAACGTGTCACACAAACCTATTCTGAAGCTTTCTACATCTTACTGAGGGTTTTACATTGCACTGAAAATGAAGCTGATTTATTTAAGAGTCTGATGGAATGATTGTGTTGTAGATGAGCTGAAAATCTTTTCTCCTGCATGTTTGATAATGCTGTGATTTTTACACCATGGTTCCAGTTTACAAAGAGACAAGGGTAAAAACAAATAAGCCTGCAGTAGGATGTTTGGTGCCCCAAATCATTTCTTCTGATGTTTACTTGCTGTTTATAAAGCCTGAAGAAAACGTGCCAGGAAGCCAAGACTGGTTTTATGAATAGAGATGTCTTAAATGGCTACGCTAATGTCAAGCCTGCAGGAATGTCTCATCAGGACACCCGATGTGAGCTGCATTGGGCTACCAAGGCAGAGTTTCTGTCTGTGTTCTGTGGGGGATACGGATGAATGCTGGGATGAGACAGGTGGGCACAGCAGTTGACCTGACCCTGGGATGGCACCTGCTGAGGATCCCAAGACAGCCTGACTCATGCCGGACATTTATCTGCTGATGGAGCCTCTTCCTCCTCGTTCCTTCCTTTTCCTGTTAAGTTGGCTGTTTTCAGCTTCTTGCCTTGCTTTTCACCTGGCCCCCTAAAATGGTCTGCACAGTCTAAAACAGAGGTGTCCAATCTTTTGGCTTCCCTGGGCCACATTGGAAAAAGAAGAATTGTCTTGGGCCACATATAAAATACATTAACACTAGTGATAGCTGATGGGGAAGAAAAAAAGAATCTCATAATGTGTGAAGAAAATTTATAAATTTGTGTTGGGCTGCATTCGAAGCTGTCCTGGGCCACATGTGGCCTGGGGACTGAGGGTTAGACAAGCTTGGTCTAAAAGGACAGAGCAAGAAAACTAAGGCAGGTTTTTAGAATGAGTTGGAAGCTACTTACATTCTAGTGTCCCTTGTTGTAGAAGCTGCACCCTTACCCACCTGGCCCCAGAAGTGCTTCTTTGACCTCACAGGATCAAGTCTACTAGAGGCACAATATTGACAAATCTGCTAACCAGTTAAGATGGGACTCAATCTGGCATTCATGTCGCTGGAGGTTGTAAGGGAAGATGAAAAGATGCTTTCTGCTGCTGAAGGTGATAGTGCTTTGTCCCCTTTTGTAATTCAGCCTCTGGTTAGGAATGACTGATGGCTGTGGATAACTTCACCCCAGAGGAATTCACTGTGCCTCTTCCCCAGGATGCCAGCTGGGCCTTTGTTCTCATTGTTTTTGGACATCATTTTTTTTTCTTTATTTTTATTTTTTATATTCCAGGGTACATGTGCAGGATGTACAGGTTTGCTACATAGATAAAAATGTGCCATGGTGGTTTGCTGCACCTATCAACCCATCACCTAGGTATTAAGCCCAGCATGCCTTAGCTATTTTCCCTAATGTTCTCCCCCAAACCCCCACCCCTAACAGGCCCCAGTGTGTGTTGTTCCGCTCCCTGTATTCATGTGTTCTCGTGTTCAGCTCCCACTTATAAGTGAGAACATGCGGTGTTTGGTTTTCTGTTTCTGTGTTAGTTTGCTGAGGATGATGGCTTCCAGCTTCATCTGTGTCCATGCAGAGGACATGCTCTTTTTCCTTTTTATAGCTGCGTAGTATTCTATGGTGTATATGTACCACAGTTTCTTTATCCAGTCTATCATTGATGGGCATTTGGGTTGATTCCACATCTTTGCTATTGTGAATAGTGCTGCAATGAACATATGTGTGCATGTATCTTTATAATAAGATGATTTATATTTCTTTGGGTATATACCCAGTAATGGGATTTCTGGGTCAAATGATATTTCTGGTTCTAAATCTTTGGGGAATTGCCATATTGTCTTCCACAATGGTTGAACTAATTTACATTCCCACCAACAGTGTAAAAGTGTTCCTATTTCTCTGCAACCTCACCAGCAACTGTTGTTTCTTGACTTTTTAATAATGGCTTTTCTGACTGGTGTGAGATGGTATCTCATTGTGGTTTTGATTTGCATTTCTCTGATGATCAGTGATGTTGAGCATTGTTTCATATGTTTGTTAGTGCTTGTATGTCTTTTTTTGATAAGTGGCTTTTCATATCCTTTGGGCATCAACATTTTTAATGTGTTTGCTATTTGGCATCTTGGCTGCCGTTTTGTAATTTTTCATCTTATATGAAATTGAGGCACATGTGAGATACTGAAATCAACCTTTTGTAGAGGAGCAGGATGGGAAACAAGGAGGAGCTAAGGGGCCTTCTCAGGGACACTCTGTTGCTGCTGTCTTTTGTGCCACAGATGACTATTATCATGCCTCATTCCAATCTTGGGCTCTTGGCCAATGTGGGCACCATGGCACAGAGGACATTGCTGGTGCATGGGTGTCACCAAGTTCAAATCCAGGCCCTAATGTTCACTATTTGAATAGCCTCCAGAAATTTATTTCATCTCTTGGTGAAGGTATTGGTTTTATGAAAAAGTGCAATTACATAAAATAAGAGGAAGTGCTCAATAATTGCTTGCTAGCCTTGTGGCTTAAGGTTTAGGGTAATCTGTGGTTCTTCATATATACACATACATATATGCTGGCAAAGAATTAATTTCCACATTCTTATCTAGCACTTCTTTGCAATGGAGAAATAGCACTTTAAATTTTGGAGTACTTTGACACACATTTCTAAATATGTTTTCCATCCAATGTTAATGAGATTATGGTGGCCTAATAGGTGAAGGCATTGAGTGAAATTTAAAGTAAAATAAAATTATAAAATTACTACATTAAGAACATGCAATTAACTAGATAGTGGGGAGAGGGAGAGGGAGGAATTGAGGCTGCCTCCTAGATTTCTGCCTTGTGTAATGAGTGCATGATGATGCAATTGACCAAGCCAAGGACCACCAGGGAATAGCAGGTCAAGCAAGTAAATGATCAGTTCCTTTGAGGGCCTGTCGCATTTCAGGCATCCTTGGAACACCTGAAGATGTCTAATGAGGAGCTAGGCTTCAGGAGAGAAACCTAAGAGCTAAGAAAATATTACAGAGAGTTGTTGAGGTCTTTTCACTTGCTCTCCCTCTGGTCTGGAACACTGTTTCTCCAGGTATCTGCATATTTCACTCCCCATATCCTTCAAGGTCTTTGCTCAAAACATCATCTTTGCAGTAAGACTCTCCTGGCCACCCAATTATAAATGCAGAATGCTTGCTACCCCAGCTCTTCCTCTCTACCTTCTTTGTGCTATATTTTGACATAGTAGACATAACATTATCTAACCTACTATATATTTTACTTACTTTCACTTATTTGGTTCACGATGTTTCACCTATTAGAATGTAAGCCCCACGTGGGCAAGGATTTTTGTGTTTTTGTGTATTTCGTTTACATCTCTATCCTCAGTAGCCAGAAAGGTACATATAATCACTCAAGAAATACTTGTTGAATTAGAGAATGTGCCCTTCCTATGTGCCTGACACGAAGTGCTTTTTGTGTATTATCTCATTTAATCCAAGTAAGCAATGGGTTTATAGATAGTAATGAGAGCCATGAAAATGAATGAGATTTGCAAGGAGAGTATTTAACAAAAAAGAGAAGACTGAGAGCAGAGACCTAAAGAATACTATTATTTTAGAGACTGGCAAGGGAAATGGACCCTGCAGAGGAAGTCACAAAAAGCCACACAGAGAGGAGGAGGAAAACCAGGCTACTGTGGTGCTATGGCAATGAACTGAGGGAACATTTCCAAAGGGAGGAAGTGATCCAAGGTGTCAGACTAGGTAAGGAGCAAAAAGTAATTGAGAGAGAAGTACAAGCAAAGCCCCTCTGCCTTCCTTTGCCGCATCTGACTCAGATTCACTGCCGACAAGCCTCTCACCAAAATAGGTAGAACTATTTTTATTACTATCTCCTCTGACAGAGTATATTGCAAAGCTATAAATGGCAGAGTTTACTTTTTTTTTTTTTTTTTTTTTGAGACGGAGTCTCGCTCTGTCGCCCAGGCTGGAGTGCAGTGGTGCCATCTCGGCTCACTGCAAGCTCTGCCTCCCGGGTTCACGCCATTCTCCTGCCTCAGCCTCCAGAGTAGCTGGGACTACAGGCGCCCGCCACCACGCTCGGCTAATTTTTTTGTATTTTTAGTAGAGACGGCGTTTCACCGTGTTAGCCAGGATGGTCTCGATCTCCTGACCGCGTGATCCGCCTGCCTCAGCCTCCCAAAGTGCTGGGATTACCGCGTGAGCCACCGCGCCCGGCCCAGAGTTTACTTTTAAGCAAGACATAGATGATGATAGATAGTTCAGTGGTTCGCAGACTTTGGAATTTCATAAACTGATAACATTTGAGGGGTTTAAGGGAGTCACTGAAATAATAGACCAACTTACCAGTCCTCTGAATCATTCTACTCAATTCATTAAGGATGACCTGACCAGAGGAAACGAATAAACTGAGAATTGTTCAGGAGATGTGAAACCCAGTCAAGACCATTTGTCTTGCCTTCTGGTCTTCAGTGCAAGTCAAAAGTCTTATTGGAAAGGGTAAGATTTCTAGCCCACGGCCACCAATAATGGGCCCCATTGTGGGTACTGTGTCTGCCCTGCTACTCTGTTCATCATGGTGCCCAGGAATAGCCTGGAAAGTCTCTAGCACCCTTGACCATGAATATCTATCAGCCTCTTCACCCCATACCACAGATAAATACACACAATTTCAGTTAAAAAAAAAAAAGTGCTGGCTGGGAGGCATGGTAGCTCACGCCTATGGTCCCAGCACTTTGGGAGGCTGAGGCAGGCAGATCGCTTGAGCCCAGGAGTTTGAGAGCAGCCTAGGTAACATGGCAAAATCACGTCTCTACAAAAAATACAAAAATTAGCTGGGCATAACTGCATGTGCCTGTTGTCTCAGCTACTTGGGAGGCTGAGGTGAGAGGATCACTTAAGCAGAGGAGGTTGAGGCTGCGGTGGGCCAAGATTATGCCACTGCACTCCAGCCTGGGCAACAAAGCGAGACCCTGTCTCAAAAAAAAAAAGTGTTTGTTGAGTCACTTTAAGACAAATCCCCTGACTGCTCCTCCCTGCCCCACTACACACCCCCACCACACAGAAACACCCCTGATTGATGCCCCTCAGCCTCCTACTTAGAAATTGGAGCACCACACCTGAGCAGGTGAGATTCTATGTGACATGGTGCCTGGTCTTGATTGTTAATAGAGGAAGGCTTTAAAAGGAGATTACTAAAAACAGGGTGGAAGTGACTCTGAAAAGGAGCCTCAACAAAGGGAGGCTTTTATCTAGGGTCAGCTCTGCCTTCAGCAGTTGAGCAAATGAAACATTCCTTTTGCTTTTGACAATATTTCAAACTGGAGTAGCCACCCTCATGTTTTGAGAGTACAGACACTCGTTCATTATCAGACTGACATTAGCCAGAATATTTTAATGTCAACAAAGACATGTGAATGATTGTTGGCCTGATTATTTCTTATGTCCCCTTTGGAAGTCTCCATGTGTATCAGATTTTAAATAAGGAATACTTCCAGGTTGATTTTGTTGTTGTTGTTACTGTAAGAATTCTGAATCTTATCAAGGATGCAGTCTAAGTGAACTTGGAAGAAAGCTTTAGTTTCATATTTTCTGGCTAATGTTCCATAAATGTCATAACTTGGCTGTTTAATGGAGAGTATGTTTTTTTAAATGTAATAAATTTGCCAAACATTAATGAAGGGAAGAAGAGAGAATAATGGAGAAATGCCATCTCAAGCTTGAAAACATCAAAATTAGCAATAAAAATAGAAGTTTCTTATCAGGAGTGGGAGGGAGATCATTATAGGCATTAAAATAGACACAGTCTGATCTTTGCTCCTGGTTTCCTATGAGGGACTCATGGGGTAACCTTGACCCAGCAGTTCCACTGCTTCATGCCTGTTTCCTCCATTTGTCCCGTGGGAACTGTAATATTCATTTGATTAAGTAACATTTAGATTTCCAGCTGGTACAGGGAAGTTGTAACAGTCCTGCAGATGACATGGCCTTAGGTCATCCTCATGCCCCCATTGTCCAGTATGGCTCTGAGCAGAAGACTCGTGTGATATTCATAGTATCCAAATTCAGTAAGTCTACTCATCCTTAAATGAAAGCTGCTTTGTAGGAAAATCTCTAACACCAATGATGACTTAGAATGGGAGAAAAAATTAGTGAGATTTAGTTGGACTCAGAAAAAAATTTAAGACAGTAGTTTTATTACTTAGAAAGATTCATGTTAACTAGGATCAAGTTAAATCCTGGCCTAATGGCAATTTTTTCACAGAAACTACTTTGACACATCTTTAAGAATGGTCTGTTTTTAATATATTGTCTTTGCATTCTTCTGAAGGTGCTTCTAAAGTGAGGGTTCATGAAAACTGCCTTACATAATTTAAGCTTTCTTCTGCAACCATATGTACGGTGTCATTGGTTTACTAAGAAATTATTTTAATGTTAAATTTTATGTACTTTTTAAAATTCTTAACTAGAGGGGCCCAAATACATGAGGTTTTATTATTGTGGTTCTTTTATGTTTTGTTACAGGTTTTCTCTGCTCACAGAGTGCTTGGCAAACATAATAAATGCTTGAGTTAACTGATAAATAAATGAATTAGCGAAAGGCTGTAGATCTAACCCTCATAGTTAGCCTTACTTTATTCTATGTGTGGAGACAGAATCCCTGATCCTGAACACCCATTCAATACCATTTGCAAAGGCCATTTGTACAGTCTAGCCCATGAAGAAAAGCATATGACTGCAATGAGATGTGGGGTTTATTCCATCGTGGTAGTCTTCTTGCTCACAGTGACAGACTTCAGCACTCTTTCCACACTTATGCATTCTAATCAAAGAGTTAGGGAATGCGTACACTTCCTGCCTGCAGCGGTGTTAGAAAGAGTGTGTCGTGGATTTTCTCTTTATGCCAGATCAGAGCTGTGGTGGCCTCCCAAGCCTTCCCATGATGAAAAGTAAATAGAGCAGGGCATCTACCAGATTCCCAAACCAAGTTAGTGGACCATCCATTGCAGATGGTAGCCCAAATGAAGTAGTCCTTTCTCTGGGCTTACTGGGCCATTCCCATTCCACATCTCACAGTGGTCCTACAACTATATTGCATACAGTAAACTCTAAGGGTTATGTAGATAATGAGTTCTTTTTTCATGCAGAAGAAGCTAATGACTTTGAGAAGTCAGAGATGCCTGGAGGCACATGGATCTCCTCTGCCCAGGCTCAAGGAACATCCCAAACTTGTGTCCTCCCAGGCTCTGTTTTTTTAATATACATATATATATATATATATACACACATATATGTGTATATATATATATATATTTATTATACTTTAAGTTCTAGGGTACATGTGCACAACGTGCAGGTTTGTTACATATGTATACATGTGCCATGTTGGTGTGCTGCACCCATTAACTCGTCATTTACATTAGGTATATCTCCTAATGCTATCCCTCCCCCCTCCCCCTACTCAACAACAGGCCCCAGTGTGTGATGTTCCCCTTCCTGTGTCCAAGTGTTCTCATTGTTCAATTCCCACCTATGACTGAGAACATGCGGTGTTTGGTTTTTTGTCCTTGCGATAGTTTGCTGAGAATGATGGTTTCCAGCTTCATCCATGTCCCTACAAAGGACATGAACTTATCATTTTTTATGGCTGCATAGTATTCCATGGTGTATATGTGCCACATTTTCTTAATCCAGTCTATCATTGTTGGACATTTGGGTTGGTTCCAAGTCTTTGCTATTGTGAATAGTCCGCATTAAACATACGTATGCATGTGTCTTTATAGCAGCATGATTTATAAGCCTTTGGGTATATATCCAGTAATGGGATGGCTGGGTGAAATGGTATTTCCAGTTCTAGATCCCTGAGGAATCGCCACACTGACTTCCACAATGGTTGAACTAGTTTACAGTCCCACCAACAGTGTAAAAGTGTTCCTATTTCTCCACATCCTCTCTAGCACCTGTTGTTTCCTGACTTTTTAATGATTGCTGTTCTAACTAGTGTGAGATGATATCTCACTGTGGTTTTGATTTGCATTTCTCTGATGGCCAGTGGTGATGAGCATTTTTTCATGTGTCTGTTGCCTGCATAAATGTCTTCTTTTGAGAAGTGTCTGTTCATATCCTTCGCCCAGTTGCTGATGGGGTTGTTTGTTTTTTTCTTGTAAATTTGTTTGTGTTCTTTGTAGATTCTGGATATTAGCCCTTTGTCAGATGAGTAGACTGCAAAAATTTTCTCCCATTCTGTAAGTTGCCTATTCACTCTGATGGTAGTTTCTTTTGCTGTGCAGAAGCTCTTTAGTTTAATTAGATCCCATTTGTCAATTTTGGCTTTTGTTGCCATTGCTTTTGGTGTTTTAGTCATGAAGTCTTTGCCCATGCCTATGTCCCGAATGGTATTTCCTAGGTTTTCTTCTAAGGTTTTTATGGTTTTAGGTCTAACATTTAAGTCTTTAATCCATCTTGAATTAATTTTTGTATAAGGTGTAAGGAAGGGATCCAGTTTCAGCTTTCTACATGTGGCTAGCCAGTTTTCCTGGCACCATTTATTAAATAGGGAATCCTTTCCCCATTGCTTGTTTTTGTCAGGTTTGTCAAAGATCAGATAGTTGTAGATGTGTGGCATTATTTCTGAGGGCTCTGTTCTTTTCCATTGGTCTGTATCTCTGTTTGGGTACCAGTACCATGCTGTTTTGGTTACTGTAGCCTTGTAGTATAGTTTGAAGTCAGGTAGCGTGACAAAGGATGTAAAGGACCCTTTCAAGGAGAACTACAAACCACTGCTCAATGAAATAAAAGAGGATACAAACAAATGGAAGAACATTCCATGCTCATGGATAGGAAGAATCAATGTCATGAAAATGGCCATACTGCCCAAGGTAATTTATAGATTCATTGCCATCCCTGTCAAGCTACCAATGACTTTCTTCACAGAGTTAGAAAAAACTACTTTAAAGTTCATATGGAACCAAAAAAGGTCCTGCATTGCCAAGTCAATCCTAAGCCAAAAGAACAAAGCTGGAGGCATCAGGCTCTCTATTTTAACACATCTTGACCACTCTGATTGTCTTTCTTGCTCTCCTCTGCCGTCTAAAGTGGGGAGATCCTGCTCAGTTGCTGGAATTTAGTAGTCATGGAAGCTTTCTTTTTTCTTTCTTTCTTTTTCTTTTTCTTTTTTTTTTTTTTTTTTTTGAGACAGGGTCTCGCTCTCTTGCTCAGGCTGGAGTGCAGTGGCATGATCGTGGCTCACTGCAGCCTTGAACTCCTGGTTTCACACAATCCTTCCTCCTTAGCCTCCTAAGTAGCTTGAACTACAGGCATGCACCCTCACATCCTGCTCTTTTTTTTTTTTTTTTTTTTTTTTTTTTGAAGAGACAGGGTCTTGCTATATTACCCAGGCTGGTCTCAAACTCCCGGCCTCAAGCAGTCCTCCCACCTCAGGCTCCCAAAGTCCTAGGATTACAGGCATGAGCCACTGCACCCAGCCAAAACTTTCTTAAACACATCTCCAAACAGAGCTAATCTTTCCTTTCTGTGCTCCCAAGGACTCAAATCACAGTGGACACAAAGTCTCTGCTTTCCAGTTTTTCTCAAAGAGCATTTTTGAGGAGGGACTGTGAGCATTTCGAAGAGGAGAAGTGATCTTTAATCCACAGTGGATCCCCATTCCCCAGCATAGACCAACTTCTCTGTAAAAGTCTGCAAATGAGTCAAAATCAAGCAACAACTTCACAATCGCAGAGCTGCTTCCTAGCATTCTTAACTCTGGTATCAATGGTGCTAAGTATTCTAGAATAAATTTCTCAAAAGGATAGCAATCTTATTTCTAATATGGCAGCCTTCCAATAAATAACATGGCAGCTGAGAAAAGGAAAACAATAGTCAAATGTCATTGAAACACTAGTTACCTATGTAGATTATGTCTGGATTCACAGCCCAACTCACCATCGGCAAAACTCTTCCCTGATTATATTACACTTATGATGGTCTCAAAGCCTTTTCCAAAAATAAGAAAGTACATTTTCTGACTTAAAACTTGTAGCATTTTCAGATCTATTAAGATGAGATTACCACAGTAAGTACTTCTGTATAGAACCATTCCACAAAACATTTATTGGTTCCTATGAGTTTTTAAGGCGTTAAATCTGATATCCAACAACTGACTGTGTTATTATCAGTCCTGCCTCACAAATTGCTCTGCTACATAACAAAACGAGGTTTTACAGATCAGAGTGATCAGCTGGAGTCATTTCAGGTATTTCCCTGAAGGTCTTAAAATGGCAACTTCTTAAACAATGCACCCAGCGACTGGCATCCTCATCATATTGGCTAAAACAACTGCTATTTTTCTTATTCTGTCTTTATGGTAGATACCATTTTCTTTTTAACAGATGGAATATAGGGAGAAAAATTCTAGCCTGTTTTACTCATTAATGAGTCAGAGGAAAAGTCCCCACTGCTTCTAATTATCAGGAGTCATTGTCAAGATCTCTAGCAAGGAAATGTGTTTACGTTATCAAGAAAGTTAACAAATTGCCAAACTGTACACAGTAAGGGAACTTTCATGAGCATGCTGCTTGTCCCCAACTCCTGTACCTACCCAGGTCCTGGTGATCTGGGTGGTAACTGTGATACTGGGATCCAATTGTGAACATCATAAGAGTGTTTTTGTAGAAACTAGGGTAAAACATACCTCTGAGGATAAATAGTAACAATCTGCTGAACTTGCAGCTTTGCTTCTTTTCCATAGCAAATGCTTCACCGCTGCTAGGCAAGCAAAGGTGCTCTACTGACACCCCCAAAACCCCAAACATCCACTGGCTCTTAAATAACAGGGTGAACATGATGTCATCATGAGACAGTCTGGTTGGGGCCAAGAGTTTTTGCAGGCATGTAGTTTGAAAGGGCTGAACTTGTCTTCTGCCATCCCCTAAAAGATCACGTGAAGGTCAGACTAGGGCTTGGAAAGGCTCACTGCATTTATGCCCTCTCATTAACATGGAAGAGCTACCTTTTTATCAAAAGCCAGTCCCTCCCATCCTACCAGAAACCTCACTATCTCCTTCCTCCCCAACGTCCTTCTCTTTCCCTTATCTCCATCCTCTCTGTCTGCTTCCTCCTTCCCATCATCATTAAACATGCTCAAGTATCTTTTAACTCTGACAACCCTTCCCTCCCTAAACCTCATGCCACCTCCAACCACATCCCTGCTTCCCTGTGTCAGCTGAAATTATCCATGTCAGCTGAAATTAAAGCATTGCTTTCACTCACTATATCCAACTCCTCACTTCCCTCTTTCTTCTTAACCCTCTCCACTCCTGTTTTGATCCTACCACCTCACCAAACTACTATCATTATCAAGATACTAAGGACTATAAAGCTAAACATAGCCATGCCATATAACCCAGCAATCCCACTCCCAACAAAAATAACCTAATGTTCAAACAAAGCCTGTATGCAAATGTTTCTAATAGCTCTATTTGTAATCAACAAAAACTGAAAATAACTAACCTGTCCCTCAACCTATGAATGGGTACACAAATTGCAGTCTGTGTACACCATGGAACACTACTCAACAATGGAAAGGACTGAACTGTTCACTCATGCAATAGCTTGAATGATTCTTAAATATATTTCATTAAATGAAAGAAACCTGGCTCAAAAAACTATGTACCATATGATTTCACTGATAACGTTATGAAAAAAAAACAAAAACCTAGGAATGGGAAACAAATAGTAGGTTTCCAGGAGTGGAGACAGAAGAGTGAACTACTATGGGATAGCATGGTAAAATGTCAGGGTGATGGAACTGTTTTGTATCATGGCTGTGATGGTAGATAGCCAACTCTTTGTATTTGTCAGAATCCATATAACTCTACAGGACAAAGTGAATTTTACTGTGTGTATGTATAGTGTGTGTGTGTGTGTGTGTGTGTTGTGTGTGTGTGTGTGTGTGTGTGTGAAAGAAAATCAGGATGTAGAGGCACCCCAAAATGAAATATGAACTGAGACTTTTTTTTAGACAAGGTCTCACTCCGTTGCCCAGGCTGGAATGCAGTAGCATGATCTCGACTCACTGCAGCTTCGACTTCCCAGGCTCAAGTAGTCTTCCCACCTCAGCCTCACAAGTATCTGGGACTACAGGCACGTGTCACCATGCCCAGTTATTTTTATTTATTTATTTATTTATTTTTTGAGACGGAGTTTTACTCTTGTTGCCTAAGCTGGAGTGCAATGGCACCATCTCGGCTCACTGCAGCCTCCACCTGCTGGGTTCCAGTTATTCTCCTGCCTCAGCCTCCCTAGTAGCTGGGATTACAGGCACCTGCCACCATGCCCAGCTAATTTTTTGTATTTTTAGTAGAGATGGGGTTTCACTATGTTTGCCAGGCTGGTCTTGAACTCCTGATCTCCGATGATCCACCCACCTCAGCCTCTCAAAGTGCTGGGATTACAGGTGTGAGCCACCACTCTCGGCTCTATTCTTTTTCAGTAGAGACAAGGTCTCACTATGTTGCCCAAGCTGGTCTCAAACTCCTAGACTGCTGCCATCCTCTCACCTCGGCCTCCCAAAGTGCTGGGATTACAGGTGTGAGCCACGGCACTTGGCACTCAACTAAGAATTTTTTTTTTTTCAGTTATAATGGTTACTTTTTTAAATTTTATTATTATTATACTTTAAGTTTTAGGGTACATGGGCACAATGTGCAGGTTAGTTACATATGTATACATGTGCCATGCTGGTGTGCTGCACCCATTAACTCGTCATTTAGCATTAGGTATATCTCCTAAAGCTATCCCTCCCCCCTCCCCCCACCCCACAACAGTCCCCAGAGTGTGATGTTCCCCTTCCTGTGTCCATGTGTTCTCATTGTTCAATTCCCACTTATGACTGAGAATATGCGGTGTTTGGTTTTTTGTTCTTGCAATAGTTTACTGAGAATGATGATTTCCAATTTCATCCGTGTCCCTACAAAGGACATGAACTCATCATTTTTTATGGCTGCATAGTATTCCATGGTGTATATGTGCCACATTTTCTTAATCCAGTCTATCATTGTTGGACATTTGGGTTGGTTCCAAGTTTTTGCTATTGTGAATAGTGCCGCAATAAACATACGTGTGCATGTGTCTTTATAGCAGCATGATTTATAGTCCTTTCGGTATATACCTAGTAATGGGATGGCTGGGTCAAATGGTATTTCTAGTTCTAGATCCCTGAGGAATCACCACACTGACTTCCACAATGGTTGAACTAGTTTACAGTCCCACCAACAGTGTAAAAGTGTTCCTATTTCTCCACATCCTCTCCAGCACCTGTTGTTTCCTGACAGTATTTCTGCTCTGTTTTTTCCCCATCTTTGTGGTTTTATCTACTTTTGGTCTTTGATGATGGTGATGTACAGATGGGTTTTTGGTGTGGATGTCCTTTCTGTTTGTTAGTTTTCCCTCTAACAGACAGGACCCTCAGCTGCAGGTCTGTTGGAGTTTGCTAGAGGTCCACTCCAGACCCTGTTTGCCTGGGTATCAGCAGCAGTGGCTGCAGAACAGCGGATTTTCGTGAACCGCAAATGCTGCTGTCTGATTGTTCCTCTGGAAGTTTTGTCTCAGAGGAGTACCCAGCCGTGTGAGGTGTCAGTCTGCCCCTACTGGGGGATGCCTCCCAGTTAGGCTGCTCGGGGGTCAGGGGTCAGGGACCCACTTGAGGAGGCAGTCTGCCGGTTCTCAGATCTCCAGCTGCGTGCTGGGAGAACCACTGCTCTCTTCAAAGCTGTCAGACAGGGACACTTAAGTCTGCAGAGGTTACTGCTGTCTTTTTGTTTGTCTGTGCCCTGCCCCCAGAGGTGGAGCCTACAGTGGCAGGCAGGCTTTCTTGAGCTGTGGTGGGCTCCACCCAGTTCGAGCTTCCCGGCTGCTTTGTTTACCTAAGCAAGCCTAGGCAATGGTGGGCGCCCCTCCCCCAGCCTGGCTGCCGCCTTGCAGTTTGATCTCAGACTGCTGTGCTAGCAATCAGTGAGACTCCGTGGGCATAGGACCCTCCGAGCCAGGTGTGGGATATATTCTTCTGATGCGCCGTTTCCTAAGCCCGTCGGAAAAGCGCAGTATTCACGTGGGAGTGGCCCGATTTTCCAGGTGCCATCTGTCACCCCTTTCCTTGACCAGGAAAGGGAACTCCCTGACCCCTTGCGCTTCCCGAGTAAGGCAATGCCTCGCCCTGCTTCTGCTCGTGCACGGGTGCGCTGCACCCACTGTCCTGCGCCCACTGTCTGGCACTCCCTAGTGAGATGAACCTGGTACCTCAGTTGGAAATGCAGAAATCACCCATCTTCTGCGTCGCTCATGCTGGGAGCCGTAGACCGGAGCTGTTCCTATTCGGCCATCATGGCTCCAGCCCTCTAATGGTATTAATGGCCTCTATAGCTTCATGAGGACTTGATAGTCCATAGCTTACTGCATCCAATACTGTGACACCCCACCCCACTGAACACACCTTCTTCTCTTAATTTCCAGAAACCACCCTCTCCAGCCTTCCTCCCACTGCATTGGCTTCATTTTCTCAGACCCAAGTTCTTTCTTCTCTACTCAACCTTTCCATGATGCTGTTCTTTGATTCTCAGACCCAGGCCACTCTCTCTTCTCTCTCTACAAGTTCTCCCTAGACAAACTCTATCACTCTTATGGTCTCAACTACCAAATATGCCAGTACTCACAAATTTACCTCTCACACTGGCTCCTCTTCTGAACTCCAGACTGACCTATGTTTCTATTATACCTTTTAGATACCTCTTAGAGGTATCCAATGTGTACTAGATTGTCCAAAACTAAACTTGCACCTGGCGTGGTGGTTCAAGCCAATAATCCCGGCACTTTGGGAGGCCAAGATGGTAGGATCGCTTGAGGTCAGGAATTTGAGGCCAGGCTGAAAAACATAATGAGACCTGTCTCCGAAAAACAAAAAGTTTTCATTAGCTAGGCATGGTGGTATGCACCTGTAGTCCCAGCTACTTGAGAGGCTGAGACAGAAAGATCGCTTGAGACCAGGAATTCAAGCCTGCAGTGAGCTGTGATTGCACCACTGTATTCCATCCTGGGTGACAGAGTGAGATCCTGTCTTGAAAACAAAATGAAACTAAACTATTCTAAACTCAGCATCAACCTCCACACCCATGCCTGCTTCTTTTTCTGGGTTCCCAACTCCTTAAAGGTGACCATGGTTGTCTGTTGTTTGTGCTAAAAGCTTAGACATTATCCTTAATCTCCCTCTTTGTCATTTCCCTCCAATCCAGATCCCCCATGGCTGATCATTCTCATTCTCTCTTGAATCCATGTATTTTCTCCTTTTCTACTAACTTCAGTGGCACTACCCTGGTCCAGGGTGCCACCACCTCTTATCTGCACTCCTCCTCCTATTTAGTCACCCAGTAGGCTCTTATGCAAACCTCCTTCACGTTGCAGCTGGGATAATCTTTTTGAAACACAATAAATTGTTGCATTCCTCTGCTTTAGGCCTGCTGTGATTTCCCATTGCTTTTATAATAAAGTCAAATTCCTGAGCACATCCTACCAGGCTCTGCAGGGTCTGGCCCCTGGTGACCTCCCCACCTTTATCCTCTGTGTACTTCCCCATCTCCCTCTGTCTCCTTCCAGACCTGCAGCAAATTTTTTTTACCTCAGGCCCTTTGCATGTGCTGTGTTCCTCACCTGCCCTTCAGTAATTCATCATTATTCACCCTCAGGCCTCAGCTGAAATGCCACTTCTGCCTCCCGTGACTCCAGAGACTAGATTTGCTTCCCTTATTACATGCTTTCATAGTTTCTCTTTCTGAGCATTTATTTTTTCCTATCAACCCCTCTTCTCTAAAAGGCAAGAAAGAAGTGGGTCAGGCTTATTCATTGCTTTCTAGAGCCAAGGATGATGTATATACTCAATAAATATCTGCAGGTGCTCCATAAATATCTATTGGACAGAAAAACAAGTTAAGGTAATCAGCTGAGTAACACACAGTACAATACATTGTATATAGGTAACGGTGGGCCATTGAAGGCATTCGTGCATGGAAAGACACTGGGGATTGTGTTAAAAGCATTAACATGGCAATCATGTGCAAGAAAGATTGGGGAAACCAACAACACTATTATAATGTAATAGGCCAGGCATGGAGGAATATAGCCTGGATTAGAATGGTGACAATAGGAAGAGGAAAAATTTATAGGATCTGATGACTAGTTGTACTTCAAAGGAATAAGGGAAAAAGTAGATTCAGAGATTAGCATCTGGCTGGACTCAGTGGTTCATGCCTATAATCCCAGTTACTTAGCAGGCTGAGGCAGGAAGATCCCTTGAGCCTGGGAGTTTAAGACTAGCCTGAACAACATAGCAAGATCCTATCTCTGAAAACACAAAAAAACATTAGCCAAGTGTGGTGGCTTATGCCTGTAGTCCCAGCTACTCAGGAGGCTGAGGAGGGAGGATCACTTGAGCCTAGGAGGTGGAGGCTGTAGTCACATCACTGCACTCCAGCCTGGGCAACAGGATGAGACCCCATCTCTAGAAAGAAAAAGAGAGAGAGAGAGGAAGGCGAAAAGAAAAGAAAAGAAGAGTCTGGAAATTTTTTAAATAGTAAGAAATTAAGAAGAAAAGAACTGGGTTTCAGAGGCAGCTAATGATTCCAGGCCAATAAATTGTCACGGTGATGGAGAGACTTGTGAAGAATTCCAAGTGGCCTAAAAAACAGAAGTCATATTTCAAAGACTGTCTGCATACCTCTTCCAAATCAGGACCATCTGCAAGGAAAGCTGAAGTGAAATCATTATTTATGCAGATAATTTTCTCGGCAGGTGGTCTCCTTTTCTTCAGGCAGAATTGTGCCAAGGCCAGGCCACATTTCATAGGCAGGAACAGCCACGGCACCAATGGGGAGGTACCTGCATTCCTCTAGGGAAACTGCCTGGAACTACAGGCCACGGATCTCTGTGTTCCAGGGGCAACACGCCTCCTTTTCTGCTTGCATGCCCTGGAGCTGCCGCTGATCTTTGGCAGAGGAGACCCAGAAAAAAGGCCAGTTAACCCACAGAACGTAAAGCCGTGCTTGTGAGCATGTGGGTTATGGACCTGATGACCTTTGGTTTTCTGAGGCAAAGGAGGAAGAGCAGCTCTCAGTAAAGCATATGGGATCTTATGGAAACAGAAAAGCTGCAAGGGCCCTAGGAGGTGTGGGACACGAGGAGAAATTCCAGAGACCTGCTGCTACTTTCACAGTTAGGTGTGAGCTGAGATTCGCACCTAACTGTGGAGGAGATACAACTGTTTTGCCCATCCTACACTTAGAGGAAAAATAAAGAGTGGCTTTAGACTACAAAGTATAGAGAAAGCAGAGTGTCTGAAATATGGAACTGAAGTTTGCAAAACCCCAAACAGAAAAGAAACCAGGACTTTGGGGACACTAAAAGCTCACTGAGGCTCTAGATGGATTGCTCTGTTCTGTGAGTGGAGAAGGGTCTACTCAGCTATATCTAGAGACCAAAGGCCAAAAGCTACAGCCTTGATACCCTCTGTGGGGCAGGGTCCATGCAAGCCACTTTCTGGCAGCTCAGGGACTAGACAAATTTCTCTGAGCTCTGTGGGAAGTTGGGGAATGGATTTAAGGTAAATTTCATAGGCTGTTAGTCTGCTCAGACTATCTGACTATCTCAAAGAGAGCAGCCTGTAACCCTCCCCTCTGAAGGGGAGCGTGTGTGTGTGTGTGTGTGTGTGTGTGTGTGTGTGTTAGAGAGAGACAGACAGACACACAGGGAAAGAATGCCTATTGGAAGACCCTGTCTCTGAAAAAAAAAGTTTTCATTAGCTAGGCATGGTGGTATGCACCTGTAGTCCCAGCTACTTGAGAGGCTGAGACAGAAAGATCGCTTGAGACCAGGAGTTCAAGGCTGCAGTGAGCTGTGATTGCACCACTATATTCCAGCCTGGGTGACAGAGGGTTCAAGTTCAAGACCAGACTGCACCCACTTCAGTCCACTCACTAAACCACTGTAGAAAAAACAACAGCAAGAAAAGCCATCAGGCACCCTCTCTAATCTTGCCCAGGAGTCCCCACCCTTGTTTGGGCAAATCCATTTCCCGGCTCCCAGGAAGAAGTTGGGAAGGCCCTTTTCTTTTTTTTTATTTTTATTTTTATTTTTTTCTCCTGCAAAAACTTTTTTTTTTTTAATACTTTAAGTTCTAGGGTACATGTGCACAACGTGCAGGTTTGTTACATATGTATACATATGCCATGTTGGTTTGCTGCACCCATTAACTCGTCATTTACATTAGTTATTTCTCCTAATGCTATCCCTCCCCCATTCCCCTACCCCACGGCAGGTCCCAGTGAGTGAAGTTCCCCTTCCTGTGACCAAGTGTTCTCATTGTTCAATTCCCACCTATGAGTGAGAACATGCAGTATTTGGTTTTCTGTCCTTGTGATAGTTTGCTCAGAATGATGGTTTCCAGCTTCATCTATGTGGCTATGAAGGACATTAACTCATCCTTTTTTATGGCTGCATAGTATTCCATGGTGTATATGTGCCACATTTTCTTTATATATATATATATATTATATATATATATTTTATTATACTTTAAGTTCTAGGGTACATGTGCACAATGTGCAGGTTTGTTACATATGTATACATGTGCCATGTTGGTGTGCTGCACCCATTAACTCGTCATTTACATTAGGTATATCTCCTAATGCTATCCCTCCCCCCTCCCCCCATCCCACAACAGTCCCCGGTGTGTGATGTTCCCCTTCCTGTGTCCAAGTGTTCTCATTGTTCAATTCCCACCTATGAGTGAGAACATGTGGTGTTTGGTTTTTTTGTCCTTGCGACACTGCAGGGGTAGATAGGTTACTAGTTTTGCCACTGCAGAGATGATTCCCACCTCAAATGCTGCCTCATTTCACCTGCCTTGAAAGGAGACTTGATATGATTTCCTTGTCTTTTATTTGCCTGCCAATAATATTCCACCTGATAAGAGGTGGCTGCAGTTGCATTACTGGGACAGCCCTTTTCTTTTATTTGTCCTCCTCCTCCCCTCCCTCTCCTGTCTTCACTATAGCAAAATAAGTCTTTGTGTCTCATTTCATTGGTCTTCAATCCTTTTAGGGTTTTTTTTGTTTGTTTTCATCACTCCACCAAGAAACAAGGGTCTGAGGCTGCTATTATGTTAGTTAGGTTGGTAATAAGCTTGAAGTTGCTACTCTACTTGGTCAATAAAGTCTGAGCCCAGCAGGTTGCACATCTGTTTCATTAAGAATAAAAGGTTTCTGTGCAGACAGCGACCCATTGGGTGTATGCAGCTGCCAGAGAGGACACTCTGTGACTCGGTATGAAGCCCAGGAGATAGCAATAGTGAACTTGTAACATACATTTAAATACATTAATTACTTTGGGTGTGAAAATTATCACAAAAGAGTAACAGTAAAATCAACATAACTAACCATCACCCTATCATAATAGGCCCTTTTTCAAGTCTGTCTGCTGATCCACAAGGTTGACTGTAAATAGGGTGCTTTCTCACTCTGTGTCTTATGTAAGACAAGCACTTAATACTTAAAGTGAATGTTGCTTTTAGCAAGGCTGTCATTTAGTTTGTGTCCTGGCCCAGTTTAGACAGTTGCCTTCAAGGCAATAAATATTATCAACTTTTCCCTTTTCAAACTATTTTGCAAGGAAATCAATTCTCATACTATAGAATATATTTCTAGTATGACTGCAGTTTTTATTATTTAGATCTTAATTATCTTAGGTATTTTGCTTTTCTATTTTCTTCCTTTTCATGTCAGCTTTAGAGAAATTAGATATTGTTTGTTTGTTTTCTATTTTCCTCATAAAATGAACTAGGAAAATAAAAATTCAGCAATATACTCCTATTATTAAATGCCCTAAAAATATATAGAAAAAATATGCCCAAGGAACCTGGGATAAATGTTTTGTATCAGAAATTTTGTGGCCACTTTGTGGCCCTGCTAACAAACATCCTTTAAGCTGCTTTTTATGGTGTTTCTTTTTCTCAACAAAACAAAACAAAACAAAAACAAAACAAAAAACAGTATTCCACGTTACCATTGCTAAAAAGAACTAAAACAACAAACTGCAATTTTTGGAGTCAAATCACAAAAGGAGTCAAGGTCAAAATACAGCCATGGCTTGATGAAGAAAAGCACTCCTGTGTTAACAGCATACATTATTGCAGAAACCCAGCTGATGGGACATCTGAGAAGATCATTAGCAGTGGCCACACGGTATTGGCACAAGTTTCATTTTTTTCCCTAATGGTTATTAGTGGAGTTTTATGATTCTAAATTATTCATAAAATTGTCTAAGACATTTAAATAATGTAAAAAAAAAGTTCTAAAATTTGTTTTTAAGTATTTGGATTCCCTTTCTATGCATGCTTGGGAACCAGCAAGGACATCCATTCCTGTGAGGGTATGACAGCCCTGGTGGACGCTTAAATCAAGGATTTGAAAATGATTTTTTAATGTTTGCTGTTTTCATTTATTCATATTCTGTTTGCACATTATTATTGCTATACTTGGGAGCTAATAATGAATTACATTGAAAGCTATACTCGTCAAGGTATTCTGAAGAAATTCAATGATTTCGATATACTGATGCAAATATTAGATTGGACTATATGAAATTGACATTGTTAGGTCGTTTTTGCTTGTAAAAATGATAATTTCATAATGTTTAGCCTAGTATTTTCATTTGGAAATTAGTCATCTTGTGCTTTTCATTGTGTTTTGGTTCTGGTTTTGCTTTTTGCTTTTTATACTTTTAAATTGTCTGAACAGTAGTTTATTTATCTTGGATGTTGGATTTTTAGTGTAAAATGTGACATATCCAGTGAGTGGAAGGGTGAAAAATAATTAATGGATATGGGATTTCTTTGGGAGGTTATGAAAATAGTCCAGAATTAGATAGTGGTGATAGTTGCACAATTCTGTGACTATACCAAAAGCCACTAAACTGTACATTTTTAGAGGCTCAGCTTTATGGTACGTGAATTATATCCCAATTTTAAAAAATCCAAAGGTGTAAAAATTGGGAAGGAATAAATAAAACTGTCTTTGGTCACAGATGACATGATTATCTACATAGAAAATCTGAAAGAACCAAAAAAATGTCCTGGAATGAAGAAGCAATTATAGCAAGGTTGTAGGATAAAATGTTAATATACAAAAGTCAGTTGCTTTCCTATATACCAGCAATAAACAATTGAGACTTGAAATTAAAAACACAATGTCATTTACATTAGCACCAAAAATTGAAATATTTAAGTATAAAACTAACAAAATATGTATAAGATCTATATGAAGAAAACTCAAAGCTCTGATGAAAGAAATCAAAGAACTACTAAATAAATGGAAATATATTACATGTTTGTGGATAGAAAGATTGAATATTGTTAAGATGTCAGTTCTTCCCAACTTGATGTATAGATTCAATGAAATCCTAATCAAAATCCCTGAAAGTTATTTCATGAATATCAATAAACTGATTCTAACATTTATATGAAGAGGCAAATGACCCAGAATAGCCAACACCATATTGAAGGAGAAGAACAAAGTCGAAGGACTGACATTCCCCAACTTCATGACTTACTTTAAAGCAACAGTAATCAAGATAATGTGGTATTAGTGAATGAATAGATAAATAGTTCAGCCAAAAGAATAAATTCCCTTCCCCTCAAGAAATAGACCAACACAAACATATTCAACTGATCTTTGAGGAAGGAGCAAAAGCAATACAATGGGTGATATGTTTGGCTGTGTCCCTACCCAAGTCTCATCTTGAATTGTAGTTCCCATAATCCCCATGTGTTGTGGGAAGGTCCTGGTGGGAGGTAATTGAATCATGGGAGCGGGTTTTTCCCGTACTGTGCTCAGGGCAGTGATTAAGTCTCATGAGATCTGATGGTTTTATAAATGGGAGATCCCCTGCACAAGCTCTCTCGCCTGCTGCCATGTGAGATGTGACTTTGCCCCTCATTCACCTTCCACCATGACTGTGAGCTCTCCCCAGCCATGTGGAACTGTGAATCAATGAAGCCTCTTTCCTTTATAAATTACCCAGTCTTGAGTATGTCTTTATTAGCTGTGTGAGAACAGACTCATACAATGGGGAAGATAGTCTTTTTAAAATAGGGTACTGGAACAACTAGACAACACATACAATAAAAAAAGAAAAGAATCTAGACACAGACTCACATCCTTCACAAAAACTAACTCAAAATGGATATAAATGCAAAACAATAAAGCTCCTGAAAGATGACACAGAAGAAAACCTAGATGACCTTAGATGTGGTAATGACTTATTAGATACAAGAAAAAAGCCACAATCCATGAAATAAATAATTGATAAGCCAGCCTACATCAAAAATTTCTGCTCTCTGAAAGACAATGTCAAGAGAATGAGAAGGCAAGCCAATAACTGGGAGAATATATTTGGAAAAGACACATCTGAAAAAGGACTATTATATAAATTATGCAACGAACTCTTAAAACCCAACAATAATAAGACAACCCAATTTAAAAGTGGGCCAAAGGACTTAGCAGATATGTCCCCAAAGAATATATACAGATAGAAAAAAAGCATATGAAAAGATGTTCTACATTTCATTAGAGAAATGCAAATTAAAATGATGAGATACCACCACACACCTATTAGAATGGACAAAATCCAGAACACTGACAACACCAAATGCTGACAAGGAAATGGAATAGCCAACACCATATTGAAGAAGAACAAAGTCAAGACATTCCCCAACTTCAAGACTTACTTTCAAGCAACAGTAATCAGGATAACATGGTATTGGTGAATGAATAGATAAATAGTTCAGCCAAAAGAATGAATTCTCTGTCCCCCAAAAATAGACCAACACAAACATATTCAACTGATCTTTGAGGAAGGAGCAAAGCCAATATAATGGGTGATATTTTTGGCTGTGTCCCCACCCAAATCTCATCTTGAATTGTAGTTCCCATAATCCCCACACATTGTGGGGATTCATTCATTACTGGTGGGAATGCAAAATGCTATAGCCACTTTGGAAGGCAGTTTGGCAGTTTCTTACAAAACTAAGCAGACTTTTACCATGTGATCCAACAATCATGCTCCTTGGTATTTACCCAAAGAGAAGTTGAAAACTTCTATCCACATAAAACCTTTACACAGTTGTTTATAGAAGTTTTATTCATGATTGTCAAAACTTGGGAGCAACAATGATGTCCTCCAGTAAGTGAATGGATAAATAAACCATGGTATATCCAGACAATGAACCATCACTCAGCACTAAAAAGAAATGAGCTATCAAGCCTTGAAAAGATATGAAAGAATCTTAAATGCATACTACTAAGAGAAACAAGCCGCCAATTTGATTCCAAATATATGACATAGGTCTCTATACAACATTCTTGAAAAGGCAACTAGGGAGAAAGTAAAAAAAAGATCAGTGGTTGTCAGGTTCTGGGAGGAAGGAGGGATGAATAGGTGGAGCACAGAGGATTTTCAGGGCAGTGAAAATACTTTGCATGATACTATAATGGTGAGTACAGGTAATCATACATTTGTCAAAACCTACAGCATGTACCATGCCAAGAGAGCATCCTATGGACTTTGGGTGAAAATGAAGTGCCAATGTAAACTCGTTGATTGTAATAAATGTACCACTGTGATTCAGATATTGACAGTAGAAGAGGCTGTGCACATGTAGGGACAAAAAGTAGACGGTGACTTTCTGGATTTTCTGCTCAATTTTGCTATGAACCTAAAACTACTCTAAAAAGTAAAGTGTGATTTAAAAATTTTATCTGTACTTATAAAAATGATGAAGGATGTCTTCTAAAGTTGGCAAAGCCACATTTTATTAAGGATGCTCTTCATCTGGTTTTACCTGGAATAATCAAAGTGGTTTCCCTCAAACACATTTCCTGTCTGTTTAGATTCTGTAATTTTCTACTTGGAATTTGGTGAAGATACCAAAGAAAATGTTCAAAATGATGAAACTTCCCACTGCAAGATGATGATGATGATGATGATGATGATGATGATGAATACTTAATAGTTATGTAACTGTAGAGATGCATGCCAACTAACTAGAATATAAGTATGGAGTCCTAGGTTTGGGTCCAGGTTGAAATTCTAGCGACTCACAGAGGCAAAAAAAGTAAGGAGCAAGAGAAAATTCAAGCATCCCAGAAAAACTGACTCAGGGAACACCTGAATAGCACAAAGCATCAAGTTGCAAAAATCTCAAGTCTGGTAGACAGCAAAAATATAAAGACTCAGCCATCAGGTTCAGCCAGACGGAGTAGGTGCAGGAGAAGGAAGAGCAGGTGGAAGCCAGGATGTACTGGGAGATATTCATGTATCAAAGGTAGCAGCTTTTTAATGTCCCTCATTCAGCCCATCTCACAGGCGAGGATGAAATGTCCCTAACAGCAGTGAGCTGAGCCAGGCATAAATAAGCTTCTAGTTCCTCCTGCTCAAGAAACCAGTGGTATCTGTTCTCATCTAGAACTGAGATTCTTTTTATTCCTGGTCCACTGATCTCCATGGCCTGCAGGGGCTGCAGTTCTGCTGTCTCCCTTGGAGCTTAGTGGGTCCTCTGTGAGGTTGCATTCCTTCTGAGCAGAATAGTTGCATTCATTTCTCAGCAAATCTTTATTGAGTATCTACTATGTTCCAGGCATTCTTCTAGGATGCAATGGTGAAGAAACAAATGAAAAGACCAGGTTACTGCCTTCATGGGGCTTTCGGCCTAGAATGGAAGCTATGGCAACCATCAATCCACAAGGCATGCATGCGTGTGGAAACTTCCCCTGAGTGGAGCCTTGGGGGAGGAAAGTACTTGGGCTGTGCATTGTGGAAAGAGGGCCTTGATCGAGGCAGGGAAGGCCTTCCCAGGGCGTGGGGAGTCAGTGAGGCCTAAAAGAAGAGTAGAAGTTATTAGGAAGTTGGAGACCAATTCTAAGCACCGGGAACCTTGTGATGGAATGGGATTTTGTGCAGCTGGGATTTTGACAATGGGATTTTGACAATACCACACCACATATCAGATGGTGGCAGTGTATGTGATATGTTCTGTGTAATCATTTCCAGGACACAAGGGTGGCAGGGGCAGTTAGTTGTCTGCCGTTGCCTCCTTGGTAACAGGACCCTGATGCTTGGCTGGGACGATGGCACCTAGAAAAGGATTGCATTTCTCAACCTCCCTTGCAATTAGGTGTAGCCATGTAATTATCTGGAGACTAACCAATGAGATATAAGTGATCAGTTGTACAGGACTTCAGGAAAATATCTTTAAAAAGAGAGGGTAAGAACATCTTCTTCCTGTTCTCCTTCCTCCTGCCTAGAATGTAGAGTAAATGGATGGTGCTGCAGCAGCCATTTTGAACCATAAGGTGACTTGGAGGCTGGAAGTCCACTCTAGCCTACTAGATTATAAAGCCTGTAGGGGACTTGGTCCCTGATTATATGAATTTCCCATTCAAGCTCTAACTGCCTAAGTTGACTTCATTTACATGACAGAAAAAAAAACCCTTGTGTGTTTATGCCTCAGTGATGGGAGTTGGAATCTCAGTTACCTACAGCTGAATGACGTGCCAGGAATCAGGAGGTCATTGAGTATCCCAGCTTATCCCACCTTACTGTTGTCAAGCATTCTATACCAGATGTACAGCAGAATGCATCTCAACTGTCTCATCCATTTTCATAATTTTTCTGCCTAAATATAAAAGACAGGACCAGATGCCTGTCCTTTGGAAAATCCCCACCAGTTATTTCATCACCAATTCTTTTTTGTTGTTGTGTTGTTTGGTTGGTTGGTTGGTTGGTTTTGTTTTTTCTTTCCAACTTTTAGGTTCAGGGGTACATGTGCAGGTTTTTTACATGGCTAAATTGCATGTCATGGGGGTTTGGTGTACAGATTATTTTGTCATCCAGGTAATGACCATAGTACCCAATAAGTAGTTTTTCAATCCTCACCCTCCTCCCAGCCTCCACCCTCAAGTAAATCCCAATGTCTGTTGTTCCCTTGATTTTGTCCATGTGCACTCAGTGTTTAGCTCCCACTTATAAGTGAGAACATGCAGTATTTGGTTTTCTGTTGCTGCGTTAATTCACTTAGGATAATGGCCTCTAGCTGCATCCATGTTGCTGCAAAGGACATTACCTCATTCTTTTTTATGGCTGCATAGTATTCCATGGTGTATCTGTACTGCATTTCTTTATCCAGTTCACTATTGATGGGCATCTAGATTGATTCCATGTCTTCACTATTGTGAATAGTGCTGTGATGAACATAGGTGTGCATGTGTCTTTATGGTAGAATGATTTATACTCCTTTGAGTATGTGCCCAGTAATGGGGTTGCTGGGACAAATGGTAGATCTGTTGTGAATTCTTTGAGAAATCTGAAAACTGCTTTCCACAGTGGCTAAACTAGTTTACACTCCCACCAGCAGTGTTTAAGCATTCCCTTTTCTCTGCAATCTCACCAGCATCTGTTACTTTTTGACTTTCTAATCATAGCCATTCTGACTGGTGTGAGATGGTATCTCATTGTGGTTTTGATTTGCATTTCTCTAATGATTAGTGATTTTGAGCGTTTTTTCATATGCTTGTTGGCCACACATATGTCTTCTTTTGAGAACATCACCAAGTCTAAAATTATCCATCTTGGAAGTGAATGTCTGGCTAAATCCAATCTTCTAACAATTTTTAACAACACTATCAGAATCTTTTAACAGACCTTGTACTCACACAAGGGATGAAAGTGTTGCTTAGTGCTGCAAAGGGGAAGAACAGTACTAACAAAATACTGTTTAGGTTATCAGCTTTAAGTCACTTTTATAGGTATAGAACTAGCAAGTGAAGCAGAAAAAAAATGAAATATTAATGGTTTGATCACATTACTCTGTGACATTGTAGGTGGCAGGATGGGGTTGTCCAGGTAAAGGTAGGTCTGGGGGTTCATCTGAAGAGTCTACAGGCACACAACAAGCATCAGAGGTCAAAGCAAGGAAGAGGGAAGAAGTAGCCAAGAAGGTTCCAGAAGCCTGCACTTGTTAGATTTGACTTCTCATCCTAAGGAAGGCTATTTTATTTTATATACTAGGTGTGAGTGACTGTGTAACCATAGGAATTGTTTATAATGGAAAGAAATCACACATCTTCAGAAAAATGCTAACCTCCACTGAGGCAGAGGCAGAAACTCTAGGATTACTTCACAGCCAAAAATATTTCGGTAGCAAAAACAGATAAGAATGCCTGGTGACCATGTTATTAACTAGAATTCAATGATTGGGGGTTTCTTAAGATTGAAAAGACTTTTGAGGTTGTATAGTAAATAAGGGCTGGAGGGAAAATTTTTAAATGTGGTACTTGCAGTTTTAAAACATATTCACAAAATATATCTTGGAATTTACTGCCCAGAAAGTGTGGCTTGAGTCCTTTGTATAATAGTTAAATGAATAGCAAGAGAAAAGAAACCTTGAAGTCAACTAAAGATTAGAAAAATGAGGATCAGGAGTCATCTTTTACTAACTCAATGGCTTTTTTATGGAATGATAAAATTAATGGATGAGGAGAATGCAATCGATGTAATATATCTGAACTTTCAAGAAGCAGCTATTATTGTCATGTCACAGAATGATACTTGATAAGTCTATTCAATCATGCCAAGATCTAAATATGGCCCCTCAATTGGAAAGTAGATGGGAATCTAGGCAACATAATAAATAATGAATGATTGGGGAGACAAGAGGAATCAACATGTTCTCAAAACTTTGTTTTGTTTTGTTTTGTTTCGAGACTATGTTTCACTCTGTTGCCCAGGCTGGAGTGCAATGGCTCAATATCGGCTCACTGCAACCTCCGCCTCCCAGGATCAAGCGATTCTTCTGCCTCAGCCTCCCAAGTAGCTGGGATTACAGGCATGTGGCACCACACCCAGCTGTTTTTTGTATTTTTAGTAGAGACGGGGTTTCCCCATGTTGGCCAGGCTGCTCTTGAACTCCTGACCTCAAGTGATCCAACGCCTCAGGCTCCCAAAGTGTTGGTATTACAGGCATGAGCTACCGTGCCTGGCCAAGACTGGGTATATTTGAATTTCACTTTATTTGTCACTCCTTTCACTAATGATCAGAGAGATGGATCAACACCATGAGTAACAACAAAACAAACAAACGATGCCACTAGGGGTGCTTACATTATTTAATGTCACAGATGGAAAGACGCTAACTCTTTTGTCTGTGTTCCCAGTTGCCTTTTTTTAAATTGGGATAACTATCTTGTTTTATATAGTTAATTGAATTTATTAACTTTTTGGTTGAACTGTGGTCTCTTTTTTTTTTGATTAACATGTTTGCAAGATAGATTACTGAGCAACGTTTACATTGAGCTATAGATTTATGATCTTTGTACGGCTCCTATCTTCTGTCAATAATTCTCTATGTGGATTAACTGCACTGGAGAAAACCAGGGGAAAAATGAACAGATGGAAACTGGAGGGTGGGGTAGGAAGTAAGTTCATGGGGATCTGAAATCAACAGAAATCCAGATGGACATTCAAGGGAAATTGAAGAGTGTTAAAAAAGAGGAAAAAAGTGCTTGAAAGTGAAAGGAAGAATGGTGAAAGGAAAGATAAGTCCAGGAATAAATGTAAAAAGAACGAGGAATAAGAAGTCAATGTTTGGGGGATATAAAAAATATAGGAAGAATTCAGTAGCTGTCAACATGACAGTCATAAAGGATTTGGTTTGAGATGGATTTGGAATCGATCAAAACGGAAATAAAAATTCTATTAGATTGTTATTGATGTCATGGTTTGTTTGTTGTTGTTTGAGACAACGTCTCGCTCTGTTGCCCAGGCAAGAGTGCAGTGGCACGATCACTGCTCACTGCAGCCTTGACCTGCTGGGTGCAAGGGTTTCTCCCAACTCAGCCTCCCAAGTAGTTGGGACTACAGGCACGCCACTATGCGTAGCTGATGTTGTTTTTGGTTAATAATTGTTTACAAACCTATCAAGTGCAAAGTGGCTCTGGTATAACTATAGATGAGAATGGACTTTGAGACAGTCTTAATTACTTGAGTTTGTATAAGAAAATGGTGGTTCCTAATTCACTTTCCATGTTGGTAAATTAGTTCATCTCTGTCTTCGTCCGAAGACAAACTAGTTGTACATTTGTATCAATTATAGCAAAGTATCAGCACAGATCTTCAGAGTTCTCTCTTATCCATATGAGAGAAGTATTATTAAAATTAGTCTATTCTGTCACTTTATTCAGTGCTCGTGGGGAGCCAAAAATAGTAAAAAAATGCAGATTCATTTTTCAAAGGAGGCTGTGTGTACTATTATATGCACTATTAATGATTGTTATGATTAAACAACAAAAACATACAAATTTAAAGTATTTGGCATCCCTTGAGTGGTGAAATGAAATGTTGCAGTTATGTGGCTACAGAAGAAAAATGTATTCAGATTAAGGCACATTTATGCAAAATCCTGCCCAGTAATTTCTTTCCTGTCTTCCTGGCCTTGATTCCTTCTGTGGGCCTTAAAAAAAAAAAAAAAAACTCAAAATGTATTTGTCTTAATTTCTCTACCTAAAACAAATGGATTAGAAACCTTTGTTGAACAGCCCTGTGAGAAATAACTCATTAATAAATGTGAAATATTGCCCAATGGCAAAACGGCATAAGTTTTAAGTGCTCATTATGCCAGTAAATGTTTCTGCATTGTAAATTTGGATTTTAAGTTATATGGAGAAAAAATACTCAGGTTAGAGCAGAGCAGGTTTTAGTTTCCTCAAAGTGCATATTAAAACTGAGATAATTTGATAGCCAACCACCAAAATCTATTTTTAAGTTATTTTTTTCAGTTACGACATATTTTTAGTAATTTTTTTCTTTATGCATTCTTATAACTTAAATATTCAGATTTTAGCTACAGAGGGCATTGTATTAATATTTTCAGTGACACATTAATGTACGCCAAGAATGATTGTATTGTGTGGTTTGTTTATACCAGTAGTTATATTTGATGTTAGCTATTTGGTACAAAATACAATTCTTATACATTATGGGAACATAAACTTTATTGCTGTCTCATTACCATGCAGAAGCCAAATATGAGCAAAAGAATAATATCCTGTATTAATCTTCCAAAGGTTGGCTATGGATAACCCAACTGATTGTGTTACAGTTTAATTAATGGAATAAAAAGGGAATAAATAGTTTCAATTCTGCCTAATAAAGGTAATTCTCCCATGGCAAGATATGTACACTGAAACATGATAAAAGAATTCTGATGGAATGGCTTTTTGTCTAGTTGAATAACGCAATATTCTCTTCTGTGCCCGTAAAAAAAGATATCTCCGTCCTTAAGGCTATATTTTGTAGTGTCATTTTAGGTATTCATTTTGGGGGAAAAAAAAATCCTTGCTTATTCAGCTTTAAGGAATTAGATCTCATTGAACTAGAAAAAACTATCTAAAATAGCTTAAAATGTTTTTTGATTTGTGAAATATAAAAAGTCCTCACTGTGGATAAGTGAAGCCACATTCATTTGAGCAACTTCACTGACCTTTTTCTCCTCTGCATAAACGCTTGTCCGTTGCTGATGGTTCTGTGGAAATGTCTGCAGGCAGAAAAAAAAATCAGAGGGGTGTATTTTTGCAGCAAAAATTTCAGATGAAGGGGTTTGTATTTTTAGATGGCTTAGTTTTTTTGAGTTTTGTTTTTTTGCGACAGGGTCTTGGCTGTCATTCAGGCTGGAATGCAGTGGTGTGAACACAGTTCACTGCAGCCTCGACCTCCTGGACTTAAAAGATCCTCCTTCTTCAGCCTCTCATGTAGCTGGCACCACAGGCACACACCACCATACTCAGCTAATTTGTTTTTGTTGTTGTTGTTGTTGTTTGTTTTGTTTTTGTTTTTTTGTAGAGACAGGGTCTCACTATGTTGCCCGGGCTGGTTTTAGACTCCTGGGCTCACACGATCCTCCTGCCTTGGACTCCCAAAGTACTGAGATTAGAGGCGTGAGCCACTGCACCCCATCAAGATGCTTGATTTGAGTTAATTACAGACATTTTCCTGTAATTTTAAGATTTTCTGCCAACAAAAGCATTGGAAGAAAGTAAAACGTCACTACATATGTTGAGGTATCCTGAATAGTAGGGCATATTTAAAGACAAAAGAAAATGCAACTAGCTTTACTTTCTTCCACAAAATTAAGGCTACCTCTAAGTCTTTCTAACTTCACACATCTGTAGCCAGTTGGTTCAACCACCCAGGAACAGATGGTCATGAGGCCAAGATGTTTTATTTCTGTGCGAACAGGATGGCTTTGTTTTATTCCATAGGCTCAAGTATATAGCCTGGTGTCGTGGACTGAATAGTGTTCTGAAAAATTTATGTCCACCCAGGACTTCAGAATGTGACCTTATTTGGAAATTGAGCCTTGCAGATGTAAATTGGTTAAAATGAGATCATACTAAATTAGGGTTGGCCCTAACTCCAATGACTAGTGCTCTTTTTTTTATTTTATTTTATTTTTTTTTGAGACAGAGTCTCGCTCTGTCGCCCAGGCTGGAGTGTGGTGGCACAATCTCGGCTCACTGCAAGCTCCACCTCCTGGGTTCACGCCATTCTCCTGCCTCAGCCTCCCAAGTAGCTGGGACTACAGGCGCTCGCCCCCATGCCCGGCCAATTTTTTTTGTTTTTTTAGTAGAGACGGGGTTTCACCGTGTTAGCCAGGACGGTCTCGATCTCCTGACCTCATGATCCTCCCGCCTCAGCCTCCCACAGTGCTGGGATTACAGGCGTGAGCCACCACGCCTGGCCATGACTGGTGTTCTTATAAGAAGAAGGGCCACACAGAGACACAGGAGAATGCCATGTGAAAATAGAGGAGGCAGGGATTGGAGTGAGAAACCAAGGCCTGCTGGTAACCCCCAGAAGCAAGAGAGGAGCACAGAACAGATTCTCTCTCCAGCCTCCAGGAGGAACCTACCATGACACACCCTGATTCCAGGGTGAGAGAGTAAATTCTTATTGCTTTAAGCCACTCAGTTTGTGACAACGTGTTACAGTAGCCAGGGATAACCCCTAGACCCGGACATACAGCTTGATCATATTCTACCGGTCACACAGGCATTCAATGGAGACTGTAGACATCTAGGTCCACCAGTGGGAAATAATAGCTATTTTCTAAAAATAATACCTATTTTTAGAAAAGCATCTTCACAATTTAAGGTTATAACTAATGTGCCCAAGTCCATTCCTGGTAAGCAACAGCTCAGGCTCTTTACTTAACAAGGAGCATGTCCAGAACATGCAATCTCAAAAGTGCTACTAAATTCT
This sequence comes from Homo sapiens, assembly GCF_000001405.40. NCBI lineage: Eukaryota > Metazoa > Chordata > Mammalia > Primates > Hominidae > Homo > Homo sapiens. Next base: position 24,113,405 of record NC_000010.11, read on the forward strand.
GCCACCTCAACAACACCAAATCTGATGACAAAGCAGTAGAAAAGCTTTTTAAGGAAGCCAGTTTGTTCCTGCAAGAGTGTCTTTAATTAGGGATGAGTATTGTAGAAGATGACAGCATCCACTCTATTTTAAACAGAAAAGGAATTTTGCTCGCAAAATCACTGGAAAGGCTAGAAGATCAGGATCTAGGCTGGGATTCCAAAAGTGGCTTCCTAAAATGACACCACTGAGCAGAGCTGGCTCCTGGGGAACTGTGCCCTCTGTCAAGACCGGGAAGACGAGGACCAGGAAGCTGCTGTCCCAGATGTCCACTCTTGTATCTCACCACCTGATGCATTATCCAGGGAACTGGAAGCCCCTGCCATGCCTCCCGGCTTTTGGGAACACATTGCTTCGCTCTCTTCAGAATGAAAAAGCTGATAGCAGAACCGTTAGCAGAACCAGCTACATATTCATGTGGCCAGTGCAAAATGAAAATGCAGACCCCCATGTTCACAATTATTAAGACCCAAGACAGCAGCAACAGAGCATTAAGCCAAGCATGGGGCCCTTCTAATCATGGGAGTCCTGTGTGACTGCTCTGGTCACCTCCCATAAAGCTGGCCCCAGCTGTTGGCTTCAGAGCCATGGTGGCCTGATAATCTACATCGGCAAAAGGGATCAACATGGATGCATCCTGTACTATAACTCTTCCTCACTTGAGTCAGCAGAGAGTTTAAGACTTTGAGACTCTGGAAGACTGGGAGGCAGGGCCCTGGCTGCAAGGGAGTCTGAGGAACGTCCTTGTTAGCTGTCCAGGCTCTGCGGTGAAGGAAACACTCCAGAAGGAGCTGCAAAAATGCTGACTGATGGATGCAGCACACCAGCATGGCACATGTATACATAGGTAACTAACCTGCACATTGTGCACATGTACCCTAAAACTTAAAGTATAATAATAATAATAATAAAAGAAACAATTCCAAAAAAAAAATGCTGACTGAGTCTATCTACTGTATCCACCCAAGTGATAATTTTTTGCAGAGCAATTGGTTCTCTTCTCACTTACAGACCCCCCCTGTTGCAGCCAGCTAAGTGCTTTCTATACACAGCACTCAACAGACAGCTGGCAGAATCATGTGTGTATCTTCTCTGCACCAGGTGTGTGTTAGAAGATCAGAATACAGTGCTGACCCAGGAAGACAAGGTCCCTGCCCTTTGATTTCCCTCAAGTGAACAGACACGAGAAATTAACAAGTGAACATTCTCACTCAGTCCCATCTTTCTTCCCTTCAATCCATTCTCAACAGCACATCTGGAGAAATCCTTTGAAAAACACAAATCAGTTCACACACATTCCCCTGCTTAGATTATTTCCATAGTTTTGCCTTGCCCTTGGAAAAAAGCCAGACCTCCTCATCAATCCTGACAAGAGCCTCGCACCATCTGGTGTCTGCCTATCTCTGATGCTTCCCCACTTGCTAACTACGCCACATCAGTGTCCTCTCTGCTTTTTGGAGCATAACAAGTTCCATCCTATCTCTGTCTTTGATTTTGAGCTTTCCTAGCTCACTGCTCAACTGGTTCCTTCTCAGCTTCCGGCATGTGGCTAAAATGCTACCTTTTCAGGAAGGTTCTCTCTAATCCTAAGATAAAATCCCCACCTCAGCCCAGTTTTTCTACATCATATTGCTTTGCTTATTTATCCCCACTTATCACAATCTGAAGTTAGCCTGTGTATACATTTGTGTGTTTCTCTTTCCTGTCCATGAGACCAGAGGCCTTGCCTACCTGGCTCAGTGCTTTACCCCAAACTCAGCACAGCACCTGCGTATAGCAGGAGCTCAAGAAATATTTGTTGAGGAGCTGTTACTGACAGATTGGTACATTTTTTAAAAATAGCTACATTCATGGAAAGTCAGGTTTGCATTCATTATTTAGATGAAAGAAATTGAACCTAAAAATGAAGCATTATTTGGGATAGCTATGGAGTTTAGGAAAATTAAAGCAGAGAGTTCAAGGCAACTGGCAGTCATCAAACCATACAGGTCAGCTATTCTGGGAAAAAAAATGTGGGCTGGCATTGGGGTAAAAAGGCCAGGCCAAAAACTGTCCAGTAATACACATGATCTCACACTTGTTTACAGGTTATTTTGAGGCTGTTCTCTTCCTGTTCCCAGTGAGTGATCTTCCTGCTCACAGTGAGATCACTTACTCACTGAGAGCAGAGACCTCTGTCTTTCTGCAGTGGCCCCCAGTGCTCCCAGTAGCTCTAAGAGCAGCTTCCTGCTCCTTGTTTAAGTTCTCTAAGGATGGAAGATGCTAAGCACTGGGAAGGCTTGACTTTCATGCTTTTGCATGGCGCCACCAGGTAGGATGGCCAACCATCTGGATTCCTTGGAACTGGGGAGGTTCCTGGATACGGGGCCTTCAGTTTTAAAACCGGAACAACCCAGGGAACAAATCAGAGTACAGTCATCTTTCCATGGGGGCACTAGAAAGAAGGTGGCTTCATTCTTATTTTTGCTGATGGTCTCAGTCCGACCAGCTTGCTTCAGCCCATGTCATACTCCATTTACTCACTTGTAACTAATCTTTGTTATTTTGCCCTCCCCTTGTGGCTTCATTGTGCTTCCCAATCCTCACTCTCAGCCCTGCTTCTCTGACTTCCCTCGTTGACAGTGTCTGGATTCTTTCTCTGATTGTGTCATACTGCAACACTCTTACATCACCTGATCCATCTTGCCCCCTGGGATCTTGGGGGTTCTACCCCCACCCCAGGCCTCCAAGAAGCCCCGTTGTCACACTTGCCCCATGAGTAGTGGTAGGACATTGAGTGATGAGAATTATCTATGAATACAATTATGGTGATACACCTCTGACTGCACAGCTCAGAAAAAAAAGGCCAAAATATTCAGGAGTTATCTGGTGACCCTCTATCATACAGAGGAGGAGTCTGAAAACTTTCTCTGTAAAGGGACAGATGGCAAATATTTTGGGCTCTGCAGACCATGCAGTCTCTGTCGTAAGCGTGCAACTCTGCCGTTGTGGCAGGAAAACAGCTGTAGACAATATGGCAACAGAGACTGCATGGCCTGCAAAGCCTAAAATATTTGCTATCTGTTCCTTTACAGAGGAATTTCTCAATTTTTATGTGTTCCAATAAAACTTTATTTACAAATATAGGCAATGGGCCTAATTTGGCCCATGGGCCATAGTTTGTGGATCCCTGATGTAGAACAGCCTTCTAGATGATTTTTAAATTTTTTATTGAGTCTATAAAAGTTTTTTTTGTCCTCACCACTCATGGATCAGCCATAGCTCCGCACACACAATTTACACATCTTCTTCCTAATAACCCTCCTTACCTCTCTTAATTTTTCATAGTCATTTTCCTGTGCTTATGGAAACTTTTACTCCACAAAAATTAACTCTTGCACCAAGACACACGGAAAGAAAGACTGTGTGGTACTTATTTCTAGAAGGATGTTTAACACACATTTGTAATATGAAAGATAGTTAGGGAGTTAGAGTGAACTGTTAGGATAACTGAAATTAATACACGGTTACTGCTTTGTTAGATTAATAGGGCTCTGATGGGCAGGAGTATCCTTATTCTTGGTGATAAGGAAGGAAATAACTCCAAATAGTGTTTTTTTTTTGGGTGGGGGGGGATGGAGTTTTGCTCTTGTTGCCCAGGCTGGAGTGCAGTGGCTCAATCTCGGCTCACCGCAACCTCCACCTCCCAGGTTCGAGCAATTCTCCTGCCTCAGCCTCCCTAGTAGCTGGGATTACAGGCATGTACCACCATGCCCGGCTAATTTTGTATTTTTAGTAGAGACAGGGTTTCCACATGTTGGTCAGGCTGGTCTCGATCTCCTGACCTCAGGTGATCCGCCCGCCTTGGCCTCCCAAAGTGCTGGGATTACAGCACTGTGCTGGGCCCTAATAGTGCTTTTAAAGGTGAGTTTTGGGGCTGAGCATGGTGGCTCATGCCTGTAATCCCAGCACTTTGGAGAGTCAGTGTGGGAGGATTGCTTGAGCCCAGGAGGTCGAGACCAGCCTTGGCAACATGGTGATGCCCCATCTCTACAAAAATTAGCTGGGTGTGGTGAGTGTGCCTGTAGTCCCAGCTACTTGGGAGGTTGAGGTGAGGTGGGAAGATCACTTGAGCCCAGGAGGTTGAGGCTGCAGTGAGCTGAAATCATGCCACTGCACTCCAGCCTGGGCAACGGAGTGAGATCCTGTCTCAAAAATAAAAATTAAAAAAGTGAGTTTTGGGCTATTCACTATTTCTGGTTTTGTTTTTGTTTTAAAGTTAAAAAGTCTCAATCTGTGGTCAGGGCTCTGCAGTCGTAAGCAGCTTATGCAGAGTCCTGCTTTCTTCATATGTGTAATTTAATGTTCCTGAGCAAAGCAGTATCTTCATCACATATTTTGAAATGTGCTTCGCTGAAAAGTGTACTTTCATACGGAAAAGGGGTGGTAGGAGAAAGAAAATGCTGATAACATTTTAAATTAATCTTTAGGAATGCACTCACAAAATGCATGGAACTGGAAACTGCTTATATCAGATAAGAAACCTGGGAAATGAATGTGAAAAGCCAAGAAAGGGGAGGAGGGTGGGAGAAACGAGAGGAAGGAAAAATAACTATCAAGTACTTTGCTTAGTACCCGGGGTGACCAAATCATCTGTGTACCAAACCCTGACGTGAATTTACCTCTATAACAAACCTGCACATGTACCCCTGAGCCTCAAATAACGGTTAAAAAAAAAAAAAAAAAGAAACGAAAGTCATGGGAAAGAAGACTGAATCTAGCAAAACGTCCTTACGTGCATTTCTCTGGTCCTGAGGTAAGATGTGGTTGCAATAGGGGTGATGACAAACAGGGCCCTATAATGTTGTTGAGCCGCCTCCGCCACTTGCTTTCGGTGGAGTTATTGCAGGATGACAGAGTTCTCTGTAGCGCAGAGACAGCATATATGGGCTCATTGCTGAGCTGATTCTGCTGAGCCTAGAAAACCGAGCGCCTTAACAAGTCAATTCCACACCCCCTCGAATTTGTGCCTCGGTAGGGAGTCCTCAGCAGGAAATCCTCCATCTGTTTTCCTTTACTACAAGGGACTTCAGAGAATGAGTTCATTTCTCTTCAGACATCCTCACGTTGCTGTAAAACAGCACCGGGCTGAGTGAAGAGAAATGTCACAAGGAATACAAGAGGACGCCTTCAAACAGAGATAGCGGAGACAGTTACACTCTGAATTAGAGTCTAGCTTTGGAGAGGATTTATTTTTCTTTTGTTACTTACATCCTGGATTTGCTTTTTTTTTTTTAAAGGCAGCTTTGTTTTTTACTATTTCTAGTAAAGCATGGACATTTGAAGAAATAAATATAAAAGGAAGATTTCTCAAAGATTTGTCCTGTTGAGTAATGAAGCATACCCTGAGGACCCAGGGAGTAGAACTAGATCAGTCTTTCTTTTTGAGCAAAAAAGCCTAATTTGAAATTCAGGATTACTTTTAAAATATCACTCAAAGTAAGTACTTTGTCTTTGTTTTTTTTTCTCTTTTCTTCCTTCCTAACCCCCTAGTCAGCCTTTTTTGCATATTATAATCTCAATGAAGTTATCAGTTGTACTATAAATATGAGTAAAATGATTTGCCAACTCATAAATTACTTACAAGATGAGATACTGAGTTTTCTGCTGTGAACACTGTTCAGTACTAGCAGGTAGCAGGCAATATTTATAGTAATGTTTATGTTTTTATGTCAAGACTCATTTGATTTCATTAACATGTCATGTGAATATCTTTTGCCTCATTTCCTCCAATAATATAAACGATATTTTAACTTGGAAAATGAGCAAGCAAAAGTCTCTTCTGAAAAGAGCATTGTTGCCCTAGCAAGCAAACCAATTTATTTCAACTTTTGTCGACTTCTCTGGAATATTTAGGTACATTTGCTGAAAGATCTGTAAATCTAGAGAGTAAACTTAGCTAAAACAATAACTCTTGTGAACCCCTTTTGAAATTGCCATGAAATCATATTGCAAATGTGTAAAAATTTTTAAAAAAAACAACTCTATAGCAAAAGGATGTTGAAACATAAAAATACGTCAAACTGCTAATATCTTGGGTTGCACTATTAGGCTGAGCTACAGCTGTGTGTGTCTTGAAGCCTCCTCAGAACTCCAGGAATCCAGAGCTGTGAGGCTGATCTAGCTGTATGTGGTTAAAGGATATACAGGTAATCAGAGAGGTTATCTAGAAGGGCCCAGAATGTCCTGTTCCCTTAGGGGCTCCTAACATCTACCACCCATCCCTCTACCCTCTCGTCCTTATATAGTAGCTGTAAATCCTTAAAGTTTGCTATTGGAGGGGTCATGCTACCTCTCCCAGCAGTTATTTTGGGGAAGAGATGGCTGCTTCAATGTGCTGTCTGGCCAATGTCTGGGCAAGAAGGAACATTAAAATGATCTGTGCTTCCTACACATCCCAGGTCCCCTAAGTCACAAAAGCCATCACCTGTACCAAGGCTCTCTACGGACCAGCATGTCTGCAGGAGAAAGACAATGGGTGAAACCCACTTCCGTGGAAGTAGGGTGCTGCATTCTTCCTCCAGCTTTCCCTATTCTTTAGATACTGTCTGCCTCGACCTCCAAGAAACATGATTCCTATGCGTCATCTGTTGCCATAGCCAAGTGCTCCCAGAACCGGCCTTGTTACTGGTTAGCCCTTCAGTTAAAGATCATTATCTGCCAGGCCATCTGTTATTTTCACTTAGGAGAGTGTATTATTTCAGACCTATAGATGTCCTTTAAATTTCCCCTACATGTTGTGTAGTAACTAGATGTAGTCCAAGGGTAAAGTCCCACTGTGAACAATGGGAATCAGAGTCCCACTTTTGAGAGCATTTGTGACAATGGTATAATCTTGGATGGCCATGAACCCACCCTTGGGAGACGGGGAGGGGAATCTGAGAACAGTGAAAAATGAAATAAAATGAGAGTCTGGTTCTTGCCATACAGAACAGTGGTTGCTTTCAGTGGGATTACTTGCTTTCTGGTGTAGCTATGCTTAAGAATTCGTGCTTCTTGCTATGGGGCATAATGTTGCCCCTATAGCCTCTTTTATGAGTGCTGGCTAGCTCCCATCAACTATGGTGATCTTGGCACGCCACCTTTACAAAAGGGAGCCATGAAGACTAGGAGTTTTCCTACCTCGCACATTCCTCCTTAACCAGTTAAGAAAATGCTCAGTAGACTTTGCCTTCTTTAACTGGCCTGTTTTCCACCTGCTAAATGAGAATGTGCCTTATGACTTCTTTTCCCCCAATGGAAATTGTATTGCTGAATTTCAAAAGGCATCAAGTCATCTCTGCAACCCTGGGGCAGCTGTCATTTGTAAAGAGAATGGTTTGCATTGAGTGGCTTTTTTATGAACCTATATTCCAGTCATATCTGAACTGCCACATCCTGTGGTACAAGGAGATGATGATGAGGAAGATGTTGATGACATCTAGCAAGTATTGACTGACATCCTTTGCTAGGTGTGATACTAAATATTCTGTGACACTTATCACATTAAATCCTCCTTACTTTACCTGTGTAATGCAGGTAATAGAGGCAGCTCATTCACGTATTTCAATGGACAGGGGAGGAAAAAGATCCAAGAATGATCCTGTCCACTGGCATCCTGTATTCTTTTTGTTTGCTGTTGTTGTTTCTTTCATTCAGCTGTCTAGCTTCCAAGGCTGTGGGTTGTCCAGGCTCCCTTCTCTATTACCTTCATTCATGGATAGTATTTCTAGGAGAAAACAGGTAGCCTAGCATAGGTAGCAGCCTAGGGTGGGGGTAAAGTGGAAACAGACATTGAGACTTCAGCAGTGAGTTTTTGCTACATGTGTTGGTAATTGATTTCAGTTGTCTCTCCTCTGTGTTAACCTCTATGTAAAGTCTAACTTCACCCATGTCATGCTTTTCTGGGCTTCAGTTTCTGCAGGGTTATGGGAATGATTAAGCCCTTGTAGCTTAAAGCATGGACATTCTTGGGAGAAAATCGCATGTTAGTGAACAAATGTGTTTTAGTTGTTTGTGTTGAACTAGATTGTCACTGGGAGCAAATAAGACACTTAGAAGACAGAATGAAGTCTTTCAAATTGTCAGAAATGAGGAGGGAGATGTCAAATTTTTTGCTCTCATGAAACATGTTTTAAGTAAAATTTACTATAACATCTACTGTCATGAAAATTTTATTAGTATACGACAAATAGAGGTTAGCTGATTTGTAGATGATTTTTCAGCAAAATGCCTTTTTCAACAAAAGGCATGTTAAATAATCAATGAACAAGTGGATAAAGAAATAAGTTTGTAAATATGGGAAGGGAAGTCACTGGGGGTTACTAACATTTTCTTTGTTTTTCTATTGTTTCTAACCTTGGTTATGGGGGCATTTTTAGGTTAATTTGCCACCTTTATTACATACTCAATGATTATTTACTGAATATCTCTTGGGGCATCACTAACGGGTATGGGGGTGGGTGTGTTAGATACAGACATACATATAACTACATAACGTGTGGTTATCTTGATGCTTTGTGTTCAATTTTTAAAATTATTTTTTAATTTCAATTTTTATTTTAGATTGAGAGGGTACATGTGCATGTTTGTTACATAGGTGTATTATGTGATACTGAGGTTTAAGCTTCTATTGATCCCATCACCCAGGTGTGAACATAGTACCCAATAGGAAGTTTTCAGCCCTTCCCCCCACCCTTTTGGAGTCCTTAGTGTCTCTTTTTCCTGTCTTTATGTCCATGTGTACCCAAGATTTAGCTCCTGCTTACAAGTGAGAACATGTAATATTTGGTTTTCTGTTTCTGTATTAATTCACTTAGGATAATGGCCTCCAGCTGCATCCATGTTGCTGCAAAGGACATGCTTTCATTCTTTTTTATGGCTGTGTAGTATTCCCGGGTGTATATGTACCACATTTTCTTTATCCAGTCCACCATTAATGGGCATCTAGGTTGATTCCATGTCCTTGCTACTGTGAATAGTGCTGTGACGATATGTTCAAATATTCAACATATCAGAATAGTCCATGATTATATTGGAGAACAAATGTACTGCTACCAGGTGATTATATGCTTGAAGATGGTATCCAATGAGACAGAAAAACCAAATTCAGAAATACTATCCTCTCACAATTTTAGATTTACACACATTGAAACTAGAATGGATTTGGGATCATCTTATCTGACTCCTCTTTATGAATAAGAAAACCAAAGCCAGCATAACAAAATGATTTATGAAACTTCACTAATCAGCTGCAGAGCTAGAATGAGAATTCTAGCCTCTGGCCTCCAAATATAATGCTTTTTTTGTTTACTTTTTAGTTTTTATGTTTTAAAAGTACTATTTATTTACAATAATTAAAAAATAATGAAGCTATGCCCCCATGGTCATGCCGATTTCATTGCTCTTTTGACTTTTAAATATTTTAATATAAAAATAATATAAAACATAATATAAAATAGTATAATAGTCATCTGCAAACCCACCACCAAAAATATGTTATTTTGCATATATTAGTTCAGAAAACTTGTAGAATAAAATAGAGCCCATTATAAATACAGTGAAAGTACAATTCTTTTCTCTCCCCCTTCCTTTCCAAGATAATTATCATCCTAAAATTGCTACATAACTTTCCCATGTGTATTTTGGTATCTTGGCATTTTTACTGTGTGTTTGTGTGTGTGTGTGTGTGTGTGTGTGTGATAACAGGCATATTCATGTCTGTATGTTGTTGTTATCTATTTGTGGTTATACTACTGTTTATTTTAAAATTTTAAAATACATAAAGCATAGTCCATATTCTTTTGTAACTTTGTTTACATTCAACATTATTTTGGGCATGTATTTATATTGATACCTATATATAGGTCCATTTATTGTAATTGCAGGATAGTATCATGTTGCATAAATAATCCAAGGTTGATTTATCCATTTTTCTACTGAGGGAAGTGTGGGTTGTCCCTGCAGTTTTGCCATTACAACCATGCTGCAGTGTTCCTTGTACACGTCTTTTATGTATGTGCTAGAATTTCTTGAGGGAAATTTTCTAGAAGTTGATCATGGGGGACACATATCTTTGTTTTACTAGATGTTGTTAAATTGCTCTACAAACTATACTGCTTTATTTGATTATGGAGCAGTAGTTCTGAACTCTAGCTGCCGATGGCAGTCACCTAAGGAGCTTTTTAAAATTACCGATGCTTAAGTCCCACCCCAGACCAATTAAATCAGAATCTGTGGAGACTCGAAAATGGTATTTGTGTAAAGCTCCCCAGGTGACTGTAACATAAAATTAGGGTTAAGATCCACTGGTTTTGTATTTGTTTCCCCATATCTTTTCCAATACTTGGAATTATCTGATATTCTTCTTTGCTAATCTCTTAGATGTAAGGACTTTCTGATTACTGGTGAAGTTGAGTATATTTGTCTAACGTTACTGAGCCTTGCATTGAGAACTGTGTTATATATTAGTATTCTGGGCAGTAATTTTGAAGGGGGTAATATATGATTTGCAAATATCGACCCCCAGTCAATGACTTTTTCCTTACTTTATTTAGGCTATCTTTTATCATATAGAAGTTAAAAGTTTTAATATAATTAAATGTCAACATTTCATTTTATGGATAAAAAATACTTTGTACTTTGGAGAATCTTAAGAAACATTTCTCCACATAATTTAATAAAGTTCTTTTTCTATGCTTTCTTTTAAATGTTTTACTTTTTCTAAATGAGATCTTTATCTAGGATTTGTATTTCTATATGATGGCCTGTATTATCCTGATTTTTATCTCTTTAGGTATGAATAAGCAATTGCCCCAGTACAATTTATTAGTTTATCATGTTTCCAACCATGTTGGACAGCTTACTTGTTTTAGAAGTTTGTAAATTATTTTTGATTTTTAAATTAATCATTATATATGCAAATAATGGCAGTTCTGCTCATTCTTTAGTAACATTTATATATTTTTATTATTTCTTTTTCTCTTATTGATATCATGATTAGGAACGCTTGTCCAATGTTGAATAGAAATGTTGATAACAGGCATCCTGTCTTGTTCCAGATTTAATATGAGACGCCTCTGACTTTAACCATTAAGTATGGTATTCTCTTAGCATATGGTATATTTTATCAGGTTAATAGCTTCCCTCTATTCCTTGCTTGCTCAAAGTTCTTATCAAGAAAGTGTTTTTCATGTTATCAAATATTTTCTGTATTTATTGAGATGAACTTGTTTTTTCTCTTTTAATGCATTAACTGGTAAATTATACTAATAAATTTCCTAAAATTAAATCATTCTGCTATTCTGGGAAAAACTCTACTTGATCCCAGTTTTATAAAATATCCGTTCTAAATTTAGTTTGCTAACATTTCTTAGAATTTTTATATTCATAAATGAGACTTACTCATTTTATATTAACTTTATTCTGCCTCATAGGATGAGTTAGGAAAGATTATCTGGTTTGTTCTATTCTATGAGACTGTTTTTACAGCATTAGATTTACCTCCCCTTAGAAAGCTGGTAGATTTGTTGGCCGGGTGCAGTGGCTCATGTTTGTAATCCCAGCACTTTGGGAGGCTGAGGCAGGCGGATCACGAGGTCAGGAGTTTGAGACAAGCCTGGCCAATACGGTAAAACCCCGTCTCCACTAAAAATACAAAAATTAGCTGGATGTGGTGGCACACACCTGTAGTCCAAGCTACTTGGGAGGCTAAGGCAGGAGAATTGCTTGAACCCGGGAGATGGAGGTTACAGTGAGCTGAGATCGTGCCACTGCACTCCAGCCTGGGTGACAGAGCAAGACTCTGTCAAAAAGAAAAGAAAGTTGGTTGGTAAAGATTTGTCTGAAAGAATCCTATGCTCTGTGTGTGTGTGTGTGTGTGTGTGTGTGTGTGTGTGTGTGTGAATAGGCTTTAACTATAAATTCACTTCCTCTTATTATTGGTTAATTCAGACTTTGTATTGCTTCTCATGTAATTGTAAGCTACATTTATAATGAATTGACCATTTTTGGCTAGATCTTCAAATGTATTGATACAAAGTTGTTTTTGATATTTTTTCTTTTTAAAAATCTCTACCTTCTCTGTGGTCATGTCACTTTTTTTACAGCTTTGTAATCAAATTCTGAGTATCAAAGTAGTCCAAGATTTTCACAATGCACTCCAGTTTTTCTTTCTACTACTCACCATAGGACCCCAGCAGCTAATACTAATAGTCATTTCTGGTTTCCCTTTCTCTCTATTTCTAACAGTGAAAATTGAGTCCATTAGGCTTATTTTTTCCAAAGAAACAGTTTTCAGTTTTCAAGGATATTAGTAACAAATACCCTCCATAGTCAGACATTAATTTAGTTGGACATATTCTTCTATATTGGCAGTTATTTTCCTTTATCCTTTTGAAGATATTTCGCTGATTACTGTCATTTATTTTTGCTTTTGCAGAATCTGCTATTGTCTACTTGTTACCGCTTGGTAGCTAACTTGTGTTTTGTCTCTGCCTGCTTTTAAGATCTCTTTTGTCTTTGTTTCGTTCTGCAGTTTCTGCTACAATGTAGCTCATTGTGGATCTATACTAATCTTCATTCCTCCTTGTCTCAAAGTAACCATATATTTAATGAATTCTTGGTAATGTATAGGCATATATCATTAAATAATGCCAATTTATAATTCTATTCTCTTTCAGAAATTTATATTAAACGTGTTGAATTTTTTGTTTGTTTTATGCTCTCTGTTTCTTAACTTTATGCCTATCCTCTTATACAACTGCATTCTAAATTGTTTCCTTAAACCTGTCTTTCAGATCATTGATTATGCTTCAACTTTGTCTGAACAGCTGTTTCACCTATCCATGGAGTTTTTGGTTCAATTGCTATAGTTTTTATTTCTAGATGATGTATTGTTTTAATACATATTTTTCTTTTCATATAGTATTTATGCCCTTTAGTCTTAGTCACTTAAAACATGTTAGATAATCTGTTCTTTTGTTCATTTATCCAAACTTCTTAGGGTCCAAAGTCCCATATTTATTGTTTCTGGTGATGCAGTTCTTCTCATGACAGATTGTTTCTGCATGAAATTTGTAATTTGGGATTATGAGCTCATCTTCAATGGGGAATACTGTATACAAATATGTAGCCAGATTGGATATAGCTAGCCCTTCAGAGACATTTTGAATTTGCTTTTAATTCATGTCCTAAGTGAATCCTTAGGCTAATTTCTTAATTCAGTTATTCCTGAACCACCCACATAGCCCTGGTTATAAATTCTGAGTGATACTGTCTCTTCCCTTCACTTGGCATCTAGATAGAAACAGATAGGCATCATTATGGTGCCCATTTATTTGGACACTTTTCACTATCCTCTTATGTCCACTACATAAGAATCTAAACCTAAGCTTCTAGGTCACTGAGACCCATTAAGTCCCCTTAATGCAGATCAATATCAGTTTGTATCTTACCACACTGCTCTTAGGTCTCTGTACCTTACACCTGGGTCTCTCTTTTTGTTTGCTTTCTCTCTTTCTCTTTTTGCAAGTCCAATAAAACACTTGAAAAAATGTCTTTTTGTCAGTTATTTCTAAGTGGTTATAGTAGGAAAGTTATCAGGTTCTTTAAGAAAAAGAAAAAGCAGAACAAGAAGTTCTACTTTGACCTTTTGACCTAAAACAAATCATATTCTCCATGCAAAACTTTCCTGCTAGCTTCTGTCCAAATGTAGACTGTCCAAAAACCAGCTTGAAAAGTATTAAACTAATGTAACCCTGAATGCCTTACAGTATAACCTTTGGGGATTTGTGTTCCTTTGGACTTTTAAAATAAATGCAGCCACAGCCTGGTGTGTTGAGAAAAGATAGGGTGGGGTTGGGGAGGGTTTATATCCTACCTTGAAAAAATTTTCAGGGAGTATATTGCAGAGAAACAGAGTATTTTCTGAAATCGTGCAAATGTCTTTTGCTTTTCCTTATTGAGAGACTAGAAGAGACTTTTTAAAAGTTATAATAAAAGTCCAAAGCCCTTTCTATCCCTGGAATCCTATGATTTTTCTACTGCCTTGAGACATGTTCCTGACAAATCCTTTTACAGCCGGTGTACAGCTTTGTAATCAAATTCTGAGTATCAAAGTAGTCCAAGATTTTCACAATGCACTCCAGTTTTTCTTTCTGCTACTCACCATAGGACCCCAGCAGCTTTACAGATATGATGGGGACTCTATTCTCTGCTGTTAATGCTTCTCAGATCTCATTGTCCACATAATTTTTATGACATGTCAAAGAGTACATTAGCAAACAAAATAATTAGTTGATTAAAAAGAATGTAAGTTATCGAATATTGTATAACATGACATATTTCACAATACCCACTGTTGGAAACTTTTATTACTTCCTTTGAACATCCTGTAATTTTGAAATGTTTTGCCCTAAAATTCTCTTTGGAAGCAACATGTTAGTAATAAGTCAGCAATAAGACACAATTGGAATAAAAACAAAGAATTCACACACATACAAAAAGAACAATATTGCAAATATTCTTCTCATACTCAATACCCAAAGTTATTTCTGAAGCCTCACCAAATTATTTTAGATTAAGTATCTACAACAAATTATTTTTTAAAATCCATCCTTTGCTGAATTTTATTCTGTGTTTGGATTGAGGCGGAGTCTGTTGTTAGCTGCATGATGAGAGCGGAGACGCTGAATCTTTTTATTTTCTTAATTAAGAATTACCATCTCAGGCCCTGGTCAGTGGTTTACAATGGCAATAATCTCTTCCAAAACAGTTGTTAGTCTGGATCCTAAGGGATTTGCCAGAACATTAACCTCAATTCGACCCCTCATGGTTGCAGGAGGAGGATGCAAGGGTCAATAATCATTTTTAGAAAATTATCAAGCCTGGGTTGCACCCTAGATTATGTAACTTGCTTTAAAAATAATGATAATGTGTTTGTCATTTTAAATAACTGGGATCAGCAAAGCTAATGAAAATGTTTAAATCCTTATCAGTTGGAATGAATAGGGCTGGCTCCAGAAAGTGCTGACTTCAACATTTTTGCGCTGCTTTTGTTGATCCTGTCTGCTGATGCACACGACCTATTGATGTGCAGCTTCGCATGCCATGGGGACTCATTCATCCATGTTAGAAGTGAAAGGGGCTTCCGGGCCTCTACATGTGCTGTGGCACATTCCTCTGGTTCTCTAACAAAGCTTTTAATTGACGTCTGTGACTAATGAGCATGAAGTCCCAGGAGAAATGGAGCACAGTCTTCTACCACCCATTAAGACGAGCTGCAAGTTCATAGTTTATCAAGCTTGAACTGGGAGCAGGCAGGGCCAAAGACTTGAGATAAATAAGAATGAATAGTTTCATTTTCTACTTTCATAAACTGGCATTAATAATTCTTAGCTAAAGTACATTGCATTTTTAGTGTTATTACCTAAGCTCTCGTAGCCAAGGCCCTCAATGGCCCTGTTAAAGGCTGCATACCTCTTTTCAAGAGAATCAGAATTAACCCTACTTCAGCTAAAGTTTAGTCGGAGTGCATTTCCCTAACAAAGAAATATTTTCCCTCTTTGTATAGGGTAGTAATCCTTTCTCACCTGAAGTCATATGGGATGAAGTAAATGCTGGAAGTGGGCCATATTGAGCTAGGCAGAAAGGTACTAACCTCCTACTATGTACAGAAAATGCTGATGCAGATAGTTCTACCCGAAGGTTTTTGTTATCTTTGTCTTTTAATTTATACTTTCAATTATGTGCCTTACTGCAGTGTAATAGAGTCATTATGTGGATTAGAGGAGAGCCAGGATGAAAAACTTATAGTCATTACCTGTTATTTATTGTATCTACTCAAGGGCATCAGAGAAATAACATCATTAGAATTAGTAAATTGCTAAAATCAGGGGTAGGAGTTATACTTACTCCCTAAGATCTTAGCATTAATGTTTGAAAGGACACTTGTAGGTCTCATTTGGTCATTGGTATATTATAGACTTCATACTTCTAAGTGGCATAAGTGAGTATAAATATATATTCAATAAATAATTCAAATGTCTTTAAAGTATATAATCATTAATTTTTAACTCTAGAACAGTTATACTTCATAATCAATAGGACTCCTGCCACTCTCATGATTAATCTTGATTTTAAACAGCCTACCATATGACTCTGCTACTGTATGACACCTCCCTACCATATGACTCTGTTATCTCTTGTCCTATATCTCTGTATCTGATCATTTCAACTAATCTATTTCAGTTACTTTATAATTGCCTCTTACCCATTCCTAGAAACTTGATGTGAATTCCCTTTCCTCCTGTCCAGTGGACCATCCACTTCTCAGTTTTTCACAGAGTTCTTTTTTTCTTTATTCTTTTTATGCCATTCCATTGACTTATTATTATTTTGATTAAGATTCATGATCTTAGGCCTCATGTGTCTCTCATGATCAAGGGCCAGATTCATGATCATAGGCTGCATGTGTCTCTGCCCACATCCCCTGTCCCGCATAACCTTTGACTTCCTGTACCCCCTTCCTCCTTTCCTAATAAGACCTTCATCCTTAGTATATGCATATTCTTCAGAAACTTGTTCACCATTTGCTTCTGCCATCTCTCACAGAAAAACCTTTTTACTCACATCCTTTCCTCCTTCAGTGTACAAGTTATAACTCAACCTTTCAATGAAAACTTCCTAGATTGGGCTATTGGGTTATTATTATTATTATTAATTTAGAGACAGAGTTTCACTCTGTCTCCCAGGCTGGAGCGCAATGGCGCAATCATAGTTCACTGCAACCTCAAGCTCCTGGGCTACTGGGTTATTTGAAGTGCTACTAGCTTCAAATGTATTATATATAACTCAAGCATCACGATTTCCTATGTAAAAACATGTGTGATTGGCATGCATTGGGCATGCCATGTTTTATTATTTTCCTGGAACCAGATTATAGGCTATTTTAAGGCAGTTATGAAGTTTCATGTCCTGTAGCATCTTTTTGTGTGCATCAATGAATCCTTACTTTGCATAATCTGTATCAAAGCAGTTAATGATGATGGTAGTATCCAACTCCATATGTAAAATGAACTAGCAAATGTATGCCTGGAATATAGAGTTGATAGAGTACTATGGAGTTCCTGCATTCTTAATTGAAAAAATGTCAAGAAATAAATATCCAGGAACTATCCCAAACAGATGTATTATTCAGCTGCTCATAAAAATCAGAATAATGCCGATTGGAATTACCTTTTCATGCACCTCATGACTCCCATATAGTAAGTTCTCAATAACTATCAAATTTACTGTGATTGGAATATGTGTTCAGTACCATATAATTCGTCACCATCATTAACTTTTCCAGCAACTTCTTTATAAAATCTCTGGCTATCTTATGGTTACCTCTAGATTTCAAAGGCCAATTGGTAGACATGACTTTAAACTGACGCCTTTTAATCTATGGGCACAAGCCTCTAACTTTCCTTGGTATACTTAAAAGATAAAAATTTAAAGTTTGTAAAGATTGGTGAGATAGTGATTACAGTTCTTCCTCCAGGGGGAATAAAAATACATATCTTTAGATTACTACATAAATGATTTAGTTAAAGAATTATTACAGCTCAGCATTACTGAATATTGAAACATACTTGTTGAAGATATGAAATCACTTTCCTTCTATTTTATTAAAAATAGCATTAACATACTGAGATCCAAGGTGGATTTGAAGACTATTTTAAACTCTTCAGACCTAGGATTTTACATTCATCCATAATAGCTCTGCTGTTCTTCGATTACGTGGTGTTTCTTTCGAGGTATTTTTAACCTGGGAACACTGAAGCAAAGATGTTCAAATTCAACCTTGGAGCTTCATCTCTTTCACCAACAACATTTACCCATCCTGTGTTATTTAAAGGCCAAATGGAACCGTTATTTTGAAAATCTGAAAAGAATGTCAGAATGAACACAATATGGAGAAAACATTTTCACAAAAATAGTGATTCCAAGTCTTGTAATTTAATATGCATGGTTGAATGAACTTATCTTTCTCCTACTCCACAAATACAGCCTACCATATCCTGAACTGCAGCCCTTTGGAAAAGAGACAAGTCTGTAAGTTAGCGTCCCATAATTATGCCCGCTGTACATCTTTATATCCCATAACAATTTTCTAATTAAAAATGAATTATTTGCCTACAGGCCCGAGAAAATGATAAAAAGAAGGAAATAATTGTTCTAGGTTTCTTTGAACTAAAAATGAAATCATTTAATCCAAAAAGAATGATGAAATGCATTTTAGTGGGGGCATGGAAACTATCATAGAAAGGAATAGATTGTGTACCTGGAAGCTGAGGAAATAAACTTTTGGCATGTTCTCTGGGGAGTTAATAAAAAGTTCCTCGAAGAATTTCCTTAGCTTGATTTTAGAAGTGTATCATTAGAGTCTAGCCCTCTGTGTTAGTAGACATAATCACCATAAACAATCTCCACGTTTCAGTGACTTCTCACTATAAAAGTGTGGTTATTACACACAGCATAGTTCAATGATGGTCCGATGAATACAGCATGAGGTTCTGCTCCATGCACTCATTCAGGGACCCAAGCTACTTATAACATATGGCTTTGCTATTTTGAGGGCCCCCACCTTCTCTGCCTGCAGTCCACCCATGGTAGAAAATCACGAAGGACTGCCTGGGAGGTCTTCTGGGTCCAGACTTGACAGTGATGTACCTCACTTCTGCCTTCATCCCATTGGCTGGAACTCAGTCACACAGTCCCACCTAACTGCAAGGGAGGCTGAAAAATGTAACCCAGCTGGCTGAAAGACGAAAAGAAAATAGGATTTGATTAACACAGAGCAGTCTGTCACATCATCAATAATTTTGAGTTGGAGTTAATAAGGTGTGTGAAAAAATAGCCCTGTGGTTGGTCCTGAATGCCAGTCGCTGTAAGAAAATACAAGACCAAGTGTGTCCATTTCAGAGAGCTATAGCTACATATTGCCTATGAGAGAACATGCTCAATTTTAGAGGCTACGAGGAATATAAGATGAATCGGACATTGTCTCTGCCCTCCGGCAGGACCCAGTCTTCTAAAGGAGCAGTTTCTCTGTAAACTGTTTTCTAGCTGTGCACCGGGATGTTAAATTGAAAATTTCTACTGAGGCTCCCAGTTCTAATAGATATGAAATTCCAAAGTGAGGTACCAGACCAAGGTGCCAATTTCCAGCGGAATATCAAGAATGGGTTCTATACATGAAACATTTGTCAGCATAAAGAGGATATATGGCCCCCAAGAGTGAAGGTTAAGAGAGGATTTCGTGAGGATAATTTCTATTTTCAAAAAGACACCGGATGAGGCTGGGGGGCTGTCTGCCGCCTCACCTAAATGCTAAGAAGACTGACTTCAACAGTACCATTTTGAGAACTTGACACATACCTCCTGGAGCTGGAAGAGGGTAGATGTGGATTGATGACTCAAACATGAGAAATCTGGAGGAAGTTACACCCTAACTGGCTAGTTATTCAGATGGCAAGAGCAAAGGAAAGTTGTTGCTGGTTGAAATCAGCCAGCAGGAGCTTGTTTCTTAGAAGAATGAGGATGCATCTAATATGGCCACTGAGAGAAAAAAAAAAAAATGGAACCTCAGGAGAGAAAACCTTTAAGTGGAGCCTAGATCCCTAGGGGCTGAGAAAGAAGCAACCAGCTGAATTCAGACTGCTTGCTTAACAAGAATGAAAAGAGTAGGAGAATCTCTGAGGAACCCGCACAAAGTAGTCTTAGAGAAAGGATCAGTGTTAAATATTGGTTAAGCTGTCATGATTCTATTAGTCAAAAAAGATCTTGGCTAGGCACGGTGTCTCATGCTATAATCTCAGCATTTTGGGAGGCTGAGACGGGTGGATCATTTGAGGTCAAGAGTTCGAGACCAACTTGGACAACATGGTGAAACCCTGTCTCTATTAAAAATACAAAAATTAGCCAAGCAGAGTTGAGTGCACCTGTAATCCCATCTACTGGGGAGGGTGAGGCAGAAGAATCACTTGAGCCCAGGAGGCAGAGGTTGCAGTGAGCCAAGACTGCACTATTACACTCCAGCCTGGGCGACAGAGCGAGACTGTGTCTCAAAAAAAAAAAAAAAAATGTCTTGCCTATTCCTCTTATCTCTCTTCTTTACTTCAACCCTGGGGATGGAAGCTGATCAAAACAGCAACTAGTGAGTGAAGGAGAATGGACATAGACAGAAAGAGACAGCCAAACATATTCTTTATATTGAAGACACCCATTTGCCTGTGGGCAGCCATGGCTGTAAAATGATGAAATGTTAGCTTTCAGTGATGATTCAGGTGCTAATGAATATTGGGCTGGACATCCATCCTAATTTCTGAAATCAGACTGTGTTTTGTAACCTACTGTGAAAATAGAACTTTTTCTTAACTAGGAGTGGTCAGAAAATAGTAGTTTTCATCAGAGGCAGGAGAAAGAGCTAACCAACCCCTTGGATCAGGCTTAGAGGAACAATGACAGGCAAAAGCAACATTCTTTTATGACTCTTGCTGACACAGCTGATTTGTACAATATGATGTTTGCCTTTGAATTCTGGGAAAGTGCTCCAGGAGAAGTACAAATAAAGTACTCTGGGAGGTGAAATAGACGTCATTTGCTTCTAGCTAGAGTACAAGGGTGTTTAAGGAAGGGCTTCATGGAGATGAAGGTGTATGCACCAGACCTTAAAGATAAAGGGATTTAGATGTGCAGAGATTTGGGATGGGCTAGTGGAGGAGAGGTGGCTGATGGTGCATTGTTAAGGGCATTTTAGCAGAGCAAACATAAAAAGGTAAGGAGACAGAAAAACATAGCAGATGCAGGTAGGAGAGCAATTAGTTCCATTTGGCTGAAGCCAAGCATGGGGCAATAATTAAAATTAAGGTAGAAAGTGTTGGCTTCCAGCTTGGGCAAAAGCATAAGATATGCTTGAAACCTCAGCAGGTTGTCTGCACAAAAGGCAAGGTATCTGGGACTAGGTAATAAGGGCAAAAGGAGAACCTTGTAGTTGCGCTGACCTTCACAGTAGGTAGTCAGATGTCTAGTTTACAGTATCCATAGTGTCCATGGAGGTATTGGGTATTAATTAATTTATTTTTTAGAGGCAAAATCTCACTCTGTTCTCCAAGCTGGAGTGCAGTAGCATGATCAGAGCTCACTGCAGCCTCGAACCCCTGGGCTCAAGCGATCCTCCTATCTTAGCCTCCCAAGTAGCTGGGACTATAGGCACAAGCCACCACACCTAGCTAATCTTTTTTATATATTTTGTAGAGACAGGGTCTCACTGTGTTGCCCAAGCTGATCTCGAACTCCTAACCTCAACCCATCCTCTGGCTTCAGCTTCCCAAAGTTCTGGGATTACAGGTGTGAGCTACCACGCCCAGCTGAGGCATTAATTTTTATCTAATTGATATCCAAGCAGGCTGATGTGATAGGTTAGGTGTGAAAACAAGGAAGTGTAAGCAGTGGGATGATAAATTCAGTAAGTTGTGCTTGAAGGTAGTACCCTCAGCTTGGAGTAAGTTTGGGAGTCAAATTTCTATAGATAGGAGAAGTTCCTTTTCTGACAGGCAGCTCCTACATTCTGTGACCTCCAACAAGTAATTTGACTTCCCTGAACTCCTGTTTCTTCATCTGTAAGGTGGTAATAATAACATATAATAAAACAATCCACACACTCCCTTCTCTTTCCTCCAAGAGGAGAAGGAGGATGGAGATTCCAAGCAGCGGGCTGCCACACCAGTGATGGTCCCCGTCTCAGCAAGGGATCTGGAGGAAAAATCAGGAAGATGAGACAGATGTTCTGTTTCATGAACAGAATGAGTGGAAGTTGGGGGAAGACTTTAAGTCAGTGAGTTTTAGCTCCCGTAAATACCAAGCTTACATCAAGAAGCACCCACCCTCTGCCAGTTCCGTCTCTGCTTGCCTCCGCTGGGATTGGCGTGGGGACTGGGCGGGGCTGAGTTTGCAGGTTCCCAGTCCTCTGTGTCTAAAGTGCTCAGGGAGGCAGAAATAAAATGGATAATGGGGAGGAGACATGCCAGCCAAAAGGGCTTGAATGTTATTCCGGTGTGATCACAGGTTTTTAAGGAGGACAGAGCTAGAGGAGGGGAGAGAGCTGACACCTGACATATCGGTCCATGCAGCGTGGAGAGGAGATGGCAAGGTGAGCAAGGGGTGGGACATTCAAGTTAGATGAAACAGCACAGACCTAGGCCTGAAGGCAGAAAGGATTGGCAAGACGCAGGAGACAGGGACTGTAGTCCCAGCTCTGCTGCGAAGCTTTCTGAGTTGTGGTTTCTCCGTGTATCAAATAGGTTCTAAGTGACACCTCACTTATTTAGAGGCTGCAATTTGAAATCTCATCTATCCAAAATTCAGGCAGACATATAAGTAAGTAAAAACTGTCTCTGGGCATTCTGTATAGGTATTACAACTTTCATGCTGAAAACAGGAGACAGAACTTTTCTCCAGCTTCTTCTTCAATAGCTACATACCTAGTTTGGAGACAATTTTAACATTTGACATTCTAATTACTCTTCCCAGAGAAGTGAAGATTTTGCAAAGAAAGAGGGGTATTAGAGTATGAGATTCAGGCATGAGAGAAGGGCCCACTCTAAGGAGGAGATAAAAGGAAGCAAAGGAATTATTTTCAAAATAGCAATATGGATCCATTCGGCATCGGTACAAAGAATATCCACATCTCTGTATGCTCTGGAGGTCTATGCATATTTGTGCTATAGTTTCCGGCATCTTCAAACATAATGAGTAATTGATGCTTGCAAAGATACTTCTGAGTCATCAAAAAATGGATAAATTATATCCAGAAGTCTCGATTTCTAAAGAGGAAGGGGAGGGGAGTGGAATTTTTTAAATTCTAGTTGAGATTATTAGATTTTTTAAACTAGGGATTTTTGAGAGGATAAATTTTCATTAAGTGAACATTTATTTATTCAGTGCTTATCTTTTATAAGTTATTCTTACTATGATAATGGGACTATAAAATATGAAGGCTACTTTAAAAGAGAGAGAGAGAGAGAGATACACCGGAACGCGGTCAAATGACTAGTCATCTTCGAGGGTAGAAACTTACACTGATGATCCCACCTTTGCTGAAAATATTTTTATGATTTGTATTGACTGTCTACATAACCTTTTTTGTGAGTTTATAGTCATGCAAAGCAACAGCCTCCTGACTTTAGAATCTCACCTGGATATTTACAAGGAAAACCTCCATCTCCAATAACAACATATTTTGAGTCTGGTTCTTCGAGGAAACATTGACTGAGCATTTAACTAGCCCTTTGCAGTAAGAGGGAGGTTCTGCGTGGTCCTTGAAATTCACTCAGAGTGTAGCTGAATTGTCCACGTTATTCACAAGGCTTGTTCTTTTTAGCTGTTTACAAAAGCATTAAGCCTACCCTAAAGGTCAAGATGTTGCTAACATTGAGAAGATTTTTGTTTAATATACAATATACTCTGGCATCAGGGTCCAAAGTAGAGAATCAAAGGTGGCTTGAAAGATGACGGTGTCATTAAAATAAGGTAACTCTTTTGAAGGGATAGCACTCATTTAATACGTAAATTCTGACATATTCATGTAAAAACATGCATCATGTGGAATCACATTTGAGAGGACATTGGCAACTATTAATCCCTGTACAAAAGTAAAAGAATTGTTGACATCATCATCATATTGGAGACTACCTACATGTCAAAAGGCTGCAGAAAGGCAGGTTTGCCTTCACTGCTGTTGGCAAGACCCATAGTTCCCCCTGCCCCAGGCAGCCACGTGTGGTGATGACTGAATCCTGCAGAGACCCAATGACTGCAAGTAGGCATGCTCTCACCTGCTCCAAGCCAAATGCCAGTTTTGCAGCAGGGCATCCCTAGGCCCCCAGGAGATTGCTGTCTTCTTGGTGATCAGAGCAGAGATTGACACTTTGCAGGCATTTTCTGCTGCTGCACCAACACTCTTTGGAAGTTCTCACATTTGAGCAAAACTGCTATTCTTGAGATGTCTAGCACCACTAATGTGGGCCAAGAATCAAAACGTTTGCCCAGACTTTGTTTTAAATTGTTGACCTGAGTTCAATTTTTAAGCAAGGAGTTTTTAAAATAGAGTAGAATCATATTATTACATAAAATGTGACATGCCATTTGTAACTCTGCTAGGGTATACCAAGCCTGAACTTGAAAACAATAAAGACACTGCGTTTTATTTGGAAGGTTTTATTATCAAAAATATCCTATTCATTCTAAAAAGTATGAAGTGCTAATGCTTAGGTATCTGTTTATTCCCTTATTAAGCTGATGTCATGACATCTTAGTAAAAACACTTCTTTTCTATGCATGCTCTTAAAAAACAAGGGTTTAGGTGGACATGTGAGTTCATATTTAATTCTTCCAAATGCACAAAAGAATTTTGTTGGGATATTTTTTGTTGCAAAGGATGGTTGTTTTTCTTTAACTTATTTTAAAATATAAAAATAATGTATTTTTAATGTAGATTTGAAAAATGCAGAAAAATAGAAATTAAGAAAAATGAAAGATAAACACTATGAACGTATAGTAGCATAAGGTTCTTTCCAACCTTAGTATTATGCGTAGTTTTCTTCTGGACTTTTGGTTTACAGTATTTGGTTGAATTTGGGAGGTTTTTGCTTTTTGGTTTTGTTTTAGAGGCAGGGTCTTTCTCTGTCACTCAGGCTGGAGTGCCATGGTGCAGTCATGGCTAACTGCAACCTCGAACTGCCAGGCTCAAGCGATCCCCCTTATCTCAGCCTCCCAAGTAACTGGGACTACAGGTGCACACCACCACACCTGGGTGGTTTATGTTTTAGAGATGGAGTCTGACTGTGTTTCCCAGGCTGGTCTTGAACTCCTGGATTCAGCAATCCTCCTGTTTCAGCCTCCCAGAGTGCTGTGATTACAGGCATGAGCCACTGAGCTGGCCTGTATATATTTTTTCACATACTTGCAATTATTATGTATATGATTAGACTTTTTTCATTAGATTATGTGTTTTTATGTTATTGTAAGCTATTTGTAGACACAGTTTTATTGATGATACAGTTTTCTATAAAATGGATATTATATAATCGACTTAGTTAATTTCCTGTGGTTTTAAATTTAGATTTCTTCCATTCATTAACCAAAAAAAAAAAAACCACTCCAATGAACATTTATATATCACCACTTCCCCCTATCTGGAATTAATTTTTTGACATACAGTCTCAGAAATGTTACTGATCAAAATTGTAATTACATTCTTAAGAATCTTCACACACATCCTGAACCCAGTGTCTAAAATGTTTTTTGTTTTGCTTTTTAACCATTTTACAGTTTTATATCAAAGACTTCAGTGTCGTGAGATTTTATCACTTTTTAAAGCTCATGTGACATTATGGTGTAGCTTCAATGTGCTTTTTAAAATGTTGAATTTTTGTGTCTAATTTTTTAATAAGGAAAGAAATATATGTATGTCCTTTACATAGGCTCTGAATGTTTTCTTAAAATTGATGTGATCACTGTATTAATAATAGTAAACCTTTGTCATATTTGGGTGTACATTTTTCCCAAAAGATTTTGGCTTTTTCATTTTATTTTAGTTTTCTGTATAATTATTTGTATCTTTTAAAGAGCAAAATATATTGATTGCTGTTATCACTTTTAAGCTTAGGAATTCCTTTAGAGATTTAATATTTACTTCTACTTCCCTAGTTTATTGAATGTTCCCATTTTTAATATATATATTTGGAATTTGGTTTAGGTATATGCTATAACATATAATTATACATACTCTAACTAGCTAAATAATTATTCCAAAACAATTTACTTTTGTCCATATTGGTGTGTGGTACTTTTTTTGAGTATATATTGATTTCTCATATATTGTAGATTCTGTTTTGAAATTATCTATGTTGTCTCGATCATCTATATGTCTTTCTGTATCAGTGCCAAAATATTCTAATTATTATACCTTTCTATTATATCTCAATATTTGTTAGAGTTTGCCTGCTTCATTCTTACTCTTTTCAATCATGTTTTCAATTGATCATCTTTGAGTAAGGGCACAAGTTTGATGGTCTACCCAGTCTAATATACTGGGCCTTCCACGAATTTACTATGTGATATTGAACAACTTACATAATTTATTTTGGCCTTAATTTTCCTATCTGTGAAATGGAGATGGTCATAATAATATCCATTTTATAGGTTTATTATGAAGATCATCTGATTTAATATATACAGTAGTCCCCACTTATCCATGGGGAATACATTCTAAGACCCCCAGTGAATGCCTGAAACTACAGATAGTACCAAGTCCTATATATACTATGTTTTTTCCTATACTATGTTTTTATACCTATGATAAAGTTTAATTTTTAAATTTGGCACAGTAAGTGATTGATAACAATAACTAGTAGTAAAGTCAAGCAAATATAACAATATACTGTTCACAATTTTATGAATAGATTTGTTCTTCCCATAGATCTTGGCAACCTCAGCATACTTTTTTTTTTTCCCCCTTATCAAATTGAGAACTTTCGCCTTTTCACCTAAAGAAATCACTTTATGGCAATGGGCCGGGCACAGTGGCTCACACCTGTAATCCCAGCACTTTGGGAGGCCGAGGCGGGTGGATCACGAGGTCAGGAGATGGATACCATCCTGGCTAACACAGTGAAACCCCGTCTCTACTAAAAATACAAAAAAATTAGCTGGGCAAGGTGGCAGGCGCCTGTAGTCCCAGCTACTCAGGAGGCTGAGGCAGGAGAATGGCATGAACCCGGGAGGCGGAGGTTGCAGTGAGCCGAAATCGTGCCACTGTACTCCAGCCTGGGCAACAGAGGAAGACTCTGTCTCAAAAAAAAAAAAAAAAAGAAATCACTTTATGGCTTCTTTTTGGCATATCCAAATTGTCAGCAACACTTTTCCTGCCCTTTAGGGCCAGTATGAAGTAAAATAAGCTTGAACCCAAGCACTATGGTACCTATACATGACAGTCGATCTGATAACCCAGACAGCTCCTAAGTGACTGTGGGTGGGTAACTTAGGGTAGATCCTCTGGACAAAGGGATGATTCTTGTCCTGGGTGGAATGAAGCAGGACTGTATGAGATTTCATCACACCACTCAGAATGGCATGCACTTTAAAACTTAGGAATCGTTTATTTCTAGAATTTTCCATTTAATATTTTTGAACTGAGGTTAATTGAAACATCGGAAAGCAAAATTGCAGATAAGGTGGGGCTGCTGTATATAAATTATCTAAAGGCCGTGCTTGACATACCTTTAGTGGTTGCGAACGTTACCTCTTATTAGAATTTGCAAATAGTGATCCTATTGTCTCCTTTGCAATCATTATATCTCACTTCTGTGTCATGTCTTATTGCATTGTCAACAGTGTCTAAAACAATATTAAATAATAATTATGGTGCAAGTCCTGTTCTGGATAAGAGTAAAGGCACCGTGTCTCTCCCATTGAATGCAACTGAAAAGCCTGGATAGAATGCATGAAACAACTCTTTGAAGACTGAAAAGTCTTCTGGGGTAGAAGACTACAATTCAAACTACCATTGAAATGGCAATGAGTTTACTTTCTTTCCTCCAGCATCTCCCAGACTCAGCTCAAAAGGGTACTGGTGCCAATAGAGACACCCTAAGGAGAATCCCCTTATTTCTGGCTCAAGGAGCAAAAAGGAGTCTCTTAATGCTCAGAGAAAGAATAAACCCCCCCCCCCCATTTCTCTCTTCTTTCCTTTTCTCTGTTCTTTGAAGAAGGAGAACGTTCCCCTCCAATCCTTTGATCAAAGGAACTGTGATTCTAAGAACCTGGGGCAAGTGCCTGATGGTTTCATTTTCTTTCTCTCTCTCCATTTTCCTACCACTTGGACCCAGACACAGTGTAATCACAAGAAATATGCCGTAGCAGCAGAATAAATAAAGTCTCAGATTCTTTGAAAGCCTCAGGGAACGAAAAAGGACTATGTTGCAGAGATATTGCAGAAAAGGAGGAGCTTAGGAAGGCAATCACTTAAAGTTGTGTATGAACTCCTGGGCCCACCCCTAAATTGTGTGTGCTTTGTTCTGACCCTAAGCAGCATGCATCAGTCCTTGAGAACTGAACTATGAGAATGGCCACTGGACGAAGATCACACTGGACACAGGAAGGTGCAAACACAGGACAGACGCAAACAGCACTCCAAAGGCTTTGAAATCATAAACAATTAAATTCACATTGGAATCACAACCCGTAGATAAGGCTGGTCAGAACCAGCAGCCTGAACCCAACCAGGTCATATGTGAACACCTGCTGGCACCTTGATCTTGGACTTCCCAACCTCCAGAACTGTGAGACATAAATTTCTATTGTTTTTTTTTAGTGTTTTTTATGTGTTTTGTGTTCTAAATTTTATTTTTCAGCCTCAATATATGACATTTTAAATTTTTGTTGTTTATAAGCTACCCAGTCTATGGAATTTGGTTATAGCAGCCCAAACAGGTAAAGACACCAATATATCCAAAATATTAGTTCATCATATAATCAATATTTTTAAATGTTAATGAGATTTTTTTGTTTTTTTTTTCTTTCTATTAAGTCTTCAAAAGCCAGTGTGCATTTTGTACTTACAGCACAGTTCAATTCAGGCATTAGATTTTCATCAGAAATACCTGATATGTATTTAGATTTCATAAAATTTACAATTGAAAAAAAGTGGATTCACATACTCAAGTTGTTCCAAACATACCTACGAGTTTTCCAGTTAGTGAATCGAGTATCAATTTAAGTTTATAAATTGAGGGGGCTACATGATGTGTTCCTGATCTAATCATTTGTGGCTCTACTTTTTGTTAAATTACATGATTCATTGTTCTTAAGCATTATCTTCCTATAGGTAAGATAGTGCCAAGGCAGTGTCTTGGTGTAGATAAGATGGTTTCCTTGTGTCTAGAAAGATGAGAAGAGAATAGCTGGAGAAAGAAGGAAGATGGACCTGTTGGGTCCAATCCACACTATTCGAGTGATGAGTGCACTAAAATCCCAGACTTCACCACTACGCAATACATCCATGTAACAAAACTGTACTTACACCCCTTGAATCTATAAAAAAATAAATAAACTTTTAATTTAAAAAAGGATAAAAATAGAAGATGCTGGGAACTATTTTTAGAAAGACAGATGAGAGGAAAGAGAGTTGCTGTCAACCTTGAACATTGTCAAGAATTTGAGAAGGATAAACCAGCCTGGCCTCCCTTGGAGTCATGTGACCAAGAGCTGTTACTGAGAAACATCACTGTTGTCCCTGTAGGTTTAATACAAAAAGTGACTGAAAGACAAAATCTGAGTATTGTTCTTGATAATAAAAGACAGGCAGATATATCAGGAAGAGGAAAGGAATTTATTACCACTGTCAAAGACCAAGACTGCAGTAATCCACAGGAGGGGGAAAAACATTAATCCATACCATGCTGAAATTATTTTCGTATACCCTTAAAAAGCAGAAGGGCGGAGAGGACAAATAGCAGTGAGCAATTTACTGGTTGTCTCACGTAGATTCTTTAAGGTTACAAGGAGCAGAGAGATGTGTAGTTTACCTTAGTTGAAAGTTAAAAGTGAAATAGACAAAAGAGGAGGGACATGTGTCCATTTCTGCATAGAAATCTCATGGAACAGGAAAGCCATTTGGGTTGCAGCTGTAATTCCAGAGACCCTCTGGACACCACAGCTGCAGTGATCCACTCAAGTTGTTATCCCCTCAGCAAGCAATATCCATTTCTTCTTTTTTGAGATGGAGTCTCGCTCCGTTGTCCAGGCTGGAGTCTGGAGTGGCACGATCTCAACTCACTGTAACCTCTGCCTCCCAGGTTCAAGCGATTCTCCTGCCTCAGCCTCCCGAGTAGCTAGGATTACAGGCGTGTGCCACCACACCCAGCTAATTTTTGTGTTTTTAGTAGAGATGGGGTTTCACCATGTTGGCCAGGCTTTGAACTCCTGACCTCAGGTGATCCACCCACCTCGGCCTCCCAAAGTGCTGGGATTACAGGCATGAGCTACCAGGCCCGACCTAGTATCCACTTTTTCTAAACCTATGCCCCACCATTTTGGGGCTAAGCTACATTCTGCTTCTGCTTCTACTTATTTGTGCTGCTATACTTATTATCTAGCTAATCTGCCTAGTGTATCCCATATTCAGTCTCACGGAGAACCAGGGTGTGATTGGTTTTACTGGTCACCACTGAGACAGGGCAGCCTTATTGACATATCTGGCCTCCCCCTAGGCTAGCAGCAAATCTTTTGACTGGGGCTCATTCCTGATTAAAAAAAAAAAAAACAAAAACAAAAAACCAGTTCTGACCAGGACAGCAGGATCATATGGTACCAGGCATCTGACCTAGAGATCCATCAGTTTTATCAGAAGAGAGTTATGGGCATGGCAGACACTCAATGAATCATGGACTTCTCAGCTGATTTAGGGTTAAGTCTGTAACCCAACTCTGTAAAAATGAATGTGCATGTTTGTTATCTGCAGTATTAGACTGGACTTAAATCTACAGAATCTAGATAGAAAAGTGAGAGGAAAAAGAATCCCAGTAATAAATAGGATAAATAGAATTAAGCTGATCAAAAAGTTTTATTACAAGAATGATTCTGTGTTTATTCATATGTTCATTCCAATCTTCAAAGCATTTTTCAATATTCAACAAGGGGCTACCTTCTCCATGTGTGAATCTCATTTTAAATTATCTAAGACACAGTAGCAATTCGGAAGCTTTTCATTGATTAACATTTGGAAACTGAGCAAAAGAATATTTGCATGTCATCTTGTAGAGCAAAGGGCAGAGGGAAATAGAAGAGCAGATATTGAGCAAAAATTAATGTAGAGTGAACTCTGCTAAGGAAAGAAGGGATACATGTTTTAAAATGTGTTTATAAGGCACACACATCTGCTTTGCCCTCATGCTTTCATGGCTGATTGCAAAGACAAGAGGGGTAACTATTATTGACTTAATTTTGTGATTCCTGCAAATTCCCAAAGGGAAAGTAATCTAACATGACTAATTTTTTAAAGTAAGAAATTAGGGAATCCTGCTATAAGGACCACCGGCTTGAAGCAGGATGCGCAATCAGTACCTTTGCTGAACAGATAGGAAGGAGATGATACGTGTCTAAAACATGCCTTTTTATAGATCTGAACTTGAAATGGCAGGATCTGGAGTACAATGGCAGATCAAATATCTTTAGGACAATTTCCTATGCTTCTGCTATTTTTAGGTGTTCTACCCTGGCTTCTTCCTTAAGTCCCCCTAGCCTGCCTTTTATTGTTCTCCAAGTTACTCAGTATCTCTGCTTTTCTCTTGTTAGCCCCACCTTTCTCCCTCCCCTCACATTCTTGATAATTTGTATATCCTGCTTCTCTGTCCAGTTTTCCAATCCTAGACAAAGAGTTATTTACAACTGCCAAATGGTCACAATGGTTTTGTAAACAGGGCATTTATTTGAGTTAATGATTATCATCTTATTTGGGTTTTCATTATAGATCAAAGAATACTTTGGAATTTGATTTAGGATGAGATTGAAATTCTTAAAGGTCCTGTTTCAGGGTTGCATAGAGAGAAGAATGCAAACAAAGTCTTCCTTGGCAGGGGCCAGCTCTTATAAGACACCTCCTCTGTGGTTCATACTTGTTATTCCTCTGACCCATTTCCCGCGGTCACACAAACAGGTCTTGAATTGCTCAAAAATCGGGATAACAATTTTAAGCAATCTGGTCAAGGACAATTTGTTCTGTTCCTTATTGTCTGTTTCACTCTGACTTGGAGGCTTTGCTCACAAACACATCCAGGTGTTGATTATTGGAGATTAGTCAGAAGCTTAAATGATAACTAAGTATTGTACACACCTGTGCATATGGACCTCTTACAAGAGCTAGTCTGGCAGTTAATTGTTGTCAAAGAATCATATAAATCAAACTTCAAGAAAGGCAAAGCCAGAAAATAAGTGTTTACTGAGCGTATCAGTCAGGGTTCTCTAGAGGGACAGAACTAATAGGATAGATGTATATATGAAGGGGAGTTTATTACGGAGTATTGACTCACGTGATCACAAGGTGAAGTCCCATAACCGGCCATCTCCAAGCTGAGGAGCAGAGAAGCCAGTCTGAGTCCCAAAACCTCAAAAGTAGGGAAGCCAACAATGCAGCCTTCAGTCTGTGGCCGAAGGCCCGAGAGCCCCTGACAAACCATTCGTGTTAAGTCCAAGAGTCCAAAAGCTGAAAAACTTGGAGTCTGATGTTTGAGGGCAGGAAGCATTGAGCATGGAAGAAAGATGAAGGCCAGAAGACTCAACAATCAAGTCCTTCTACTCTCTTCTGGCTGCTTTATTCTAGCCATGCTGCCAGCTGATTAGATGTGCCCATCCAGATTGAGGGTGGTTCTGCCTCTCCCAAGTCCATTGACTCAACTGTTAATCTCCTTTGGCAACACTCACAGACACACTCAGGAACAATACTTTGCATCCTTCAATCCAATCAAGTTGACACTCAATATTAACCATCACGCTGAGTAACCAGCCAAATAATTTCTTTTTTGGCTTTGTAAGAAACTTTACGTGTACCTGATAAAAGGGAAAAAAGAACCTACTTGTAGTAAGGATCAACCGTTTCATATTGAATTAATCACATTTGCTCAGAAAGATACAAAAGGGTTACATAAATAATCTCCCTGCATGCTTTTCTTTGTATTTTTTAGTTTCCCTCAAAGCATTTGGTCACCTGAAGAAACTTCAGAAGTTGCCCATTCTAAGTTTTTAAGTTATATGAAGCATATGAAGAAATAGTCTCTTGATAAAGTTATTTTTACTATTTAATATCTGGAAGAGAATCCAGGCACCAGAGCCATCAATTTGATCTGCAGAGAAACTGAGTCCTTAATTGGACACAATTTAATTATCATCAAGCATTTGTTAAGACCCTGATTGAAATGTCCAGCAAGCCAGCCTGGGCAACATGACGAAACCCCAGCTCTACAAAAAATACAAAAGTTAGCCAGGTATGGTGGAACACGCCTGCAGTCCCAGCTCAGGAGATGGAGGTGGGAGGATCACTTGAGCCCAGAAGGTCAAGGCTGCAGTGAGCGGTGGTTGCACCACTGCACACCAGCCGAAATGACACAGAGAGACCCTGTCTCAAAAAGAAAAAAAAAAGAAAAAAGAAATGTCCAAGGAGAATGCAATAGGCCCAGCCTTTGTCTGCTGTGCTGATGGAAGGAGACAGGCTAGGATAATCCACCTTTCCACCTCCCAAATATCCCTCTACCCCATCTCCCAAAGATGGAGAGACAAAGCAGTCACAAAACAGGAGAGGAAGAGAAAGTCAAAGAGAAAGTGTCTTGGAAAATATTTGGTCCTTCCAGAGAGGTTTGAGCGTTGCTCGTATCTTCAACATCAAAATGTGTTACTCGCACATTTCCGTGTTCCTAAGAATCACTTAAGGAACATGTTTTTGTTTTGTTAAAAAAAAAAAAAAAAAAAAAAAAACAGTTCCCAGAGATTCTGATTCCAGTTCAAAATTCAAATGATTTGGTGAGGCCCCAGGATTTGCAGTTTTAATTACCCTTTCTCTGTGAATCTAGAATGGTTTGGGTAATAGCTTCTGCTGGTTGATAAATACAGAACACATTGCTCTTTTCTACCATGTTTTCATTGCAGACATCAAAGAAGTCTTCTATTTTCTTTTGACAGTTTGAAAATGTAATATTTTTATTTTTGCAGTTCAGTGGGGACAAGGGAGAGTGAAGAGTAGATTGTCTTTATTTCCCTAAACACATTTTGTTTCATAGGAAAAGAAAACCTCTTTTAAAGTGATCTATATTGTCAATGTTTAGAGAGCTTTTCCTAACCTTGAACGCACCACTTTGAGAATTCTTTGAAGAGGCCAGTTAATATATCTGAGTTTTAGAGAGTAGATTGTCCAACAGATGTGCTATGTCTAAATTGTGGTAAAATAGCCACAATGTCAGAAATGTGTGCTGAGTAAAATCATTAGTTATTTGAAAAATGAACTTTTGGCCAGGCACGGTGGCTCATGCCTGTAATCCCAACACTTTGGGAGGCCAAGGCGGGCGGATCATCTGAGGTCAGGGGTTTGAGACCAGCCTGGCCAACATGACGAAATCCAGTCTCCATTAAATTAGCCAGGTGTGGTGGCACGTGCCTGTAATCCCAACTACTCAGGAGGCTGATGCAGGAGAATGGC
Organism: Homo sapiens; assembly: GCF_000001405.40. NCBI lineage: Eukaryota > Metazoa > Chordata > Mammalia > Primates > Hominidae > Homo > Homo sapiens. The sequence goes on from NC_000010.11 coordinate 24,147,750, forward strand.
TTGAACCTGGGAGGCAGAGGTTGCAGTGACCCAAGACCATGCCACTGCACTCCAGCCTGGGCAACAAAGTGATACTCTGTCTCAAAAAAAAAAAAAAAAAAAAAAAAAAAAAAGAAAGAAAGAGAAAAGAAAAGAAAAATGAACTTTCTACCCTGTGTCTAGATTCGCATTTTCAATTATGTACTTTGCAAGATTCAAAATAAAAGCTATTACACTTAGTGCATGTATTACCAAACCACTGCTTTTTAAAATATAAGGTTAGAATATTGTTTTAAGTATGGTCACTTTTGAGCGTATAAGCCCAAAAGAGGCAAAAGGTTTTTTCTCCTGTTTTCTAAAAATAAGTTGCCTTTGAATAAAAGCCATATATGGATATTTATCCCTAAAGGAGACTTTTTTTTCTTGGTTTTAAATTACTGAAACTATTTTGCATTCTTAACTACTGCATTCATTACTATGAATAGATTTAAAATTTTTCTTGCACAAATCGAACCGAGTTTTATAGAACACTTATGTAGTATTATGTAGAATTGCTACTTCTGATGCTCATCTTTTACATGTAAATAGAAAGATACAGTTTTGTAAAGCTAAAAAAAAACCTAAAGTTAAGCTTAGTGTTTTTTTTCCATTTACTTATTGATATGGTATGAATGTTTGTTCCCTCCAAATCTCATGTTGAAATGTAATCCCCAGGGTTGGAGGTGGGGCCTGGTGGGAGGTGACTGGGTCATGGGAGTGGATCCCTCATGAATAGTTTGGCGCTATTCCCATGGTAATGATTGATTGAGTTCTCGCTGTAAGTTCCCGCAAGAGTTGGTTGTTTAAGGGAGCTTGACACTGCCTCCTCACTCTCTTCTTGCTCCCTCTCTCATCATGTGATATGCCGGCTTCCCCTGTGCCTTCCGCCTTGATTGTAAGCTTCCTGAGGCCTCATCAGAAGCCTCACAGATGCTGGTGCCATGCTTGTACAGCTTGCAGAACTATGACCCAAATAAGCCCTCTGTTTTTTTACAAATTATCCAGTCTCAAGTATTCCTTTATAGCAATGCAAAATGGACTAACACACATCATGAATTGTTTTGGGGAAAGATAGATATATGTTATTTTTTAATCTGAATATATGTTTCTGTTTCTATACAATATTCATTCCTGATCCTCAGATCTTAATCCATGTTACATATCTTAAAATGATATGGAAACTTCTGTGAGTTTTTTACTTTTTGTTGACAACAGATAAGCTCATTCTGTGTTGAGGTGAGAATCTTGGTGTTGGCCTGACCTCTGCTTACTGCCTGACATCCCATTCCCTATGGAATCACAGTTAAAGTTTCCTGAATTTTACAGAAATATATGAATTATTTGATAGAACTGACAGTTTATAGAAAAGTATAATATAAACAACAATTTTTTTCCTCCTCAAGAATGGTTTTATGTTTTTTGTTTTTTTAAAGGCAGAGTCTCACTCTGTCACCCAGGCTGGAATGCAGTCACACAATCTCTGCTAACTGCAACCTCTGCCTCCTGGGTTTAAGCAATTCTCCTGCCTCAGCCTCCCCAGTAGCTGGGATTACAGGTGTTTGCCACCATGCCCGACTAATTTTTTTTTGTACTTTTAGTAGAGACGAGTTTCACCCATGTTGACCAGGCTGGTCTCGAACTCCTGACCTCGAGGGATCTGCCCACCTCAGCCTCCCAAAGTGTTGGGATTACAGTCATGAGCCTCCATGCCTGGCCCTATTTTTTTTTAATGTAAGAAAATAGAGTCAGCTTGTTCATAAACAGGCATCAGATGTTGTGTGTGTGCATCTGAAGTGGCTAGAAATAAGAAAAAAAAATAAACAAATTTTTATTTTAAATAAAACTAAAAATGGGAGAAGGATGAAGGGAAGTTAAGGAGTACACAAATACACTTAGCTAGAAGGAATAAGATCTAGTACTCAATAGTACAGAAGAGAAGTTATAGCAAATAATTTATATTTCAAAATAACTACAAGAAATATTTGTGATGTTCTCAACACAAAAGAGATAAATATTTGAGGTGACGCATATCCCAGTTACCCTGATTTAATCATTACACATTGTATACATATATCAAAATGTCGCAATACCCCCAAAATAAGTGCAACTATTATATAGCAAGTTTTTTTAAAAAACAAAAGGAGCAATAAGAACCAGAAGACAATAAAATGATGTAAAATTGAGCCAGATGTGAAAGGAAAAACAATAAAGCTTAAAACAGAACTAAGAGATATTCTGTATTTTTCTTTTTTCTTTTTCTTTTTTTTGAGATGGAGTTAAACTTTTGTTGCCCAGCGTAGAGTGCAATGGCGCGATCTCAGCTCACTGCAACCTCTGTCTCCTGGGTTCAAGTGATTCTGCTGCCTCAGCCTTCTGAGTAGCTGGAAATACAGGTGCACGCCACCATGCCTGGATAATTTTGTATTTTTAGTAGCGATGGGGTTTCACCATGTTGGCCAGGCTGGTCTTGAACTCCTGACTTCATGATCCACCCACCTCAGCCTCCCAAAGCGCTGGGATTACAGGCATGAGCCACTGTGCCTAGCTTGTTAGAAGGCAGTAAGACCTTGTCAACCAGTGTGACCATATTTAAAAAGAGAACCATCATTGAGAATCCGTTTAAGAGAATGATCATCTTACCTTCATACCTCCAGAGACTAGTCTGATTCTGTCTCACTGTGGAGTATGGGCCAGACCAGAGAAGGTCTGCAGGAGCAGAAGGGTTTGTTTTGAAGCCATCCTGGAGGAGTCCTGATTTCCAAGCCTACCATTCCCTCCCTCCCTTCTTCTATTCTTTCAATTGTCCTGATAGAGTGTAAGTATTAGAGCTCTCACTTGTCAGGACAGAAATCAAAATAAATTGGCTTAGGGTAGGAGTTTATAGATAATCAACTGGATATGCAGTAAAATAGCCAAGGACACATCAGCATCAGGCATGGCTGCATCTGGGATCCCTGAAGTCCTCATTAGGAATCTCCCCTCCTCCCAGCATCTCTAGCTTCTGTGTGGCTTCCTTCTCGGTAGCTGAATTATCTGATAGAGCTGAAGTTCATTAAAGAGCATAATTTTCCCATGACAGTCTTGATCACTGGAACTGAAGAGGGTTAGTTATCTTTCCCCAGGGGGTACTGAGGCAGCATGCTCCTGGCTGTCATTCTTGAAAATTCCAGTTCACACCTGAAATGGAAGGGAATGTTATCCTAAGTGGCCAGGAGTAGGATATGCCTGAGAGTGAGACTTAGGGGGCTAGAGAAGCTGAAATCTGACTCCCGTTCTGGGAGACAAAGCTGGAGGAACAGAGGCCAGGTGTGCTAGGAGCTGAGCAGGGAAGGATAGTAGAGTCAGGGGCAGGAGGCGCATCTGAGCCAATTGCTGCAAGTAAGTATAGGAATGTGCGCTTCTCCTGTTGTTCATTTACTTTTTGGTTGTAGAGGGTGGGGGAAGAACATATTAAAGCCAGACATCACATGCTTCATTTCACAATAGTTGGGCTGCTTGGACTGAATTTCACATATTTTATCTCATTGAATCTTTATTTTAAAAATTTAGAGTTAGCAACATTCATGATTAAGGATAAGGAGACTGAGGATTTAAGAGACTAAGAAACTAACCCATGGGCACTTATGCTGGGCAGGTATAGAATCTGACTAGAGGAGAGATTTTCCTGGAGTTCATTCACTGAGTATCTAGTATGCATCGGGCATGGTTCAAGGTTCTATGACAGGCGCTGGAGGAAGGATGTTCCAGCCACATCATACACGGCGTTGTAAGAATTAATGTACTCTAGGTGTGTGTGTGCTTCAGAGTTGATGCGTAAGAATTCAGAAGGACTTGAGGTCTCTCTGGAGAGAGAATGCTCTCTTAGCTCAAGAAACAGTATGGCCGCCTTCTTCCCTGCTGAAATCCCTCCCTGAATTTTGCTGAGTGGTACCACGGAAGGCCCCTTGCTAGATGCACCACTGGCTCTTTGTGTTACTTTATTGGAGAATCATAGCCTTTTACAGCTACATAGACTTAGGGGGAGGATTTAACCAATCCTCTCATTTTACAGGTTAGAGAACTGAGGGCCAGATGGGATGAGTGGTTTACCCAAGATCACACAGCTGGTTAGTGGCAAAGCTATGATATGAATCTCATCTAATTCCAAATCCTTTCTATGCTCTATCTGTACTCTTCCCAACCATTTAAGTTTCATGTTTGAATATCCAAAGGTAAGTTTCTTGTTGTTAACCAGAGTAGTTAAGTTTTGTGACCATAGGTCAGACCTAACATTCTAGTTCTCCTTCCTCCCTTCCCCGCTCCCTCCCTCCCTGCATGGCTCTCTCCTTCTTTTTAGCCTCCACTATCTTAAGAATGCTTTGGTTCTTAGATATGGGCAATAACCTCTCTCTTTTTCTGTAGCTCAGCATTTAGTATTCATGCAGCGAGCATATGATTTTTTCCTGATGTATTTTTATGTATTTTAAACTCTGGTTTGACTAGTCTACATTTGCTGTAAATGCCCAGATTGCAAATGGTAGCAATGTGCTATAAAAATAAAATATTCTTATTGTAGTAAATATCCACAGATACAGAATGAGCGCCTGTTTTATCTCCATTTCCTTTCCTTCTCATTTACTGGCTAAGTACTTAGCCTTTTAAAAACCTTTCCGTGTGAATCAGTATGTAAAATATTTGTCATGTGTCCAAACTGAAAGTTAATGAATTACAAAATATTCTTATTTTGTGAAATAGCATTTTATCTCTTTGTGCATGAAGTACACAGAAACAGGCAGTGGCTTTAAGTGTGATGATGGTCTTCACAAAGCAGAGATTATGTTACTTCTGTGAGATTTCTAAATCTCCCTCTATATCCAGTAATTCTCTCCTTGGACTAAATAGGGCAGAACATATTACATCTTTTCTATCCATTGTCTAACACGTAAATAAACTTTACTATCTTGTACTTTCTATTCCCTTAAAAAAAAAAAAAACTCTTTGTAAAGAAAGATTGTGCTGATTTATTTTAAAAGCAACACTAAATCTTTCACTATACAAGGAAAACTCTAAGGTTGAACTTTTTTCTTACTAAAAACGATCTGCTCCTAGATATGGTGGAATGCTTGCTTTAATCAGGAATACATAAGTCTTAAATGACTAATATAGAAGAGCAACAAAATCCACTCATTCTGAAGTTAAGAATAAATGTAATAACAGTCTTGTATGCAACAAAATCCTAGAAAGTCTACAAGAAGAACCTATTCAGAACAGTGCCTGCTGGGTGCAAATCCTCTGTTCTCCAGCTTTAGATCCTACTGTCAAATTCATGAACTACTAGCCTTAGGTCAGTTTGCCCATCACAGGACTTCACTCCTTTTTACCATGAAGTCTGACTGTGGGGCTGTCTGTTTCGCTCCTGGGTTGATTGGCTACAGCTGGTCTTGGAAGCAAATAACTCTTCATATAACATTAAGGGCTGCAAATTCCTACACCCTAGGATTCACCAACAGCTGAGACAGCAGCCGGGAAGGGTTAGTTTATACTTTTGAGGGTAAGAACACCACTTGTGGTTATGTCTGTCTGGAATCATATTCTGTGTTTTCGAGAGACATTTAACTCTAAACATTGGAAGTAATAAAAACATGTTCTGTGGTTACATGGTACCATATGTCTTTCAGAAGGCACTTGGAGCTTTACACATTTGATCTAACTCATTTTTATTTCACCTTAGTTTTAAGAAGGTACCTTGTGTAACTTTGTTCTTACTAATGTACACATACACATAATTTATAGAGAGCCGGAGACCGAGCTACTAAGGTTTTAAGCAGCCTATTATAATCCAGTCAAGGCTGAGAGTTGAATGAATTCCACTGACCTGTATATTGTTCTCAAACTTTTGTTATCTCTTTGCTAGATCACTGCTTTCTCATTAAATGCATTGTTATTGAATTACAGTAATGGAAGTTTCAGGGCTTTGGAAGCAGTTAACCCATGTGTCACTCCTGGGCCAGTGACTCTTAGTTGCATGATATACAGCTTCCCATCAAAGCCTTAGTTTGTTCATCTTTTTGGTATTTTTTAAAAAGATAATTCCCCCGGGCTTATGCCTGTAATCTCAGCACTTTGGGAGGGTGAGGCAGGAGGATCACTTGAGCCCAGGAGTTCAAGACCAACCTGGGCAACAGAGTAAGACTGTGTCTCTACAAAAAATATTTTTTTTTTTTTTTTTGAGACGGAGTCTCGCTCTGTCGCCCAGGCTGGAGTGCAGTGGCGGGATCTCGGCTCACTGCAAGCTCCGCCTCCCGGGTTCACGCCATTCTTCTGCCTCAGCCTCCCAAGTAGCTGGGACTACAGGCGCCCGCCACTACGCCCGGCTAATTTTTTGTATTTTTAGTAGAGACGGGGTTTCACCGTTTTAGCCGGGATGGTCTCGATCTCCTGACCTCGTGATCCGCCCGCCTCGGCCTCCCAAAGTGCTGGGATTACAGGCGTGAGCCACCCCGCCCGGCCAAAAAATAATTTTTTAAAAAAAGTAGCCAGACGTGGTGACACACGCCTGTGTCCCAGCTTCTCAGGAGGCTGAGGTATGAGGATTGCTTGAGCCTAGGATTTTGAGGCTGCAGTGAGCTGTGATCACGCCACTGCACTCCAGCCTGGCTGACAGAATGAGACTCTATCTACAAGAAAATAAAAATAAAAATAATAATGAAGAGGATAATTCCTACTTCCTGACTTATTGGAAGGATTAAATAAGATAATATAAAAGCACTTAGTGCATTGTGTGATGCTGCATACCTGAAGCACCTGGAGTAGCCAAATTCATAGAGATAGAAAGTAGAGAGGAGAGGCCGAGCACAGTGACTCACACCTATAATCCCAGCACTTTGGGAGGCTGAGGCAAGTGGATCACCTTAGGTCAGGAGTTCGAGACCTTCCTGGCCAACATGGTGAAATCCTGTCTCTACTAAAAAATACAAAAATTAGCTGGGCATGATTGTGTGTGCCTGTAGTCCCAGCTACTTGGGGAATATTTTATTTCCCAGTCTCTGAAGTTGTCTAATCAGAATAGAGAATACTCCTTGAGGAAGGAGAATTGCTTTCACCTGGGAGGCAAAGGTTGCAGTGAGCCAAGATTTCGCCACTGCACTCCAGCCTGGGCAACAGAGTGAGACTCCATGTCAAAAAAAAAAAAAAAAAGGAAAGTAGAGGAGTGGTAGCCAGGTGTCTGGGGAAAAGGGAATGGGGAGTTAGCGTTTAATGCATACAGAGTTCCAGTGTTGCAAGATAAAAAGAGTTCTGGAGATAGGTGATGGCGATGGTTGCAGATGAGTGTGAAAGTACTTAAGGCACTGCACTGTACACTTAAAAATGATTACGATGATAAATGTTACGGTATATGTATTTTACCACAATAATTTTTTTAAACACTTAGTGCACTCCCAAACAACTCCTGTTAACCTGCTCCTGCCTCCTTTCCTAGTCTTCCTTTTTGCCCTTGACAAATGGCTGTCCGTAACTGGAGATAGGATCAGGGGTTATCTGAAACTCTCTGAGTTGGGCAACTTGGATAGATCCACAGAACCCTAGTTAGTGGTGCTGGATCCACAGTTGAGAAATGACAAGTACTTAGAGAACATCTAAGTTCCACATATTCATATTATACACAAGAAAACTGAGGTCTGGAGGAATTGAATGATTTGCCTAAAATGACACAGCAAATCAATGGCATAGCTGGAACCAAGACCCAAGATTACTAATTTTGAGTCCAATTTGCTTTTCAAAAAATGTCAGGGGCCGGGTGCAGTGGCTGATGCCTATAATCCCAGCACTTTAGGAGGCCGAGGTGGGCGGATCACCTGAGGTCAGGAGTTCAAGACCAGCCTGGCCAACATGATGAAACCCTGTCTCTACTAAAAAATACAAAAATTAGCTGGGCTCAGTGGCGGGCACCTGTAATCCCAGCTACTCAGGAGGCTAAGGCAGGGAGAATTGCTTGAACATGGGAGATGGAAGTTGCAGTGAGCCAAGATCAAGCCACTGCACTCTAACCTGGTGACACAGTGAGACTCTGACTTGGAATAAAAAAAAAAATGTTAGGTTTGCAACTGTCTCTGGGGATCATTTGGGCCACTCTGTGACCTGAAGTTGAGCTAAGAGTTTTCTCTATTCTGATTAGATAACTTCAGAGACTGGGAAATAAAATATTCCCTTGACAAGAAGTTGTTTTAAATAGCTTATTTGAAGTATAAATGCACACATTTATACCTTTAGTAACTGCACACATTTAAATTTTCCCATTTGATAAACCTCAACGTATGTATATACCATGAAACTATCACCACAATCAAAATAATGACAAGTCCATCACCCATTTTTAATGTTTTTCTCCATCATACCTCATCACCAGGCCATCAACTGATCTCTGTTCTGTCACTAGAAACTAGCTTGCATTTTCTAGAGTAAATGGTATCATACATACTCCATTTTTGTCTCCCTTTTTCAACCAGCATAATTATTTTGAGATTCATCTACATTTTTGTGTGTATCAATAATTCATTTCTTTTTACTGTTGAGTAGTAGCCTATTGTTTGGATATGCCATGATCTGTTTATCCATTTAAATGTTGACGTATATTTGGTTTGTTTCCAGTTTGGGGCTATTGCAGATAAATCCAATATGAACATTCACATAGAGTTTCTATATAGAGATAGAATTCTGTATTAACCATGTGTTTCTGATATTTTGACATTTGAAACCTTGCTGATCTTAGAGACATTGCCTCTCCCAAGGTAAGCCAGTTCCTAAAGGTAACAAGACTCACCTGCCAACATCACTTTTATACATAAACTAACCAGTCCAGAGCCTGGAATCCCCTACTGCCTCTTTGATCAGACTCTTACACTCTGGGCCACTATCCACCTTCCCTAATCACCCCAGGGCTGAGTACCAGAAAACTAGGGGCAATCTCTACACCCTAGAGCCGGCTGAAACTATTCAAACTAGCCAGTCCTAAGCTCATTTATTCTTCTTATCCTGCCTCACACATTCCTTCCTGCAGAAACCACATAAAGGCTCATGTTTTCCCCTGGCTCTTCTTACTCAGGACTGACCTTGTGCTTGCTCATATGGCCTCTTTGAGTGTCATGCTTCCCATTTCTAGGAAACTGTGAGTAAAACAACTTCCTTCACAACAGTCATTTCTGTGTCTGCATGTCTTAACATACCTGATTAAAGTACATCTTAAGTACACTTTTAAACACTCATTTTTCTTGAATAAATCCTAGGAGTGGAATTGCTGGATCATATAGGAAGTACGCGTTTCAGTTTTTAATAAATTACAAAACTGTTGCCCAAAGTGCTTGTCCATTTCACATTCTTAGCGATAGCATATGAAATTACCAGTTATTCCACTTCCTTACCAGACTTTGGTATGATTAGTCTTTTTAATTTTAGCCATTCTAAGAACTACAGTCTCATTAATTTGCATGCCCTTAATGAACAATTTTGTTGAATATTTTTTGTGTGCTAATTTGCCATCCTTTTATCTTTCAGATGTATCCATAGAAATCCCTTGCATACTTCTTTATTGGGTTGTTTATTTTCTTACTGTTGAAATTTGAAAGCTCTTTCTATATTCTAGATACAAGTCCTTTATCAGATGTGTGTTTTGCAAAGAACTTCCCCCAGTCTCTGGCTTGTCTTCTTGTTCTCTTAACAGTGTCTTTTAGAGAGCAGAAGTTTTACATTTTGATGAAGTCAATTTGTTCTTTTATGGATTTTGGTTTTGGCATCATATCTAGGAAATCTTTCCTTGACCCAAGGTCACAAAGATTTTCTCCCCTGTTTTCTTCTAGTATACCTGGGATTTGTAAAGATATATCTGAGAGAAGATACAAGGATGGCAAATTAGCACACAAAAAAAATTTTCAACATAATTGTTTAGTAAGGGAATGCAAATTAATGAGATTATAACTCTCAGTATAGCTAAAATTAAAAAGACTGATTATACCAAGTGTTGGTGATGAAGTAGAGCAACTGGTACTCTCATATGATATTTCTAAGAATATAAAATAGAAGTTCCTGATGCAATGGCAGCCTTTGCCATGGAACTCCAGGTGCCTGCATTAGGATCTGAACCAATGATGCTGGCTTCATCTCCAAAGCCAGGAGTTAATGCCCAGTTCTTACCTGGATTTTGAATGTGGAATTTGCCAGCCCTGGTGACTCCACAATCTCGATCAATTAGTGGCCCTTCAGTAGGAGTAGTGGAAATGAGATCACCTTTACTTGCAGGTGGGTCACCACCACAACCAGTTTTACTAGCTCATAAAGATAAAAGTGGCGCTCCACAAGTTAGAAGTATATATGATGACATTTCTAGCCTGGGATTTGGATCAACACCTTTAACTTCAAGAAGACAGCCAAACATTTCATGATGCAGAGTCCTCTTACTGGAGTTACATCTACTCCTGGAACAGGGCAAAGTACGTTTAGTCCAGCAAATGTCGGTCAGTCATGAAAGATGACATTTTCTCCTTCCCGGTTGGATCCTTTTTATACTCAAGGAGATTCTTTGACTTCAGAAGGTCACCTTGATGACACTTGGGTGACTGTGTTCGGGTTTTCTCAAGCCTCTGCTTCCTACATATTATTACAATTTGCACAGTATGGGAATATCTTAAAACACATGATGTCTAACACAGGAAATTGAATGTATATTCATTATCAGTCTAAACTGCAGGCTCGGAAAGCCTTAACCAAAGATGGGAGGATTTTTAGAGAATTCATCATGATTGGTGTAAAATCCTGTATTGACTAAACTGTAATGGGAAGCACTGACAGACGTGCTTTATCATCTCCATCTTTCGCCTTTACACCACCAATCAAAACTTTAGGTACACTAGCACAACCTGAAAGTACTCCTAGGATTTCTGCCATGAGACCTCTTGCTACAGCATACAAAGATTCTACTAGTGATTATCAGGTTATTTCTGACAGATGAAAATCTTGTATCCAAAGCAATGGAGTACATGTCTGGCCGGTAGTAGAAGACCAAGGAGGAGGTTGTTACACTAAAACAGAGTTAGCAGAGTGCTGCTGGTTCCTTCGGTTAGTTATATAACTGTTCCTGCAGTATTGGACAGTTATACTTCTTTTAGGAAGAAGCCTTTTTCATTAAAGATACAGCCTATTTGTAGCTCACACTTTAGAAGATGCTTGAGATACATTTTAAAGAAAACTAAAAATCCCTGTAAATAGAATTTTGTGCTTTCTGTAACAGTGCATGCTTCAACACAGAAAACTCAGCATTGATTATTGTAAATTAAGTAACTGAAATTCTGGTGAGACTTCATAGTCTTCATGAGAAGGTGGGGGTGAATTTCATAAAAGGGGACTATAGTTATTTCTACCAAGACACAAAGGTTATAATTAGCAATTTGAATTATGGTGTTTTAATTTAGATAGTATTTAATATTATAATTATCCTTGTTTGTATATGTCCTGTCACAGAGTGTTCTCTTGGTGTATTAAAAAATCAGCATTCTTTTAAAAAAACCTACTACTACAGTTTCTTCATAATAAACATTGTCAATGATTTTAAAAAGAATATAAAATGGGACACTTTGCACAACAGTTTGGTAGTTTCTTAAAAACTTAAACACATAGGATCCAGCAATTCCACTCCTAGGATTCACTTAAGAAAAATAAGTATATAAAAATATACCTAGGATTTGTTTTAACAGTTTTGAAGGCTGGGGGTGGTGACTCATGCCTGTAATCCCAGCACTTTGGGAGGCCGAGGCGGGCGGATCACGAGGTCAGGAGATCAAGACCATCCTGGCTAACACGGTGAAACCCCGTCTCAAAAAAAAAAAATGCAAAAAAATTAGCTCGGCGTGCTGGCAGACCCCTGTAGTCCCAGCTGCTCAGGAGGCTGTGGCAGGAGAATGGTGTGAATCCGGGAGGCAGAGCTTGCAGTGAGCTGAGATCACGCCACTGCGCTCCAGCCTGGGCGACAGAGCTAGACTCCGTCTCAAAAAAAAAAATAGTTTTGAAGTTTTAGGTTTTACATTTAGTTCTATGATATATACAGTGTCTATGATACATATTTAGGTCTATGATATATATAGAGTTTTTATCTGGTGCAAGATACCCATTGAAGTTTGTTTCCTTCTTTGATATCTAATTGTTCTAGAACCACTTGTTGAAAAGCTTATTTTTTCCCCATAGAATTGCCTTTGTACCTTTGTCAAAAATCAGTTGTCTATGTAATATTAGTGTGGGTATGTTTCTGGATTCTCTAGTCTGTCCCATTGATCTATTTGCCCATCTTTTCTCTGTTAATTCCATGCTGTCTGGATTACGATAAATGCATAAGGCATGACGTCAGTTAGTGTTAGTTCTCTAACTTTGCTCTTCTTTTTCAAAATCGTTGTGGCTATTCTAGGTTCTCTCCAATTAATGAGCATTTTGATATCATTTAAAAAGCATTTAATAATATCTTGTCAATTTCTACAAAAAAAAAGCCTTCTGGAATGTTTATAGGAATACATCAATTTAGGCAAAAATGATATTTTAGCAATATTAATTTTTCCAACCTAAGAATGTGGCATATATCTCTCCATTTATTTAGGACTTCTTTAACTTTTTAAGCCATGTTTTATACTCTCGGTGTACATATAGTACACATCTTTTGTGAAATTTATCCTTAAGTATTTCAAGTTTTGGATGCTATATGAATGGTATTTTTTTCTTAATTTCAATTTTCAACTGGAAAAAAACCTTGTTACTTCAAACTTGAATGCTGTGTTTCCATAGAGAACAGTAAAACAATAGTTTCCCTGTTCTGTTTTGGCTCCTATCTCTCTAAAGAAGTTCTGCAAATGGATTTTCCTCTCGGCCTTTCAAACTAAATGCCAAGAGTCCTATAATGAGGCTGAAAATGTGACCATATTGCCCAGAAGGAGCTAACTGTGCTGTCCTCTTTTGCAAAAGCAGCTGAATAAATTGAGTATATTAGAGACACAAATTTCTAGGACTTGTAAGGATTCTGTCAAAAATGTGTAACAGGGATGTATTACTCTTGCCCTGAGAACTTCAACTTTTGCACTTCCTGACTTTGCTGTGGCTAAAATTGAAATACCAAAGTGGTATTCCCCAAAGTGTTTGAATTTAATAGCATTAATGACTAGGCCCCTACAAGTCTATAAATTCTTATTTGAAAATTCAGCTATTCTATTTGTACTTTCTGTGAGTGCTTGACTTTTAGTTTCCTACCTGTAAACTTTTCAAAAAGCAAATAACCTCACCTCAGACATCAAGTCCTTGTAAGGAGTGAGTGAGCAGCCCTACCTCCCTAAAGAAACAGCTATACTCAGGAGAAGTCTTGTGGTTTAAATTTAGCTGGGTCTTATCTCCTTCTATTCCATTTAACTATTATGCTCTCAGAGCCTTGGGGAAACATGTTCTGGGAAACTCCTTCGCCATAAAATGTTAAGAACAGAGAGCAAGTTAACACTTCTAAGACCATCCACATTTCAAAAGACAGTAATTCTAATGTACAGGCATTCATGGTAATGGTGGGTTTCAGGCATTGTGGGAAGGAGAGACAGAACAGCAAGAGAGCCTTTCAGCATCCCCTGTGATGTCATCATTAGTCTTGCCTTTTAGATGATCTGGTCCAACCTTCACCTCTGACTTTGTGAACGCTGGGCTCTACGTCCTGAAATACACTATTAACACACACAAGACTTTTCTGTCCCTGTGTCTCCAACTATGTGACAATGGATCATGGATTTTGTTTTGTTTTGTTTTACTTTCCACACAGGAAAGTTGAGAAGGTATAAAGATATAAAGTTATAAAGATATAAGTTGAGAACACAATACTCAAAGTCGCAATAAAGAAAGTTCAAGTCTAGGTTGAGTTGACGCTGTTACCATTATTCAACCCCTTCCTTACCACACCAGCCTCTCAGGCACTGGCATTATTTGGTGACATTGATTAAGCCTCCACTGTTAAAGCTTTGATTGTCCGTTATCTTTGAGATTCAATGTTGGGAACCAGGAAGGACACCCATAGAGACAAGAGGAATGTAGAACCAAGCTCAGCTCTTCTCCTGAATGAGGCATAATGGTTCAAAGTAGATGGATAAGAAATGATACGAGCTAGATAGAATCACTTTAGAAAAGCTTTATGAATCTGATGAGCTCAAACTTAACAATGAAGAAGGAAACAGATGCAGTCTAGCAGAAAAACAAAGGAGGTATATCTGAGGTGCTCAGTGATGCTTTCTAGACCCAAAGCACACCAGCACAAATAAATCCCACTCCCCAAACTGCAAGTATTTTGAAGTGTCCACAGCCCTGGAACTGGTTAAGAAAATATCAAATTTGGGTTCAAAGGTACTTTCAAATATCCTTTCTACAGAATCCAGAATAAACTTGTAACAGGGCAGGGAAAGAACAGCCTCTGGAAATTTCCAGTCCTCCGAAAGCATAAGACAGCAGCAGGAGACTGTGCATGTTTAAAGGAAGTCTGCCTAAAGCCATGCTTTGTATTCACTACTCTCTGTGAACATCAAACTGCTGCCATGCCTTTGTTGCAGTTTTGCCAAGGGAAGTTGAGCACAGGCTAACAGCCGCCATGAATCGTCCTTGAGGAGGCGTTGTTGGCATTTGGCAGAAACATTCTCCAACCTCTTCATCCCTGTGGCAGAGCCTGAGCTCAGGCAGGCCCTGGAGCAAGCAGGTGTCTGTCTCTCCTCTGTGCAAGGAGTGAGAAGGTAGCATTGTCACTAAGTAATGCAGCCCATCACATGGTACCTGGGATGATTTCAAGGAATTAAAGCACAATGCCTATATTAGTTATCTGTTCTGCACAAAAAATTGCCCACCAGAATAGCAACATGAATCATAAATTTTTATTATCTCACAGTTTCTGGATGTTAGGAATCTGGGAGCAGCCTAGCTGGGTGGTTCAAGCTCAGGATCTCTTGTGAGATTGCAGTCAAGCTTTTGGCTAGGGCTATAGGTGTGTGAGGCTAAAAGATCTGTTTCCAAGCTCTCTTATGTGATTGTGGGCAAGACTCAGTTTCTTGCTGGCTGTTGGCTGAGTGTCTCACTTCCTTGCTATGTGGGCCTTTCCAAAGGCTGCCTGAGCAATTTCATGACATAGCAGCTAGCTTTCCCCTGAGGACATGATCCAAGAGAAAAAGACCAATATGGCAGCCACAGTCTTTTACAATCCATCTTGGAAATGACATGGGAAAAAATCACTTCTGTTATATTCTATTGGTCATACAGACCAACTCTGGAACAATGTAGAAGGGGAGTGTCAGGAAGCAGGCATCACTGGGGACCCTCTTGGAGGCTGCCTACCACACTTCTCATCTAACAGTGCTAAGAACACAGTTGGCCCCAGCCTTCGATATAATGTATATCAGGTAACACTTTTTAGAGGTACTGCAATGCAGTGGCAAGACTAGTAGACTGCTAGTAAAGAGATTTTGATTCAAGTTCAATTCTGACAATCAAAAATGCTCTGTGTCTTTGGAATGCTGGTTAACCTTTTTGCCCATCTGTTATCTCATCTGTAAAATGAGACTATTGTCATTAATGGCCTCAAGGATGTCTCTCAACTCTCAAATTCCATCTCTTCATTCATATATCTTAATTGCCATTAAGAAATGTGCCATTTCAGGCATGAAAGTTATGAAGGTGATTTTGTTTTACAAAATGGACAATTTTCCAATGAGTTTCCCTTGTTTTAAAGTAATAAACCAACTGGAGAAATGGCACCCTAGAGTTTTCTTGAAGCTTATTTCTTTTCCGTTCATTATTCATACTTTAGTAAGTACGCCTCACAATAACATACTGTTATTTGCATGATGCTTTAAAGTGTAGTACACATATTCTACATATGCAAGTGAATTCATCTGTAAACCACATTAGGAAGGTATTAGGCTTGGAAAGCCTTCCAGCTTCATTCTCCCATTACCTAGTGGCTGGTGTTTGCATGGGTGGCAATTTGGCCAGAACTACAATAGCCTTCTAATAAAGACACTCCCAGGCACATGGCCCAAATAGATGGGTGAAAAAGGCTTCCTCCTGTCTGAAATCTCTAAGTCTAAGTGAGGCACAGTGACACATACCTGTAGTCCCAGCTACTTGGGAGCCTGAGCTGGAAGGATCACTCACTATGTTGCCCAGAAGTTTGAGTCCAGCCGGGGCAACATAGTGAGACCCTGTCTCTAAAATTAATTAGTTTAATTAAATAAAAAATAAATTTCTAAGTCTAAAGAGACAGCTGCAGTGGCCTACCATATATAGAGTAGACTAGCAATGGAATGAACAGTGAACTCTTCATCTCCTGTACTAGCCTAGAGTGAGCTAAGGACAGGGGACAACCTCTTGGGAGACTGAACTTCTAAGATGAGAATAGGAAAGCCACCCAGTTGCTTATCGTTTAATTACTTGAACGAGATGAACAGGCTTCCGCCCCAGGACATTTGTACTTGCCCTGCCTGGGAATCACTTAGGTTCACTTCAAGGATCACATTTTCAGATTAGCTTTCTCTAGCCACTAATCTTAAGTGACATCCTCTCCCCTACAGGCATTCTCTACCACACCCTATTTTACTATCTTGGTAGCCCTATCTAAAATCATCTACTGGTGTACCTGTTTCAAGAGTTCGCCTCCAATAGAGTGTAAGCTGTCTGAGAGAGGTAACCCCATCTATCCTGGTTACTGCCACATCTCCAGTCTGGAATAGTTCTTGGTGTAGAGTGGGCACTCAATAAATATTTGTTAAATGGATGAATGAATAGGTCAGTCTGAAAAAGCTTGTAGTTTGATGGATGTGAGTTTCAGGAGACACTTAGATAGTAGTGGAAAAGAATATTAAATGGACCTATTTTCTGTTCCCTTGGAATGGGCAAGTAGGGGTGAAATCTGAGAACAAAGAGACTTGTGTATCCCACG
Source organism: Homo sapiens (assembly GCF_000001405.40). Classification (NCBI taxonomy): domain Eukaryota; kingdom Metazoa; phylum Chordata; class Mammalia; order Primates; family Hominidae; genus Homo; species Homo sapiens. Next base: position 24,164,728 of record NC_000010.11, read on the forward strand.
TAATTAAGATAACCCCCAACAATTGGGAGCAGACACCCCCCTCAGGGATTCTAGGTGGAAAGGCCCTGCTATCAGAACCAGTTGTGCCCCAGGAAGAAAAGAAGAAGAGAGAATAATATTTCTGAACTATTTGGGACCACTCAATGGATGCCATGCTCATTGTGACAGGGGATACTCTCCCCTGGAGACAGGAAGGGTGCCTTCCCCTTCTTGAAGCCAAGGGAAGATTGCATTGAAGAGAAGAGTGCTGGCAAAAGTGGAAGACTGGTACCTCTTTGGCTGGGCAGATGTCTGCTTAGGGAGCAAACAAACAGTTCAGTTCCTCAGCTTTGTTAACCTGGGGAAAAGCGAATAAGAGAAAAATGGCAGAGTAAAGCAAAGAGAAGTGGCCAGGAAGCCAACTGTACTTACACTGCATGGAATGGCAAGGATGGCGGTGATTCCCACATAGACCATAGACAGGCTGGTGCCATCTTGAGAGTTCTCCACCAGCCCACAAGGCTCCCAAGTTTCTTAGAGGATCCACTTGTATCTGTAAGGGTGGAAGAGTATTGCTGGGAATGGAAGAAGTTGAATAGGAGCCTGACCTCTCACCTCCAGGAACTGTCCGCACCCTGGTCTGGCACCCAAGATCCATATGTGGATGGCTGTCACACAAGAGATGCTAGGAATGTGTCAGTGTTAGTGCAAGATGCAAAAAACAGAAAACGAAAACCACCCAGAGAGGATTCGCCTAATCCCTCTCCACTAACCCAGACCCACCAAGGAGCAAGATTTTGAATGGAGGTGGAGGTGGAGGACCCAGAAGCAGAACATTTTCTGTACCCATGGGGTATACCCTGAGCCATCGCCCAGCCTGCACCAGAGAAAAAGAGATTAGATTTAAGCTGGATACAAAATTCGAGTTTTAAACTGGCCCAGACTTTTTGTAACTCCAAGTGACCACAAGTTTATAGGATCTTGCTCAGGTATCATTAAGGAACAGGAAAATGGTATTTGACAGGGCATGGTTGAAGGCCATAACTGGAAAAATTAAACAAATGAAACTATTTCATGTTTTCAACACTGAGTTCAAACTATCCAATCTCCTAACTAGAGCAGAAAAAAAGCAGTTTGCTGAACCTTTAGCAAGAGAGTTCTTCAGGCATTTGATTTATCTTTGGGTGAACTTTGCTGGCTTTTATCAGTGGCCAAGGTGACAAGACAGTTTATAAAAAGCAAGACTCAAGACACACCCTTGGTGCTGTAGACTCAGTTGCCTTTCTTCTTCCATGCTCCATCCTCCTCCCCACCTCCAATTTTTTAAGAGTCAAGAGAGAAAAGGATTAAAAACTTATTTTTTGAAAGTCATTTTTCTGCAGCTTCAAAGGACTTTTTAGACATTTGGACAAATCGTTTTTAAAATTTCAAGGATACTTTTTAATAAAACTGAGTGATTGAAAAAAAAAACACCACCCTCATTTCCTCCTTCCTTGATAAATAAATCACCTTAATAAAGAAATCACCTGTGAGATTGTTTCTGAGTGGGCGTACAACCTAGGAAGGCATTTCCTGTGGCTGTTGAAAACTAGATTAAAAGAAAATGCACTGAAATTCATGTTAAGAATAATCTTGGTTGTTGATTAACGGGTACAAATATACACTTAGATAAAAAAAATAAGATCTGGTGTTCAATAGATCAGTAGGGTGACAATAGTCAACATTATCAATTGTATATTTCAAAATAGGGGCCAGTCGTGGTGGCTTACTCCTGTAATCCCAGCACTTTGGCAGGTCAAGGCGGGTGGATCACTTGAGGTAAGGGGTTCAAGACGAGCCTGACCAACAAAGTGAAACCCCATCTCTACTAAAAATACAACAATTAACTAGGCGTAATGGGGCATACCTGTAATTCCAGTTACTTGGGAGGCTGAGGCACAAGAATCACTTGAGCCTGGGAAGTGGAGGTTGCAGTGAACTGAGATCATGCCACTTCACTTCCAGCCTGACTCAGTCTCAAATTAAAAAATTAAAAAGTTTTAAAAAGCTAGAAGGGCATAATTCAGATGTTCCTAGCATATAGAAAGCATAAATATTTAAGGTAATGGACATCCCAATTACCCTGATTTGATTATATGGATGTATCAGATTATGTGCTATAAAACTATGTACAGCTATTATGTATCAACAACAAAAAAATTAATCATTTTTTTAAAAAAGAATAATTTTGATCAGAAGAAACACATTTCAGGTGCTGATAGCTGGAGAAGAAAGCTGCTTTGGAAAGGGATGGCAGCGAATAAGTTAAAAATTAAGCATACCCCCTTTAGGTTTCACATAATCTCTTTTTAAAAGGAAAATATATTTCCTGAATGATTAAAAAACAGGAAGCACACTTACTTTTTTAAAAAATATATTGAATGACAGTCAACTGGTAAGATTCCTTTCTGCTTGGACTTCTCTAGTCTTTGTTTTAGGTTCTCTCCTTTTCAAATTCCTTTCATCTTTCTGATAAAAAGCACTGAATAACAAAATAACACTTACTTAGAAATATTAGAAAGGTTTGGTGTGTATGTGCGTGTGTGTGTGTGTGTGTGTGTGTGTGTGTGTTACTTTAGATGTTACAAAAATATGAAGCAAACCAATGCCCTATATTTGTCCTCTCACAATATTGTAGGATTCAAAGGTGTCATAGCATTGGTGAAGTCATTTGTTGGTAACAGCACAAACTCAGGATGTCTTTATCTTTCCTGTAGTTCTCTACAACATGTGCAAACTAGAGCCCAAGATGTAAAGGCCTCCTGTCCCTTTCTAGCAGTCAAGGGGTGATTATCTTTTAGAGGGACAGACTCAGGCCCTCTCGCTTCTGAGAGCTAAGTGTTTTTCCACCTTTACCCAACTTGGACAACTGTGAAGAACTCTGTAGCCTTCCATTATTATGTTTATATTCATGAACAAAACTCTTTCCTCACTGACACTACTCCCCTCCCTCACACAAACTCAATGTTTTCTAGTGATCATTTAGAACAATACAGGCATGTCTTAGTCTGTTTTGTGCTGCTGTAATGGTATGCCACAGAGAAATTTATTGGCTCATAATTCTAGAGGCTGGGAAGTCCAAGATCAAGGGGTTGGCATCTGGCAAAGTCCTTCATGTTATGTCATCCAGTGGTGGAAGGAGCAAGTGAGTGCAAGAAACCTCAAGATGGGAGCCAAACTCACTTTTATAACAAACCCAATCCTGAGATAACGTTGCCCATCCATGAGAGCAGAGCCCTCACGAAAACATCTCTCATGAGGCCCCACCACCCAACAGTTTTGCACTGGGGGTTAGGTTTCCAACATATGAACCATGACCTCTGTTAATGGATAGAACATAAGGATTCTAATTCTGGCAGATTCTTCACTCTCCAGATATTACTGAACTTGAATCCTGGGGATTGCTAGGGGTATGTGACACAAGGACCTAAAAATTATAAGATTTGAATTATTCATCACAATGATAAAAATTATGACCATCAATTAAGCGCCTCTAGATGTCAGGTCATAGAGGTATAGGTGTATAATTTTTAATCCTAAAGCTTACTTATAAGGAGGGAATATTTTTTCAGACAAGAAAAACTGAGGCTCCATGAAAGTAGTAACTTGTCTAAGCATGCACAATTAGAAAACAGATGAACTGGGATTCAGTCCTGAGTTTGACTACAGCATGGCCTCTGTCCAAAGAAAACTCTTAAGCAGAAGCTGAAATCCAGCAGAACATTTCCTCTGTGCTATGGAGACCTTTGTGAGACAGTGGGGGTGTGGACCATTCTCTCCCTACATGGGACACCTACATTTTTCTTAAAAGAAACGTGACCAGCTGAATGGCTGATTATTTAAAAATTGGGTCCTTTTCTGTATGATAAAGTGAGGTGGGAAGAACGAGCAGACTGGCCAATATATCAAAGGATTTCCTGACACTCCCCAGAAGCAGAAGACAGGCTGTCCCTGTTTCCTCTGTTCACTGAAGCCAGCCTCGGTTCTCTCCGGCCACTGTCTGACATTATCAGTGTTCACACACATTAGCCTCAAAGGCTGTCCTACATAGCAGAGCACTTTACCTCTCACTTCCTGGAGAAATTATTTTTCTTTTCTTAAGCAAAGGAAACTCCAGAATCTAAAGAGGCCATTTTTCATCTGGATCATCAAGCAGTGGCTCTGAAGGTGTGCTTAAGTTCACTCTTAGGTGTGCTTGCCAAGCACACGATCTAGGTGCTGGCAGAGCACAGGGTCATTCAAGTGCATAATTCACAAGACTCTAGCTGCCAGCCAGTGGGACCTGGAGAACCAGGCAGGAAGTGCAGTTGATAAAATGAGCATAGTTAACCCTTCAGAAACATGAGATACAATAACATTTTCAAAAGTCTTCAACATGTCAAATGTTTGTGCTGTGCCCAATGTTGATCTTCATTTATTATTTATCTGCTATCTTTAAATTGCCTGGAGCATTAAAGCTCAGAACTTTAAGGATGCCAGTAAATGTACCATTGCTTCTCCTCATCACACTTGGCATAAAAGTTTATGAGGCCTCAATGGTTTGGCCCATGCCCGTTCTTCCTGACCCATGCTCCATCACTCAATTCTCATTCTCTCCATTCTAGTCCCAACGGCTTTCTTACCCACAATCACCCTCCCACCCACCCTCTGAATAAGACCACCATCAGTCTCTAGCATATATTCTGCTTTATCTTTCTTCACTGCATTGACCACTCATTGTTTACCATTGTCTTCACCACCAGAAGGCTATCTCTGTGAGGATAGGGAATTCGTTTTGTTCCCTGCCATAACTGAATACCTAATAGTTATCCAATAAATTAAAAATTCATGATGAATTAATGAATGAAGTGTAGATCTGGAAAAGATGGTTGTATTCAATCAGCAAGTCCATCAAATTCTGCAGAGTATTTAACTTGTCCAATGTTTGCTGTGCCAGGGTCTGCACAGCCCTCAGGCATCCTAGGTTACCAGGACCCTTCCAAGGAAAAGGGTGCTTCTCTTAGACAAAGATGAGCTCCTCTCCCAGTCTGGGTCATCATCTGGTTTCCATGGCAACCCATATAAAGTGCCTCTGACCCTGAGCAATTTATAGGACATAAAGTATTCCACACTTATAAAACAGTAAACAACAACAAAAAGAAAATTAAAAAAACGAAAAAACACCTAAGCTCCCTAAGTTACTATTTTGGAAGATAATTTATTAGTATTCAAAAAGCTTTAAGGGATACTTTTCATAAACAGGCTATATCTGATAGCAGTGGTTGATTGTGTTATGTAAGTGCAGCTCTCTGCTAGCCATGGAAAATGTAGATTTTATGCTAGTAAAGACACTATTGGTTGTGATTATCTACATACATCCATGCTTTATACAAAAACTCATATTAAATTAAGAGTAACATTTTCCAATGCTAGTTTCTGTCCTAAATACAGCAGTGTTGAAAAGACTTTATTCTACATTCAATATTTTGCAGCACTGGTTGCTTTTTGCCGGGTGGTAAGTTGGGGCTTCAGAACAAGGAAATAAATAGACTCGCTCCTGAAAGGAGGAGAGGAAGGTGGGACTCCCAGGGGAAGCTGGCCTTTGTGTTTGATGAATGAGTCTTTTTCAAGTATCTCCGTTGTTTGGTTTTTCAAAGAAAACAGAGACAGTCTCCAATCTGTTCCCAAGCTCATTGTGTGAAATTTGCCTCGTTTGGGAACTTCATTATTTTCCTGGCTGTGAAATATTGAGTCAGTGGGTTTCACAGGGATGCACTGTCTGAGGGGAGGCTCTTTGACAACACCCCACTACGAAGGCCAAGGATGGGTGCACAGTAAATAAGTCCAAAGTCAGTGATATAGAGAGGACAAAGGCAGTAGTGAATGGACATGATGGTCAAAAGACCCTCACTGCTTCTGACGCTATATAAATAATCTCCACTACCTCTGCTGCTTATAGAGCAAAAGATTTAAGTTGCTGCCATTCATTTCTATTCCGAGTTGACTAGAAGTTCCCAAATCCAAATAAGTGCCCTATAAACTTGAAGAAAAGTCTACATGGATTGAAATTTAGAAACCTACAAAATAGTAGTGTGTAGCTGTGAGATATCCTCCCTGGAACTGGCTTATGAGTGAAGGGGGCCCACATCCTGTGGGTGCTCTGGCTGTGACATACCCTTGAACGCATGCCCAGTTGGGCCTGTTCTGTTCAGAGATGTGTTCTGCTCAATAATGCTGAGTAGAAAAGCAAATTCCAATGTTGTTTTCTAAACACTCTATTTTCTCTAAATGGCATCAGCAAAACTAAGACTTACTAACCCATTGGGGACCCCTAAAAGCTTAGATTGGTAGCATCAATCTGCCAAGAGCAAAGAAGGCATCAAGCACTTCATTCACTCAAAGACATAATCAGAATTATCTTCAGCCAAATTAGGTACTCCCAGAATGTGAGTGCTCCGAGCAAATGGGTTTGTGATGACATTGTTATCATGATCATCATCTTCTTCATCATCAGCTTACAACGAATTTATAACACCAAAATACATGGCTCTGATAAGAAAAGCAACAGGAAACATTTTTATTGAAAAACTCTCATAAATAGGGAATATAGCATGGCTAGAAGGGACTCCATTAGTCTAGATATTTACAAAGTCTTCATGAAATACTTTAAAATAAATGATCCTAATGAAAAACATTGGAAGCACGTAAAATTTTAAAAATTGAAAATGTTTAATTTCCAAATTACAATAAATGTTTTTAAAAGTTAATATTGTTTTTCCTTCAATAATAATGATGATCGGCTGGGCACGGTGGCTCACGCCTGTAATCCCAGCACTTTGGGAGGCTGAGGCGGATGGATCACCTGAGGCTGGGAGTTCGAGACCAGCCTGACTGACATGGAGAAACCCCGTCTCTACTAAAAACACAAAATTAGCCGGGTGTGGTGGTGCATACCAGGAGGATGAGGCAGGAGAATCACTTGAACCTGGGAGGCGGAGGTTGCAGTAAGCTAAGATTGCACCATTGCACTCCAGACTGGACAACAAGAGCAAAACTCCATCTCAAAAAAGTAAATAAATAAATAAACAAATAAATAAATGAATAAATAAATAAAAATAATGATGATCAACACCATAATCAAAAATCATAGCAAAAAGCTAGAAGTTATTGAAACCTTCCTGCAAGCTAGGAACGGTAGGGAGGAGTTTACACACATTGTCTTAATTTCATCCTCACAACATCCTCTGAGGTTGGGGCTATTATTATCCCCATTTAAACAGAGAAGAAACTGAGGCTTAGACATGGCAAATGGCTTGACAGAGATCATACAGTTGATATGTGATGAAACAAAAAATTAAGCCCCAAACTTTGGCTATTATACTGAGAGTATAATTCACACAAGGTAGTACAGAAAAGAAGATAATAAATTTGAAATTCTTGGTTTCTATTGAGACAGCAACCATTTAAATGGGAACTATGGGCTTTTTCTGTCTTGCCCCATCATGGTGGAAAAGGAGAAGAGATTTACAGGAAACGCTGTCAAATAATTTGTCACTCCTGGAGGAACCATTTTCCTATGACCACTATGCCAAGAGGATATCTTTCATGTCCAAATTCATAGAGACAAGATAGACTGCTCTGGGATTCCGAAGGGAGAAAGCATCTCAGTAACAATTTTGAGAAGCAGTTTGTGTAGTCCCTAAGAGCACAAAAACCAGAGCCAAATTCTCTGGGTTCGGGTCTTGACCGCAGTGCATCCTAGCTGAGTTACCTTAGAAAAGTTGCTTAGCCTCTCTGTGACTCTATTTTCTAATCTGCAGAACTGAGACAATAACAGTACCTATTTTACTGAGCCATTGTGAGATTAAATGAGTTAACATCTGTCCAATGGTTAAACATGCTTAGCACATCATAAGACTATATAGGTGCTGGCCATCACTAGTACCAACATTGAAATAACCTGTTGAAGATCTGAAGGACACAGTTGACCAGAGACATCAACATTGTTCACAGTTCCCTACCTGTGCACAAGTTCAAACTCAGGCACTCCGTATATTTTGTTTTTACAGGTATTTGGAATCTGCTTTTCACTTCTGTTTTCTCTATTTGATGTGATACTTCAGACCTGCTCTTGACTGTCTGGCTCATTCCTAAGTGAACTGTGGACTGTTCCTTTGTTTTGTACCCAGAATTATAAGTTTCAATGAAGTTATTAACAAGACAATTCCCATAAGCATAGTACCCTAAGCAGGGGTCCCCAACCCCCAGGCCATGGACTGGTACTGGTTTGTGGCCTGTTAGGAACCAGGCTGCACAGCAGGGGTGAGTGGCAGGCCAGCAAGTGAAGTTTCATCTGTATTTGCAGCCGCTCCCTATCACTCGCATTACCTCCTGAGCTCCACCTCCTGTCAGATCACTGGTGGTATTAGATTCTCATAGGAGTGTGAACCTGATTGTGAACAGAGCATTTGAGGGATGTAAGTTGCATGCCCCTTATGAGAATCTAATGCCTGATGATCTGTCACCGTCCCCTATCACCCCCAAATGGGACCATCTAGTTTCAGTAAAACAAGCTCAGGGCTCCCACTGATTCTACGTGATGGTGAGTTGTATAATTTTTCATTATATATTACAATGTAATAATAATAGAAATAAAGTGTAAAAATAATAGAAATAGAAATAATAGAAATAAAGTGCATAATGCACTTGAATCATCCTCAAAACCACCCCCTGACCCTCGTCTGTGTAAAAATTGTCTCCCATAAAGCTGATCTCTGGTGCCAAAAAGGTTGGGGACCTCTGCTCTAAAGTTACCAAGACTACTTAGATGATATCATAATAGTTACAGAATCTAAGACTTCCAGTTCTAAAGAGATCATCTGGTTCAATACTCTACCTAAAAGATGGTTCAACTTTATATATTAAAATATTTCATAGACACTCAAAGTAGAAACTGATTCTAAAACTGGAATTGTTCCTCAATAATTCTAGAACTTCAAAAGCTTAGAATACTGCCTGGTCCATAGGAAATACTTAACAGTTATCAACTACCTTTTTAATAAGAGTGTTAGTATTAGTTTGAGTAACCCAAATCTTTTTCCTCCAAGGACTGTGACTTCAAAAAAAGTCACGTTGCCTTTTAAATGTCCAAATTGCAAAGTCCAAGCTGCATCTCTTTGCCATAAGTTTATCAATTTCCATGTGCCCCTCAGGCATTTCTGAATGTCCCATGGGGCTGTCTTGTACCCTCAGGAACATGTGCCTTGTGACACCTGCCATGTTCTCTTCCATCATGGAAATGCACCATTCTAATTCCAGTTGATCTCTGTGATGACACTGTCAAGTCTACTGCCTCCTGACTTCCGGAGAAGGGGCTCAAGTCTCAGCAGGGGTAAGACAAGGGCTTCATTGTGCATGGAGACAAGCTTTTCTGGAAGTTTTATGGAATGGCAATAGGACATGGAGTATGAGTTATCATTATTACCCCTGCCCAGTATGACTCAGAGACCACAAATGCAGGCCCTTCTATGTCTGTCTAGCTCTTGGCTTGCTGCCTTGCCACCTGGGCAGCTTGTCCTTCACCAAAAGGTGTGTCCCAGGTATCTCTGCACATCTCAGCATCCACACCAACCACACCAGACCCTAGGGGAGAGGAGAGTATTTTTCCCATCCAAACTATGTGCACGTATGTGCATGCTTGTGGACACACACACACGAGTCTAAAGCTATACCTTGAAACCCCATTTCCTATCACAGAAGAGGATTAACCAAGAAAGGCTTTGGGCTACCAAAAACTGAAAGTGGCAAGGAAGGATCCCCACCTAGAGGCTTCAGAGGGAGCATGACCCTCTCAACAACTTACTTTCAGACTTCTAGCCTCCAGAACTATGAGAAAATAAATGTCTCTTGTTTTAAGCAACTCAGTTTATGGTATTTTGTTATGGCAGTCCTCAGGAAACTCATCGAGGAACTACAGACATTTTTTAAATTTTATTTATTTATTCATTTCAATAGGTTGTGGGGGAGCAGGTGGTCTTTGGTTACATGAATAAGTTCTTTAGTGGTGATTTGTGATATTTTGGTGCACCCATCACTGGAACAGTGTATAGTATACCCAACATGTAGTGTTGTTGTTGTTGTTGTTGTTTTTGGAGATGGAGTCTCCCTCTGTCACCCAGGCTGGAGTGCAGTGGCATGAGCTCAACTCACTGCAACCTCTGCCTCCCGGGTTCAACTGATTCTCTTGCCTCAGCCTTCCAAGCAGATGGATTACAGGTGTGCACCACCATGCCTGGCTAATTTTTTTTTTTTATTTTCAGTAGAGACAGGGTCTCACTATGTTGGCCAGCGTGGTCTCAAACTCCTGACCTCAGGTGATTTGCCCACCTTGGCCTCCCGAAGTGCTGGGATTACAGGCGTGAGCCACCGCACCCAGCCCAATGTGTAGTCTTTTATCCTTCACGCCCCTTCCATCCTTTTCCCGAGTCTTCAAAGTCCATTGTATCATTCATATGCCTTTGCATCCCTATAGTTTAGCTCCTTATAGTTTAGCATCCTTATAGCTTAGCTCCCACTTATCAGTGAGAACATACAATGTTCGGTTTTTCATTCCTGAGTTACTTCACTTAGAATAATGATCTCCAATTCCATCCAGGTAGCTGTGAATGCCATTATTTCACTCCTTTTTATGGCTGAATGTTATTCCATGGTGTATATATATGTGTGTGTGTGTGTGTGTGTGTTTATTGTTTTTCATTCCTGAGTTACTTCAATTAGAATTATAGTCTCCAATCTTATCCAGGTTGCTGCAAATGCCATTCATTCATTCTTTTTTTGAGTAGTATTCCATTGTGTACGGAATTGGTGGGTTCTTGGGCTCACTGACTTCAAGAATGAAGCCATGGACCCTCGCGGTGAGTGTTACAGTCCTTAAAGATGGTGTGTCCAGAGTTTGCTCCTTCTGATATTCAGATGTGTTTGGAGTTTCTTCCTTCTGGTGGGTTCATGGTCTTGCTAGCTTCAGGAGTGAGGCTGCAGACCTTCGTGGTGAGTGTTACAGTTCTTAAGGTGGTGCATCTGGAGTTGTTCGTTCCTCCTGTCCAGACTTGTTCATGCCTCCCAGTGGGTTCATTGTCTCACTGGCCTCAGGAGTGAAACTGCAGACCTCCACCATGAGTGTTACAGCTCATAAAGGCAGTGCGGACCCAAAGAGTGAGCAGCAGCAATATTTATTGCAAAGGGAGAAAGAACAAATCTTCCACACTGTGGAAGGGGACCCAAGCAGGTTGCTGCTGCTGGCTCTGGCAACCTGCTTTTATTCCCTTATCTGGCCCCACCCACATGCTCCTGATTGGTCCATTTTACAGAGAGCTGATTGGTCCATTTCACAGAGAGCTGATTGGTCTGTTTTGACAGGGTGTTGATTGGTGCTTTTACAATCTCTGAGCTAGACACAGAGTGCTGATTGGTGCATTTACAATCCTCTAGCTAGACATAAAAGTTCTCCAAGTCTCCACTAGATTAGCTAGACACAAAGCACTGATTGGTGCATTTACAAACCTTCAGCTAGACACAGAGTGCTGATTGGTGCATTTACAATCCTTTAGCTAGACACAAAAGTTCTCCAAGTCCCCACTAGATTAGCTAGAAACAGAGCACTGATTGGTGCATTTACAAATCTTTAGCTAGACACAGAGTGCTGATTGGTGCATTTACAATCCTCTAGCTAGACATGAAAGTTCTCCAAGTCCCCACTAGATTAGCTAGACACAGAGCACTGGTTGGTGCATTTACAAACCCTTGGCTAGACATAGAGTGCTGATTGGTGCATCCATGAACCCCGAGCTAGACACAGAGTGCTGATTGGTGCATTTACAATCCTCCAGCTAGACATAAAAGTTCTCCAAGTCCCCACCTGACTCAGGAGCCCAGCTGGCTTTACCTAGTGGGTCCTACACCAGAGCCGCGGGCAGAGCTGCCTGCCAGTACTGTGCCGTGCACCCACACTCCTTGGCCTTTGGGTGATTGATAGGACTAGGCACCGCGGAGCGGGGGTGGCGCCCATCGGGGAGGCTCAAGCCATGCGGTAGCCCACGGGGCAGGGGAGGCTCAGGCATGGCGAGCTGCAGGTCCCGAGCCCTGCCCCACGGGGAGGCAGCTGAGGCCTGGCAAGAATTTGAACGCAGCACAGGTGGGCTGGCAGTGCTGGGTGACCCAGCACACCCTCTGCAGTTGCTGGCCCGGGTGCTAAGTCCCTCACTGCCCGGGGCCGGTGGTGCCAGCTGGCTGCTCCGAGTGCGGGGCCTGCTGAGCCTGTGCCCACCATGCACAGCCCCGATTCCCGCCCGTGCCTCTCCCTCCACACCTCCCCACAAGCACAGGGAGCCAGCTTAGGCCTTGGCCAGCCCAGAGAGGGGCTCCCACAGTGCAGCAGTGGGCTAAAGGGCTCCTCAAGCATGACCAGAGTGGACGCCAAGCCTGAGGAGGCACCGAAAGCGAGCGAGGGCTGCTAGCACGTTTTCACCTCTCACCATCATATATATATATATATATATATATATATATATATATATATTACAATTTCTTTGTCATATATATCACATATATCTTTGTATCTTATATATCTTTATCATATGTGTATATATATATATATATATGTGTGTGTCTCACAATTTCTTTATCCACTCATTGATCAGTGGGCATTTAGGCTGGTTCCATATTTTTGCAATTGTGAATTGTGTTGCTATAAACATGCACACGCAAGTATCTTTTTCATATAATGACTTCTTTTCCCCTGGATACCCAGTAATGGGATTGCTGGATCAAATGATAGAACTACAGACATTTTTTGACCTGTGATATATGTAAATCTGTATAATAAAGATATTCTACTACTTTTACTAATGTCTACAAAGATGACAGTTTAAAAATCTCAACTCAGAAAAAAAGTACACAAAATTCCAATCAATGCCTATATTTATTTTTCCCCAAGCAGTTAGACAAATTGAAGGTGGTGGGGGAGGCTAGCTTCACTTGATTTCCAGTGAATAGTGCTGATGAGTCAGGACCATTACATCTCTCAGAAAATGCCCTGTAAAAAACAAAATCTGAGTGTTGTGTTTACTAAAGTGATACCATATGTTGGTTGATTAACAAGTTGTCAGAATATTAGAAGTTCTTGGCTGATTGCAAGAAGGAGCATCTGTTTGCTGGATCCTTTATCTAATGTGTGTACAGATAGCACCAGGTCTGGTGCTTTTCCTAAATATCAAATATAAATTCCTGTAGTATTTAGCTTTTAGAGAGTAACACCGATGTACAGCTAGAGTTGAAGATGTTTATTCTGAGGAGAGCAAATTAAGGCCAGACAAAAAGATAAGTGTGCATATAAGAGTATGTCATTTAGCATTGTTTTACCATTATCTCTGACATTATGTACCACAGTGAATGTTTACGTTAATGTCACTTGCATAGGGATTTAGGAAAAGAAGAAAAATCTCTTTTAGAGCTGTTTATTGTTTTATCTGTTGATGGAATTTAATAATGCTTTATTTGTATAAAGTGACTTACAGTTTAAAAATACTTTCACATTGAATTCTCACAACATTGTAAAAGATGGCAAGGAATCCTATCCCCATTTCATGGATGAAGAATCTGCAGTTGAGTTGGGATACATCCATCTGGCTTAAACATGGTGAAACCAGGACATAAAGCCAGGTCTTCTGAGGTGCTATGATGGGATTTACTCAGGGTGAAATTCTGGACTTTTCCTTTGTAACTTCCTGCATCTGTTCTCCACCACCTTTGATAACAGCCAGCTACCATATATTAGATTGTACCATTTTAATTTCAGCCAGTAGATTCCTTTTCACTGCCCATCAAAGCAGACATAAAATAAGTAAAGGGAGGAAAAGGGACTCTTCTTATGTTAACTGAGTTCAAAGTTAGAATTAGATTTCAGTTGTTCCATTTCCTTTGAAGTTTCTCAGCACCCATGGTCTTAGAACTAAGTGGCTCTGTGATATGACATACATTTCACCTTTTTCTTTAGCCTGAGTTTTTTTTGTTCTATATTTTTTGCAACATACAGGAAGACTATGTTATGGAGAATTTTTTTAATGTTTCAGGGAAATGGGACATATGAGGAAAAACAGAGTAGTTTCTTTTAAGTATCCCAAATTTTAGTTATTTATTTAAATCATAAGTCAGATGTCACTTTTGAGCATTTCTTCCTATTATTCATTTGCTTAATGTAGGGGAGGAAAAAAATAACTGTTTCTTTACCCTCTTAGATTCAGTGGCTGGGGTCTGTGAATTAAACTGACGAAGGATAATTAACAGGAGAAAGTGTTTATCTCCCATGTACACAGAGTGCCTCACAGAAAAGAAGTAAAAACCTTCAAAAAGTACTTAGGCATTGATGCTTATATACCATTTTAACAAAGAGCAATACATTGTGTATAAGTGACAAGACAAAGTAAAAGGCTTTTGGGCTTCTGATATGATTTGGATCTGTGTCCCCACCCAAATCTTGTCTTCAATTTTAATCCCTAATATTGGAGGTAGGGCTTGGTGGGAGGTGATTGGATCATGGGGGTGGTTTCTAATGATTTAGCACCATCCCCCCAGTCCTGTCTCATGATAGACTTCTCATGAGATCTGTTTATTTAAAAGTGTGTGGTACCTCCCCCCTCACTTCCTCCTGCTCTGCTATGTGAAGATGTGGCTGCTTGCCCTCCACCTTTTGCTATGATTGTAAGTTTCCTGAGGCCTCCCCAGCCATGCTTCCTGTATAGCCTGCAAAACCAGGAGCCAATTAAACCTCTTCTCCCTTTAAATTGCCCAGTTTCAGGAAATTCTTTCTTTCTTTTCTTTTTTTTTCTGAGATGGAGTCTCACTCTGTCACCCAGGCTGGGGTGCAGTGGTTCCATCTCAGCTCACTGCAACTTCCACCTCCCGGGTTCAAGTGATTCTTGTCCCTCAGCCACCCAAGTAGCTGGGACTACAGGCATGTGCCACCACATCCGGCTAATTTTTTGTATTTTTAGTGGATGAGGTTTCACCATGTTGGCCAGGCTGGTCTTGAACTCCTGACCTCAAGTGATCCGCCTGTGTCAGCTTCCCAAAGTGCTGGGATTGCAGGCATGAGCCACCATGCCTGGTCTAGGAATTTCTTTATAGTAGTGCAAGAACAGACTAATACAGCTTCTATGTGCAACAAATTGTAGGAAAGTAAGTATATGGAGGAAACTAGTGGAAGATGTGGATTATTTAATCAGTTTTATTATGCAGACTCAAGTTATTACAATCTTCAGTGATAAGAGTTATCTCCTTTTCCTGGTATGAAATTTATCCCCTGCTTTTAGGCAAAAATAGGGGTGGCAGAGAGTTCCTTCTGTATCTGCTGTTTCTCTATTGCCTTTGACTCAGAAAAATCCTTATGCCAAAGTGGCTTCTTTTAAGGTGGCTTATTCTGCTCACCTTCATTAACTTTGAGGACCTCTACAGTCAGGTCCTTCCCTATCTTTCCAGCTATATCCTCAACTCCTCAACCTTCTTTTTTTTTTTTTTTTTTTTTTTTGAGACAGGGTCTCGCTCTGTCACCCAGGCTAGAGTGCAGTGGCACAATCTCAGCTCACTGCAACCTCCACCTCCTGAGTTCAAGCAATTCTCCTGCCTCAGCCTCCTGAGTATCTGGGATTAAAGGTGCATGCCACTATACCTGGCTAGTTTTTATATTTTTAATAGAGATGTGGTTTCACCATGTTGGCAAAATTCTGCCTGTCTTGCTCTACGATTTTCCTCCTCTGAACTCATATACTCATACTCATCTCTCTGTAATACCATTTCCTTTCCTCTTCTCCTTCCCAACCTTACCCATCCTTCAACTCAAGTTCAAATTTGTTTTCCTATTTCAGTGTCTCCCCAGACCTCCAGCTATATCAAGTGGCTTTTCCTTCCAAATGTTTTGAAGACACATATCATTGTCTGAGGAATTAATTTGACAATCTGTCATTTAGTCCTGTGGTTGTGTTGTTTTAAGTTATGTGAGTCTTCTATTGTTATTTAACTTCTCACATTTTGCTCCCTTTTGTCTCTTTAACCTCAGCTTCTCTCTCTTGCTCATGTCTGTAATCCTGGAGTATTGCTTTCCAAAGTGTGAGTCAAGAACAGTCTGAGTCAAAATTCATCCCCTATTGTTGTTGAAAAGGTAGGGTCCTGATACTGATTATGGATCAGCTAAATTGACTTCCCAAATGATTCCTCTGTATAGTGAAGTTTATGAATCATTGATATAGACAGCACATGTTACTCATTCATTTATCCATGCAACAACTATTTGAGCACACGTTAGGAGCTGGTTACCTGGGATACAGTAGTGAGTCTGGCAGACATGGTCCCTGTTATCTTGGAATTTCTTATTTAGTTTGGAAGACAGACAATGAACAAGGACTTAAGATATGATGTCGGTTACAAAGGTGAGATGTAAAGACCTGTGGAAATATCTGAGAGGGGAACCTAATCTGGCAAGTGCAGGTATCAGGGAATATTTCCCAGAGGATATGGAGTTGAGACCTAAAGAGAAGTAGGACCTGGCTAGATGAAGTGAGAGGGGGAAGGATGAAAGGCCAAAGGAATTACCTGTAGAAAGGCTCTGAGGTGGGAAAGAGCATGCCCTCTTCTTTGGAGGGACAGCAGACAAGATCAACCTAACTTGAGTCTCCAAGTCAAAGGAGAAAAGTAATAGGAAGAAGAGCTAGCAAGGTAATGCATGGCTGGATTATGGGGGGCTTTGAGGCCATGATAAGGAGTTTGGAACTTACCAAATGTAGTAGGAAACAACTGATGGAGAACAGCCTGATCAATTTTGTCATTCAGATTATTTCAGTTCTAGAAGGTAACAAGAATGTACCTGGAAAAATAATTAAGGGACATAATGTAATATTCCAGGAGAAAGGAGATGATAGTTTTGTCCAGGTTGGTGGTAGTAGGATGGATTCAAATGATTCTTAGGAGATAGATTAGATGGAATTTAGTCATTAATTCCTTTTTGGGTGAGAGAAAGGGAAGTGTCAAGGATGTCTCTGATTTTTGTTTTAATAACATTTTGTGGAACCATATAACACTGAGGACCAGGTTTTAAGGACAAAAGTTCAGTTCCGGGTACACAGGTTTTGGAGTACCTACAGACCATTCAGGTGGAACATGCCTGTTCTTTTTCATATTTCCCATGGAAAGGGGGAATTTTAAGTGGGGCTTTGAGAGAATTGTGGAATTTAGATGAGCACGAGTGGGATCCAGTTAAAGGACCACAAATGTGTTTATCTACCAAAAGGGTCCCTTTGTGTCTTTTTTCTTACTTGATGCTTAGTGATGCACTGAATTCATAGTTCCATATTTTTTAATCCATCTTCAAAAATGACTGTGTTGGCTGGAAGCAGTGGCTTATGCCTGTAATCCCAGCACTTTGGGAGGCTGAGGCAGGCGGATCACTTGTGGCCAGGAGTTTGACACCAGCCTGGCCAACATAGTGAAACTCCGTCTCTACTAAAAATACGAAAATTAGCTGGGCATGGTGGTGTGCACCTGTAGTGCCAGCTACGCGGGAGGCTAAGGCAGGAGTATCGCTTGAACCCGGGGAGGTGGGGGGAGGGCTGCAGTGAGCCAAGATCGCACCACTGCACTCCAACCTGGATGACAGAGCAAGACTCCATCACACACACACACACACACACACACACACACACAGACTGTGTTCTCCAAGGAGATTATGATGGCTTTGTTTGTTTGTTTGTCTTCATTTTGTTTTGTTATGAAGTGATTTGAGTCAATGAGTCTCTTTGCATGGATTGTATTTATGTTGGTCCTTTGGTTGGGGGTAAGCTAAGGGTAGGGGCATATGTTCTTTAAAGTTAATCTATAAACACAATTTGTATTTTGCTTAATGTAGTATATTAATCAGTTTTGGGTGAGTTCAGACATACTTGAGGATATGAGAGAACTCCCATGAAGAGAATAAGTGAAAGCAGAACTATAACATTTTATACTAAAATTGTAGTGCTCCTGGTAAACATGTTTGGAGAGGGATTTTAGGAGATTATTTGCAAGAATCAGTTGGTCTTTGATAACAATACACTCTAGTTATGCAAGGGGCTATGGTTTCAACATGATTTGTTTCTCCCCACCAAAATGCATGTTAAAAAGTGATCCCCAATGTGGTGGCATTAGGAGATGGGATATAGTGAGAGGTGTTTAGGTCATAGATGCAGATCCCTTGTGAAAGGCTTAGTGCCATTCTTGTCGTAGTGAATGAATTCTTGTTCTGAAGGGACTGAATTAGTGCCCACAAGAGCGGGTTGCTATAAAGCTGGGACACCCCCCAGGTTTTCTCTTTTCACACATGTCTGCTTCACCTTTGACCTTCTCTACCATGTATGATGCAGCACAATAGCCCTCACCGGAAGTCAAGGTGATACCCTTGAACTTCCCAGACTGCAGAATGATGAGCTAAATAAACCTCTTTTCTCTATAAATTACCCAGTTTCAGGTACTCTTTTATAGCAACACAAAATGGATGAAGACACATTTCATAGAACTATTCAGATATAGCCAAATTTCCAAAAAAGAGGAAATAATGGAAAGCTACAGATTCTCCTTCTACCTCTTTTCTTCTGATTGTCCTTCCTCTCTTTCTGTTAGTCATCTGCTTCTCATTCATCTTCAGAAAAGAGAATAATGAAAAAAAGACAGTGGGGCTAAATTACTCTGTGTCCTAAAAATAATTCCCCCAAATCATTATTTGCTGCGTTTTGAAAATTATGCAAAAGGCTTTAAAACTAAACATGAATGATAGAATGTAAAAGTGGGTCCTTTGGTTGTCCTCATGCATTCCAGTATGAGAAATCCTTCCACACAATTCCTGAGCAATCCTCAACTAGCCTCTTCTTGGTTATTCTTAGCAGCGGGGAACTCCCTCTCTATTTTAGGAAACAACCATTTATTCCCACTAAATCTGGTTAGACTGAATAACTTTCCTAAAAATGAATCAAAATTAGTCTACCTCGGGGAATGGTTCTGCACCTCACAGCAACACAGAAGGAATCTATTCTATATGCTATATGACAGCCTTTCAAATATATTAAGACAACTGCCAGGTCTCTTCAAATCTTCTCTTCTGCAAACTAAATATCCCCAATTCCCTCAAATACATTTCTTACAGAACACAGTGTCTGCATTCTTCACCATCTTTACAAAAACATATCTCCCCTGAGCCCTCCCAAAGGACAATCACCCCTTTCTGAGTGACACTCACACTTTAAACAGCACCATCTATAGTAGGACAGCTGCCTCTTGGTTATTCTTGTGTTTACTTTTAATGACAAACACTTTAGCTTTCAACAGAGCCAGTGAGTGAAGACTTGGGGATATGTGCTGTTTTTAAAGCTCAAGCTTTCCAGGGTGGGTGGAATGTGTACGTATGGTTTAAAACAGAAGTGGTTTTTCATTTGTGGGACTTGAAATGGGCTGAATCCCAGTGGAATCACTGGATAATAAATGGGAGGGGTTTTAAATTTCATCAGAGTAAAATGGGAAGATATTTCCCCTTTTGCACTCTTTATGTGGCAGTTGTACCTTAATCTGCTTTTAAGAACAGCTGTTGCAACAGATGTTCATTTTAGATAGTATCTTTTTTTGAAAGTATACCCAGCAAATCCTTTTCATAAGGAGATGTTTATGAAAGCCCAAAACTTTTCCTAATGCAAATAAGCTATCATTTGTGCAGCACCTTCAGACTATCACCCACACAGACTAAGCACCTTCAAAGCGCACAGTCCTCAAGTATATGTTATGGAGGATTTCCCATGAGGCCAAAGCCCCATTTTGGCCTCAAGAAACTCCCAATGCACTGATTGCTGTCCAGCAGCAGGATTCCAGCCCATGGGGAGGTCACTGGTCAACAGAGCAGGGCTAGGAGAAACAGAAAAGCTGGCTGCAATACTGGCAGTATTCAATTCAAAACCAGGAGCACATGATTGTCCCTTTTCCTAGTTTTCCTTTCTGCCAGATTTTTGGCTCTGGCCCCATAGGTGGTCATTCAAACCAGATGAGGTCTTTATACTTGGAAATCACAGACACGCTGGAGAATTCTGCTCTTGGTTGGTACAGGGACACAAAACTATATTATCTCAGAAAAAAATATGTATTTCTCTCATTACGTATGGTATCTAATATAGGTATGTGTGACATTTATAAAATATATGTTTCTGTATGTAAAAAGAGAAAGAGATGCATAGGCTGAAATTTTTTTTAATCAATAAAAGTTCTATCTGAAATAAAATAGGATGCCCTTAAGAAGAGACTGCTCTTACTAGTCTCTATTCTCCACCAATCTCTCATCTAGAAGGGAAACTTCTTTGCTAAAGAGGGAACTCTCAGAATCACCATTTACCCACCTGTCTCTGTTGTGGGAGTCTTCACACTTCTACTACATAAGTAGTAAAACCCACAGGTAACCTGCAGGATAAGGAATTCCAGTTGGGGTAGGTTACAGTTACATACAAGGACACCACTCAGTTCCAGTTTGGTTGGTTAAGGCTTAATGAGAATCTCCTCCAAGACATTTGCTTCAGCATCTCCTTGCAAGTCCTCGAACTCTTCCTTTGTTGTAACTATCTGTTATTTTGTTACTTTTAATTTATTTGAATTAATCCATACCCATGATTTTAAAAATCAAAGGCTACTAAATCATACTATTACCTAATTTACCAGCTTTAAAGAATCAACTCTTGGCCAGGTATGGTGGCTCATGCCTGTAATCCCAGCACTTTGGGAGGCTGAGGTGGACGGATTACTTGTGGTAAGGAGTGCGAGACCAGCCTGGCCAACATGGTGAAGACCCATCTCTACTAAAATTACAAAAATTAGCCAAGCATGGTGGCTTACACCCCTAATTGCAGCTACTCGGGAGGTTGAGGCAGGAGAATTGCTTGAACCCAAGAGGCAGAGGTTGCAGTGAGCTGAGATGGCGCCACTGCACTCTAGCCTGAGTGACAAGAGCAAAATTCCGTCTCAAAAAAAAAAATTGCAAAACTTAGCGGAATGTGGTGGCAGGTGCCTATAATCCCAGCTACTAAGAGGCTGAGACAGGAGAATCGCTGGAACCTGGGAGGCAGAGGTTGCAGTGAGCTGAGATCCCACCACTACACTCCAGCCCTGGTGACAGAGCAAGGCTCTGTATTAAAAAAAAAAAAGATTCTGCATTTGAAAAATGAGGAAAATCAACATATTTACTCTAATTTCTGTCTTCCCTTCCCTTCTCCTCCCCTTCCCAACACATGTTAGCAATATTATTTTTAAATGGTCATTGCTCATAAAATTTAAGTTCTGAAATCATCATTCTATGGTTGTCTTATTTTTAGTTTTAGTGCTAAGTGGGTTCAGTCCTAAAAGCAGCCCTTTTGCCCTGACTTTTTCAATTTTCTGTTGGATGACTGGGGTTTGGACTTCCAATATTTCCTCAAAAGGACTCATGGGAACTATTTTCCTGAGCATTTAAATTTGAAAATCCTCTGGTTTTATACTTGGATGACAGTGTTGTGAGTAAAATTCTTGAGTCATACTTTACACCTCTGAAGACTTTGTGTCTATTATCCACTGCCTTCCAGAGTTGACTTTTTTGTCACTTACTATTTGATCTGTACTCATTTTTTCTTAGCCTATATTTCCATGTGTCAACTCATGTCCTTTATTTCAATAAAACGTCTTGAATTATCTTTGGATATAATTATACCTTTTCCTCTTCCAATTACTTGGTTTTCTCCAGTGATAACTGTTACTTAGAAGGGGGATCTTTGTTGTATCTCCCATCTATACATTTTTAATCTGGCCAGGCACAGTGGCTCACCCCTGTAATCCCACCACTTTGAGAGGCTGAGGCGGGCAGATCACCTGAGGTCAGGAGTTGAAGACCAGCCTGGCCAACATGGTGAAATCCCTTCTTTACTAAAAATGCAAAAATTAGCCAGCATGGTGGTGAGTGCCTGTAATCCCAGCTATCATGGAGGCTGAAGCATAAGAATCACTTGAACCTGGAAAGCAGAGGCTGCAGTGGGCCAAGACGGTGGCACTGCACTCCAGCCTGGGTGACAGAGTGAGACTCCGTCTAAAAAAAACAAAACGAAAAAATTTTAATCTAGTATTTTTCATTCCCTTTTCTCTTCCCCAGTTCATTTTACTCAGTTTCCTCAAATGTACTCTCTGTGACTCAGGCTATGTTTTTCGGCATCATCTCTTCTGCTCTACTCCTCTTCCAACGGTGCCTCATTTTTACGATGGTTTTATTGATCTGCCTTTGAGACTCTCCGTACAGCCCTGGTCTGCCAGTCTGACCATTGTCCATCGGAGCTGTTCATTAACTAATTGCAGAAAACCCTGATTATAGACCCCATCTTTGACTCAATTTTTCCTAACATGAGCTTCCTGTCTTGTCGCTTGTCACAGCATCCTGGGTCCGCTGCCTCCCTTTCTCTCATTCTTTTCTCTTTTGTATTTGCTCATATAACCTTTGTAGCTGACTGGGCTAATGGTGATTAATCTGCTCAGAATTTCTCCCTCTTCGCTGCCTCCCAGGTCATTTATTTCCTTTCTCAGTTCAGAGGGTCCGGCTTCCAAAAAATGTCACTGCTCTATACTTCTCCATCTCCCTTCACTCATTAATATGTTCTGCACTTTTAATTCATTTCCACTTGGTTATAAAACATCATAACTATCAGCAGAGAAAGAGAACCAGTACACTTGAAGATTCATCATGCAGTCCTGAGGGGGTGGGCCTCCTGCATTCAATTTCTTTGAAGTCCAGCATTTTATCTCAGAAAATAAGGCAATGGCCAGGCGCAGTGTCTCACGCCTATAATCCCAGCACTTTGGGAGGCTGAGGCAGGTGGATCACCTGAGGGCAGGAGTTCGAGACCAGCCTGACCAACATGGAGACACCCCATCTCTACTAAAAAAACGAAATTAGCCAGGCACAGTGGCACATGCCTATAATCCCAGCTACTCAGGAGGCTGAGGCAGGAGAATCGCTTGAACCCGGGAGGCGGAAGTTGCAGTGAGCCAAGATCGCACCATTGCATTCCAGCCTGGGCAACAAGAGCAAAACTCCATCTCAAAAAAAAAAAGATAAAAGGCAATAGGCCGGGTGCAGTGGCTGATGCCTGTAATCCCAGCACTTTGGGAGGCCAAGGCAGGCAGATCACTTGAGGTCAGGAGTTCGAGACCAGCTTGGCCAATATGGCAAAACTTCATCTCTACAAAAAATACAAAAATTAGCCAGGCATGGTGGCAGCGCCTGTAATCCCAGCTACTCAGGAGGCTGAGTCAGGAGAATCGCTCAAGCCTGGGAGGCAGAGTTTGCAGTGAGCCGAGAACCCACCACTGCACTCCAGCCCTGGTGACAGAGCAAAAAAAAAGAAAGAAAAGAAGGCAGTAATTTTATCCAACACCATAATATCTGTGTTTGTTTTAAATATGTTTATTTGTAGTGTTTTAAGTGACTTAGCTCTTCAATTAATTAACTCCTTTATCCCACCTCCAAACCTCAAGTAAAAGTGAAGCCTCAAAAACATAAGCCATAATACTAATGAGCTTTCCAATACTTTCTGTCATGCCCCTGGGAATTCTCAGGGGTAGAGGATCACAGCCAGGGATAAATCACATGTAAAAAAGGGTCCCTTATATCCAGCTTTGAACCTCTAGCCTGTGGCACAGTATGAGGTACACACCTGATTCAGTGATTATTGTATGTGGAATTGACTGAAATTGAAATTGCAAGCATTCTCTGCAGTATTCAATAGGCTGCTGCCTATTTCAGTTTATTCTTGGTGTTGTTCTAACTAAAATGGAATCTCTCTTCTGTAGGGAAAGAAAGATGGAGGTTGGGCCTTAAAGAATCAAGTGTAACGTGTTTGTCCTTTTTCAGGAGTCAGCTATTGAAATCGTCTTTGTTAGTTCATTCCTCCCAACATGGAGGAGACCGGACACTTTCCTCAAGCCTCATGTCCATGGGCTTGATGATTGATGAGTCAAAGCTTCATATTCCTCGGCCGGGTGCAGTGGCTCACGCCTGTAATCCCAGCACTTTGGGAGGCCGAGGCGGGCAGATCGCGGGGTCAGGAGATCGAGACCATCCTGGCTAACATGGTGAAACCCCGTCTCTATTAAAAATACGAGAAAATTAGCCGGGCGTGGTGGCAGGTGCCTGTAGTCCCAGCTACTCTGGTAGCTGAGGCAGGAGAATGGTGTGAACCCGGGAGATGGAGCTTGCAGTGAGCCAAGATCACGCCACTGCACTCCAGCCTGGGTGACAGAGCGAGACTCTGTCTCAAAAAAAAAAAAAAGAAAAGAAAAAGAAAGCTTCATATTCCTCACCTGGAATCTGGGGATGATGATAGTACCAGCCTTATCAGGTCGTTGAGAGGAATACATGATCCTACCATTGAAAGCGCTTGACCTGCAACCTGACATAAAGTGTACACTCATTCAAAATAGCTGTTGCTACTGTTAAGTGGTTGGCCGAAGGAGCACAGAGATCATAGGATGACCCCAAATCATTTTGGCTAAAAATGCTTCGAAAATATGCCCCTGAAACTGAGGAGCAATTCTAGACAATGATTGGTCGCCTTGGTATAGAACTCTACAATTCCCACAATTAATACAATAATTTAAAATATTTTTCTATCCCTTATCTTCCCCCCAAACACACATGTGCACACACTTTTACCCATGCAGAGGAGAAAGAGTAATACCTTTTTCTCACCCATCACAAGGGTCATGGCTGATACCCTATAACAAAAGACAGATTAACAAGAGAAAAGCAAACAAATTGATTTAATGTAAGTTTTACATGGCACAGGAGCCTTCAGAAATGGAGATCCAAAGACCTAGGGAAGACTGCGTGTTTTTATGTTTGGTTTGATGAAGAATGGACAGTCTTGTACAAGTATGATTGGAGGCTGAATGCAGTGGCTCACTCCTGTAATCCCAAGGACTTTGGGAGGCCAAGGTGAGAGGATTGCTTGAGGCTGGGAGTTTGAGACCAGCCGGGGCAGCCTAGTGAGACCGCATCTCTACAAAATGAAAATTTTAAAAATTAGCTGGGTATAGTGGTGCATGCCTATAGTCCCAGATACTCAGGAGGCTGTGGCAGGAAGATTGATTGAGCCAAGGAGTTCAAGGCTGCAGTGAGCTGTGATCATACCACTGTGCTCCAGCCTGGGTGACAGAGTGAGACTCTGTCTCTATTTAAAAAAAAAAAAAAAAAAGTATGATTGGACATACAAAGGGTATGATCTAATGATAATAAACTGAGGGGGAGCTTAGCAAGGCCTGTTTGTTCAGATTCTTCTTGACCTCTCTTTGCGGCAGGCGTTTCCCCTTGGTATAAGGCAAGATACCTGTCACTTAGGGATCTTATGGCCCATTTTCAGGGGAGGTTGGTCAGAGAATTCCTTTATGGCTGGCTCTTAAACAGAAAGACTGGGGAAAGTCAAAGCTAGTGACCTGCAAGGTACCATATTTTGGGGTAACATGTTTTGCACCCCAATGCCCAGAAATAGTAAAACAGCAAAGCAGGAGGAGGTTTTACCTACAGGTCCCATGCGGTAGCCATTTCTCATCCTTACTTCGAAAGCCTGAACTTCCCCAAACAGCTTATTCTATGTGAGGCGCTGAACCCAAGCCTCCCTTGACTCAGAGCTCACCGTATGGTAGAATGGTCAGCAGCCCTAAATTCCCGTGGGCTTTAGAAGTTAGGGCTTTCCCACAGCAGGATTGCCCTGGTTGACAAACACAAGGAATCCAGAAGTTTCTCCTACCCACAGATTCCCCCATATTTCCTGGGAGAACCCAGTGCTATCTAGGAGTTCCAGAATTAGGACGAGCCATGGAGGATATCCTGTTTAAGGGAAGGCAGGCTGCTGACCAGTTATTTTCTTAACACCTTTCCATCCTTTGGCACCTACTCCAGGAAATGCCAGCCAGAGCTCTCCAATTAGCTACCATATGGATAGAGTCTATAAGAAGAAAATGTATAATCCATATCAGTTAAGTGCTCTGAAGAGCAGATCATTCCAGGGAGGGAAAGGGATAACCAGGACATGGGTTTGTCATGCTTAAAAAAAAATGATCAGAGGCGGGGCTCGGTGGCTCACACTTGTAATCCCAGCACTTTGGGAGGCCAAGGCTGGCGAATCATTTGAGCCCAGGAGTTCAAGACCAGCCTGGCCAACATGGTGCAACCCCATCTGTATACAAAATACAAAAATTAGCTGGGCAAGGTGGTGCACACCTATGGGAAGCTAAGGTAGGAGGATGACTTGAGCCCAGAAGGTTGTGGCTGCAGTGAACTGAGACTGTGGCGCTGCACTTCATCCTGGGTGATAGAGTAAGACTCCTCTCAAAAAAAATAAAAAACAAAAGATCAGTCACCTTGTACCACATTGTCTAATTTTTTCATAATGTAGTTTTACTCTATTTAATGTGATTTAAAGACCTGCATTCCTGACTATTAATCTGGTCAGGAATAAGAAACATTTAACAGGCACAATAGGAAAGTTCTCCATTCAGGAGAGTTATATAAGGTTTGGAAATACCTGCAAAAATCAGACATACTATTTGATAGTACAATAGGGTGACTATAGTCAACAATAACTTAATTGTACATTTGTGTAAATGCATTGTTTGTAACACAAAGGATAAATGGTGCCCCCCTTCTCCATTATGTGATTATTTCACACTGCATGCCTGTATCAACACATCTCATGTACCCACAAATATATATATATATATATACCTATTCTGTACCCACAAATATTAAAAATTTAAAAATTTACAAACAAAATTCTTGCAAAAGCAACCCAGAATAGGATCAAGCCTGGAGGCAGTGAAACTGTAGTGGGTAACAGATTTCATTGCCAGCTTCATGGTTGAGGCATGTGTAACAAAGGACTTATTAGCAAGAGAAAAGTGTACAAATTTACTTTTTATTTTTTGAGACAGAGTCTCGCTCTGTTGCCCAGGCTGGAGTGCAATGGCGCAACCTCAACTCACTGCAACCTCCACCTCCCAGGTTCAAGCAATTCTCATGCCTCAGTCTCCCAAGTAGCTGGGACTACAAGTGTGCACCACCACACCTGGCTAATTTTTGTATTTTTAGTAGAGACAGAGTTTTGCCGTGTTGGTCTGGAACCCCTGACCTCAAGTGATCCCCCTCCTTGGCCTCCCAAAGTGTTGGGATTACAGGCGTGAGCTACTGCTCCCAACCACGGATTTACTTAATGTAAGTTTGGGTTGACACAAGAGCTTTTGGGTGTTAACACAAGAGCCTTTGGAAAGGAAGATCCAAAGAAAGAGGTGAATGTATGTATGTTTATGCATACGTCTGGTGAAGAGCGGAACAGTCACGCAGAAGTATGATTAGAAGATAAAAGGAAGTGATCTAATGGTAATGAACTTAGGGACTCAGCGATGATTCTTTGTTCAGATTCTTCTCTATGTCCCTGTGTCTTCAGAGACAAGGATGCTCCTTTCTTCCAGGTATAGGGAGGGCATCTCTCACATTAGGGTCTTGCCACCTGCTTCAGTGGGAAAGGATAAGGGGAAAGGATAAGGGGAAGGTGCAAGAAACCTTCCTGCTTCTGCTGTTTTCTCAATGTCAAGGTATCATATTTGGGGGGTAGTATGCTCTGGACCCCATCAAAGCAATCATTGCGACCTTGTTTTCCAGTGTCATCCCCATAAGGTTAAGTTCATCACATCCCATTTGTTCACAGCCCAGGCTTCTAAGAGAAGCACATTTGGGACAGAGGGCATGGGGCCCTGAGATGGCCCTCCAACCTCAGTTAGAGGTCACACCCACACCAGGACTCTTGAGGTCCCTCAGGGGCTTGGAGAAATGCACAGGACCCAATTCACTCTGCATGTGTGACCAGAGGTGACATTTACAATGTCTGGGGTGGTGCTTACAGCAAGACCTTGGGAAGATTATGTTATTTGGTGTTTCTTTATTTATCTTTTTGAGACAGGATCTCACTCTGTCACCCAAGCTGGAATGCCTGGTAGTGCAATCATAGCTCCCTGTGGCCTCAGACTCCTGGGCTCAAACGATCTTCCTGCTCAGCCTCCTGAGTAACTGGTACTACAGGCATGTGCCACCACACCCAGTTAATTTTAAATTTCTTTTTGGAGAGATGGAGTCTTGCTATGTTGCACAGGCTGGTCTTAAACTCCTGGGCTTAAGCAATCTTCCCATCTCAGCCTCCTGAGTAACTGGGACTATGGGCATGTGCCACCATGCCCAGTTAATTAAAAAAAATTTTTTTGAGAGACGGGGTCTTGCTATGTTGCCCAGGCTAGTCTTAAATTCCTGGGCTTGAGCGATCTTCCCACCTCGGCCTCCCCCTCCTGAAGTGCTGGGATAACAGGCATGAGCCACCACACCTAACCTAAGCTTACATTATTAATGGCTAAAAAGCTCTAGCTTCTTAAGGTTCCCTCAGTAAAGATACAAATCTTATAACTCTGATTTTATAGGAGTCCTGCGGACTTATCTGGAGAGAAAATTTGCTATGAAGCAACAGTCAGATACAAGATGTTATACCAGTGTTCAATTTCAATAGCTGCTTCAGAAGCTGTTCCTCCCTGATCCAAATGTAGCCCTGTGTAGACAATGGGGTCTTTGCTGTCCTATCTCTGGCGATCTGTCCTGCTCAGCTATAAACACAGCGTTAGATGTTTCTTCATCTTCCCCATGGTCAGGTCAGATAATACTTATCTTCCTTTATCTGTGGGGGAGAACTCTCTAAATTGTTGCTATCTAACCTGAACATGAACAATGGCTTAAATTGTTTCTTCTTGAGGAAATAAACGAGCTGCGCCATGCAGAACTGCGCTAATCCAGATAACTCCATCTGGGTCAACAGTAAATGAGGAAAGTGCTCAGTTCTTAACATTTGACAGTTAGAGCAGATCACAGTACTCAAGGATTTTTTTTTTTGTATGAACTCCATCTGCAGCGTTTTCTACACACACACACACACACACACACACACACACACACACACACACAAAGCAGTCACGTGCATGTTCATGTACTTTGGTTTCTTCATTTGGAGATAATTTAAAATAGGCCAGGTGCGGTGGTTCACACCTGTAACCCCAGCACTTTGGAAGTCTAGGTGGATGGATCACCTGTGGTCAGAAGTTTGAGACCAGCCTGGCCAACATGGCGAAACCCCATCTCTACTAAAAATACAAAACTTAGCCAGATGTGGTGGCGCACACCTGTAATCCCAGCTACTCAGGAGGCTGAGGCATGAGAATCACTTGAACCCGGCAGGCAGAGGTTGCAGTGAGCTGAGATCACACCCCTGCACTCCAGCCTGGGTGACAGAGTGAGACTCCATCTTAAAAAATAAAAATGAAAAATAATCTCCAAGGAGCCTATAAATACATTACCAAACCTATGAAACCTTTCCCACCAATCTTGGCCTTCATTTCCCTCCTCTCCCCTCCCCTCCTCTCCCCTCCCCTCCTCTCCCCTCTCCTCCCCTCCCCTACCCCACCCCACCACTCCCCTTCCTTCATCCCTTCCTTCCTTCCCCTTGCTATGTTGCCCAGGCAGACCTCAACCTCCTGGCCTCAAGCCATCCTCCCACCTTAGCCTCCTAAGTCACTGGGACTACGGACACTTGCCACTCCACCTGACCTCTGGCCTTTATTTTCACTCTGCTGAACTCCCAAACCAGGTGTGTCTACAGCTCACTTTGTCCTTAGCACAGGCAGCCTCTTTTCTTTGTTTTGGGGGTTGTTTTTGGAGACAGTCTCGCTCTGTCAACCAGACTGAAGTGGAATGACATGATCACAGCTCATTGCAGCCATGATCTTCCCATCTCAGCCAGGCTCAAGCGATCCTCCTGCCTCAGCCTCTGCAGTAGCTGGGACTATAGGCATGCACCACCTATAGTCACACCCAGCCAATTAAATTTTTTTTTTTTTTTTTTTTTTTTTAGAGAGAAGAGTCTCAGTATGTTAGTCAGGCTGGTCTCTCAAACTCCTGACCTCAAGTGATCCTCCAGCCTTGGCCTCCCAAAATACTGGGATTAGAGGCATGAGCCACAGTGTCCAGCCCGTGTCTTT
The DNA here is from genome assembly GCF_000001405.40 of Homo sapiens. NCBI lineage: Eukaryota > Metazoa > Chordata > Mammalia > Primates > Hominidae > Homo > Homo sapiens. The sequence continues at coordinate 24,194,917 of NC_000010.11, forward strand.
ATTTCTATTGTATATGACTGTTCTTCTCTGTACGAGGATAACAAGTCCCCAGTCTTATCCCTCCATGCTCCTTCCAAGTGCTGGAGGCCAAGAGGAGAATGAGGCTGTCTTCCTCCTCTCCTGGTCCCCTCCCTGCCAGGCCACCCTGGGTGGGCTGTATTCTTCCAGGGAAGGCAGATTCCTCCAGGCAACCCTCCCCTTGACTCTCTCTCTGGGCTGGGGAATGAGCTTTCTCCTCTTGCTCCTTCAGGCCTAGGAGAAGTAAGAGTCCCTGTCCCTGGACTGCAGCATCCCTGGAAGTATGATCAAAACCCTGTCCAGTCCCATGGAAACTCTGCAGTGCCTTTTATTAAGCTTCCTGTATTTCCAGCTACAAGATGCCATGTCTTCTTAATCCAGACCCTGACCGAGAAAACCATTAGGAGATGGCTCAGGAGTATTTCTCCTTGTTCCAGCTGAAGCCCAAATCATCCTTCAATGATGGCTCTGACTCTGCAGGTTGCCCAAGACAAGGAACCCAGAAAACAGGGCTTTTGTGGACGAGGCAGCCATGAACCTGCCCTGTCTCGAAGGTTCTTTGGGGATTAATTGTTGGGACTGGGGATAAGCGTTTCTGTTTCAGGACTTCTACCTCCAGAAAAGAACAGAGGGAGGTTGGAATCAGAGGGCAACAGAGCCACTAAGATAATATGTGAAAATGCTCCCAGGAAAGTCAGAATATGGGAAAATCTGATGACAGCGAGATACTGAATGAGAATTGTTTTTAATCCGCCAGGAAAGGAAGTGGCTCTGGGGAGAGCCACTGAGGAGCAAATCTTTTAGGTGAAATGTGCTAAGAAAGGGAACTTAGGAAAGGTTTTGCTTTGGTTTTTGTTAGTTTTTACAAAGAACTAGGGCTTTGCTGATTATGTCATTGAAAAAATATGTATTGGCTGGGCGCAGTGGCTCACGCCTGTAATCCCAGCACTGTGGGAGGCTGAGGCAGGAGGATCGCTTGAGGCCAGCAGTTTGAGACTATTCTGGGCAGCACAGCAAGATTCCATGTCTACAGAAATTTTTTTTTACATAATTATCCAGGTGTGGTGGTGTGCACCTGTAGTTCCAGCTAGTGGGAGGCTGAGGCAGGAGGACTGCTTGAACCCAGAAGTTCAAGGCTGCAGCAAGGTATGATTGCACCACTGCACTCCAGCTGGGGTGACAGAGTGAGACCCTGTCTCAAAACACACACACACACACACACACACACACACACACACTGCCCTCACAAGTTGGAGCATACTTACATTAAAGGCTTTATTGTTACCTGATTTGAATTAATTAGGCATCCTGTGTTTTCCCTGGCAACCCCACCCAACGCGCAGTGTCTCTGGTCACAGTGCCTGGAAGGAGCACATTGGGGCCTCACAGCTTCCAGGCAATTGCACAGGAGGCAGCTCAAAACAGTAATCAATCTTGGGAAATTTTCCTGATTTCTGTTTTCATGTTTACATTTTTATTAGAAAACAAAAAGCATTGCCAAAAGTGGATGTTTACAATTGCTTGGGGGTAAAATATTACTATGATTCCTGATTCTTGCTGTACCAAGTATCGGGGATGATTAGGGAGAAGAAATCCAAGAATGCTTTCATTGGAAATTCAGGAAAAAGTTTACACCTTGAAGAGGGCAAGGCTGACGTTCATATGCAGCCTTTTGACTCTCTCGCCCCCTAGTGGCCATATGCCTAAACAGGGGTTTGCGTTCCTGCTGGTGACAGTTGCGTCCCCTTGGACTTCTCCATTGCACTAACTCTGCAGTAAGTGAAGTAATAATAAAATACATAGGAAGGTGAAGGTCCAGGCATATCTAAGCCCCAAAACCAGTCTGAGCGGTGCGTAGAGACAGGGCCGAGGTGCAGATGCTGCGCTGCTCCCCTGTAGCCTCCAGCTGTTTTATGGGGCTCCTGGGCTAATAGGGGAAAATCTGGCTTCACACCCTGGGGATTGAATCTGCCTAGAGTTGGTTGCCTTTATTTACACTCATTTACCCAACAAATATTTCTGGAGTGCCTACTATATGCCAGGCACCGTGCCAGGTGCTAAGCATCATTACACTTCACATCCTTCACTACGATATGGAGTTAAACGAAAGAGTTTGCACAGAGTTCTAGAAATTGTACCCAAAGCAAACTGAACACACAGCTAGGCACAGGCAGAAATTTGAGAACTGTGAGGGGATCTATATAACCAATGACCTTTTAGTTAAACTAATATCCCTGCCACATCCTTTCTTTATAACTCATATATACACGGTTTCAGCATCTTTTTTGATAAATGGTCATTAGACTTCTTGACAACTATTTATAATTCGGCACCCAGTAATCAATCAGAGTTGCATATGGTACAAAATTAATGCCATGTGATGTGCCTGGAGCCATTTCTGACTTATGGAAAAAAGATGGTGTTGGCAGAATGTTGAATTTTCATCCCTGTTTCTAGAACGTGCAATGCTGACTTGCTGACATTGAAAGAATGTACCAACAGAAACCTATTAGAGCAGTGAACTTGTTTTGGAAATAGTTGGGTTGGGCCTATTTGTGGTAGCACTGACCAAAGTCAATCAGGGAAAAGAACTGAGGCGGAATGTTGAAACATAACCTGAGTTTGTTCAGCAGTCTGGAGCATCTCCCAACTTCCACTACCCTATGTGCAATTTAATTTCTACATCCTGCCAATTTTACTTCCTGAGTATTTCTCAAAGCTTTGCCTTCTTTTTATCTTTATAATTCCCTTAGTTTCAAATCTCACATATTTTTTCCTGAATTACTGTAACAGAAACTTTATTGTAATCTCTTTTCCTGCTTCTCTCAAATCCATTCTCCACACAGATTTATCTCAAACACAAATCTGATCATGTCCTTAGTCTGCTATTGTCTTGTTCATGACTCCATGGTGCTTGCAGGACACAGTTCAAGCTTTTTGTGCATGAAATGCATGGACCTGACACCTGTCCTGGTGCGCGGAATGCATGGGACGGATAGTTGTCCTGCCACATCCACCATCATTCCATCATCTTTCCTATCACATCCCTCCTGGGGTTTTGCAGGTGCTCTGAATTGGTCTGTGAGCCTATTGAGTGAATATCCAAACATATGCATCCACCTCTGTGCTGTGTTGCTTATGAGTTTTCTCCTTGGTAAACCAGGTAACCCTGATGTGACCGAATGCCATTATTCAAAACATGTTATGAGTCTGTGTTGTTTTAAAGAGTCCCATTATCAGTGGGTAATATTTCTGTCCGATTCCAGAAGCTTACTGCCCTTCTCTTCCCCACTTCTCAGCTACAGAGAATTCTTCAGCTAATTCTCTTTGGTGTTCAGGATTTCATTAATCGGATTCTGACCTCAACATAAAATGGAAATGTTTGGGATACTGGGTGGGCGTGGTGGCTCATGCCTGTAATCCCAGCATTCTGGGAGGCTGAGGCGGGTGGATCACCTGAGGTCAGGAGTTTGAGACCAGCCTGGCCAACACGGCAAAACTCCATCTGTACTAAAAATACAAAAATTAGCCAGGCGTGGTGGTGCAGGCCTATAATCCCAGCTATTTGGATGGCTGAAGCAGGAGAATTGCTTGAACCCGAGAGGCAGAGGTTGCAGTGAGCCAAGATCGTGCCACTGCTCTTATCTCGAAAAAAAAAAAAAAAAAGCATTTACTCAGGATCTGTGTGTGCCTCGGGCTGTGGTAGGAAATGGGGATTCAGAGACAATAAAGCTAGTCTTACTCCTTGGTGACCTCATAAATCTCATGAAAGAGGCTCACATATAAGCAAAGAAAGTGCGACAAATGTTCAAAAATCTACGGCTTCTCTGATCAATGTCAACATCCTTGGCCTCCACCACTGGCAAACTGGGGCTTAATAGTTTTTTGAAAAACTGAAGGTGTGAGTGAGTAACGAGATGGATGAATTGATCATCTTTGGCCTAAAGCAGTACTCTCCGAACTACTAGGCCTTAGGAGGCAATGTTCAGTATTACATGAACAAGCCAGGTGTGGTGGCTCACGCCTGCAATCCCAGCACTATGGGAGGCTGAGGTGGAAAGACCAGGTGAGGCAAGGAATTCAAGACCAGTTTGGGCAATATAGTGAGAACCCATTTCTATAAAAAATTTGTAGAAAATTAGCCAGACATGGTGGTGTGCACCTGTAGTCCCAGATACTCAGGAGGCTGAGTTGGGAGGACCACTTGAGCCCAGGAGTTTGGAGGAGTTTGGGGCTGCAGTGAGCTGTGATTGCACCACTGCACCCCAGCCTGGGTGACAGAGAAAGACCCTTTCTCAAAATAGAAAAGAATTAAATAAACAAAACATTTTACATTTTAATAGTTATATATTTACTATACAGGATGTAAGAAAATATGCAACTGTTTTATCAAACCCAGAATCTAACAATAATATAGATGAGAGGAAGCTTAATATTTTAAGCAAGTCAGTATAAAGTTAATACTAATATAAATGGTAAGAATTTGACCCAATTACCTCTTAAAGACCCCACCTTTCCACATTGCCACACATTAGTGATTAAGTTTCAACATGAGCTGTGGCGGGGACAGACATTCAAACTATAGCCGAAGAGAAATTGTTGAAGTTTGGGAAACAAAGTAATTTTCACTGTTTCCTTTTCTTCAGGTTTTATTCTTTCCCCAAATTCAGCCTACAGTTGACTGTTTTATGTGCAACCAATGGCAATTTTTAACTATGGAATTGAAACCTTTGAAAAGATAAGACAAAGCTGTGTGTGTATGTGTCTGTTTTTAAAGATGAATCAAACTGTGTTTATTATTTATTTTATTTCATAAGTGATTCTGTAAACTGACCACGTGAATGTCCTGATTTTCATAGATTATGACTGGCTCAGGTGACAAGAAATAGACATACTAATAACCTAAGAACCTTGGGTTATTATTTATATTTGGAAGTAAGGAAAAACAGGAAATGGCTTTCCCAAGCCTCCTGAGCAGCATTTAGGAGACATTTTATATATTTTTATTTATATATTTATATACATATTTTAGGATAACATTTAGGATACAGCAGTAGTGGCATCAGGCTGACAGAAACTCTGGGAAACCCACAGTACACTGTCCTTCCCCCCCATGCACCCCTGCCCAGGCTTCAATGTCTCCACTCCTGCTTCCTTCTCTACCTCCTGCTGCTACGCGGTCTGCTCTGCTGATCTCTCTCTTTCTCCTTTTCTCTCTTTCTTTGGTTTGTGTTGCCTCATGGCTTTTGGTTGCTGTCACTTTTTTCATTATTTTTTAATTTTTTTTTTTTTTTAAGAGATGGGGCCTCGCTGTTTCCTAGGCTAGAGTGCAGTGGAGCTATCAGCTCACTGCACTCTCAAACTCCCGGGCTTCCGGCTAATTTTCTGAAAATATTTTTGTAAAGATGAGGTCTCGCTGTGTTGCCTGGGCTGGCCTCAAACTTCTGGGCTGAAGTGATCCTCCCACCTCAGCCTCCCATGTAGCTAAGACTACAGACAAGAGTCACCAAGCCACCATGCCACTGAGCCACTGTGCCACTGCACCACCTGGCTATGCTTGCTGTCTTTGTGCACCTCAGCTTTCGCCTGCCATACTGCCTGCATCTGGGGTGACCAACTCAACCCAGTTTTCCTGGGACTTTTCCAGTTTCAGCACCAGGCCACACCCAAAGTCATAGGTGAACTGGGATGTTTGGTGACGCCACCTGTATCCCTTCGCTATATATTTCATATTCGAATTCTGTAAAGGAGAAGAGGGGAAATCTGACTGGATCTCTTTGTCCCTTGTCCAACCCGGGGAGCATCTGAGCTCTTCCAGCTGAGCCTACTGATTGCACCAGTCAAGCTTGGGGGTGATGAAAGGAAGCATCCCCAGCTGCCTTTCTCAGAAGGGGCCTGTGAGCAGAGTGAGCCTGGGAATATCATCAGGTCCTGTAGTCCATTTTCCACACCAGTTTGTATCAGTGCTGCTGCTGAACATGTTGGGTGAAGGTATGTGCAGATGAGAGGTGGCAGTAGGGGGCAAGCAGAAACAATTTTAAAAATCATTGCAGCAGCTGGGTGCCATGGCTCACACCTGTAATTCTGGCACTTTAGGGGGCTGAGGTGGGTAGATCACCTGAGGTCAGGCGTTCGAGACCAGTCTGGCCAACATGGTGAAACCCTGTCTCTACCAAAAATACAAAAATTAGCCAGACGTGGCGGCACGCACCTGTAATCCCAGCTACCACGGAGGATGAGGCAGGAGAATTGCTTGAACCCAGGAGGCGGAGGTTGCAGTGAGCCAAGTTCCCAAGACTGTGCTCCAGCTTGGGTGACAGAGCAAAACTCCATCTCAAAAAACAAAAAAATTCGTTGCACCTTTTTTACTTTTATGAACTCAAGCGTTACACAAATTAGGCTCCTAATATAGTGTTATGGAAACCCTGGCCCAACCAGTCATTAAATATTTTATCCCACTCAATATTGTCCAGTTCAGAGATTGTAAATTTTGCAAAAGGGAGTGTTTACAAAGCAAAACGATGTCATCTGGGAAATGAAGAATGTTAAGCTCTAGCAGCCCTGGGGAGAAACACAAAATGCACTTCGGCTTAGGGCAGAGAAGCTTAGCCATCAATACTTTGTAAATCCTGGAGGGCTTCCTCTACCTCCTGCATGCCAGCACCCCCTCTACCCACTTGGCTCCAGAAATTAGTCCTTCTGTATTAAAACTGTTTTTCCATCTGCAAGGAACAGAAGTCCCCACCCTGCCCTACCCCGCCTCTGCTTCCGCCCCACCTTCAATTCTGTGGACTGAGGTGGGGAGAGAAAAATAAAATCACTGTAAAAATACTTAACTTCTGAAGCACGTGACTGGCTTTCAAGAATTCTATAAACTCGAGGGTGAGGCACTTGAAGAAGTTGGAGGCATGGCTCAGGGCAAAGCAGGGGCTACAGTGAGCCCTTTGAGTCTCTGGACACCCCTCTCGAGCGCCCCCAACCTCCTGATCACCCCTGATCCTCCTATCCAGCACCCCATTCCCAATTCTTCCTGGTGTTCTGAGACCCCCGAGGGAGTGCAGGCTGCACGCAGGCAGGCGGCCCAGCCCCGGGTGCTGGGTGACCCCCTCAGCTCCAGGTGTGGCTGCAGGACTGTCAGCCTCCCGGGGGTGACATGGAAAGGTGAATGTATTTGCACTGCGCCTTTCATTCTGTAACATCTGTGTCTCTGTTTCTCTTAAAGCCTATGGCCATCACTCAACCGGAGGCTGAGAACTGATGAAAAAGTGGAACAAAAACAAAATAAAACTAGCTGCGTTGTTGAAACAAAGTCAATTTCAGTGTTTATTTGGCAGAGAAGCCAGTAGAGGTGATCAAAGTGATCAGGGCAATTCACTTGTTTCGCTGGCCCTGGGAGGGAAGGTGAGGAGCTCTGAATTCCAAAGGTAGGGGGAGAGGAGAGCAAAGCTCAGGGGAGAGAGCGGTCAGGAAACTCCCTGGGCACAGGCAATCCCTGCCAGGACTCCAAGACACCAGTCACAGGCTTCTCCTTCTCCTGCATCAGGGTGACCTGCAGGGCCCTGTTCTCGGAGCCTCCACCCTCCACCCTGGGCTGCACCACGGCCCCCAAGCCTTCATGAGCACCGTTGCCCAAAGGCTGTGCTCTGGTTGCACCCTTGCTCCCAAGCTCCCCTCACAGGCGCTTTCCCCTATCCTAGCAGCTCCACGTCTCCTCTGCTCTGAGGGTGGTTTCCATCTTTGGCCTCATCCTCCTGGAAGCCCTGCCCCCCAGGGAGGTCCCTGGCATCACAGTCTTAGCTTACAGACTAGAGGTCTCAGTGACTAGAGCAGGCGCCCAGCTGCAGGGAGACTTTGATAAATATCTATGGCCGAACTGCATGATGCCTTAGGGCTCTTACAGCAATGCCCCCCAAATAATACCAGACCCAATTCTATAGTTGAAAGAAGAGGAATTTTAGAAAATAGGTATACCGGGCCAGGGGCAGTGGCTCATGACAGTAATCTCAACACTTTGTGAGGCCAGGGCTGGAGGATTGTTTGAGCCCAGGAGTTCAAGACCAGCCTGAGCAACATAGTGAGACCTAATGTCTACAAAAAAATATAAAATTAGCCAGGCATGGTGGAGTGTGCCTGTAGTCCCAGCTACTTGGGAGGCTGAGGGTAGAGGATTGATTGAGCCCAAGAAGTTGAAGCAGTGAGCTGTGATCATACCACTGCAATCTAGCCTGGGTGGTGGAGTAAAAACTTGTCAAAAAAAAAAAAAAGAAAGAAGAAGAAGAGAGATACCTCCCCTTTTATTCTTCATTTCCATCTAGCAAAATAATAAAAATAATATTGATGATTGAGGGGTCGCCTTGGACAATTGCCTTGGACTTCAGTAGTGAAAAAAGAGGATAAAAGATCCTAAGGTATTCATCAAGTATAACAGAGCAAAGGCTGAACAGGACCCTGGAGACGAGAAAGATGGGAGAGATGAGAGCCACACGTTCGAGAATGCTCCAGGAGTCAGTTTGTTCAGCAGCAAAGTTGGGGGATGTTGGTGGGGGAAACAGGGAGAAGTGTACTCCATGATCCTAGTTTTGGCAACTTGATTGGTTCCCCTTCCTTCTTGCTCCCCCTACCCCCCAACCCCCACCTCCACAGGTCACTGCAGCTTTGAGAAATGGCAGAGGAGAAGCTCAAGGGCAGAAAATAAGCCAGGAGAGTCTCTTTCCCCCAAATACTCTATTGAAAGGGTTGATAATGAGGCACTGTGGGTAAAGCAAGGTAGCAACCCAGGTGCTTGTATCTGTAGAAGCTCTCATATTCTCGTGGATTCCACCCTGGCCCTTCAGGAACTCTGGGAAATATGCCATGGTTTTGCTCCCTCTGGGATAAAAGGGGTGAGCAGATACATGTTACACTTTTCACTTATAAGTTGCCACCTGGAATCCAGACTTTGTCTGCAGTGACCAGAGGGCAGAGCTGAGCGGGGCTTTCAAGACGGTATGCTGCACAGATGCCAGCTCTGGCCACAGTGCTGTGCACACGGGGTCTTTGCTGCCCAGCATCTATCTTCCAACTTAAAATAGATAAAAGAAACCATAATAAAAACCAACATCAATGGGTTCTCTTAAAAAGAAAGCAAATATGCTTAAAGTATTAACACATTGGATCTATGTGTAGTTTCACATCATATGACCACATGAGGAATTTGTGTGGAGTAGCAGGAGAGTTCCAAGACATTTCATAGGGAGATTTGAGTGTTGGTGGGTGGCGAGGGGCTCCTGGGCACCTCACTTATTGTCTGGCAGGATCTCCTTGGAGCCACTGGAATTTTAAGGACTTTAAGTAAGGGAAGATTGGTTACCCTCTGGAGAGAATGCTGGAGGTTACCTGGTGAAATTGTTGCTCTTAACGCAGAAGGGAAAATTCTGTTTTGATCTATGAGTCATATAGAAATGTATTATACTATGGAATCTGCGAAATTGTTTGTTAGTGGGGCTTGTAATACGGTCCGTGTGAGGCTCACACCTTTGCTCTAATTATTGTTTAAGATTAATTATTTTTTAATTATTGTTTCAGATTCTTTTATAGGGTCTTTGTTGGGAAACTCAAACAGTATCATTATGTTCCCCTCACATTTGGAAACCTAAGGCGCCCAGAGGGCTTATCTTGGGATCACACATAGGTGGCCATCTGTGCTGGTTTGCCAGGGACAGTCGTGGTGTCTTATTGTCCAGTTGTAATTATTAATAGTGTCTACTTTCCCTCTCACAAATGCTGGTTTATACTAAGTATAAGGTCACCCTAACCACCTGACACATTGCTGTCAAAACTAGGATTGGAGAGCCCACATTTCACATGCGCCAGATCATCCATTTAAGCAAATGTTATCCCAGTTGTTAAAAATCCTTTATTTCTGACTTACAGGGCCTCATACCATAGCAGCCTGTCTTTTAGAAACAGTTAATGTGGAACACATCAAACACGAGGCCTCTGGTTGAAACACTTTTGTTGACTTCTTTGTTTTTCACTTTGTTTTAATTGACTCTCACAGTTATGAATGCCTTTGAAAAGTACATTTTAAGGACTTCAGCAAGCATTAATTATTTCTTTTGTGTCCTGATGTCAAGTCATTTTCAACTATCTGGTTCTTAATAGGATTTAAAGTGAAAAAATATTAAATATGTATCAGGGCAATTCCACTTACTCTTGGTTCTTGCAATGATTTCTCTGTTGAAAAACTTACATAGGCCAGGCACAGTGGCTCACGCCTGTAATCCCAGCGTGATTACTTTGGGAAGCCAAGGTGGGCGAATTACCTGCGGTCAGGAGTTCGAGACCAGCCTGGCCAATGTGGTGAAACCCCGTCTCTACTAAAAATACAAAAAAAAAAAAAAAAAAAAAAAAAAGCCAGGCGTGGTGGCACATGCCTGTAATCCCAGCTACTCAGGATGCTGAAGCGGGACAATTGCTTGAACCCTCGAGGCAGAGGTTGCAGTGAGCCGAGATCGCGCCATTGCACTCCAGCCTGGGCGACAAGAGCAAAACTCCGTCTCAAAAAAAAGGAAAAAATGCCGGGCGCGGTGGCTCATGCTTGTAGTCCCAGCACTTTGGGAGCCCGAGGCAGGCAGATCACAAAGTCAGGAGATCGAGACCATTCTGACTAACACGGTGAAACCCCATCTCTACTAAAAATACAAAAAGTTAGCTGGGCGTGGTGGCATGTGCCTGTAGTCCCAGCTACTTGGGAGGCTGAGGCAGGAGAATCACCTGAACCCAGAAGGTGGAGGTTGCAGTGAGCCGAGATCATGCCACTGCACTCCAGCCTGGGTGACAGAGCAAGATGCTGTCTCAAAAAAAAAAAGGAAAGAAGGAAAAAAGGAAAAATTTACATGAAGGAAGTTGACATGCTTTCCACAACCCTATAATTGGCCTGCTGAGAAATCATATGCAATTGTTTACGATTTTTGTGATTAATTCTCTTTATGGTGAATGCCATTTACGTTGCGTTATCAACACCAATAATGGTCCAGTTCTGTAACGGGTTAGCTATGACTGCAAAATCACCATTTGTCTTTACAGCACTCTTTTATCTCGTCACTTGTCTTTCCTTTTAAATGACATTTGTTTTATGTGGTAGCTCATTTTGAGTCATGAATTGCAACATATGGAACCACTAACCAAGAAATAGTCTTGCACCTTTCCCTGTTAACAGAAACGGAGTTGAAAACTTAGCCTCCTGGTATTATTATTATTCTAGTTCTTTATATGACTGGAGGAAAATCAGATTTCAAGTTCTTCCCGCTTTCCTTATGCCTTTCACAGCAAATTTCAAAGTATAGCAGTAGGCAGATTGCAATGTAATAGCAATTTTTAAGCCCAGAAATTAAATTAAACCAGAAAGAAATACACCTACTTCTAGTTCAAATAGTGTTTCTTCCAGAAAGAAGAACATCTCCACAGTAACAGCAGTGACAATAAGAGTATTTTCATGAAGATCGGAGTTACCAGGTTTATATAGATTGCAGAATACAGCTACTGTTTTCCAGAGACACTGACAATCAGTGCTAAATTGTTAGGAAGGTCTCTGTGCTTTGGAGAAAGATATGGAATAGTCGGTGCAAGGGCAAATAGAGTGCCTTCTCAAATTGTTTTCAGTTCCTCTTCTTAAGGAGGAACAAAAGGCCAGTAAGTAATCCAATAGAAGCTTTTCCCTATAGAATGGTCAGAAAGTTTGATCATTCAAAAGAACATTATTTTACCATAAATACATGTCTAGGTTTCATGATCCTTAATGATTCATGTTAATTCTCTTCCCCCAATGCCTTTTTCTGTTGTGCATATCACAGAGTTTTGTTTCCTGGAATATCAGCAGAGAGGGCAGTGGGCTTGGCCCGTATGGGGGAGGGGAGGGTCCTAGCAGCTGGAAAGCAAGGTCGGCTGACCAAGGGGGTTCCTTGGGCTGCCTGGAAAATGGTAGTTCAGACCTGGTGGGAGACATTTCCCTATTTTTGTCCATCTAGGGGTCAACAGAGGCCTGAAAGACTGCTCTGACACCTTCCAAACAGCCCCCAGGAAATCTTAATCAGCATCTGCCAATGGATCTTTTCTGCCTGGGTTGAGCTAGCCAGGAGGGCCCTGGGGCAGGGTGCTGTTTGTGGCTGCCAACGGCTGTGGCAGCCCTCTGCTGCCTCCTTCATCCTGGGGTTTTTGCCTTTGTGCTACACCAAATGACAGGTAGGAGCTGTTAAGCACGGGCTCTCTGGACACCAGAGCAAGGGGATTGGGGTCACAACCAAAGGCTGCGGGACATCTGATTTGGGCTGCTGCATCTCCTGCTACAGTGTTTCTCTCTCTCTCTCTCACACACACACACACACACACACACACACACACATACTTTTCTCCCACCCTCCTCCCCACTCTTCCTAGCATTAATACTTTAAAGACAAATACACAACAGTATACAAGAATCAGGATGATCTGGACCTGAAAGGCTGAACACAGCAGGGCCCTCCTTCATGAACATTTTGCACCTAAGGAAATAATAAGGTTAAAACTAGATTCATCTGGCCTTTGCCCAGGGGCCACCAGGACAGAAACTGTGTAAGATTAGTTCCTCCTTAAAGCAAGATTGCCAGGTAATTCTGTTGCAAAGTCATAGAGACCTTAAGTTATCTGCCCTGCAAATCCCACTGCCTCTATTCAGGCTGCCGAGGCACTGCTTTAATTTTTTGAAAGATTCACCGCGTCTTCTTGGATTTCAAGAAAAATCCCGTTAAGAATTGAGGGGCTCTCTTCTTCCCCTCCTGACGTGAGTGTAACTCACTTCCTGGTATGTCTCCTTTCCTTTTGGCCTACATCCTTTGTCTGTTAGGTGCTTCCACATCCTTATGTCTTAAATGGCCAAAATACGTCACCCCCACTGCCAAAACACACAGGTCACTCGAGGTCACAATCTGGAACATAGGCTGGCCATTGTTCAGCACACATTCTTGATCTAAATCAATCTCAAACCTTGCTGGAATGCCCTGTAAACTGGGGCAAAGTATGGTCACCAGACTAACCATTGTCCTTTTTTACCCCTCCTGTGACGGGGCTACTACAGGTTACAAAATCGCGCTCTTCCTCCTAGCTACTGTGTTACTCTGAGATATCTGACATCGCAGAGCTAATGTTGCCTAAATTATTTTCCCATCCTCTTTTTTTTTTTTTTTTCGGACATCATGCCTCCTATTTTCACTCTCTGGGAACTCTGCCAGTTTTTCAAGGACTGGGTAAAGAACAAAATAAATATTTGTAGGTGGTTTAAAAGGAGAAGTATGTTGGTTGTAACTCTGCCTGTCCAAAGAAATGCATTTTCACTGTCTTTCAGATTTTTGGAGTCGTTAACTGGGAGAGCTTCAGAAGATTGACTTTACTAGTTTACCTTTCAGATTTGTGATTAAGGGCTGGGTGTGTGTGTGTGTGTGTGTGTGTGTGTAAGTGTGTTGGGGGAGGGAGGAGTCTGAGAAAGTGAGCAAGTACGTAGAAACTTTTTTTTAAAAAGTCCAGATTAAGTGATTGAAATCGACTGTGTGCAAATGACGCTATACCTCTTCATAGATGTTAATCGGGCCCTAAAAAGTTAGTGCCGGAAAGTGCTTACTTACAACACTCAGCATATACTCTTTCTTTCAAATTGTTTGGGATTTTTTTTTAAGGGAGTTCACTGAAATTTGGGAGGTTCAACAGGTTGCTGTTTTTTAATATGTGGATCACCCGATTTGGGAGGCTCACTCTGCCTCTGAGATTAAAGAGATGAGGGCACTGGCTCCCAGCGAAGGCTCTCGGCCTTAATCATGTGTGAAATGTTTTCCTTCCTCGGCTGCAGAGCCTCGGTGGTTTGCAGCAGTGGAACCAGGCAGGCCCAGTTGTGGGTAGGAGAGGCCGTCACCTGTTGAGGCCTCCCCCCCACACCCCCGCATCGCCCTGCCCTGGCAGAGCCCAGCCCCCAGTCCCCGGAGAGCGCGCCTGAGGACGGACGGACGGACGGACGGACAGACCTAGGGACGGAGGGCCAGGGGCAGGGGAGATCCAAGAGGCCCCGCGCTGGAATGCAGTTTTCTCGGGCGAGGGAGACTTTGCACCGGAGTGGAAAATAGTTTGGGGTGGGGTTTCGCACCGTCCCCTCCTCCCCAGCCCCGGGCCCCCTCCCAGGCGCTTTCTGGGAGCTTTTAGAACTGCGCTCTGAAGTTTCCAGAGAGCGAGGAGCTTTTGCGGCAGGCAGAGACAATGGAAGAAAATGAAAGCCAGAAATGTGAGCCGTGCCTTCCTTACTCAGCAGACAGAAGACAGATGCAGGGTAAGTAACAGACCCATTCAAAGATGGAGTTACAGGGACGCGTGCCCCTTGCCGCTTGCTGCTTTTTATAAACTGCAGCTCTGGGACCCGGCAAAGGAAAAAAAAAAAAAAGGCAATTTCTTGGGATGGTACATTTTCCAAACTGAGTAGAGCATAGAGAACTGTGATTTCTTAGGCTTGACTTTATCTCTGGCACGATTTTCTTAAGCAGCAAAAGAGGTGGTGGGGTGATGTCACATTTGTAGTGCAGTGAGCCATCAGCATGAGCTGTATCTCTAAGCAATGACAAATAAATCACTAAGCAGCTTTTAATCATTTCCCCCCGGGGCTCCAGCCACGGGAGAAAGGAGCTGTTTTTGTGAAACTGTCTCTAGGACCGCAGCTTCCATTCATTGGTTGGGGGATTCCATGTGGCAGATGCATGCTGGCTGCAAAGTTTGTGCAGAATTTTAGAGTTAAATCACAGAAACCAGGCATGTTTTATTTTACAGATCCGAGCAGCAGGGGAGGGCTTGAGCATCTGGGTGATAGATAGAACTCTGGATCTTCTTTTATGTTTTAATTCAAAACTTGGGAGTTGTTGGACAATTTTGGTAAATTTTCTCCAGGCAGTTTCCCTTTAATTGTGTTTATAATAGACTTGTCTTTTCCGTAGGGAATTTCCAGAAGCTTATGTTGTTCCAAAGAAATTTCGCACCGGGTTGGGTGGCCAGAGGAGGTCCCTGCTCTCTGGCATCTGATGCCTGTGATGCCAAGAGCTGATTCTGTGGGATCCTATAGGCAGCATGTTCATAAACCACACAGCCCTGGACCACCCGCCCCACCCTCCCTCAGGTTCATGCAGGGGCCAGTACACAACAAAAAGACGTGCGGGAGTGCAGTGCTGTGCGTGGGAGTAGGGATTATGCACAGGGGAAAAGGTGTGTGTTTTATGAAAATGTGAAAGGGAAGTAACACATGACTCATCCACGCTGAAAATGCAAAGCTAAGCCAGTCAGGAGAACTTACAATGACAAGAGATAGAAATCCCCCAGTGAAATGCAGAAAACTTGAAGTTTTGTAATGGCTGGAGAATCCCTGAGTCTGAACAGTCATCTGTCGAAGTGTCTGCCTTCGTGCTGCCAAAGCACAGCACTCTCCTTCAGGCTACCGGGGTCAGTGGCATCCAGTGGAAGATAAGGCTACCTCGTCCCCCTGACCCCCGCAACCCCCCACCCCCATTTTCTAGGACAGGATCCTACTTCAGGAATTCAACCTCTGGGCCTGTCCTGAAAGAGATGACTCAGATTCTAGAGGGGCCATTAGAAAGGGATCCATTTAAGAAATGACTTTCCAACAATCAGGGCAATTCAGAGGCTTCAGAGGCTAGGATGGTCAGCCTGAGACAGTGTGCTCCTTTGCTCACTAATTCATTCATTCAGTGAATATTGAGCATCTGTTATGTAGACGTCACTGTTTTAGCTGCCAGACATCCAGTGGTGAACAAAGCAGACTAAAAATACTTGCCTTCATTTAACTTCCAGTGTAAGGACCAAGTTTCAGGGGGTGGGGAGCTGGTAGAGACAGACAATGAACAAATAAATAAAATATATAGCATGTTAGATGGCACGGCTGCTGGATTTAGCAAATAAAAATACAGGAGGCCCAGCTAAATTTGAATTTCAGGTAAACGGTGAATTTTTTTTTTTTTAGTATAAGTATATCCCATGCCATATTTGGGATATACTTATGTTAAAAATACTTCTCCATTATTTATGTAAAGTGCACATTTAACTGAGCAGTCCTGTATCTTATCTGGCAACCCTATTTGATGGAAATAAGGTTACAGAGAAAAATAAAGCAGGAAAAGGAATAAGGAGTGAAACTGTAAATAGGATTATTAGAAAGAGCTTCGCTGAAGTGATATTTGAACAAAGACAGGAGAGGTAACAGCAGGGATGTAATGTTTTCAAAGAACAGCAAGAACATGGGAGAAGGATGGGAGGAAAAGAGATTGAGAGGTAATCCCAGGCCAGATCACCTAGGGCCCATGAAACCATTGTAAGGACTAGAGCTTTTATTTTGAAAGAGGTGGGAATCTCCTGGCAGGTGGGACTACTTTTTTTTTTTTTTTTTTTTTTTTTTTTTAGAGAGGGTCTCATTTGTCACCCAGACTGGAGTGCAGTGGTGTGATCATAGCTCACTGCAGCCTTGAACTCTTGGGCTCAAGCAATCCTCTGGCCTTAGCTTCCAAATAGCTGGGACTACTGGGACATGCCACCATGCATGGTTGTATTGTATTGTATTGTATTGTATTGTATTGTATTGTATTGTATTGTATTGTATTGTATTTTATTTTATTTTAGAGAAGGGGTCTTGCTATGTTGCCCAGGTGAGTTACAAAGGGATTTGTCTTTTTAAATGGGGTAATACTGGGTGCTGTATTGAGCACAATCCAAGTAGGGTTGAGGGAAGGGCAGGGAGGCCTTTAGGAAGCTTCTGCAGTCAAGGAGGCAAGAACCAGGGCTAGCTTGGACCAGGCGGTGATTAGCAGGCGGTGATAAGCCAGCAGATTCTAGGTGTATATTGAAGGTAATGCCCAAAGCATTTCCTGTAGCCTGGGCAGCATAGTGAGACCCCATCTCTAGAAAAAAAAATTTAGCTAGGCATAGTGCCCTGTAGTCCCAGCTACTTGGGAGGCTGAGGCAGGAGGATCACTTCAGCCAGGAGGTTGAGACTGCAGTTAGCCATGATTACACCACTGCACTCTAGCCTGGGTAACAGTGTAAGATTCTGAAAGAAAGAGAGAGAGAAAGACAGAGAGAAAGAGAAGGAAGGAAAAAGAAAAAAGAAAAAAAAAGAAGAGAGAGGAGGGGAGGAGAGGAGAGGAAAAAAGAAAAGACAAACAAGACAAGACAAAAGCAATTGCTAAAGGATTCAACTTGGGATGTAAGAGAAAAAGAGGAGTCAGAGACAACTTCCAAAATTTTGGTGTAAGCTGCTGGGAGAACGGAGTTGCCATTTGCCTAAGTTGGGGAGTATTTACGAAGAACAGATGAGAGGGTGTTTATGGTTTGAGGTTCTGAGGAGCAATCTTTTGATAGATTAGGATTGAGAAGTTTATCAGGTATCCAAGTGGAGATGTTGACTACAATTTGGATATTAATCACTAGAGCTGAAGGAAGACTGAGAACTGAGAGATCCCCTAAGATTGAATCTGTGTGCAGAAGAAAAAGTCCAAAGGATGCCCCCCGAGGCAGTCCAGCATCTAGAGGTCAGGGAGATTGGAAGGAAGGGCTGGAAAAAATAGCAAAAGTGGAATAAAAATCCAAATTAGATTTTTAAAATCCTGTTCAGTTCTGGGTGAATATGATGCTGTAGAGAAGCATGGCTTCATTTTTAGTTCTCCCGGTGAGCACGAGTGCCGCAAGGGAGAGCAACATCTCTGATGCTAACATCACCCATAACGTTCATTTCTATCATTGCATTCTCTCTTGTGTCTGCCTGTGTATCTGTTTTACCCAATGACAATGTGATATTCCACAGCAAGGACCATGTTTTATTTATTCACGTTTGCATTTCCAGCACCTAACAGAGCACTGGGCAACCTAACAGAGCACTCACTGGGCACTGTAGAAGGCACTCAATAATCATTTGTTGAATGAAAGGCTAATTTTACCACTTTGGGACTTTGAGTTTATTATCCTGCTATAGATAAGGATCCCTAGGGTGATCATGTAACTTACTGTCCAAATGAGATCCTTTTGAAAGTGAAAGGGAACACTCAAATAATTTTACTGGGACAACAGTTGTAACCCAGAGCTGTTTTGGCAAACTGGGGTATATGATCACCCTAAGAATAGCTCTAATCAATGAAGCTTCCATGGCTGAATAGCCCGGCTACCAGGTAAATAACAATGGGGAAGTGTAGCGCATAGTGTGCTTTGCGGAGTAGGCACTCAACAATTATTGGTGGAACATGAATCTAACTGTATCATATTCTCTTTGAAGCCCATGGGCTCTACATTGTGACCCTGGGGCATAGGCATTCCTTGGGATGACTCTGTCCACAGCAGTCCTGACGTGTGTGCTTTTGCTCTGGTTCCTAAGGTCTTGAAACCTCTATGCAAGTGAAGTGCTATTAGCCCACCTGCTTGCCTTCCCCACTGTCTGATTGGCAGCCTCCCATCGAGTGCAAGCCTGGGGAATCAGATATGCAGAAGCCTCCTCTAAAACAGCCCCCTCAGTCTCTGTACCCTTATCCCGTTTCATTCTTCAAAGCACTTACCGTTACATGACATTTAGAGTCTATATGATTTGTTTGTGGTTGGCCTATTTCAAATGTGGACTCCTCTATGAGGGCATTAAGTCTGACTTGATCTACTTCACACTGTATCTCCTAACTCCTTTCAGTGTGGGAGCAGGCAGTCAATAAATATTTGTATGAATGAATGAATGAATCAATCAGTGCTTGACACAGAATGCTTTTCTGGGAAGAGGAGCTCCTGTCTCTATTTTGTCTAAGATCTATACCAGAAATCCTCTTCATCACTGGTAAAATTTTAAGGTACTATAGAGGAATATAATGACCTGGTTTCAGCTGTAATTTCTGTGCTGATTTGTATATATATTATGATAGTAACAAGGGAGCTAACCCCATCACTTTGGGATGCTGAGGCAGGAGGATCACTTGAGGCCAGGAGTTCTAGACCACCCTGGGCAACATAGTGAGACCCCATCTCTACAAAAAAAAATGTTTTTAAAGTAGCCATGCATGGTGACTATGCACCTGTAGTCCCAGCCACTCCAGATTCTGAGGCAGGAGGATCACTTGAGCCCAGGAGTTTGAGGCTGCAGTGAGCCATGATTGCATGACTGCATTCCAACCTAGGTGACAGAGCAAGACCCTGTTTCTAAAAACAAACAAAGAAAAAAAACAAGGGAGCTTGAAAACTGAGGGATGCTGTAGGATTCTGCGGCCTGCTAACCGATTATGTGTATTAATCAGATAGGCTAATTGTTGTAACCACCCTCTAATCTTGGTGGCTTTGCATGATTAAGGTTAATTGTTCACTCAGACACAGCACAGTGTGATTTCTGTGGCCAGGTGGATTTCCTGGGTGGCCGATGAGGCTCCTCCTGCCTTGTCACTATGGCATCCCCCACGGCGTTGGAGGGTTCTGCTGGATCCTTTGTATTCAACTGGCCAAAGAGTAAAGAGAGAGAGAACGTGGAAGGTTATTTGGGAGGTCTAGGGGCCCCAACAAAAGGTGGCCCACATGGCTTCTGCCCACAATACATTGACTGGAATTAGTACAAGGACCCAGTGAGATGGAGATGGCTGGAAAATGTGGTCTTCCTCTGTGTGCAGCAGAAGAGCGTTCTGGTCGAACACATAGGGCTGTCTCTGCCACGGTACACCCAGAGAGGTTGTACAACCAGACCAAACAGCAACTCCCTATGATGCTCCCTATGACAAGAGAGCTTCTCAGCACAATTGAGAAGGAGACAGCTAACCAGAAGCCACTAGAAAGAAGTGAGGGATGCCTTCCCTAAGAGTCTGTGGCCTACCTAATCTTGACCCAGGAATAGGATCTCAGGGAAGCCATCAGCACTGTTGCTGGCTCTGGAGCAGGTGTGGAATGCCTGAGTGGTGCAAGGCCCCAAATCCCTTGCTGCAGGTCAGCTGACCCAGCCAGAGTAACCCGAGTTGTGGCAAAGAAGCTGGCCTTGGCAGCGCCTGCAGTTGCCTGCCTGCCGGACTTGCAGTGCGGCTTTCTCCTTGAGGAGGCCCCATCTTCCATGAGCCTCTGCGTGTTTGGTGTCTGCCCCAGCCCCTACTTTCTATGCTTTCTTTCCAGAATGCCAAATCCTAGCCTGGGAGCTCCTTGGATTCCTGAAGAGTGTCCCTTTAGCATTTCTGCCTGCCTTGTCCTCACTTCTCCAGGGAATGTTCCAGGGATTTTGCTCGGCTTTAAGCTCCTATGTTGCTCTTTGCCCTGCTTGAAGTGAGCTCCCAGGAGGAGTTGCCCTGGGCTCTGCAGAGGCTGGGAGGGGCAGGAAAGGGAAACAGGACTGCCTTTCAGCAAGCCCAAGCCTTGCCTTCATGCTACAGCTTCATTATTTTGTTTGACAAGGATTCCCAGAATAGCGAACAGCTAGACACACCCATATTTAAATGTTAACACCAAAGCGCATTCCAAACAAGAAATCGAATTGTATTTCTGTTTTGATGACTTGGATAATCCACACTTGAGCTTTTCTCTATTCATGTGGATAATGAGGAGTTGGCCAGGCTCAGATCTCTGACAACATGGCTGTGGAATTGTGACTAAATGTCCTCTGCCTGATCCCTCTCTAGTTTGTAATCATTCTTAGTTTTTCTCCACTGAAAAGACCACATTCTCCTTAAATGGCTGGAATGGCAGAGTTGTTGCTTCTCCCCCAGGTGTGGGGCTTGACGCTTCCAAGAGCTGAGCCTTGTCGAGGAAAAGGCTCAAGTGACAGATGTGCTGAAGTGCCTTTGTGTGGAAAGTGGCGTTAGGTGGCTCTGAGTGCTGGTGACAGGAGAGCAGGTGCCTCGAGGTAGGAGGGGAGGCAGACAGGATGATAGAGCATTGGGCATTGGGTGGAAGGCACAAGGCAGGAAATTGAGACAAAAGGAAGGAGTGAGCTCCAAAGGCAATCCGATGTTTGCCAAGTGGCTGCATTGAGCCTTCTAGCCTTGCTAGTGGTTGATGCTTTTTGTACCTTTCCTCTAAATCGCATCAATCCTTGTTAAGCAACTGGAGATATTTTGGAAAAATCCACAAGAAAGAGAAAAAACAGAAAAGCAACATGAGGTGAAAAGTGCTAGGAAAAAAACAGGGGTCTGATGAGTCTAGTCCAGTAAGTCAGGGCTGCTCAAAGATTAATGTGGACTGAAGATTGGCTCTGACCCCCAAAACTCTCCCCTTCCATCTCCCTTCCCAACTCATTTCAAAGAAGAAAGAGGGTTTATTGTCCCGGCTGTCTTGAACTCTCTTGATGCTCTTTGGATGAAACAGAATAGATCATATGAGCCTGTGCAGCATAGTAAGGCAGGATGCGACTTTCTGCCGTTATTGCCGTTGGACATGCATGGATGTTTATCTGTATGGCTGTATGTGTGTATGTAGACAGATGTGTGTATGCCTGCATAAGAAATCACCTTTCCAGAGGCTCAATCCTGTTAATTCATCTAGCTGTCCTGGATAACTTAAAATATATTTTCTTAATAATGTCAAAACTAATCTTCCAATTCCACTTAAAAGTCAATAGCATTGCTGGGTGTGATGGCTCATACTTGTAATCCCGGCACTTTGGGAGGCTGAGGTGGGCAGATCACTTGAGGTCAGGGGTTCGAGACCAGCCTGGCCAACATGGTGAAACCCCATCTCTATTAGAAATACAAAAATTAGCCGGGCATGGTTGCGCACGGCTGTAATCTCAGCTACTCGGGAGGCTGAGGTACAAGAATTGCTCGAACTCGGGAGGTAGAGGTTGCAGTGAGCTGAGATCGCACCACTGCACTCCAGCCTGAGTGATGGAGTGAGACTCTGTGTCCAAAAAAAAAAAAAAAAAGGTAAAAAATAAAATAAAATACATAAAAATAAAAATAAATAGCCAGATGTGGTGGCACACATCTGCGGTCCCAGCTAGTCAGGAGGCTGAGGCAAGAAGATTGCTTATGCCCAGGAGGTAAAGGCTGCAGTGAGCCATGATCATGCTACTGCATTCCAGCCTGGGTGACAGAGCAAGACCTTGTCTCAAAAAAAAAAAAAAAAAAAAAAAAAAAGGCAAGAGTGTTAGATCAAGTATACAACAATTTTGGCTGATATGAAACACATGCACAGCACTCAAAAGATAAAGCTAAACCTCTTCAGATTGCACAGGTATTTATCAACCTGAGAGACAGCATTTTTGGCATCTAGCTTTGTTCAGTAGATCCTGTTATTTCTCTGTTATTAAGGAAGAGATCATTTTAAAGGTAGCCATGATGTGAGTCTAAGTGTTGGAAGCGCAACCTAAATAAATGAAATGACAGTTTAGCCCCCAATATCTTTTAAACCAATAGTTCCATCTTCTTCTCCTTGTAAACTTACTGCTGAAACTAATGAAAAGTAGAAGAATTGACTAATTTGGCTGTGCTTTTCCTTCCCTTCCCCATCAGTGTCTGATGGAGATGCTATAATTAGCAATGTAATGAGAATTGAAGGGTAAACAAGAAGAATTATTCCCAGAACACACATCAAGGGTTAGAAGACTGGAACAGGAAAACCAGCCTGAGATGAAAATATTTTCTCTGCCCAACCAACGGGCATCTATACCTAGAGTTCTATATACAGATCTTTCTAGGCAAAGACAAGGGAAAGAGTGGTGGTCACATTGCTTTCAGGAAACTGGTTTATGCCTAGACTCTTAACACCTGTTGCTTTGCAAAACTAGTGTGAAGGATTGGTTCTCTGTTTATCTGGGATTCAACTGAGCAGAACTCCCAAATATTAAATCTGTATTTTTCTGCACTTAACTTGTAAAGATAAATAATTGGCAAATATGCTTCTATTGGAAACTTATTTTTAAAAAAATTAGAATAGTTTTAAAAGATTTAGAGGTAGAAGGCTCTTTGCATACCTAATGTTAGTTCAGTCGTCTTCATTTTATTCATGAAGAGAATGACACTGAGAGAGGTCACATCATTTGTTCTAAATGTCGGATTAAAGCCAAGATTCCTGAGATCCAGCCTAGTACTTTTTCCAGGGAATTCAGTGGACAAGGAAACATTATTCTGCCTATATCAGCAATACTTTATGATAAGAACTGTTCTTCGTGAAGAGCCTGACTTCATGAAGAGAGCCTGTCTAACTCCTGAAGTGCTTCTGAATGTTTTACTTTTTCTCCCTAATCTATTTGTTTTTTTTAAAAAAGTAACTCTTTTTTCTGAGCTAGCTGGAATATTCATACCTGACACCCCATCTCCCAACCATCGAGGATGAATGGAGATTCCCTTTACATGCTCCCCACTCTCAGCATTGACATCATATGACTTGGTTGATCTGTTCTTAGCAGAAACCAACTTGTCCCTTCAAAGCCAGCTCAGAAGGCAGGATGTCTTAGGTCCAGGCTATCAGGATGTACCATTGCTCTTCCTTTTCACTGTGTTTTAGGTAAAGTCCACCTCAAGTAAAATTTGTCTAAGCCTTTACTTTATAACTCCTCGATTGTTACTTTTTTTTTTTTTCTTTTGAGACGGAGTCTTGCTCTGTCTCCCAGGCTGGAGTGCAGTGGCGTGATCTCGGCTCACTGCAAGCTCCGCCTCCCAGGTTCACGCCATTCTCCTGCCTCAGCCTCCCGAGTAGCTGGGACTACAGGTGCCCACCACCATGCCCAGCTAATTTTTTTGTATTTTCAGTAGAAACGGGGTTTCACTGTGTTAGCCAGGATGGTCTCGATCTCCTGACCTCGTGATTCACCCGCCTCGGCCTCCCAAAGTGCTGGGATTACAGGCATGAGCCACGGCGCCTGGCCCTCGATTGTTACTTCTGATGGTATTCTTATGCTTGCTTGGTTTATGCCAATATGAGAAAATAAAATTTTCAAATGGTTCACATGTGTCAATGATTACTTACGTACAGGGTGATAGCTATTTTTGTTCTTGGTGATGAAGCAAATGTTTCAGAAACCCGACTGAGCTTATATAAGAATCCTGTTACCAGAATGCAACTGTTATTAAAAATACAGAAATAATCAGAATCACTGGAGTTAACTCTTTCTATAATTACAGACAAGGATAAGGAATAACCCTATTGCCTGCACACAAGTAGCCTAACCAAGTGTTCTTGAGGGTTTTCTTGTTTTTGTGTTTTGAGACAGGGTCTCACAACTGTCACCTACCCAGGCTTGAATGCAGTGGCACGATCATAGCTCACTGCAGCCTTGACCTCTTGGACTCAAGCAGTTGTCTTGCCTCAGCCTCCCGAGAAGCTGGGACCACAGGCGTGCACCACTACGCCTGGCTAATTTTAATTTTTTGTAGAGATAGGGGTCTACTATGTTACCCAGGCTGGTCTCGAACTCTTGGGCTTAAGCGATCCTCCCGCCTTAGCCTCCCAAAGTGCTGGGGTTACAGGCAGGAGTCGCCATGCCCAATGAACATCTTTATTTCTAAAGTACGATTTTTCATATTTCTTTGATTGTGGATTTTCTCCCCTGACTGCTGCAAAGCAGAAAAAGAAAGAAAAAGAAAAAAGATTTGCGAAGTTAACATTCATACATTAACAACTGCCGCAAACCCTCTTGGTGTTCTGCAAATGAGACTTCTAGTGTGAAATCATTAATTGTGAACCGAATTTTTTTGTCTTTCAGAACAAGGCAAAGGCAATCTGCATGTAACATCACCAGAAGATGCAGAATGCCGCAGAACCAAGGAACGCCTTTCTAATGGAAACAGTCGTGGTTCAGTTTCCAAGTCTTCCCGCAATATCCCAAGGAGACACACCCTAGGGGGGCCCCGAAGTTCCAAGGAAATACTGGGAATGCAAACATCTGAGATGGATCGGAAGAGAGAAGCGTTCCTAGAACATCTGAAGCAGAAGTACCCCCACCACGCCTCTGCAATCATGGGTCACCAAGAGAGGCTGAGAGACCAGGTACGAATATGCTCTCATTTCTCCTTGTGTAGCTCGCTCTCTAATGAACATCGAGGAAAGCAAACTTACTTTCTTTGTAAAAGGTAAAGGATAGCTTAGTGGACTGTGCATACTATTTAGTTGTTCTGGATTTCTTTGGGGCCTTGGGAGGAGGAAGCCGGGTGTAGAAAACTTCTGCCTGCAAGCTCAGTCTTCTTTGCCAATACAGCAAGAGAACAGGAGGCCAGGCCAGAGAGGAAGGGCCTAGAGAGTATGCAGTTCCCCAAAAGAGTGTTCCCATGTTCAACCACAAACACATCTAAACACATCTAAAGTGCAGGGAATGAAGGGGTATTATCTACTGAGGAAAGCATGGCACCAACTACCGTGTACCCTGAAAGCACGGAGTGCTTAGCACTGTGAATGAATGAAGTAATGAATGAATGAATACACAAATACATAAATGTATTTTCAGGGTAAAATAGATCTTACAGATACAGACTTGTGGTAACTCCTTTTCCTTAAAAAGCTGACATTAGGGTTTTGTTTCTGCTCTTCTTTTTTTTTTTTTTTTTTTTTTTTTTGAGATGGAGTCTTGCTCTGTCGCCCAGGCTAGAGTGCAGTGGTGCGATCTTGGTTCACTGCAAGCTCTGCCTCCCGGGTTCACACCATTCTCCTGCCTCAGCCTCCTGAGTAGCTGGGACTACAGGCACTGGCCACCATGCCCGGCTAATTTTTTGTATTTTTAGTAGAGACGGTGTTTCATCGTGTTACCCAGGATGGTCTCGATCTCCTGATCTCGTGATCCGCCCACCTCAGCCTCCCAAAGTGCTGGGATTACAGGCGTAAGCCACTGCACCCCGGCCTTTTTTTTTTTTTTTTTTTTTTTGGAGATGGGTTATTGCTGTATTACCCAGGCTGGAGTGCAGTAGTGCCATCATAGCTCACTGCAGCCTAGAAATCCTGCACTCAAGATCCTCTCATCTCAGCCTCCTGACTAGCTAGGACTACAGACATGCAGCACCATGCCTGGCTCATTTTTTATTTTTGGTAGTAGAGACGGGGTCTTTCTCTATTGACCAGGTTGGTCTTGAACTCCTGGCCTCAAGTGATCCTCCTGCTTCTGTCTCCCAAAGTACTAGAATTACAGGCATGAACCACTGTGCCTGGCATTTTTTTCTTTTGAATCACAGATGTGCTCCTTCTGCATGCGTTGCTTTGTGCTAGCTTTCTGTCTTCACCTACCTGTTTCCTCTGGTTATTTTGACAGTCATATAGACATTACCCAACTGTGGCTAGGGATGTTTTTGTTTCTTGGCTGTGTGCAATTACTTTTAGCAGATAGAGCAAGTTTGGGGTCACAGGAGATTTGAGGCCTCCTCTACCGACCTCACTGGCGAGTTACCAGATTGACCTTTGTGTATGGAGAATGTAGGGAAGGAAGCAGAAAGCACTTAACCATATATGTGACGGGTGGGGGTGGGAAGGAGGGCAGGATGATATTGATTTCCACACAAGGGAGGAAAGCTCAGTGTTTTAAGTCTGCTGTCTTCCCAGTTAGGTGCAAAAATTATGTCTAACTCACTCAGCCTTTGATTATCCATGGAAATGGAGATTGGCATCAGCCCGAATAATTGAAATCTATACTTTATTCTCAATCTCATATTCTTCCTTAAATTCAATCTTCTCTTCTAGAGAATCATTATCTGAGTGGCTAAAAATGTGAAACGTGCTTTATGGACTTCATGTTTGCTTTTTGTTCACACTTCCAACAGTCAGTAAACCCAGAAGAGGAGAAAAGAAAAAGAATCCTGGTTGCTATAAGGATGGGCTAATGATTAATTCTTTGATAATTTTAAAAAGACTCTGGGCACAGTGGTTCATGCCTGTAATCCCAACACTTTGGGAAGCCAAGGCTAGAGGATCAGTTGAGGCCAGGAGCTTGAGACCAGCTGGGTAACATAGCGAGACCCCATCTCAACAAAAAAATTTAAAAAAATTAACTGGGTGTGGTGGCACACACCTGTAGTCCCAGCTTCTCAGGAGACTGAGGTGGGAAGATCACTGAAGCCCCAAAATGAGACCCCGTCTCTAAAACAAAAGTATCAATTTTGCTGAGAAATATAGAAATTGGCCTGTCAAAAATGGTATATTTTTCCATGTCAAAAATAATGATTATTGTTACTCTTCTTATTTGTAGTGTTATAATTATTGTTATTGCTGTAATAATGGTGGCTTTGGTTAAAACAATTACAAGGGAAGCCTAATTATAATTAAGGTTGAAAGGAGTAATGAATATATTTTGGTGTTCTCAAGCTCTGATCTGCTGTTACATACATTGCTAGTTCTGCCATGGCTGGCCAGCTGTCCCTTCTCTGATAATGAGGGATGAACAAGTCACATTCTATCTTTCTGCCTCTTTTGTACTCGAAGCTGACCATCCAAAAGGAGAGAGTTTTTAATGCATGAATCTATGTATACATTTTTATTCTCTTATTAACAGGAAAGGGGTCCTGATCCAGACCCCAAGAGAGGGTTCTTGGGTCTCGCACAAGAAAGAATTCAGGGTGAGTTCATAAAGTGAAAGCAAGAATTTTGTTTGTTTGTTTTTGTTTTTGTTTTTTGAGATGGAGTCTCGCTCTGTTGCCCAGGCTGGAGTACAGTGGCGCAATCTTGGCTCACTGCAACCTCCACTCACTTCAACCTCCACCTCTCAGGTTCAAGTAATTCTCTTGCCTCAGCCCCCCAGTAGCTGAGATTACAAGTATGCACCACCACACCCAGCTAATTTTTGTAGTTTTAGTAGAGACGGTGTTTTACCATGTTGGCCAGGCTGGTCTCGAACTCCTGACCTCAGGCGATCCACCTACCTCGGCCTCCCAAAGTGCTGGGATCACAGGTGTGAGCCCCCATGCTGACAAAAGGAAGTTTATTAGCAAAGTAAAGAAATAAAAGAATGGCTACTCCATAGAGCAGCCCTGAGGGCTGCTGGTTGCCCATTTTTATGGTTATTTCTTGATGATATGCTAAACAAGGGGTGGATTATTCATGCCTCCCCTTTTTAGACCATATAGGATAATTTCCTGACGTTGCCATGGCATTTGTAAACTGTCATGGCAGTGGTGGGAGTGTAGCAGTGAGGACCACCAGAGGTCACTCTTGTGGCCATGTTGGTTTGGTAGGTTTTGGCTGGTGTCTTTACTGTGACCTGTTTTATCAGTAGGGTCTTTATGATCTGTATCTTGTGATGACCTCCTATCTCACCCTGTGACTTAGAATGTCTTAACCGTCTGGGAATGCAGCCCAGTAGGTCTCAGCCTCATTTTACCTAGCTCCTATTTAAGATGGAGTTGCTCTGGTTCAAACGCCCCTAACACTGTCATTGCCCTTCTGCAAGCAAACCCCAACCAGCATTGTAAACACCAGAGATCGGTGTAGACATGGCCTATGAAATTGCTGCAGACATCATCTCATCTTCTGTCTTTTCCACTCTTTTTCTCCTACCACCCATTTCCTCTTTCCTGTCTTCCTCTCTGCAATGCCATTTGTTCCTCCTGGACCTTCTCAGTATGGACTATCCCAGGCTTCCTTTGCAGGAAGATTACACAGCCAGCTGTGAGAAGGAAGTCAGATAACACACATCTGATGCTCTCCTCCAGATACTGAGGCTCTTAATACCAGATGCTCTTCTGGCAGCTGTTTTTCTGGCTTCCTCTCAGAGAAGTATCCTTGATAAGAAGAGAGCCAATCAGCAAGATAGAGAATAAGATGTTGAAAGTGATGTATCTGCCGTCTAACATGAAATCTCTTAAAATCTAGGTTCTTTTTTTTTTTTTTTTTTGGAAGACAGGGTCTTGCTCTGTTGCCCAGGCTAGAGTGCAGTGGCATGATCATGGCTCACTGCAGCCTCAACCTCCGCGGCTCAAGCAATCCTCCCACCCCAGCACCCACCACCCACCCCGCCCACCCCCAGATAACTGGGAGTCCAGGAGTGCTTCATCATACCCGACTGAAAATCTAGGTTCTAATTTCCTGCTATTAAACATAAGAAGAATGAGAGCATGCCTTATGTTTCCAAATCTGACTTCAAACACTGGAAGATTCACGGTTGCAAAACTTCTGTTTGTCTTTAAAAAATATGTTGGTCAAGAGTTTTCTTTAGTCTAAAATTATTGAAAGGCTAAGAGGTCACCTTAACTCCCTTCTACAGTCTTCAAAAAATGCGGGTGGCCCTTATTGCAACATAATGCTGATCTGCATAATAGTAGCTGTGATCGTTAAGGACTCTTATCAGCATAACCTTAGTTGTGCAGGGCAGTCAGGCTGTACAGCCTCATTGCCTGGCAGCTAAGGGCTTGGTTTGGATGCAGGTGGGACTCATCAGGATCCAGCCTTCACAATATGCTAATTCTATGATTTGGGCTAATAGCTTAATCTTTCTTTCTTTTTTCTTTCTTTTTTTTTTGAGACAGAGTCTCACTCTTTCAGTCACCCAGGCTGGAGTGCAGTGGTGCAATCTTGGCTCACTGCAACCTCCACCTCCTGGGTTAAGCCATTCTTGTGCCTCAAGCCTCCCGAGTAGCTGGGATTACAGGTGTGCACCACCATACACCATACCCAGCCAATTTTTGTATTTTTAGTAGAGATGGGGCTAGTCTGGAACTCAAGTGATCTGCGTGCCTCAGCCTCCCAAAGTGTTGGGATTACAGGTGTGAGCCACTGCACCCGACCTTAATGGCTTAATCTTTCTCTGTTTCAGTTTCCTCGTTTGTCAAAGGAAAATAGTATCTACATCATGGAGCACTGAGAAATACAACGATGGAATCTTTTACTGTTTCACTGGCAGCTTTTAGCGTGATAATATTCTGGTTTTTAGTGTCCCAAAGAAGAGTCTCAGAGGCTCTTATTTTTAAATTAGTACTTAAAATCATTTGACTTTTTTTTTTTTTTTTTTTTGAGATGGAGTCTCACTCTGTCACCCAGGCTGGAGTGCAGTGGCGCAGTCTCGGCTTACTGCAAGCTCCGCCTCCCAGGTTCACGCCATTCTCCTGCCTCAGCCTCCCGAGTAGCTGGGACTACAGGCGCCCACCACCACGCCTAGCTAATATTTTGTATTTTTAGTAGAGACGGGGTTCACTGTGTTAGCCAGGATGGTCTCGATCTCCTGACATTGTGATCTGCCCGCCTTGGCCTCCCAAAGTGCTGGGATTACAGGCGTGAGCCACCATGCCTGGCCCAATCATTTGACTTTTTTATTTTTTCAAGACAAGATCTCACTCTTGTTTAGAGTGCAGTGGCGTGATCACAGCTCACTGCAGCCTTGAACTCCTGGGCTCAAGTGATCCTCTCACCTTAGCCTCCTGAGTAGCAACTACAGGCACACGTCACCACTTCTGGCCAGTTTTAAAAATTATTTGTAGGGACAGGGTCTTGCTGTGTTGCCCAGATTGGTCTTCAAAGCCTGGCCTCAAGCGATCCTCTCGCTTTGACCTCCTAAAGTGCTGGGATCATGAGCCACTGCACCTGGCCTCACTTGACTTTTTTGTCAACAAATATTTGAGCACCTGAAGAGGTTAATTTTTTCCATTGTTAAAGAATAACTTTATTACATTTCTGAAACTGGTATTTTTCTTTCATTCAGTGCTTAGTATTCATATTTCTTTTATTTATTTATCCCATATATATTTATTTGGCACCTACCATGGTAAAGGTATTTGAGAAGAATGCAAACCATTGGACTTAACCCTGTCTTCAATTCAGTAAAAGAAATAGGCATTCACATATAAAGAATAGTCTTTCCAGATCCAGCCCAGATGGCATGCCTTCTGAGATGGTCATAACATTGCAGTACTGCAGTACTTACATTGTAGCATCTAATCAGGTTGCATTACATATATTTTTTACATTTCTTTTTCTCACCTAGAATAATCTTCTGGAGGTAGAAACCTTGTCTTACCACCCATTTCTTCTTTCGCCTCTGTAAACTCAGCATTTAAAGGAATACACAACCTAGATTAGGCTAGATCCAAAATTTCTGTTGCGTGAAGGAATGAGCCACTATTTCTAATACAGTTAGAATGTGATAGATGGTACAGATAGAGAGGGGTACAGAGCCACAGAATTCAATGATTGATTGCAGTTTGAGCAGTCAGAAAGAAGAGATTTCTTAACTAAGAAGTTAGGAATGGCTAAGTAATTTTCCCCTAAGTTAAGAAGTCAACATTTGAACCAGGGCCAGAATTTCCTGTCCTCAGAGGAGGTCTCCAGGAAAAAAAAAAAGAATTTCCAGTTTATGGTCTTTTCATTCATTATGGGCCTATGGACCTTGGTTTTCTTAAAGGTTTTCTTCCACCTCTAATTTTTCCAAAGTTTGTTGACATCATGTACATCACATTGGGTCAAGCAATAGAGCCATAGACATGACTTCCATTGCCGTTTCTTTAAAAAGGCAAATCTGACTGGGTGCGGTGGCTCACGCCTGCAGTCCCAACACTTTGGGAGGCTAAGGCGGGCAGATCACGAGGTCAGGAGATCGAGACCATCCTGGCTAACACGGTGAAACCCCGTCTCTACTAAAAAAAAAAAAATACAAAAATACAGAAAATTAGCTGGGCATGGAGGCACACGCCTGTAGTCCCAGCTACTCTGGAGGCTGAGGTGGGAGAATTGCTTGAACCCAGGAGGCAGAGGTTGCAGTGAGCCAAGATCGCACCACTGCACTCCAGCCTGGGTGACAGAGCGAGACTCCATCTCAAAAAAAAAATAATAATAATAAATAAATAAAGGCAAATCTTACTCCATTCCAGAGCATATTAAATAACCAATAACCATAGAAAATAGATTCCTATCTGTATTTTATATAAAAAGAAAGTTGCTTCTTTTAAAAACTCTGAGTTCAGAAAGATCTGTAGTCCAGCAATCCCTCACAGTTGTGGTCACTGTGTAACTGCACAGTTTGGAAATGCTATTTTTTATGTCTTCATTAATGAATAGATGTTGATGGCTTCTTACTTGCAGAAACCAACTTTCCACTCCTAGTCTCAGAAACCATTCTGAAATTAATTTTTCAATCTTTACTCCCAGTTATTCACAGAATTTCTACCTAACTTACTTGGTATATAGAATCTACTCTGTGGTTTCAGTTAGTCTATGTGGATTCTTTTATCTGATGTGCTCAGATCATAAAAGAAACGAATAATACATTTTAACCTAAAAATCTGACATGTCCAACAAAGAGTAAGAGAGATATAAAGGGATTATTATTATTATTATTATTATCATTATTTTGAGACAGAGTCTCGCTCTGTCACCCAGGCTGGAGTGCAATGGCGCGATCTTTTCTCACTGCAACCTCTGCCTCCTGGGTTCAAGCGATTCTCCTGCCTCAGCCTCCCAAGTAGCTGGGATTACAGGGGTCCGCCACCACACCCAGCTAATTTTTTGTATTTTTAATAGAGACAGGGTTTCACTATGTTGGCCAGGCTGATCTCAAACTCCTGACCTCAGATGGTCCACCTGCCTCGGCCTCCCAAAGTGTTGGGATTACAGGTGTGAGCCACCGCACCTGGTCGGGATTATTCTTTAACATGAACATTACAGGGGGCAAAAATAAGGAGATAAGAAAATGAACACCAATATGAGCACTTTTTTTTTCTTTTTTTTGAGTCAGAGTCTTGCTCTGTTGCCCAGGCTGGAGTGCAGTGGCGCAATCTTGGCTCACTGCAAGCTCTGCCTCCTGGGTTCAGGCCATTCTCCTGCCTCAGCCTCCCAAGTAGCTGGGACTACAGGCGCCCGCCACCATGCCCGGCTAATTTTTTGTATTTTTAGTAGAGACGGGGTTTCACCGTGTTAGTCAGGATGGTCTCGAGCTCCTGGCCTCATGATCCACCCACCTCGGCCTCCCAAAGTGCTGGGATTACAGGCGTGAGCCACTGCGCCCGGCCAATATGAGCATTTGAAACAGGGTCAGTGAGGCCAAGAGGTCATTCTTCTGGTTTCTCCCATCAGACCAGGGCTTTGCTGCTGTCTGAGTGCCCCTCAGGCTTCCTTAGGGTCCCCTCCTCAACCATCCCCTCCTTTGAATGTGTTTGTGTAAAAACTGCTCTGGAGACCAGGAGAGCTGGCTCACACCTATAATCTCAACACCTAGGGAGGCTGAGGTGGATCACTTAAGTACAGGAATTTGAGACCAGCCTGGGCAACATGGGAAAGCCCCTACTCTACAAAAAATACAAAAATTAGATGGGCATGATGACTCGTGCCAGTTGGGGGGCTGAGGTGGGAGGATCAATTGAGCCTGGGAGATCAAGGCTGCAGTGAGCTGTGATTGTACCACTGCACTTCACCCTGGGCAGCAGAACGAGACCCCTTCTTAAAACAACAACAACAAAAAATCAAATATAGGTTATCATAAGAAAGCTGCAAAGAGAAGTATGTCTTAAAGCTGATGTATTAATCAGGATTGTCTATTAGGTTGGTGCAAAAGTAATTGCAGTTTTTGCCATTACTTTTGCACCAACCTAATAGGTTATGCTACTTAACAAATTAACCCTGTGATTTATTAATATTTGTGGTATTTTCTGATATGACAGAGAAACATTTTATTTCTTACACACACAAATCTTATTCTCACAATGACTTAGGAATTCTGGCTACTTCCCTCTTGCGATCATGCCATCTCAACACATGGATTCCAGGTCACCATGACAGAGAGAGACAGAGCTGATGGGTTGTATACACGCTCTTAAATATATTGGCCTGGAAGTGGCATATGTCACTTCACTTCATAGTAGCTTCTTGGTTCTAGTACCCACTGGGATATTTGTTGTATTCAGGTTTTGGCTGTGGAATCTAGCTTAAGACTAAAATCTTCCTGCTCTAGTTTGTTTCATCAGCTCTCCCAATGTAATTGATTATTTTATCAATTTTGTTATACCTAGCACTTTATCTGTACAATGACGTCATTGGCATTTTTACAGAATATAAACATATTAACAGATATTCCTATCTGTAAGTAATGGCATCTATGTCTTTGTGACTTATTTTTGATGAATTTAATTGTATCAAATCAAATTGCAGAACTCCAGCATGGACTATGCTGTATGCTGTAGATCTCAGGGAGTCAGTTTATACCTCAGGGAATAAACGTACTACCCTCTGTTATGTGTGAAAAACTCCAAATTCATTAGATATGCATCTGTCATATTTGTCTTGGCTCTGATCTATATCTGTCTATTCAAAATTTACGTACATGCATCTATATTTATGAAGGTACCTTCCAGTGAAGGCTGAAAAGTAAGGCTAATTGAAATTAAGACACATGTATACTATACACTGTTCAGTAAGTCGCAGCCTTTGGCCACAGTGAAGGTCTGGATACAAGGCTAATGTTGTAGAAAGTGTATGTTTTGAAAAACTAGGCATGTTTTGTAAATAAATAAATAAGTAAAAAGTTTAGAAATGGAACTAGACTCAGCTAAGAATTTCCTCTTCAGAGCTATTAATTTATTCTAATCCAATGGCGAAATGATGGGAGAATAGCCACATGTAGTAGAAGCAGCTACTTAGTTGTGTGAACTAATGACTGAATATGAGTTTACAGAGCTGTTTCTTTTTTATTTTTATTTTGTTTATTTATTTATTCTTTTGAGATAGAGTCTTGCACTGTTACCCAGGCTGGAGTGCAATGGCACAATCTCGGCTCACTGCAACCTCCGCCTCCCGGGTTCAAGCAAGTCTCCTGCCTCAGCCTCCCAAGTAGCTGGGATTACAGGTGCCCACCACCATGCCTGGCTAATATTTTGTATTTTTAGTAGAGACAAGGTTTCACCATATTGGCCAGGCTGGTCTCAAACTCCTGACCTTGTGATCTACCTGCCTCCCAAAGTGCTGGGATTACAGTCATGAGCCACTGTACCCAGCCTCAGAGCAGTTTTTTACCTAAACTTTTGGGAGGAAAGGACATAAATTTTTTAGCAATTAAGAAATCTAGTATACTGTGTGCACAGCAAATAATAATAGCACCAAAATCTCACAAATCACCGGTGAAGAACTTACTCATTTAACCAAATACTACCTATTCCTCAAAAACGTATAGAAATAAAAAATAAATAAATAAAATATTAATAAGCCACAATAGGAAGAGGGAAGAAATATCCTTATGCAAACTATGAAGAACACAGAGAAAGCCAGTAACATGCTCAGTATTTTTTTTAGCACTGTTTTCTCAACAAATATTTATAATGGTGGAAAAGACTGTAAGGAGAACGTATTATTTGCCATCAGCTAAAATTGCTGTGCTGTTTCTCTTTACATGTATTACAGGTTGAGTATCCTTTATCTGAAATGCTTGGGACCAGAAATATTTCAGATTTCAATTTTTTTGGGGGGTGGATTTTGAAATATCTGCATTATATACTTACTGGTTGAGCATCTCTAATTTGAAAATCTGAAATCCGAAATGCTCCACCATGGCCTTTGAGTGTCATGTTGGTACGCAAATATCTCAGATTTTGGAGCTTTTCAGATATTGAATTTCAAGATTAGGGATGCCGAGCCTGTAGTGTAGTCCATCCTCTCTACAACTCTGTTGGGTAGGCACTACTATTTGTTTTGTTTTTTTTTTTTTTTTTTTTTGAGACAGAGTCTCACTCTTTCATCCAGGCTGGAATGCATCTTGGCAGGTGCGATCTTGGCTCACAGCAATCTCTGCCTCCTGGGTTCAAGCAGTTCTCCTGCCTCAGCCTCCCAAGTACCTGGGATTACAGGTGCCTGCAACCACTCCTGGCTAACTTTTGCATTTTTGGCTAACTTTTGCATTTTTAGTTGAAATGTGGTTTCACCATGTTGCCCAGGCTGATCTTGAACTCCTGGCCTCAAGTGATCCACCCACCTTGGCCTCCCAAAGTGCTGGGATTACAGGTGTGGGGTAGGCACTACTATTAACTATAGTTAACAGAATGGGAAACTGAGGCACAAAGCAGTTCAGGCTTGTCTGAGGAGACACAGCAAGTAAGTGGCAGCACCAGTATTTAAATCCAGTTATCTTCCTGTGGGAGCCTTGCTCTTAAATTCTAGATCAGACCACCTCTCTGATGGGGGATGAAACAGAAAGATGTTCTGAAATGCTAAGGAAAAGAAAGACTGGACTGGGGACCAGTCTGCCTCGTGTCAGTAAGTGTGAATGAGATTTAACGCTCATCCTGCAATGGATGAAGTGCCAGCGTCCTGGTTGGATTTGCCTTTAATAATTTGAAGAAGAAAAGGAGTTTGGCACTGAAGAAGCAGTAGTGTGCCTGCCTGTAGTCCCAGCTACTTGGGAGGCTGAGCTGGGGGGATCATCCATGCCCAGAGGTCAAGGCTGCTGTGAGCTGAGCAGTGATCGTACCACTGCACTCCAGCCTGGGTAACGGAGTGCGACTCTGTCTCAAAAATAAATAAGTAAATAATAAAGAAGCAGTTGCATACATAGTGGTGAGTACGCAGAAAGTGAAAACTGAGAAAAAACCATTTTCAGAGCAAGCACTGCACGTGAAAGGAGTATGGTGTCATAACAGAATCACAAGTCATAGCTGGAGAATTTACAATATTGTATGTGCGAGTGTATATTTAATGGAATACTGGAGGCCCGTGAGCAAAGAATATGATAGGATCGAATCAGTAGAAAAACATCTCTTGTCCTCAGAGAAATTCCAGATAATGTTAGATATGTCTAAGGAAAATCAGGATGTGGTCAATGATCAGGAACAATAGTCATTTACATTTGGATATGATGAAAAACAAAAGTAAAAAAGAAAAAAAATGAACAGAAAGAAGAGCCTAAGATCTAAGAGAGATGATGTTCCTCAAGGGATGAGATGAAGGAGCTAGCTTGGATGTGATACCTGGAGGACTGATTTATTTTTCACTCTTGGGTTTTTTTTTTTTTTTGAGATGGAGTCCGGCTCTCTCACCCAGGCTGGAGTGCAGTGGCATGATCTCGGCTCACTGCAACCTCCACCTCCGGGGTTCAGCCTTCTGCCTCAGCCTCCCATATAGCTGGGACTACAGGCATGTGCCACCACGCCTGAGTAATCTTTGTATTCTTAGTAGAGATGGGGTTTCACCACGTTGGCCAGGGTGGTCTCAAACTCCTGACCTCAAGCAAATTCACCTGCCCTGGATTCCCAAAGTGTTGGGATTACAGGCGTGAGCCACTGCACGTGGCCGAGGACTGACACTTTGAGTTGTGACTCAAAGGTCGTTGAAGTACATCTCAGAAGATTTGGACCATTACATAGTAGGACATCTTGCGGCAGAGACTGAACAATTGAAAAGACTAAATTCAGGGGTTGTAGTTTTACTTGCAAAATTGACGTACAGTTGACGTTAATCACCCAGAATGCAGAAAAACAGCAAAGGAATCCTAAATGGGGATCATTCATAACACATCGCTTTTGATCCATGTTTAATTGGGTGCCACCAACCTCAGCATTAGCTTTCATTTTAATTAGTGACATGGAAGAGCAAGAGAACATATCTTGAGAACAGTGCTATATTAAGGAAAGCTCTGCAAGAAATCAAAATAAGATTCTACTAGAAAACCTGCTAAGGAGTGCCCGGGGGTAGGTGGGGAAGTATGGAAAGGCAAGAACCGAAGTCTAGCTAGGCAGTGTCAGGAGACACCTGGAAAGTGGTAGTCAGCTAGAGGAAATTGCCACAAAATTAGATGGAAATTTTCAGTGTTGAGGGATCTAAAAAAGACCAATGTGATTCAGTCCAGTGCATAGATGCAGAACTCATACTGCAAATGTCCAAATTGTCCTTCCTGTCTTTTCTTGTCAAACTTGAGCCTTTGCCATTTATTCATTCTTCCTGCAGTTATGTTCTTGGATTAATTCATTCAAATGCTTATTTATTTATTAGGGATCTACATTTCGAGGTTGGCATTGAACATTATATAAAAAGTACAAGGCCGGGCACAGTGGCTCATTAATCCCAGCACTTTGGGAGGCTGAGGCAGGTGGATTGCCAGAGCTCAGGAGCAACATGGTAAAACCTTATCTCTACAAAAAAAAAAAAAAAAAAAAAAAAAAAGAATAAAGAAAAATTAGCCAGGCATAGTGGTGTACACCTACAGTCCCAGATACTTAGGAGGCTGAGATGGGAGGATCATTTGAGCCTGGGAAGTCAAGGCTGCAGTGAGTCATGATCATTCCACCATACTCCAGCCTGGGTGACAAAGCAAGACCCTGTCTCAATAAAATAAAGAAATAAAAATAAAAAGTACAAAACCCAACATCTGCCCTCTCTTAGTCCATTTGTGATGCTTCCACTCATGACCAAAAGGGGAGCCTCTGTTTGCAGAGATCACATTGTCTGAGAGGATGCAAGAGTGTTGAAGAGGTGCCAGGCTCTTTTTAACAACCAGTTCTCATGGGAACTAATAAAGTGAGAACTCATTCACCCCTAAGGGAGAGCATTCATCCCATTCATGAGGGATCCACCAGCCTCCATAACTCAAACACCTCCCATTAGGCCCCTTCAACTTTGGGGATCAAATTTCAACATGAGATTTGGAGGGGACAAATATCCAAACCATAGCATGCACTGCCAAAGAGATATCTCTTTAGTGGAAACAGTACAAACCTTTGGGTATGATTTGAGTATGGGATGATCCAGGAATATTTAATTTAGTATTGAATTTGCAAGTAGTTGAGGCTATCATTACTCATTTATAATTTTGTTAGATGTGATCAGAGAGTGCAATCTCTAAAATTCTTACTTTTAAATTTCGCTTAAAGATTGGTTTACAAAGTTTTTCTTAGAATAAAATACACAATCAGTATTGCATAGATATTCATGGACATTTATCTATTCTGTATTCTATGCACATACATACGCACACATATATATTGGGTTTGTTGATTGTATTATTCATTTCTTCTCAGTCTTTATTTTTTAAGGTTGTTCACTTCTGAGCAAAGTATAACAAAGTCTCCCATATCATTGTATTTTTATCTTTTTCTCCCTGCGTTCCTAAGAATTTGTTTCACAGGTTTTTAGTTATGATCACACCTTCTCTATAAGTTATGTCTTTAACATTACCAGATGACCTCTTCATTCTGTTTAGTGTCTGTTAACTTTTTAAAAATATTATCTCTCTTGATTTACATTTGTTTGCATCTGTCAGGTATGCCTTATCATTCATTTTCAATGTTTTTGTATTAATACAGGTTGAGTATCCCTAATCTGAAAATCCAAAATGAAATGTTCCCAAATCTGAAACTTTTTGAGCACCAACATGATGCTCAAAGGTCATGCTCATGGAAGCATTTCAGATTTTGGATTTTTGGATTAGGGATGCTCAACTGGTAGCTATGTACTGCAAATATTCTAAAATCCAAAAAAAAAAAAAAATCTGAAACCTGAAACACCTCTGGTCCCAAGCATTTTGGATAACAGTTACTCAACCTGTAATGAGCGTGTTTATTAGAAACTACATACATATATATCGGCCGGGTGCGGTGGCTCATGCCTGTAATCCCAACACTTTGGGAGGCTAAGGCAGGCGGATCACCTGAGGTCAGGAGTTCGAGACCAGCCTGGCCAATATGGTGAAACCCTGTCTCTACTAAAAATGCAAAAGTTAGCTGGGTGTGGTGACGCATGCATATAGTCCCAGCTACTCAGAGCTGAGGCAGAATTGCTTGAACCCAGGAGGCAGAGGTTGCAGTGAGCCGAGATCATGCCGCTGCACTCCAGCCTGGGTGACAGAGCAAAACTGTCTCAAAAAAAAAAAAAAAAAAAAAAAGAAACTACATACAAAAAACTTGGCTTTGCTTTTTCAGCCTAATTCGTTAAGTCTGTTTTTAATGGGAAATTCCGTCCACTAGCATTTAGTGTAACAACTGATGGACTTAATTATATTCCTCCATCTTAATTTGACAGCAAGTACTGTATGTCTATTCTTCTTCTCTCTTAAATGTGGCTCATGCTATTTAAATGCGAAACAATGGCTTGAGTTTAGGTCTTGACAAGCTGTATCTGAAATGACAGTGGTTGCTCCAAGTGAAAATGACTGTTAGACAATTGGAGATAAAATAGGACTGGACCCTATGCCAGGAAACAAGACTAGACAGATACATGTTGGAGGGATCAGCTCTATTAGTCACAGTTCTTCAGAATATCAGAGCCAATAGCAGAATTCCTTTTTCTTTGGGGGACCTCAGTCTTTGCTTCTAAGGTCTTCAACTGATTAAATGAGGTCTACTCACATTATGGTGGGCCATCTGCCTTACTCCAAGTCTACTGATTTAAATGCTAATCACACCTAAAAAATACCTTTACAGCAACATCTACACTGGTGTTTGACCGAACAACTGGGCACCATAACCTGGCCAAGTTGAAACATGAAATTAACCATCCCCCTCTGCACCAACAGTTGACAGAATGTGAATGGATAATTTCTAAAAACAAGTAACAACTACAATCAAACACAGAGCCAAAGATCAAGGGTTTAGCATTAGAGAATTACCACAGTTGGGGTCCATGTTTCATTAAAGAATCCAAGCATTCTTATCTTTTGGTGATACTTGTAGTGTGGTCTTGACTTACGAAATGTATATGTGTTGTTTTCTACCTTTTTCATGTTTGACAGTTTTTCTTTAGACCAGAACTTCGGATTGCAGCTATTTCTTAAGAGTTGCTATTTCATTAGCCTTATCAACATCCTAGAGATCTGTTTGCCCTGGGGTTTTGAGGGCTAAGCCCTGAGTTGTAATGCATTAACTCTGTTCTGTGCAGTCCTTCTAGGACTAAATACAGCCTGCAGCTAAATACATACTGCTTCTCCAAGGCTGCTGCTGTGCTGATGTTTCTGTCTGAACTACCCCAGACTCCAGTACCGTCTGTTAACTCCGTATCTCGGAGGATCTGCAGAAGGTCCGCGTTGACCCTTTGCAATCCAGTATGCACTTTCAGGCTCATCTACTAAATAAATCCTTTCAGCATGGCTTCGTTTAGTTAGGCTCTTAGTATCCCAATTATGAGCAATTTTATTAAACTAGGAGTATCAGTGCCTGGTAGTTAAGTACAGGTGTTTTGGGTTTAAATCTCGGGTCAGCCTGAGTTCAAATCTCAGCTCCAACACTTAATAGCCATGTAAACTTACTGTAATTACCTAACCTCTCTAAAGCTCAATTTCTCCATTTGTAAAATGGGAATAATGATTGTTCTTACATCATACTATTGCTGTGAGGCTTAAATGAGATAAGGGTTGGTTATTTGAATGATAAAAAAATTGATATTTTGCTTGAAAGAAAGTATTCCTTTTCTACCTGACAACTTCCAATTCATATTTCTTTTCTCTTTTCTTTTCCATTCTTTTTCTTTTTCTTTTTTTCGACGGCGTTTTGCTCTTGTTGCCCAGGCTGGAGTGCAATGGGCAGTCTCGGCTCACTGGAATCTCCGCCTCCCAGATTCAAGCAATTGTCCTGCCTCAGCCTCCCAAGTAGTTGGGAATAAAGGCATGTGCCACCACACTCAGCTAATTTTTTTGTATTTAGTAGGTTTCACCATGTTGGGCAGGCTGGTCTCAAACTCCTGGCCTCAGGTGATCCACCCTACTCAGCCTCCCAAAGTGCTTGGATTATAGGCGTGAGCCACTGCGCTAGGCTCATGTTTCTTAAGAAACAAAAATTCAGGCCATAAATAGTTAAGTCTAACCTCTTTCCCCAGCTGTTTGTGTTCTTTTATCTTTGTGAGCTTTTTCAGTGAGGAGTTTTTTTTTTTGTTTTTTTTTTGAGGCATGTTCTTACTCAGTTGCCCAAGCTGGAATTCAGGGGTGCAAACATAGCTCACTGCAGCCTCAACCTTCTGGGCTCAGGCGTTCCTCTCACCTCAACCTCCCAAGTAGCTGGGACTAGAGGCACACACCAGCACGCCGGGCTAATTTTTGCACTGTTTGTAGAGACGGGGTATTGCTATGTTGCCCAAGCTGGTCTCAAACTCCTGGGCTCAAAAGATCCTGCTACCTCAGCCTCCCAAAGTGCTAGGATTACAGGCATGAGCCACTGCTCCTGGCCCGTTTTCTACCTCTGCTATAAAACAGGTTTGTTGAAGCGAATTCAAGACAGAGAGTCTTATTTGCTCTCCAAGTCAATCATAGGTACCCATGATGTTGCTAAATTTAGAAAAAATAGCTCATCTACATGCATTTATTGAGCTCTGATTTGATTAGTATGATGCTAAGGTTGCCATCAGGCAAATCACAATGTCATTAAGGCTTAGTGAGATGTTTTTCTCATTCAGGGATGGTAGGAAAAATCGTCACTGGACTGGCCACCTCTAATCAACTCTTGGCATTTCTGCCCAGCCTTCGTGTGTTGTCCTTATTGCTGGGATCCTTGTTGCCAAACACTTTCCCAGCTCTAAGTTGTTCAAGATCTCTCTGTCTTGATCATAATAATGTCAATGCTGGTTACAAATTTTTCTCTTGGGTTTACCTCTGCCTGTCCACTGAGGAAACGGTTAATGGAGTTGCTTTCCCATCTGAATTCTTTCTGGACTCTCTCCATTTGCCTTTACATTCTGACTCTTCTCGCTCTCTTTTCCAAGCCTGAATTCAATAAGCAAAAGCTGAGATACTGTAATTTCCTAAATAACCCAAAGGGAAGATCTGGCATAATTTATAACCACTCTGACTGCTGAATCAACTTGCACTTGCTCTTCTCTCTAATGGAACTTTGAAGAATAACTGTAATTGAATAGTGCCTCCACCCCATCTTCAGATTTGACTGAATCAAGCCTAGATCTGGTTATATCTGGTTTTTGTTTGTTTCATGTTGTGTTTGTGCCCCACTGAGTATAAAGCCCAAGTGTGGGCTTCATCTGGATGTATTTTCATCTCACAGAGACATTAATTGAATCTCTGACAATAGTCTTGCCTCCGAGGAGTGCTCCAACTCTGGCTGCGGTATTAAACCAAGGTAGTTCTTGGTTGCCTTCAAAGGTAACCTCCCATCTGTTGACAGTGAACTACGGCAATGCAACGCTTACAGAATCATTGGAGGAGAGGATCCAAAGCGTTTACAATTCCCTGCTATGCAAAGAGTCATTCTGAGTTTTTTTAACCTATGATTGCTCTCTGTAAATACCTGGGTGCACCCAGCAAGGTGTAGAGGTTAATGTTTGCTCTCTGACCTTTGAAGACAGATGCACTGAATATGTTGCAGTTTGCAATGGGATCCGTGG
This sequence comes from Homo sapiens, assembly GCF_000001405.40. Lineage (NCBI taxonomy): Eukaryota > Metazoa > Chordata > Mammalia > Primates > Hominidae > Homo > Homo sapiens. Next base: position 24,238,120 of record NC_000010.11, read on the forward strand.
CAAGTTAACAGCAGACTGCTCCTTCAGCTACTGCTGTTTCCAAAACTCTGCAGTGTCACATCTTGCTCGCGGCTGCCTCCTCAGAAGTGCTTCTCAGCTTCCATTCAGCTCCCTGCTGAGTTCCTCTGAAGAACTTTGTACTGTGGCATATGACAGCGACCTGATAACATTATGATAAACTCCTATGGGTTTGAACTCAGTCCTATTCAAATTTTCTGGTGCCTAGTGGTCAGCAGTCTTAGACCTGGGGAGTAAGAGGTGTGTCTGCAGTGAATTTAGAGGTGAGAAGAAAGAGGGCTGGACTCAGATATTGAGTATCTTAGAGCCTACGGACCATTTCCCAAAGCCTAGAATAGATTTCAGCGTAATTCTGGTAATTTACATAAACTAGGATAGACATGCAAAATATCTGGATATGTTAGGAAGGAGTTAAAAAGTTCTCCACACCTTTTCCTACCACCTCTGCAGCCATAGAAGCCGAGGGGAAATGCACACACACACACACATACACACTCTGGCAGGGAACCTGTTTTGCAAGTTTTGCTGGTAAAAAGTTCTAGGAAGGGGGCTGGTGGAGAACAGAGTGGAAAAGAAGTATCAATTGAAGGTTTTTCAAGACCTGAGTTTTCAAGGTAACTTTATCCTGCAGAGAGAGACACGCATGGCCGCTGTAGGTTTTTCTTCCACCAATTAAGTGCATTGTTAGACAGGGAGGGGCAGATTAACGAACGCCTATAATTTTGATCATTGTTTTTTGCAAAACAGCTCAGGCTTTGAAAATGAAGCCATCGTTCCCGGCTAAGTTTCTGCCAACAGCACAAATTATACTGTGCAGAGATCCAAAGCCCCTAAGAAGGTTTCATTAATGAACAATTTCAGACGATTGTTTAAGTCTTCGCCTGACAGGTAATGTTGGCATGTCGGCAGGTGGGGTTAGGGTTTCCATGGAGATTTATGATGTCATGCTTGAAAGAGCATGTCAAGACAGCCGATTTAACAAGTAGCTACTCAAAAAGTCCTATAGGCTACAAGTAGGTTTTATGCAAATGACGAGAGTTTCACTGGGAAAAACTGCAAAAGAAAACAGCCCAGACATGGAGGGGGGTTTTACCTGACAGCTCCGAAGGAAGACCCTGGAGTCCGTTCCAGACAAAAACTTCCAGAAGAATTAGATTTTCTGCTTTAACTGCCGCCTCACCTGTGGAGCTCTGGGTACAGGTAAATATGCGGGGTTTTTTTCTTCCAAGTTTTTGCCAAAAATTATTTGGAAACATTTCGCTCTGTTTCTCGGCATTGTTCTCTTGGCAGGAAGAAGTGAATCAATAAGCCCAGCTTTCCCATAGCAATGTTCGTGCTAAAGGGCTGTTTTTAAGGGCTTTTTTTTTTTTTTTTATTGAATGAACTGAGATTTTTGAATAGAGCTGAAAACAAGCGATGCATTGTGCGTTCTGCTGATTGTGCCCGGTGAATACTGCTATAAAAGTGCCACAGATAAGGGTTAGATGGACAATCTGAAAATTGAGATGCTCCATGTATTTCTTATTTATTCCCAGATGTGTGTGTGTGTGTGTGTGTGTTTGTGTGTGTGTGTGTGTGTGTTCTTTTACTCTTACGACAAACCTGAAATTGAGACTATGGGTAGTTTTGTATTTTCACATTGTAAAAATGCCAAAAATAAAATCCATGGAATGTTGCAGAAATAATCTTTGAATCAGGTTTATGAACATTGCACTTTTTTAAAAGTATGTATCTGATGCTTTTCTCACCGAGGCATTTTTCCCAGACTAGAAAAAAACAGTCCTGATAGAGACATCCAGTTTTTGAGCTTTTAGGGAAGCAGGATTTCTAAATTCCAAGAAGATAGATAAAGACTTCTTGGAGGAAGGTGGGGTGTGGGTGATAAAGGTAGTTTTTAAAGCATGGTTTAAAAGAAAATACTGGTCACTTGGGAGTATGAGGGTTTTTTTTGTTTGCTTCGGCTGCCAGTGAGGATAAGTAAACAGTCTTGCCAGCCATTTGGATGTGATAGCAATCACTGGATGCGGCTGTGGATCTGTGAGTTAGCTGAAAGGGGTTAGTTCAGAGGCATCAGTTGCCCTGTGAGTAGTTAGTTCCACCAAGCTTAAAAAGAACACAAAGAAAGCCTATTGTTTCTTCCACACAGTGCATGGCAGCGTGTGAGGTTAAAGCGGAGTTCAGAATCATCGAAAGATACCTGTGAAATGGGAATTTGGACTTTTGAAACTAAAACTACTTAGGAATAAGTGGATAGGCTTTCAAAATGTTTTAAGAACTGCCTCATGTGTGAGAATGAGACCTCCTGAAATTTTGCAGTTAGATAATGTGGATTAATGCCAGAACTCACATTCATATTAAATTGTTACCACAGTTATTGCAAAACAGTGAGTGACAAAGAACTGTGCCTCCAACATCGGAAGTTCTGGGCGTTGAGTTCTGGCTTCACCACTTAGTGGCTGTATAACTAGAGGAAAGTAAATTCATGTCCTTAGGCCTCAGTCATCATGTCCATAAAATGGGATGCCAGTAGCTAGCTGTGTTGTGAGGATTAAATAACAAAACAGACGTAGCACAGTTCTAAGCATTCATGTTCCAAATGTTAATGATTGTTTTTATTGACTGCTGAAATGGCATTGGATATTTAGAAAGTGTTTTTATATTCTTTACTTCCTCTTATCATTACAAGTAATGACTAGCAGTCAAGTAAGGCTAGTAGTCTTTTTTTTTTTAAAAAAAAAAGACAGGGTCTCACTCTGCCACCTAGGCTGAAGTGCAGTGGCGCGATCTTGGCTCACTGCAACCTCTGCCTCCCGGCTAAAGCAATCCTCCCACCTCAGCCTCCTGACTACTGGTGCATGCCACTGTGCCAGGCTAATTTTTTGTATTTTTGGTAGAGATGGGGTTTCACCATGATGCCCAGGCTGGTCTCAAACTCCTGGGCTCAAGTGATCTACCCACCTTGGCCTCCCGAAATGCTGGGATTACAGGCTTGAGCCACTGCACCCGGCCTTGGCTAGCAGTCTATTTCCACTTTACAGATGCAGAAACTGTGGCTCAGAGAGTTACTGGGAAATACGACATAATAAACTATCCTATACTGCCTGCACTTTTTCTCATTTTAGGAGGCATAGAAAAAAAATGAATGTGTTATTGAAATAACTCCCAGCAGCAGCAATGATTCTGTAAAGTAATTAAAATACAAAATGTTAAGTATGCCAAAGGAGCCAGGGTATTTATATTTTTATATTAATTATGCTTTTGCCACTTTTTTCTAGACAGGCTACAGAAGTGATATTAATTTACTTTTTACTGGTACCTACTGATAGGAGCTCCAGTACTGCACAGACTTAAAATTTTAAATTCTACCTGCCTGAAATTTTTCTTGGCCATACAAGTAGAGTCGGATTTTAATGTTACAGGTATTTTCGGAGTGAGAACCCAAGTCACCAAGGGGCTGTGGTTGCTACAGGGTGCAGAAGGAGCCTAGGAGTCGAATATACTGTCCTTTATTCCTTCTGTATTCTAGACGTTGGCACTTCCTCCCTTGCCTCTATCCCAGACAGAAACACAGCCCATAATTATATCCTACATCCATTGTATGTAAGAGACAAATATGTTTTTCATTGTGCTATTTTTAGCCACAGTGTTTCTAGCTGGGGAAAACACTCTCTTCATTCCAGGGTTTTCTTAACAATTTTTCCAGTTTTTCCATGTCAGACTATTCAGAATTATTCAGGTTCCACACTCCTGGGAGAAGGCTCTTAATGAAGTATTGAGTAGGCTCATCGAGGGGGATTCTAGAGGGATTTTGGCATCTGAGCTGCTGAGCCTGAACTCATTCTATGACAGATGATGTCTGTGGTCCCATGAATTAGGCTGCATTGAGGACTCTCATTCCCAGCACTGTTTGGGGGCACTGGGAAAAGGTTGAGTTACCTTATCCCAAGGGTAGATCTATAAGGAGAAAAGCAAATATTTATTTATTTGTTTTAAATTTCTGCTTTTATTTTTAGATATAGGAGGTACATGTATAGGATTGTTGCATGGGTATACTGGATCCAGATAATGAGCATAGTACCCAATAGGTAGTTTTTTAACCCACATCCCACCTCCATCCCCACTCTAGTAGTCCCCAGTGTATTTTGTTCCCATGTTTACATCCATGTGTGCTCCATGTTTAGCCCCCACTTGTAAGTGAGAACATGTGGTATTGGGTTTTCTATTTCTGCATTAATTTGCTAGGAAAATGGTATTCAGCTCCATCCATGTTGCTGCCAAAGAAATGATTTCATTCTTTTTTATGGCTTTATAGAATTCCATGGTGAACATGTACCACATTTTCTTTATCCAGTCCACCATTGACGGACACCTAGGTTGATTCCATGTCTTTGTGGATAGCACGGTGATGAACATAGAAGTGCATGTGTCTTCTCGGTATAATGATCTATATTCCCTTGGGTATATACCCAATAATGGCATTACTGAGTCAAATGGTAGTTCTGTTTTAAGCTCTTTGAGAAATCTCCACACTGCCTTCCACGGTGGCTGAACTAATTTCACTCCCACCAGCAATGTATAAGCACTCCCTTTCCTCCACAGCCTCACCAGCATGTTATTTTTTGACTTTTTAATAACAACCATTCTGACCGGTGTGAGATGGTATCTCATTGTGGTTTTGATTTGCATATCTCTGATGATTAGTGACGTGGAGCATTTTTTCATATGTTTGTTGGCTTCTTGTATGTCTTCTTTTCAGAATTGTCTGTTTATGTCTTTTGTCCACTTTTTAATGGGGTTGTTTTTTGCTTGTTGATTTAAGTTCTTTACATATTCTGGACATTAGACCTTTGTTGGATGCATTCTTTGTGAATATTTTCTCCCATTCTGTAGGTTGTTTGCTCTGTTGATGGTTTCTTTTGGTGTACAGAAGCTCTTCAGTTTAATTAGGTCCCACTTGACAATTTTTTTATTGTTGCAATTGAAAGCAAATATTTATTTCATTCAAAGTTTTAGTTTCAAATATGAATCACAAAGCTGCAATTTTAGGGTAGAAAAGAGTTTTGAACTCAAACATGGTGCCAAAACTCCAAATAGGTTTTGAGTCACTGATGAAATGTTTCTTAAATTTTATTTTATTTTCTTTTAGATTCAGGGGGTACATGTGCATGTTTGTTTCATGGGTACATTGCCTACTGGTGGGGACTGGGCTTCTAGTGCACCCATTATTCAACTAGTGAACATCATAACCCATAGGTAATTTTTCAACCCTCACCCCCTTCCCACCCTCCCTCCTTTTGCAGTCCCCAGGGTCCATTATTTCCATCTTTATGTTCATATATACCAATTGTTTAACTCCCGCTTAATAAGTGAGAATATGCAGTATTTGTTTTTTTTGTTTCTGAGCTAGTTCACTTAGGATAATGGCCTCCAGCTCCAACCATGTTACTACAAAAGACGTGTTTCATTCTTTTTTATGGCTGTGTAGAATATTCACATATATACAGGAATATATATATATATATACACATCTATGAATGTGTAGAATATTCATATGTATGAATACATACGAATGAATATATATGTGTGTTTGTGTGTATATATAGGACTATATATACACATCTATGAATGTATACAATATTCATATATATGAATATATAAGAATGAATATATATGAGTTTGTGTATGTATATATACATATAGATCCTGTTTTAGAAGCCCAGTGAAGCTTTTTATTACACTTAATTGTCGTAGCGTTCAGAGATTATCTTTGATCAATAAGTAGCGATCGCATTGAGCAGAGCACTTTACACCTAGTGGGTTTTAGCAAAGGCTTGTAAATCAGATGGGCTGCGTGCAGTGACTGAAGAAGTCTCCTGCCTGGATTCGGATCCTGCCTTCATTACTTGCTCGTAGCACAGGCTTTCCACTGAAGAGCATATGAAGTTTTGTTCATATTCCAAATAAAATAGAGCATCTGAATTTCCAATGCCTCTTGATAAAGGAATTAGTGGTCTTTAAGTATTACATTATTCTCTTTGAATGTCATTTTTGGAATTTTCACAGAAATGATTTCTTCAGAAAGAAAGGCACTGAAAATTTAACTGGAAGTTCCTCTCGGCTGGCTACCGGGGAGGTAGAGAGCAGAGAGTTCTCCTGGGTGGGAGGGATTTCTAGAAGCTCTTTACAGCTGAGGCCCTTTTCATCGCTATTTATTAATTTGACTTGATCAGAAGCAATCCAGTTTTGAAGGTGTAGTTTCTAAAATCTCTTTATTTCAAAGAAAGTCATCCTGAAGAATGGTGTCATCCCAGATGACCTTGCTTTTTCTCTTCAGATGTCTGGCCACAGAAGGGATCAGCAGGTAGAATGGGAAGGCTGTTTTCATCCTTGGGCATTAATTGGGCTTCCCTCTTTTCTTTCTTTCTTTTTTTTTTTTTTTTTTTTTTGAGACATGTCTTACTCTGTCACCCAGGCGGGAGTGCAGTGGCGAGATGTCCGCTTATTGCAACCTCCGCCTCCCGGATTCAAGTGATTCTCCTGCCTCAGCCTCCCGAGTAGCTGAGATTATAGGCATGTGCTACCATGCCCTGCTAATTTTTCTAATTTTAGTAGAGACAGGGTTTTGCCGTGTTACCCAGGCTGATCTCGAACTCCCGGCCTCAAGTGATCCGCCTGCCTCATCCTCTCAAAGTGCTGGGATGACAGACATGAGCCAGTGCTTCCGGCCAGCTTATCCTAACGGCAGGAAGCTTTGATACTTTTACTTCCTGACCACAGACTTAGTAGGCAGCAGGAACAGTCTTCAACTTCCTGGTTGTATAATTACAAGAGCCAATGTGAAATATTATGCATTTGGAGAAGCCCTTCTCTAGAGCTCTTATAGAAAAGGAATGTACAGCCAAGTTTATGGGAAGCATGAGGATGGTGAGTCCAAAGTCAAGGTAGGTGATAGCATTGGTGGCCCCTTGCAGCACCGGGAGTCTATATGGCGGTCTAACTTCGCACCCCCTATTTGTCACTTCATAGCACTCTTCACTTTCACTCCGTTTCACTTGCTCATGATTAAGCAACAAACGTGGTAATGGTGTTTCCTACTCTGAGTTTCACTAGATTTAGTAAACGCACATGATCATGCTGGTCCCGTCGAAGTGACGATAGGAGTCCTCGGAGCTGTGGTCTCCGCCCTGGCTGGTTGCACCTGCTCTGTGCTCTGCTCAGATCATACAAGATGGAGAGAGCAGAGACCCCATCAGAGAGAGGCTTCTGTTGGCTGCAGTGTGACACTGTAGACTTGCCAGAAAGGGCTCTCTTTGGACCTACTACTTGCCACTCAGAAGCAAATGGGCTGCAGCCTCATACGTTTTTGGAGTGAATAAGAGAACTAAGATTCTGATGGACCCTTGGTGATTTTCTCTCTTCAATATTATGAATGTTCATGAATGCCCCTCAGAAGGTCACAGGGATGTCAGATCTCATTTTCTCCCCTTCCCCTTCCCCTTCCTTTTCCTTTCCGAGACAAGGTCTCTCTTTATCACTCAGGCTGGAGTGTAGTGGTACAATCATGTCTCACTGCAGCCTCAACCTCCCGGGCTCAAGCAATCCTCCTGCCTCTGTCTCCCAAGTAGCTGGGACTGCAGGCATGTACCATCACACCAACTAATTTTTTTTTTTTTTCTTTTAGGTAGAGCCAGGGTCTCACTTTGTTACTTAGGCTGGTCTCAGACTCCTGGGCTCAAACAATCCTCCCACTTTAGTCTCCCCAAAAGTTTAGATCAAAGGTGTCAACCACTGCACCTGGCCAGGTCTCATTTTCATAGCAGTCACTGGTAGTAAGGTAAATGTGCTGCAGATAATCGTTTGGCCTGTGTTTTGGAGGGACCTTTTTGTTTTTTAATTGTCTCTTTGAATTTTGCACAAAGAAGGGTTGCACGGGCTCCGTTCATCTTTAACTTATTATTTGCATCCTTTTTTATGATAAGTTTTAAGACTACTGAAGAAAGCAGCTCCGGTAAAGAGCCTCACAAAGGCCAATTTTCAATTTCTCCCTTGTGGGCTGTGTGTGTGTTTATGACGGTCAGAAGAAGACAGACTCTCATTTAAAACTATTCTCTCTTCAAAGCAATTATAAAGTGGCCCCATCATAGATAAACTTGACCCCTTTTAATTGCTGGTTAGATTGCTTCTTTTTTCTCTCCCTGTTGTGAACAGGACTGCAGTGACCATCCTTGTATCTGTGCATGTGGGAACGAATCTGAAGGACAAATTTCTAGAATGTCAAGTTGGATTGCTAGTTTTGGAAGGTATTGCCCAAACTTTTTCTCAAAAACACTCAGTTTATTCTGTCGATATGAATGTTGCAGGGGATATTATGGTACGTTCAGAGAATACAGTTCACTACAGTGATGCCAATGTGTGAAATACACTTGACATGTGGGTAGGAACACATAACCAAGTTATATTTAGTAAACAATCTACCGAGCAGTAGAGTTAATATGATCCCATTTATTATTTTATTTTCTAACAATTACTAGTGATACTTTAGTTTGGTTCTTGCTTTTCTAAACTGTTAACCGTGAACATGTAACTATTTAAAACTTATGCTGGGTTTGCTGGGTCATGTCTGTAATCCCATCTTGGAAGCCAAGGCAGGAGGATCAGTTGAGGCCAGGAGTTTGAGACCAGCCTGGCCAACATGGCGAAACCCGATCTCTACTAAAAATATAAAAATTAGCTGCACACGGTGGTGCGCATCTGCAATTCCAGCTACTTAGGAGGCTGAGGCAGGAGAATCACTGGAACCCGATGGCGGAGGCTGCAGTGAACGGAGATCACACCACTGCACTCCAGCCTAGGTGACAGAGCAAGGCTCTGTCTCAAAAAAAAAAACAACCATATATTATTCATTAAATGCATGTTCATGCTTACTTAACCAACAGTATGGCCCTTTGGCTTAGTCTCATAGTCTATCTGACCCTTATTTTCTTTTCTTTTTTTTTTTTTTCAAATGCCCCTTTCATTATGAAACTCTTTTTTAACTTTTAATTTAAGTTCAGGGGTATGTGTGCAGATTTGTTACATAGGTAAACTTGTGTCATGGGGCTTTGTTGTACAGATTGTTTCATCACCCAGGTATTATTTTATTTTCATTTTAGTTTTTTAAATTTCTTTTTAGAGGCGGGGTCTCACTGTGTTTTGCCCAGGCTGGTCTCGAACTCCTCCTGGTCTCAAGCAATCCTCTCGCCTCTGCCTCCCCAAGTGTTGGGATTATAGGCATGAGCTACTGCACTCAGCCCACCATTTGTTTTAAAAAGGGTGGATCCTATTTGTATAAAAAGCCATGTGCATTTTCTGTGTACTTGTCTACACATTAATTTCCAGGCTGGGCGTGGTGGCTCACGCTTGTAATCCCAGCACTTTGGGAGGCCAAGGGGAGGCAGATCATGAGGTTAGGAGATCGAAACCATCCTGGCTAACACGGTGAAACCCCGTCTCTACTAAAAATACAAAAACAAAATTAGCAGGGTGTTGTGGCGGGCGCCTGTAGTCCCAGCTACTCAGGAGGCTGAGGCAGGAGAATGGCATGAACCCGGGAGGTGGAGCTTGCAGTGAGCTGAGATTGCGCCACTGCCCTCCAGCCTGGACAACAGAGTGAGGCTCCGTCTTAAAGGAAAAAAATTTCTGGAATGATGTCCAATAAATCAGAGAGAGGGACTAGAAGACTAATGAGGACAGAAGCTTTTATTCTTAACACCTATATTTTGCTACCATTTATATTGTCATCATATGCATATAACATTTTAACATTTAAAAACTAGTTTAAACAGAAATGGTTGCCCTGGAATGTGGCCTGTGTTCTTTCAAGGGAGGCCAGCAGTTTCTACAGTGGCTGAGATGGTACCTTCATCTCACACACCTACGCAGGAGTGCATTTGTGCTTTGATGTGGTTGTCCCTTGAAGAAGGAAGCAGTTCTCTTTTTCTTTTTTCCCTTTTCCATTATAGGATCAGTCACTTCTTGGGGCATTAGTAGTCTCATTTCCAGTGGCATCTTCCCTTGGCAAAAGGAATCCCAGATAGGACCTCATCTTTCTAAACAAATGCTGTTTTGGGTCCTAACCATCCCATGTTTGCTTTGAATATGTTTAAGTTGCCTGGAATTATCAACAAAAGAATTAAATTTATTGTAGGTCAGGGCATCTTTTGACTCATTGTATAAAACATTCACTTTAAATGTATACCGAAATGTCCTTTAGGCCGGGCGCAGTGGCTCATGCCTGTAATCCCAGCACTTTGGGAGGCCAAGGCAGGTGGATCACCTGAGGTCAGGAGTTCAAGACCAGCCTGGCCAACATGGTGAAATCCCGTCTCTACTAAAAATATAAAAATTAGCCGGGCATGGTGGCGGGTGCCTGTAATCCCAGCTACTAGGGGGGCTGAGACAGGAGAATCGCTTGAACTTGGGAGGCGGAGGTTGCAGTGAGCCGAGATCACTCCACTGCCCTCCAGCCTGGGCAACAAAGCAAGACTCCATCTCAAAAAAAAAAAAAAAAAAAAAAAAAAATGTCCCTCATACCTAAACCTTACCTCTTGCTAATTTGCTGAGGGTTCATTTTAGATAAAAGGTGTTTAGGTTTTCATATTATGTTTGTAACTGTATAGCTATGATTCAGTTTCCTAAATGAAAAAAGAAACTGTTTTAATGTACAGACTATTTAGATTTGAAAAGACTGTGAGAGCTTTTTCTTTTATAGCAAGACAAGTCAAGAATAGAAGGCACACTGCGAGAGGGATGTCTTTTGAAAGAAAAGAAACACTACTTTTTATATTCTCAAATCACTGAAGAAAGCTTTAGACATAATTTCAAACACTAGCTCCTGTTTAATTCAGATGCACAGAATGCATTAAAACCACGAGTGTAGTGGACGTGATTTATACATTCTCTTAGCACAAATCAGTACCTATCTTCACTGTAATTAGACTTTTCTTCCTTTCTCCTTCTCAAAAGCTACTTTTGAAACCTTATGTTTTCCCTGGACATATTTTCTGTACTTCATAAAATAGCTCAGTTCTGCAACTAACTGCAAATATTTGCAAAAGGGAACAAATGTAAAATAAACGTCCCCTAATGCAGTGTTTGGTGAAGAAACATATGTCTGACATTAGTTGGTTAACCTGAAAAATAGTAAGAAACAACTCTACTTAGGGGAAAGGGGGTAGAATTGAGCCCGTACTGTGCAAATCAAGAGAAAGCTATAATTTACGCAATTTTTATTAAAGAGAATACAAGTGCTGTAGGCTTGGGGTGGTGCTAGGTCATATTTAAGCCTAATTGAGCTTTTTCTATATCATTAGAAAAATGGGCCAAGTTTCCTATATTATAGGGTAAATACAACATTTTCTTCCTGCAAATATTAAATACCACTGGCTTTTTAAGACGTAAACATCCAAATCTCAAATGTCTTTATTCATGCCAATGCAATACAATAAAAATATTCCCCATATACACTTAAATCACTGCAAGTAAGCCTTAGAATCCCCACAAGTATTATTACTTACTATATCTCAGAAACTTTCACACACATTATTTCAAATATAGTTCTCCCAAAAAAACCCTGCGGAGAGATACCTGTAAACCAAGGCTGAGACTAGCCTAGACAGTTCGTTCTTTAGACAACAGGAGTGGAGATTTGAACCCAGCTATTGTGACTCAAGCAAGCCTAGGGCATGTTTCTGAGATCTCTAAGGTGTGCGCTGTGAAACCGGTGGCTCATTTTATGGGTTGGATTTCCAAACACGACTATCACAATCATGCCAGGAATCAATGACTGACTTCTTGCCTCCGTGGCCTGAAGTTCTCCTCTGCACCTCCTACCTTTTTGCCATTTCAGTGATGCACCAAAGGGTGGAGTTGAAGAACATCAGTTTTGCTGCTGCTTGTTGGCAATACTCTCAAAAAGGCGTGGGGAGGGAGAGGTGTAACTCACCCCTGAAGTCAAGCCTGGAGATTACTTGTCAGGAATGTCAAAAGCATTTGTTAAGCAACCTTCTTCCTGGCATTTTAAGAAGAAAGCCGCATACATAGATCAAATCCCTTCCTTCAGAAACCTGTACTCTCTGAACAGAGCCTTGGAATTCAGCCTAGAGAAAGAATACTTGGTGGTTCATAGAACTTGGTTCACAAAAGAGTGCTTGCTGCCCACGCATTTTGCACAATGACTCCCAAACACACAGAATGCACATTGGCAACAATTTTACGCGTGTTTCCAAAAGTGCTGACTGGAATTGAAGGGACACATTTGGCACTTTTTTTTTTTGAAATGGGGTCTCTCTCTGTCACCCAGGCTGGAGTGCAGTGGCGCAATCTCGGCTCACTGCAACCTCCACCTCCCAGGTTCAAGCGATTCTCCTGCTTCAGCCTCTGGAGTAACTGGGACTACATGTGCCTGCCACCACGCCTTGCTAATTTTTTTTTTTTTTGTATTGTTAATAGAGACGGAGTTTCGCCATGATGGCCAAGCTGGTCTCAAACTCCTGACCTCAAGTGATCTGCCCACCCCCCGCCCCTCGGCCTCACAAAGTGCTGGGATTACAGGCGTGAGCCACTGTGCCTGGCCACATTTGTCAACTTTCATTGGTCAATGATTGATGCAAGCCAGAATAAGAATAGATTGGGCCGGGTGCAGTGGCTCACACCTGTAATCCCAGCACTTAAGGAGGTCGAGAGAGCAGATTGCTTGAGACCAGCAATCTGAGATCAGCCTGAGCAACACAGGAAGACCCTGTCTTCACAGAAAAATGAAAAAAATTAGGCCAGGTGCTATGGCTCACACCTGTAATCACAGCACTTTGGGAGGCTGAGGTGGGTGGATCACCTGAGGTCAGGGGTTTGAGACCAGCCTGGGCAACATGATGAAACCTGTGTCTACTAAAAATACAAAAAATAGCTGGGTGTGGTGGTGCACCCCTGTAATCCTAGCTACTCAGGAGGCTGAGGCATGAGAATCACTTGAACCCAGGAGGCGGAGGTTGCAGTGAGCCGAGATCACACCACTGCACTCCAGCCTGGGCGACAGAGTGAGACTATGTCTCAAAAAAATTAAATTAAAATTAAAATTGAGCCTGATGTGGTGGCACATGCCTGTAGTTCCAGCTATGCAGGAAGTTAAGATGGGAGGATCCCTTGAGCTTGGGAGATCAAGGCTGCAGTGAGCTGTGATTGTAACTACTGCATTCTAGCCTAAGAAACAGAAAGAGACACTGTCTCAAAAAAAAAAAAAAAAAAAAAACAAGAAAAAAAAAGAAAGAAAAAAACAGATCAGAGGCCCTGGCCTGGGGTCAGTTTCTCCAGAAAGGCCTGCACAATGGAGTTTTCATGTAAAAAATTTCTTACATCCTGATTTTAAAAAATCAGATGATCAGGAAACATTGAGTTCCGATTCCTTTGTTACAACCTCCACTAAAGCTAAGTAACAGCTGCTGTATTAAGATGGGGCTCCCCCTCTCCATCCCACACCTGCCTCCCTTACATGCCTAACTCCTGTTGTAAATAGGGACCCTAATCTGATGTTTTTGTAGTCCCTTTCCTAGGGGCACTGTGGGGAGGTGGAAGGAATTTCACCTTTGTTGTTGGACAGACTTAGATTTGAGAACTGGTTCTACTACTTACTGTTTGTGTGGTCTGGGACAAGTCACTTGGTCCAAGTAAGCTTCTGCATCTGTTAAAAAAAAAAAAAAAAAAAAAAAAGGGGCGGGGAGCTAAGAATTCCTGCCCAGCAAGTTGGTTTGCAGATCAGAGGCAGTGTGTGAGAAGTACTTAACCCAGCACCTGGCATATAGTAGATGTTCAGGACATCGTAGCAGGAATAAGGGAGACATCTCACAAAACATTTTGTGAGAAAGGATCAGTTTCTATCTAGTCAATGTCTTAAACATTCATAGGTTGTTCATGGTGGGAGCTGCTCGAGGAATCATCCTAGTTTTATGGAGGAGGAATCTGAAGCTGGAGGAATTGTCTCCTTCAAGATTACTTAGTTAAAGGCAAACAGGTTCATAGCCAGTGGCTCTTCACCAACCCACAAAAAGGCCTCAGATTATAATTTTGAAGATTAAGTATATGAAAGTGCTATTTGAGTGATTAAGTGTAAGCATCAGATCATTTTGAACTGGTGAGATGGCTCACACCTGGAATTCCAGCACTTTGGGAGGCCCAAGAGGGAGGATTGTTTGAGCCCAGGAGTTCAAGACCAACCTGGGCAACATTGTGAGAGCCTGTCCCTACAAAAAATAAAAAAAAATTAGCCAGGCATGCTGGCACACACCTGTGGTCCTAGCTACTCTAGAAGCCGAGGCCAAAGGATTGCTTGAGGCCAGAAGGTTGAGCCTGAAATGAGCTCTGATTGCGCCACTGTGCCACAAGCTGGGCGACAGCAAGACACTGTGTCCAAAAAAGAAAGATAATTTTGATTAGCACAAAGATGGGACAGCTACATGTGATCAGATTTGGAAAAAAAAAATAACCATTCATTCATTCATTCATTTACTCGGCACTGATTGAGTCTAGTTTGGACAGGTATTGCCCTAGTCTCTGGGATGACAGCGAGAGGCAAAACACAGACACTCACTGCCTGCATAGAGCTCAGAATGTAATGGTGGGAAGGCAGAGGAGGAAACAGATATACAGATAATTTTAGATGGAGATACCTGCCATGAAGGAAGTAGAGGAAGGCCAGGTGCAGTGGCTCATGCTTGTAATCCCAGCACTTTCCCAGCACTTTGGGAGGCTGAGGCAGAAAGATCGATTGAGCCCGGGAGTTTGAGACCAGCCTGGGTAATATAGCGAGACCCCGCCTCTACAAATAATTAAAAAAAAAAAAAAGAAATAGGATTACCTGAAAAGGAGCCAGTCTTGCAAACAGCCGGGCAAAGAGTGAGCAAGAGTTTTTTGGGAAGAGGTGCACACAGCAAGTGCTGAGACCCAGAGGAAGGAAGGGGCTTGTCTGCTGAAGGACCCAGGTGCCCTGGGAGAGGTAGCCAGAGGCGCTTAGTAAGCTTCAATCAGGATTTTAATCTTAATATAGTGCTGAGGGTTTTAAGCAGAAGAGTGATAGAAGAGAGTTAGCTTTTGTGCAAGCACTATTATTCATGGAAGTCCCCTTTCGATGGGGTAGTGGGGACTCCTCACTAAGCTGTCCTTCTATCTCTGTGGCTGTCTCAGAGAAGCACTGTGGAACTCCAGGGTGCTACGTAGCTCACCACGGTGACCCCCAATGCAGGCCACTTACAGAAGCTTGAAGATCTGTGATTTGCTCACCCAGGCTCCCATGCCGAGTGTTCTTGTCATTAACTCAAAAGCCAAATGCTGGTATTTCTGTTCTTACTTGCTTGATTGTTTGTTTACCAGTTCTCAACATCTTCAGTGTCCACTTGGTTACTAAAATGTTTACTCCTTAGCCCAGTGTGTAGGCATGTGCCTGTAATCCCAGCTACTCAGGAGGCTGAGGCAGAAGAATCTCTTGAACCTGGGAGGTAGAGATTGAAGTGAGCCAAGATTGTGCCACTGCAATCCAGCCTGGGCAACACAGCGGGACTCTGTCTCCAAAGAAAAAAAAAAAAGAAAAGGAAAGAAAAAATTATCCAGGCATAGTGGTACTCACCTGTAGTCCCAGCTGCTCGGGAGGTTGAAGCGGGAGGATCACCTGAGCCCAGGAGGTTGAGGCTGCAGTGAGCCATGATCAGGCCACTGCACTCCAGCCTGGGTGACAGAGTGAGACTCTGTCTCAAAAAGAATATAAAAATAATAAAAATAAAATAAAATGTTTCCTCTTGATCACAAAAAAAAGGATATAGTTCTATGCAATCATGTCTGAAACAGGATACGTGTGTCATGCATCCCTGAGTTCGGGTTACCTCAATGACATGACCATTTACCTAATCTTTGCTTTTTCATCTGCTCTCAATTGAAAAGAAAGAAACCATTAATTATATTGAAAGATGCTGACTTGTAAGCTTCTCCCCTCTCCTGGCTCAGGTCAGTTGCTCAGAATGCACCCAGCAAAGATTGGCTGAACAAAGACAGGGAGATGTTGTGAGTCCCACTGATGCCCTTAACACCGGGCATTGTTCAACTTGGGGTCATTTGTGAAAATGATGGGAATGCAACTTCCTCACTTTACAGATGAGAAAACAGCCTCAGAGAAATGCTGGGATATGGGATATGAGTTGGTCTCATAGCCTGTGAGTGCCAGAGCCAGCTCGAATCCAAGTTTCTGACTCACAGTGACTCTTATCCAGCAGGACGTATTCTTCAGAGGCCATGTGTTGAAAACAGTTAGGTGGGTTGGGGGCTGCAGGCCATACCATTAGGAAATGGGGGGCATGTCCTCTGGGTGGTTCCTAAGCATTTGGATGTTACAGCCCTGCCTTTCTTTATTCTGTTGTTCTAGAAGCTCCAACCTGGTATGCTTTTAAGGCAGATATGGCCACAAATGAAGCACATTCACATGACTGCACTGCCTTTCTGGATGAAACAATTTGACCAAACACTGGTGTTGAGACAGTTGGTGATTTGGGCTTTGCCACGTGGTGGGAATGACACAATAAATATATTTTGATATGAATTAGGTAAAGATCTGTCTCTAACCTTGGGCTATATGTGAACATTAACTGCCCATTGGATACTGGGGAACTATAAATGTCTCCGTCCAACTCTGTTCAACTCTAATTTTTTTTTTTTTTTGAGACGGAGTCTTACTCTGTCACCCAGGCTGGAGTGCAATGACGTAATCTTGGCTCACAGCAACCTCTGCCTCCTGGGTTCAAGTGATTCTCCTGCCTCAGCCTCCCAAGTAGCTGGGATTACAGGAGCCCGCCACCATGCCCAGCTAATTTTTGTATTTTTTAGTAGACACAGGGTTTCACCATGTTGGCCAGGCTGGTCTCGAACTCCTGACCTCAAGCCATCCACCTCCCTCGGCTTCCCAGAGTGCTGGGATTACAGGCATGAGCCATGACACCCGGCCTGTAATTTTCTTTAAAGACTGCCACTGGGTGGAACCCACTGGGCCCAGTGAGAACTACGGAAAAGAGACCCATTCTTGCCCTCATTGTTAGTGTCCACATCCGGATTTACCTAAACCCCACCCAGGTGGCATTTGCATAGTAATGAAAAACCGGTATTTTCTAGCTGTGAATCACACTTCAAATCCTGAGCGGCTGACTGTCAGGGGTGCGTCAGGCCTGCTTGCTGGGAGAATGGACGAGCTGGTTGTGGAGCGGGCGGGTCCCGCCACCCGTGGGCTCAGCACTGGACTGCTCCCAGAACATTAAAGGTCTGGCTGATGTTCCATGCCACATCTGGACATGAAGACCCATGTCTGCCCTTCTGTAGAAGGGCCAAAGAAGAAAGGAGGCATCACATGTTTCTGCTGTGGGGGGCCCTTCCGAGCAGCAGACAGGAGCAAGGTACAGGAGTGGCCTGATTCTGGGGTTTCCCTGCCCCCCCTGGGGTCCCTAAACTGCTGTGTGATATGTTTCTAACTATCTGGACAGCTCACCCAAGAGTCAGTTGTTCCCAGTCGCTTCTTGCTGAGGATAAGCCAAAAGAGGGCCGGGGGCCAATCTGGTTTCTTTCAAGTGAAATTATGCTTCTCAAGCAGAGAATGATTGCCCACAGCAGTTAAACCTTGTTTAATGGTAATTAAATTGCTTTTCTTCACTTTGAAAAATCTCTTAATTTTCTGTACAAAGGCAGGAAGCATTTTTCTTTGATTCTACAGGATGTTTCTAAGTATGGTGTAATCAGTTCATCTTACCTTGCCGGGCTCTGAAAGAATGAGTGTGTGGGATCAGATTTAGAAATGCCTCAAAGGTTAGAAAGCCGAGTGCTGCCGATTAACTCAAGCTCAGATGACCAAAAAAAAAAAAAAAAAAAAAAAGCTGCTTTTCCCCTCACTTCTCCCTCTGGTTCTGCCTCAGTACTTTGCTTAGGAGTTTCTAAAAGCAGGCACAGTTGCCTGCGGGGCTGGTGTGTGTCACCTTCGCAAAGTGCAGATGAGGTCTGGCATGTCCCATCTTGTTCCTGCCTGACTACAACTCTGCACACAGACAGTGTTGATCTGGCTTGGAGCCCATAGTGGCAATCCTTGGAGTGGAGGCAGCAGAGATCTCAGTTCTTCCTAGTGCTTGAGAAGTTAACTAACTGTCTTTCCCATGAGGAAAATGTTTTGAGACTGTAGAAGCAGAGAAGAGACTTCGCCAAAGCCCATAGAAAATAAAAAGCAAACCCTCAAGCATGAAAATCCCTGGCCCTGGAGTAAGTGCAGGTGATAAGGCTTGCTATCTGATGCCTCATTCCATGTCTCTGGCTTCCCATTGCCTAAATTAAGATGTCCTGAAAGAAACCTTGGGAAAAAAAAAGCACAGTCCCCACATTTGAAGTAGAAATAGAATTAAGGAGAAATTGTGATTTTCCTGAAGGAACAGAACCAACACTGGTTTTCAAAAGCCTTAGTTTTACATTTTAGTAGAAACTGTTAGCAGTAGGAGGATTTGCTTTGTGTGTGTGTGTGTCTGTCTGCTTTGCCTTATTTTGGTTCTGACCATACCACTGCTATCTCAGTCTTAGAGGCTGATTTTGTGGCCCAGAGTGTTTCGTTCAGATATCTTTGTGTTGAGGTGATATTGAGCCAGCAGCCAAAGAAATGCATGGCCAAGATATGGAATATCTGGTCAACAGAGAATAACAACAAAGTGGGACGCATCATAAGGTCATAGGTCAGTGAAAACAGCTGCTAGCCATTTATATGCAGGAGAGAAAGAAGGCCCAGGGAGTTGGAAAGACTGAAGGTATTTTGGACTGAGCAGAGCAAAGGGATTTGGGGACATATAAATGTATGAAACAAGATGGTCAGGAAAACAATTTTTTTCAAAGGTAGCATGAATAGAGTGAGGTAAGGAAACCCATGGCCATGGTACTGGTGGCCTAATGGGAAAAGGCAGTGTAATGACTTCTACATGGAGACTTCAGTTCTGCCCCTCGTACTGTTGAAGAATATTCTGTCCAGAGAGGCTCTTCAGTTTCTACCTGGTTTTCTAATGGCTTTAAAAAACTTTGGTGTATTGGGGGAATGGAAACAAAGATATTTACTAGAGAAGTGTTTGGCAAAAAGTGCCAAGCTTATTCCTGAGAAAGGATGGAACGGCGTGGGGGGTGGAGGGAGGGTTGGAACCATACTCCAAATTCCCCTGAGGCCCACACGTGTTCACCAGACATCTGTGGGGAGCCCGGATGAGATGTGGGGCCCTTCCCCTTTCTCATTTTCTTTTTTACTTTTAGATCCTGGATCAAAATGAGTCCTTGATTCCCTCATCCCATCCCAGGACCCTTTTTTAGTTGCATTACCACCTAGTGAAGTCTACCAAGTCTTGATTTGAGAATCAAAACAAACTCAGATCAAAGTCAACCTCAGGGAATCAGAGAACACAGAAGCTGAAAGATGTATCCAGCCTTCCCTAAATGGCAGATGAGGACACTGAGGCCAGGAAGCTCAGGTGACTTATCCAGGAGCGTGCCAGTACTTAGCCAAAGATCTGGAACTGGGACTGATGCTTCCTGAAAACAGATTCCTGCCTGGAGTGCATGACCCTGCTTGAGAAAGTGCAGAGGGACAGTGACAAGGCGGGATAACGTAGCAGTCCCAGCGACTTGGGCACCCATCCTGATGCTTCCCCTAGGCCCCAGTGTTTTATTTTCTGGTAAGGCCAGACCTGAGTCAGGTCCTGCCTCCTAACTCCTTTCTCTTCCTTCAGTGGGCAACAAAGATGGCCACAGAAGCAGAGAGGGGTTCCTCCCAGGTACATATTTACCAGTACTTGTACCTTGCGCTTTTAAAAACTCTTTAGCCAGGGATAGTGGTGCATACCTATAATCCCAGCTACTTGGGAGGCTGAGGTGGGAGGATCACTTGAGCCCAAGAGGTCAAGGCTGCCGTGAGCCGTGATTATATCATTGCATTCCAGCCTGGGTGGCAGAATGAGACCCTGTCCCCTCAACCTAACTCTGATGAGGACTATATTACAAGTGTTATATACCAGATTCTGGATGGAGAAGGGAAAGTGATTGTAGACAAGAGAATATTATACTTGGTTGCTGTGTTCTCCAAACCCAAACGCATAGATACACACAGACCCACAGACACACACACACAGACATGAGCGGGACATATTTGAAATCCTCACTGGTTTTGAAAATCTGAGGCTAATAGTTGGAGGAAGTGAGGGGTGACTGTGAGAGAACAAATGTGTAACAGATACACCCTGAGAATCAGGGCTCATAAATAAGGAGTAGAGTCTATTGCACCTAAGCCTTACTACTAGCCTAAGCCTTCATACTAGAGCAAAACCGTGGGCAGACAGCACACAAAAGCAGCCCCTGTCACTCAGGGGCTTACTTCTTTTTTTTTTTTTTTTCTTTTTTTGAGACGGAGTCTCGCTCTGTCACCCAGGCTGGAGTGCAGTGGCGCGATCTCGGCTCATTGCAAGCTCCACCTCCCGGGTTCACGCCATTCTCCTGCCTCACCCTCTCAAGTAGCTGGCACTACAGGCGCCCGCCACCAAGCCCGGCTAATTTTTTGTATTTTTTAGTAGAGACGGGGTTTCACCGTGTTAGCCAGGATGGTCTCGATCTCCTGACCTCGTGATCCGCCCGCCTGGGCCTCCCAAAGTGCTGGGATTACAGGCGTGAGCCACCGCGCCCGGCCGGCTTACATCTTAATGAGCCCACAGCTGCCTGTTGACCTGGTGTCATCACGAGGGTGATCACTATTTCCAGCAAGCTCTTTGTCCCTCAAAGCCCAGGGATCAGGGGCAGCCCGTGGAAGACGAGCCACTGGTTCCAGCGAGGCACAAGGAGAGAGGTTAAGCTGCTTCTACCCTGTTCAACTGTGATGAGATTCCAGCGAAAATCAGCATTGAGGGCCTCAGGTGTTTGCAGGGGGCTCTGGTATGTTAGAAAAACTAGAGGGAGGGGTCTGCCTTTGTGTCTGTTTGTGAGCGTGTCTACTCAAGTAGGAAAGGGGAGCACAGATTTTTACAAAATAGATGTGGGCGGTTTCTTGTAGTCTTGCCTAACTGAAACCATGTTTGCCAGAGATTACTTGGAATTACCCTAATAGGTGCTTTGTCAAAATACTTGGTGCTGGCCAGATGTGGTTCATATACCTGTAACTTCAGTGCTTTGGGAGGCTGAGACAGGAGGATTGCTTGCGGCCAGGAGTGCAAAACCAGCCTAGGCAACATAGTGAGACCCTGTCTTTACAAAAACAACAACAAAATTACCTGGCTGTGGTGGTATGTGCTTGTGGTCCCCACTACTCCAGAGGCTAAGGTGGGAGGATTGCTTAAGCCCTGGTGGTTGCAGATGCGATGAGCTATGATTGCATCACTGCAGTCCAGCCAGGGCAACAGAGCAAAATCTTGTGTCTAAAAAAGAAAGCAATACTTGACGGTGAAAGCGAGTCCTGCTCAGGGGTCCCTTCTGGAAAGTCCTGGAGCCTGGAACTGAACTCCGTGATTCCCCTGTGCCTTCCCCCTGGGAGCCTGAGCCCCCTTGAAGGTGACAGACACGGGGGAACCTGTGTCCTGTGGGATCACTCCTCTCAGTCCTTCTCTACCACATAGAGAAAGGGATGGATGGCAAAGTAAAGCCAACAAACCTCCACTTCCTTCCTCCTCCCCACTGCCAGAGTGGAGATTCTTCTTTATTCTGTGGAACTGGATTCTGAAATGCCAAACCATTCCATCTGTTGTGTTTTGGCACAAGTGCTCAAAAGAGCTCAGGTGTCTCCCTTTGCAATTTCCCCATGGCTTAAAATTCAGTCCTGGAGATCTGTCTCTTGTAGGAAATGGAGGGGCTTTCCTTATGCTTGTTTTTCTCTGTAAAGAAGCATAAAGGTTTAAGTTTTCGTTGGGAGGGCCTAAATTAGGAAGGAAAGATTATTTAAATCAAAGCACTCTCATTGTAGAGTCATAAGCTTGGATTTTGTGTGCATGCCATGCTAGCTCAAAAAACAAAGTTGAGAGTCAGAGCTCTTTGAAGGATGAGGAAGGGGACCCGGGAATGAGTGGCTCTGCTTCAGGAAGCATGTTTTAATGTGTGTTCCTAAAAAAGCCTCTGGAAAAGTGGTTTAGGAAGCTTCTGGGCTAGGAGAGACACCATGAAAAACAAAACACAAAGTATGTGAGTCAGTTATGATCAATTGTGCCATAATCGACATTTCAGTTGTATAGTAGTTACACTATGAAAAGCACAGACATATTTAAAAAGACAATTTTGAGGCCAGGCATGGTGGCTCATGCCTGTAATCCTAGCACTTTGGGAGGCTGAGTCAGAAGGATCAATTGAGTCCAGAAGCTCGAGACGATCCTGGGCAACTTTGTGAGACCTCATCTCTACAAAAAAAAAAAAAAAAAAAAAGCCAAGTATGCTGGCACATCCCAGCTCCTTGGGAAGCTGAGGCGGGAGGATCACTTGAGCCCAGGAGTTCGAGGCTGCAGTGAGCTATGATTGAGCCACTGCCCTCCAGCCTGGGCAACAGAATGAGATCATCTCTTAAAAAAAAAAGGAGAAAGATAATTTTGAGATTCAACATAGCCCACTAACAGCTTCATTTAGACATCATACCTTTTGTCTAGACTTGACAGAATTTGTTAAATACTGGAAAGTTGTATTTTTTATCTTGTTTCCCCTGTTCTGTCTGTGAATAGAGACGTTTGTTCTTTACCTAGTTTATAGGACTGTCATGAGGAAAGGTGACATAATAATGGGTTCACAGTATTGGAAGGGGGAGGACAAAATGCCTGTTTACAAGAGACCCAGTTACAGAGCTATGTGAAGTAAATACTGAATGTCAATTCTAGGTAACGATCCTCAATGTCACAGGTACTTCACGTATTAATACCTCTTTGCCATTATACATATGTCCTTCTCCAAATGATGGCTCTTTGCTGTAAAAGTTTGTCTTCTAAGCTGGTTGTGTGGAATTTGGCCCCTACCTTCCACATTGTCTTATAGGAGTGCATTTAGGCCAGGTGTGGTGGCTCATGACTCTAATTACAGCACTCTGGGAGGCTGAGGCAGGTGGATTACTTGAGGTCAGGCGTTTGAGACCAGCCTGGCCAACATGGTGAAACCCCTTTTCTACAAAAATACAAAAATTAGCTGGACCTAGTGGTGGGCGTCTGTAATCTCAGCTACTTGGGAGGCTGAGGCAGGAGAATCCTTGAACCTGGGAGGCAGAGGCTACAGTGAGCCGAGATTGCACCACTGCACTCCAGACTGGGTGGTAGAGCAAGACTCTGTCTCAGACAAAAAAAAAAAAAAAGCATTTAATCTGGTGCTGAGCTGACCTCTTGTACTCTGATTTTTTCATTGTTTAGATTGGAAATAGGTCCTGAGTTCTAATTCTGTATTTGGGACTTGGTGACTGCTTCTATCCCAGTCTTTGATGGTTTAGACAGTGGAACCCTCCATGGGGGCATGTGGGTGATCCTCTTGTCGGGGAAAAAAGAGGGTGAGTGACTAGGGGGTGGGCTACCGTAACCAGGACTCTGAGGATAGGTGCAGGGTCACTGATGACTGGGAAGAGTTGTAGGTCCTGCCACCATCTATTTTGCATGGGAAGGACATTTGCCTGAGCTAAGCCATGGGAAAAATCTAAATTTAGATACCTGAGCTCTCCACAGCAACTAAGCCAAGACACAGTAGACAGAATGTTTTGGCCTTTCAGAATCAGTATTTTACATACAAGGACTCGATTTCACAGAAAACCCTTCTCAATGCTTATGTGTATATGAAAAGAAAGTTTGACCTGCAGGAATCATTGTAATGTATCAGATCCATATCACAGCTCAATTATTCCCAAGGATTCAGGGAGGAAAAGCCAACAAAAACAAAAAAAGGAATAAAGGAATTGGGTTGTTATGGAAGAGAAAGCTAAAGGGGATTTATTTGAGGTCTGGAAGGCTACGACGGGTTGCATTCAGATGTCATCCACATGTCCACAGAGAACCGCACAAGGACTTCAAGGTGAAATAGTGGCTGATCAAGTCCTAGGAGTCTGAGCAATCAAACATTGGCATGTGTTACCAATTAAGTAGAGAGGTGGCTGCTGTTTTAGAGGCTTGATGATTGTCTGTCTTTAAGAGTCAATATTGGCCGGGCGTGGTGGCTCACACCTGTAATCCCAGCACTTTGGGAGGCCGAGGTGGGTGGATCACAAGGTCAGGAGATAGAGACCATCCTGGCTAATACGGTGAAACTCCGTGTCTACTAAAAATACAAAAAATTAGCCGGGCGAGGTGGCGGGCAACTGTAATCCCAGCTTTTCGGGAGGCTGAAGCAGGAGAATGGCGTGAACCCAGGAGGCGGAGCTTGCAGTGAGCCCAGATCACACAACTGCACTCCAGCCTGGGTGACAGCGAGACTCCGTCTCAAAGAAAAAAAAAAAAAAAAAGAGTCAATATTTGTGGGAGTCTCAATTTAAGGTGCTAGGTAAATTGGGAGTTCCATCTGAGGTTTCTTTCAAGATAAAATGCCTTATAAAAGTACTGTAAGTCCACCTGGCCAACATGGCGAAACCTCATCTCTGCTAAATATACAAAAAAATTAGCTGGGCACAATGGTGGCTCATACCTGTAATGCCAGCTACTTGGGAGGCTGAGGTGGGAGGATTCTGTGAATCTGGGAGGTGGAGGCTGCAGTGAGCCAGTATCGCACCACTGCACTCCAGTCTGGGTAACAGCAAGACCCTGTCTCAAAAAAAAAAAAAAAAGAGAAAAGTATTGTAAGTCACTTCAGTATTAGGGATGGGGGCCAAAGTCCACTCACGTATAAAAATATCCCTCAGAGGAAGACTTCTATGTGTGTCTCATGCAACCACTTTATGCTGTCTCTGAGGTTGTTCATTCCAGTTTTCCTGCTTTTCTGTTCCAGACTTGGGCTGATACCAGAGAGTGTGGATTGCCTGCAGGGCTTCATGCGCATTTCTCTGTGTATTTAAATACTCACGGAAGATTAGCAACTATGCATAAACTTTCCAGTTGTACTTCCTTAATAATGATTACTGCTACTCTTTGTTGGTAGCTAAGGGAAGCGTCTGCATGGAGGTGGCTTAGAATTGACAATGTGCAAAATTCTGGGTCGTTTCATGGGGGCTGGGGGAAGGCTTGGAAATAAAGGCTTGGGTCATTCCCTTGTGTTTAGCTCTTGCAGGAAACTCTTGCAACACCATGCTGTTGTGTTATCATCTGCCTGGGTTTCGTCCCCAGGACAGAACGGCATGAATGATGTCTTTAGTGTCTCACAGAAGGAACACTGGGTTCTTGAGTGCCTGCCATCTCTGTCTCATCTTGACTCCAAGGACATTTTAACCTCTCAATGCCTTGTTTTGCAGCCAAAGGTATATTATCTGTCTCCCATATGCGTTCTGGGAGATTAACCACTAAGCATTTTGCTTTTTAGGTGTGAGGCGCTGTTTCCTTCTAAGACCAGTATTGTTTCTGACTAACTTTATCCAGTTGAGTGGGGTTGTGTCTCTATTTCATGTTACGAGATGCCTCTAACATTTTTATTATGAAAATAATTTTTGTGTCCATTGAAAAGGTTTGGGAGGAGTATTTAAGTTTTGTAGGATAATTATAGATACTCTATCAGTCATACATTCTATCTTTTTTATTTTTTTTTGAGACAGAATCTCGCTCTGTCAACCCAGGCTGGAGTGCAGTGGTGCGATCTTGGCTCACTGCAACCCCTGCCTCCCAGGTTCAAGTGATTCCCCTGCCTTAGCCTCCCGAGGAGCTGGGACTACAGGCACGTGCCACCACACCAAGCTATTTTTTGTATTTTTTAGTAGAGATGGGGTTTCGCCACGTTGGCCAGGCTGGTATCGAATTCCTGTCCTCAGGTGATCCGCCCACCTCGGCCTCCCAAAGTGCTGGGATTACAGGTGTGAGCCACCGCTCCCAGCCCATCACACACTCTAAATCCATACAACGAGTACAGCGGGACTTTTCTTTCTGTGTTTTGTGGCAAATAAGTTGGTAGAAATATTATCAAATAAAGGCCAAAACTGTGTTCAGAGACCTGGAAGTTCATTCTTTTCCTGGTTTTGTTGTATGTCTGAGACATGCAGAGGGACAGACAAAAAGATGCATTTAAAAAAGAGCTGCCAGGGAACACATACCAAAATGGAAATTTGGGAAGGGGATGGACAAGATGAGACAAAGCAGACAGACACAGATTTTCTCAGGTCAACAAAGTTGTGTCAGACTAGTAAGACCAGCTTTAGAGTTTAAAAAAAAAGAAGAGGAAAAAGAAAAGAAAAAATACACACACAAACAGAGGTGCACAGAACATTCCAGGAAACCATTGAACTGTGAGTGATAACGTGTTTCCTTCTATTCCTTCAAAGATTTGTTTTAGAGGATAGCTGGGTAAGAACTTGTGCTGAAAAAACAATGCAAGGGATTTGTAAAGAAACAGGGAAATGAATGATCTGACAGGCCGTTTGTTACCACCAACATTTTTCTTAATTTAACCTGAACTTACTTGCTCTTGTGGTGGTCGGTCGGTCTTTCTCTCTCTCTCTCTCTCTCTCTCTCTCTCTCTCTCTCATTCTCTCTTTCTCTCTCTCTCTCCCTTTCTCCCTTTCTCTCTTTCTCTGTCTCTCTTTCTCTCTTTCTTTCTTGTCTCATTCTGTTGCCCTGGCTAGAGTACAATGGCACAATCCTAGCTCACTGCAGCCTCAACTTCTGGGCTCAGGTGATCCTCCCACCTCAACCTCCTGAGTAGCTGGGACTACAAGTGTGTGCCACTACCCACCACACCCTGCTAAATTTTTGTTGTTGTTGTTTTGAGGAGACCAGGTTTTACCATGTTACCCAGGCTGGTCTCGAACTCCTGGGCTCAAGCAATCCGCCCACCTTGGCCACCCAAAGTGATGAGTGCTAAGATTACAGGCATGAGCCTCTGTGCCCAGCTTGGATATTTCAAAGACATTAGCCATGGCCTTCATGTTTATCTGGACTTGAGGGCTTCATATCTTTGACCATAGATGATGCTTAAGTTGGTCTTTCACGTGGTTTCAGATCCACAGACATTTTGATTAGGTCAAATAACAATCGTCTTCATAATGCCACCATGTATGTATGTAGTCCTTTGGAGACTATTTTGACATCATTTATAACTGACAACACTGTGACTTTCATCCTCCTCTTAGCTCACATGCCTTAATCCCACATGTACTGCCCTGTAGAGAAATATTCCTCCTTCCTCTTGGCTTGCTTTCTTAGCTTTGTCTCTATCCCAGGACAATAACTGAACAAAGGCTCTTCATTCTTGGTGCAACTCAGAGTTGGAAGAGTCAAGGGTGAAGGGGCATTGGGCAGCCGGCCATAGCTGTCTTCTTCCTCTCTTAATGTCTTTGTCTCTCCCATCTTCATGTGGACATTTTCTCTCTCCTTCTTCTCTTTTTCCTCCCCTCGCTGAAAAAAATAGGATTACTGTTTTGAACCGGGCATTATGCTAGATGATAGATGTACAGGGGTCAGCAAGATGGGCAAGGTTTCCATCTTCATGTATATTAAAGTTTGGAGGGAATAAAACATTAAAATAAATAGTTACAAGGGTGGTGAGTAGTAAGAAAAGATAAGGAATGCTTAGCAAGGGGGACTGAAATAGTGTAGAGGTGGGATGAGGAGTCAGCGAAGTCTGAGTAAGTAAATTCAGAGAGAAACAAAAGAACTACACTCTAGATTTCCCTTTAAAGGAAAGGAAGGGGAAAGAAATAAAATTCCAAAGAGAAAAGGGCAGAAAGATACTTTGTTTTATACAGAACACTGGAGGCCCCAGTGTAATCAACATCAAATTTGTGTATCTGCAAAGGCTGATCTTTTTTTTTTTTTTTTGAGACGGAGTCTCACCCTGTCGCCCAGGTTGGAGTGCAGTGGTGCAATCTTAGCTCACTGCAACCTCTGCCTCCCGGGTTCAAGCAATTCTCCTGCCTCAGCCTCCTGAGTAGCTAGGATTACAGACATGCACTACCACACCTGGCTAATTTTTGTATTTTTAGTAGAGACAGGGTTTCACCATGTTGACCAGGCTGGTCTCCAGCTCCTGACCTCAGGTGATCCGCCAGCCTCAGCCTCCCAAAGTTCTGCAATTACAGGCGTGAGCCACCATGCTCGACCTAAAGACTGATCATTTTTTATCAGTTGTCCAAAGACTTCATCTTTTCTCCTTCCCTGATACCATTGCATTCAGCCATGGTGCTGAGAGGTGAAGCCAGCTGGACTTCCTGGGTAGAATGGGGACTTGGAGAGCTTTTCTGTCTTATAAGAGGATTGTAAAACACACCAATCAGCACTCTAGTTAGGAATGTAAAACGCACCAATCAGCGCTCTGTAGCTAGCAAGAGGATGGTAAAATGCACCAATTAGTGCTCTGTAAAACACACCAATCAGCGCTCTGTAAAATGCACTAATCAGCACTCTGTAAAACGCACCAATCAGCAGGAGTCTAAAAGTAGCCAGTTGTGGAGGATTAAAAAAAGGGCATTCTGATAGGACAGAAATCGAATTTGGGAGGGGACAAATAAGGGAATAAATGCTGGCCACCCCAGCCAGTAGTGGCAACCCGCTCGGTCCCCTTCCACGATGTGGAAGCTTTGTCCTTTGCTTTTCGCAATAAATCCTTGCTACTGCTCACGCTTTGGGTCGGTGCCATCTTTAAAAGCTGTAACACTCAGGACTGCGAAGGTCCGCAGCTTCATTCTTGAAGTCAGCGAGACCACGAACCCACCAGAAGGAACCAGACACAGTGCCACCTACCCACATCTTCCCCTATGGCTAGATGGCAGGAATCCACAAACACCTGCCAAGATAGTATTGTGATCATGTTACCAGCTATAATTGGAGGTGAGGAGTTTGGAGTAGAAATTTGTCTGTTTTTATAATAACGAGGTTGAATTATTTATAGCTTTGTGTCTTTCCTCTTCTCCATAAGTATAATTAATTTTATTAGGCATCTATTCCTAAGAGCCAGGAATTCACATAGCTGCTGGGAAGATGAAGACTTATAAAGACCACTTGTGGTCTCTCAAGGAGTCTGTTGGCAGAGACTGGCATACATAAAACAAATGGAATAAATATTCTATCAGGAATATGGGTAAGGTCTTACAGAAACCCAGAAGAGGAAAGAGTTCTCCCAAGGTAAGGGAACCTAGAAAAAGTTACAAAACGGAAAGAGCTATCCATCTATCTGTATCTGTATCTATAACTATATATCTACATCTATACCTATATCTGTAGAGATGGGATCTTGCCATGTTGCCCACGCTAGTCTTGAACTCCTGGCCTCAAATGATCTTCCTTTCTCAGCCTCCCAAAGAGCTGGGATTACAGGCATGAGCCACCATGCCTGGCCCCAAGAAGGGATATTTGAGTTGATCCTAAGAGAATGATAGACTGCTGATAAAGCTAAATAGACTTTTTTAGAGTGTTCCATTATTTTTGTATTTTGTAGTTAATGCTTAATATGAGTAATCATGCTTTAGAAAGAGAAAGCACCAATCAAAACAAGCCTATTTTCTTTTCACCTAGGCATAGTACTTGGTATGAGTTGGCCTAGAAACAACTGCATATTCTACTCACACTGCTGCATGGTTTGCCTAAGAGTACTCCATAGATGGACTATTGAAATTTGGGTGTGGGTTAAATTTTCATAAATCAAATTTCATTTCCCATTATCTTACACCTAATTAAAGAGATAATGTGCCTTCTGATGACCCTGTAATTGGCAGTTGTAACTGGCCCTTTAACTTTGTTTCCCTGCGCTGCAGCTCCTGTCTCCAGCAGTTAGTTCATCATCTGTACACTAACAGTAAGCTACGCGGGCAGGCACTATTTTAAAAAACACACACAAAGCTGTCTGTGAATGGCAAAGGAATCAGAGCAAGTCATTACTCTCTAGTTCATTTGGCTAGAAAGGTCAGGTCGCCTATATTGACTTTTCATGAAAACTAGGCGAACTAGTAGTTTTCATGCACAATATGTCAACAACCTGTTATATTTGAAATTCTTTTTAAATTAGGTGGGTGAATGGTGTAAAACTTCACTATATTTTCTCCCTGCCTGTTAATTGACTTGCTAATCTCCTGCCAATATATGTCCATTTTAAAAAACAAACAACCCCATCAAAAAGTGGGCAAAGGACATGAACAGACACTTCTCAAAAGAAGACATTTATGCAGCCAAAAAACACATGAAAAAATGCTCATCATCACTGGCCATCAGAGAAATGCAAATCAAAACCACTATGAGGTATCATCTCACACCAGTTAGAATGGCAATCATTAAAAAGTCAGGAAACAACAGGTGCTGGAGAGGATGTGGAGAAATAGGAACACTTTTACACTGTTGGTGGGACTGTAAACTAGTTCAACCATTGTGGAAGTCAGCGTGGAGATTCCTCAGGGATCTAGAACTAGAAATACCATTTGACCCAGCCATCCCATTACTGGGTATATACCCAAAGGACTATAAATCATGCTGCTATAAAGACACATGCACACGTATGTTTATTGCGGCATTATTCACAATAGCAAAGACTTGGAACCAACCCAAATGTCCAACAATGATAGACTGGATTAAGAAAATGTGGCATATATACACCATGGAATACTATGCAGCCATAAAAAATGATGAGTTCATGTCCTTTGTAGGGACATGGATGAAATTGGAAATCATCATTCTCAGTAAACTATCGCAAGGACAAAAAACCAAACACCGCATATTCTCACTCATAGGTGGGAATTGAACAATGAGATCACATGGACACAGGAAGGGGAATATCACACTCTGGGGACTGTGGTGGGGTGGGGGGAGGGGGGAAGGATAGCATTGGGAGATATACCTAATGCTAGATGACGAGTTAGTGGGTGCAGCGCACCAGCATGGCACATGTATACATATGTAACTAACCTGCACAATGTGCACATGTACCCTAAAAGTTAAAGTATAATTAAAAAAAAAAAAAAAAAAAAAAAGGATTGTGGCCTGGCGCAGTGGTTCACACTTGTAATCTCAACAGTTTGGGAGACCGAGGTGAGAAGATCACTGGAGGCCAGGAGTTTGAGACCACCCTGGGCAACAGAGCAAGATCCTTTCTCTACAAAAAAGTAAAACATATGAGGCGGCCTGTTGGCACACATTTGTAGTCCTAGCTACTCGGGAGGCTGAGGTGGAAGGATGGCTTGAGCCCTGGAGTTTGAGGCTGCTGTGAGCCATGACCGTGCCACTGTACTCCAGCTTGGGCAACAGAGTGATTCCCTGACTTAAAAAACAAAAAGATTGCTTTAAACATTCATCAAAAAACAGAGCAAATTACACTTTGGCAGAAACATGAAGGCTAATACTTGAATCCAAGCACCCATTCCCTCTGGGCTTACCACACTGAAGGCAAAATGAGTGGGGTTGGTTTTTCTCCTCAAGAAATGTTGTTCTGGGACAGTGAGTCATTGGTTTTTGTTCTTGCAACCCTTCATCATCTAACAGGTTTGGTTAACTCAAGAAGTTCTAGGAAATGTTCAAACACTGCAGATATTTATCAAGGGGCATTTTTAGGAGTAGCAGAGTGTCAAGAACTCAAATTGACATCTAGTGGCAACACTTCTAAAGATTGGGGCCCCGTACTATATACAATGCTAAATTTCCAATGCTGTGATTGGAAAAGACTATGAGAAGGCCTCTAGTCTCTTCCCACTACCATCATCTGCAGCAGGCCCACACCACCCAAATCAACACAGGTATGGAAGAATCGCCCCCTGCCACAGGAGTGGGCAGTAAGCGTTAGAACACAGATTGCCGAGTTCTGGTTCTCAGTCCACCCAAGTCTGGTCTGTTTCCCTAACTGTAGAAGGAAGGTGTTAGAAATGGAAAATCCTTAATATATTCTTTGATTTTTTCAAAACAGAATAATTGATTTTTATCATCTTTCTTAGTATACCTTTCACGTTCTGCACAATTATTCTAGATTCAAACTGAAGATTGTGGTTCATGTCAAGAGTCAGTTTGGTCACTGAACACTGTCTCATCCAGCTGTGGGACACTCATATGAGCTTGGTCATAGGTGGCTCATCTTCCCCCACTTACTGGGTTTCCATAATGCCATTCTCTTGGGCTGTTAGATAAAATATTTACAACCCATCCCTCCATCATCATCAAAGCAATTTATTTGCACAAACTCCACTGTCACTAAATCACATGAATGCATCCATCTTTCTTATTTTCATCTTTTTGAAAATTAGCCAGCATGAAAAATAACAGCAATCGATTAAGCTATTGCATTGTGAAGAGTAGCTTAGATTTCTTTCTTTCTTTTTTTCACCCTGTTGCCCAGGCTGGAGTGCAGTGGTGCGATTTCAGCTCACTGCAACCTCTGCCTCCCAGGTTCAAGAGATTCTCCTGCCTCAGCCGCCTAAGTAACTGAGATTACGGGCGCCTGCCTCCACACCCAGCTAATTTTTGTTTTATTTTTTTTAGTAGTTATGGGGTTTCACCATGTTACCCAGGCTGGTCTCGAACTCCTGACCTCAAGTAATCCACCTGCCTTGGCCTCCCAAGGTGATGGGATCATAGGCATGAGCCACTGCACCCAGCCAGATTTCTTTCTTTTGATGATATTTGGGAGTAACTGTGGAATGTGTCCCCCCACCTATATCATACAGCAATATTTTTTTGATCTACAAAGCACACCATATACTTCACTATTTATTCTGCTGAGGGGAAATGGGTGAGACTGCCAGATTTCTATGAGAATTACAGGGTTTTCAAGTCATTATGGAGAAAATGATTGAGGTTCAGTGTCATTGGAAAAAGCATATTCTTAATTTGTCTATAATTTTTCCTTTAATTGGTAGTTTGGCTCCATTTTCAAAGTACTTTTGAAGCTTTCTTTTCCAATTTGGCATCAAAGTTATTTTTCTAAGTGCCATTCAATTTGGGACTTATTTTCTATTTTGATTGACATAAAATATGTCATTCTGAAAGGAAAAATATCAACACAGTTTTTGAGTAAGAAACTCAGTAACATTGAACTTAGTAATCACCTCCCTAGGAGTGAAATTTCATGGTCATATATATTGAAAAAACCTCACAATATAACCAACATGCTATCTGAATCTTGATTGAGATTCCACATCATAAGTGCTAATTTCAGTTCTGACTATAACCAATTTGTTAGTTTATACTTACTCTTTACTAAAGGAAAGAAGAGTAGGAATAGGATGGTGCGGTGGCTCACACCTGTAATTCTAGCACTTTGGGAGGCCGAGGTGGGTAGATCACATGAACCCAGGAGTTCAAGACCAGCGTGGGCAACGTGGCAAAACCCCATCTCTGCAAAAAATTATAATAATTAGCCAGGCGTGGTGGCATGTACTTGTAGTCCCAGGTACTGGAGAGGCTGAGGTGGAAGGATCACCTGAGCCTGGGGAGGTTGAGGCTGCAGTGTGTCGAGATTGTGCCACTGCACTTCAGCCTGGGTGACAGAGTGAGACCCTGTCTTAAAAAAAAAAAAGAGTGAGAATAATGAAACTGTGCACACGCAGGCCTTTTAATAAACTTTCCCCCTGTACGCAGCCCATTCTAGCTATATATATTTCTTGGTCCCAGCCTCTTCAAATAAAAATTGTTTTATTCAAAAGTATGACCTAGCCTTATACAAGATAAGATAGCCCACTTAAAAGTGGCATAAAAGGCCACTTTTATGCATCTCCATTTTAGGTTGGTTACAAGAGGCACAGAGAGACCAAAGCCCATGGGATGCTCGTGAGAGTAGGAAATTGGGTGGGAAGGGTGGACTCGGGAGACAACCTGACATCTCTCTACTTGAAGCCTAGCAATAAGGTTCAAAGGTTCCTCATGCCTTGTTTTCCCTTCTCTCTACATGATTAAGATCCCATTCCTGTAACAGATAGCAATGTGTTTATGCAGTAAAATTAGATAAGGGAGATTACTAGGGAAGTCACTACTCAGTTAGGGATGTCAGTGGTGCTCACTGCAGGTCCAGGTTAGTAATAAGAACTCTGGACTAGTAGCTAGGAGTGCTTGAATCTAGATTAGTTCTACTTTCTAACTCGATGTGTGACATTTTTTCCACTTAATTTTTTTGGCCTTGGTTATCTTATTGGAAAAAATATTCAAGTTGCACAAATAACTAAATGATGCCTGAGTTTTCATTCAGTTCTAAAACTTCTCAACTGAGCAATCTGTTGTTGAAAGGAGAGTACGAGTTCTAAAAGCTACTCTAGGGAGCTCTGCATTCACCAAGCCGCTCCATCATTGTTGG
Organism: Homo sapiens; assembly: GCF_000001405.40. Taxonomy (NCBI): domain Eukaryota; kingdom Metazoa; phylum Chordata; class Mammalia; order Primates; family Hominidae; genus Homo; species Homo sapiens. The sequence continues at coordinate 24,272,536 of NC_000010.11, forward strand.
GAAGAAAATACTAAGGTTGACTCATTGTCAAAGCCACATTCTACTCAAACTCAATGTACATAACTCGAATTCTAGCCACATTCCAGCCAAATTGAGATAGCTGTTCAAATAGTCATGGATTTATTTAATAACTGACTTCGAAATTCTTTACTTCTTTCAAGGTGGCATTAACAAGTATTTCGGAATTTCAACAGAGATCGGTTTTCACGTGCTCTTCAATGATCCCTGTGAAATAAATCATATTCAAGGGTTTTTTTCCCCTTATGAGTTATTCGCCTGAAGGAAGAATTCTTCATTTCTTTTTCTTTTAAATGCATGTTGGAATAAAGTCTTCTTTGAAAAGTCTTAATGAAAAGAGCAAACGTGGAATAGCATCCACCCCAGTTCTTTCTCTGGTCCTTGCACTCTGAGAATGAAGTCTTAGACAGCAGAATGTCAGGGGACTCTCATTGCGTAAAAGTCTGTGCCCTTCTGCGCCTTGGACAGTTATGGACAGAAGCCTTTAAGAAGAAGAAAATTAAAACTAGTTAATTTTTTAGTTAATTTTAGCAACACTACATATATGAGAGAGAGAAAAGATGGCATTTTCTGAATGAATGAGATGCCTCTGCATTTTGCCCAACTCATTGGAGACTCAGGATAGAGAAAAGGGAGAAATTATGTTTAGAGGCTGATAAATTTCCCTATGGTTACTATCAAGAGATCAGACTCTTATTAACATTTGCAAAGTGTGAGCAGAGAAGAGCATTTGAACAATAAGCATAGATTAAGTACTCCTCTTTCCTTCATTCCCTTTTCTCTAGTCATATTCTCAGACAGTCCAGGCTAAGTATTAATGATCTTCTTTGAAGTTAAACATACCCTTGCTACTTTCATTACATTATTATTTTTATGTTCTTCCTTTTGGAGTACTCAAGGTAAATGACATGGCAGAATCTGTCCCAGTCCAGTGAGGGTGTCACATAAGAGGCCCTTGGCTTACCTCTATGCATAACTGGCCCACGTCACATCTTTAATTAGAAGTCCAAGTTATTGGCTGGACGCCATGGCTCATGCCTGTAATCCAAGCACTTTGGGAGGCCAAGGTGGGTGGATCACCTGAGGTCAGGAGTTCGAGACCAGCCTGGCCAACATAGTGAAACCCTGTCTCTACTAAAAATGCAAATATCAGCCGGGTGTGGTGGCACATGCCTGTAATCACAGCTACTCGGGAGGCTTGAGGCTGGAGAATCGCCTGAGCACACGAGATGGAGGTTGCAGTGAGCCGAGATCGTGCCACTGTGTTCTAGCCTGGGCGACAGAACAAGACTCTGTCTCAAAAAAAAAAAAAAAGTCCAAGTTACTGTTGCAGGGATTGGGACATCTTGCCTTTCTCAAGTTGAGCAATATTCCCAAATATAAAAATGTAGGATCTTAGTCCAATCAGAGCAGATATTTGGTGTAGGGCATTTTCTAATGTAGTACCAATAAATTAGACGCATACCTCAACCAAAAAACAGCCCATATCCAGTAAGTAATAAGGCAATGATTTACATTTCACATATTACCAGAGTAATGACTAATAGCATACATGTATAAACTGAAAAGTGACTGATGCTTATTTTCAGATGGGTCCAAATTTATTGGATAATTATGGAGAATAATGTATGTTTTCTGAGAGTTGGTAGTAAGAAAATATTGCCATTGCTGGCCAGGCACAATGGCTCACACCTATAATCCCAGCATTTTGGGAGACTTGAGGTCAGGAGTTCATGACCAGCCACCTCAGCCTCCCAAGTAACTAGAACTACTGGTGCATGCCACCAAGTCCAGCTAATTTTTTTTTTTTTTTGAGACGGAATATTGCTCTGTCACCCAGATTGGCTGTGTTCTCCATTCTAAGTCCAGTGGTTAGAAATTGTCAAGTTCTCACATCTGCAAAAAAAGTAAAAAAGATGAACCTGCTACATCTAAATATACTTTGTTGTCTTCCTACAAGTCCTATTTTACATACTTATGGCATTTTTACTGCAGTTTGAAAATACAGTCAATTCTTGTTATTCACAGTATTGATGTTCTATAAACTTGCCCTAAATACTGCATTAGTGAGTCCTGAATTTATTAGTTAATACTGAATTTCCTAGGGGAAATACAGGGTTAGGTTCCTGTGAGTCTTTGGTTACCTTTTTATCAACCAATCAACAAAAATCCTTATTTTACCTGTGTTTTTGTTTGAAGACACCTTTTAAAATATATATTATTGATTCATTAGCATTGAACTAAGCTTATCTAATGCACTTATTTTTTGTGTAAGGTGTATCACAGCCTTCTTGAGCCTAGGAATGCCAAATAGTACTTCCACACCATACTTAAGGGCCATTTCATTTTATTTCTTATTTTTAAAATTTATTCTCTTTTCTTATTTAAAGAAAAAATTTGTAGATGCCGGGTCTCGCCCTCTTGACCAGGCTGGAGTGCAGTGACACAATCACAACTCACTGGAGCCTCAAACTCCTGGGCTCAAGTGATCTTCCCACCTCAGCCTCCCAAATATCTGGGACTACAGGCACACGCCACCATGCCCAGCTAATTTTTTAATTTTATTTTTTTGTAGAGGCAGGGTCTGGCTATGTTTTTGAGGTCTTAATTCCCCAATGAACATGACTAGTATATTCCAGGCTGGTCTTGAACTCCTGTCACAAAGCAATTCTCTTGCCTTAGCCTCCCAAAGTGCTGGGATTTCAGGCATGAGCCACTGCACCTGGCTTGGACCATTTTAAATAGTGAAGTCACTCACACACACATACACGCATGCAGGTGCACACACAGACACAAAAAGACACAAAAATGCGAAACTTGTGGCACTAAAAAGACTGTGGAAAGGGTGCTTCCTTACAGTATGAAAACTGAAACAAAAAAGCAGAGTGTTGTTTAGTTAGACGCCACCTGGGAACGTGCTTGTTGGGAAACTCCAGTTGTCCACTGTCCTGCCATGTCTATGATGACTGCAAACATTTGGGAGTATTAATTTGAGGGTCACAAACAGATTTTAGGTGATGGGCATATTTACAAATACAGAATCTGCTAGTAATGAGGACTGACTGTATAATGCTTTAGTAGTCTCAAGTATGTTTTTTTTCTCATTAAGCCTTTGCTTAAGATGCAGGCAAGATTGATGCTGTTGGTTTGGTGCAAAAGTAATTGCAGTGCTTCCCATTTAAAAGTAATGGCACACACTGCAATTACTTTTGCTCCAACTTAATACTTGGCTTTATTGACTTTTAGCATCAGTGCAGTTTGGTTAATGATAAAATTTTCCAAAGCAGTGTCTCATCTGCAGGAGCAAACTATAGCAAGGGCCCTGGCCATCAGTTCTCCCTTCTGGTCCTGATATTCCTTTTTAAACTGTCTTTCCATACCCCTCCCTCCAGTGGGCTTGGCGATGTTGCATTAAATAGCAAAGAGAAGGAAACTCCTCCCCAGTCCTCACTGACCATTTCTTTTTCCACTCAGTCCTGCTCAGAATGTAGAAGAGAAGTTGAATTTAATTCATAAATTCAGCAGCTTGAGGACTGTCAGTTTTGTCGTTATTTAGTGAAATAGTAATTGAATTGGGCTACAAGGTCATTGGAATCTGCTGTTTCATTTCATATCATTTTACGTGTTATTATTCTAATAAGAATACAAATGGAGTTTGATGCCATTTGCTGATCATCCATCTTATTGATGCCATTGAACAGAACGCAGAAACACAAAGGGATTTATAAGGCATTTCAGTTTTGATGTCCTTTGAAAAATGAAAGTCTTTTCAGAAATGCAAAAGACAAAATGACTTAGAATTCCATCTCGTTCTGCCCGGTTTGAGGGCATCCCTTCCTATTCCTTAGATAGCTGTTAATAAGAGTCCTGAGGAAAACTGGGTTTGAATTTAAAAACAAAAAATTTTTAAGAGACAGGGTCTCGCTTTGTCACCCAGGCTGGAGTGCAGTGGCACAATCATAGCCCCTGTAACCTTGAAGTCCTGGACTCAAGTGATGCTCCCACCTCAGCCTCCCTAGTAGCTGGAACTACTGGCACATGCCATCAAGTCCAGCTTTTTTTTTTTTTTTTTCTGAGATGGAATCTCACTTTGTCACCGAGGCCGTAGTGCAGTGGCGCGATCTCGGCTCACAGCAACCTCTGTCTCTCAAGTTCAAGTGATTGTCCTGCCTCAGCCTCCTGAGTAGCTGGGACTACAAGCATGTGCTACTACGCCCAGCTAATTTTTGTATTTTTAGTAGAGACAGGGTTTCACCATATTGGCCAGGCTGGTCTGGAACTCCTGACCTTGTGATCCGTCCGCCTCAGCCTCTCAAAGTGCTGGGATTACAGGCATGAGCCACCACACCCAGCCAAGTCCAGCTAATTAAAAAAAAAATAAAAATCGTAGAGATGGGGTCTCCCCGTGTTGCCCAAGCTGGTGTCAAATTCCTGACCTCAAGCAATCCTCCCACCTCGGCCTCCCAAAGCTCTATGATTATAGATGTGAGCTGCCATGCCTGGCCTTAAATTTTTCAAAAGCTTTTAAACCAATCTTAAAATGTTTTATCCTCTTAGAATCATGTCCCTAGTTTTATAGCTTGGAAATTCTTGCTCTTTTCAAATTGCTCTTTAACTCTGGCCTGATTGGAAGGTGGCAGCTTTTCAAATACAGGTCATGGCAGCGCTCAACCTGGATTCCTCAGTTGCAGAAGACTGCTTTTGCTAGACTGCTGAATTTACTTCCAACTTTTCAGATGTTTCTGAGGTTGACCCTGGTGTGGTTCCCACTCAAAGTGGAGCAAGCAGGTGGGTGGCAGGTCTCTTCTTAGCGGCTTCCTAGAGGGAAGCCTCGTGAGTGGGATGGGGGACAGGTTGCCCTGGGGGAGCCCAGGAATGGGGAGACAAGGCCACCTGCTATGCAGATGATATAGTTTGGCTGTGTACCCACCCACTTCTCATCTTGAATTGTAGTTCCCATAATCCCCACATGTTGTGGGAGGAACCTGGTGGGAGGTAATTGAATCATGGGGGCGGTTTTCCCCATGCTATTTTCATAATAGTGAGTGAGTTCTCATGAAAGCTGATGGTTTTATAAGGGGCTTTCCCTTTCACTGGGCACTCATTCTTCTCCTTGCTGCTGCCATGTGAAGAAGGACGTGTTTGCTTCCCCTTCAACCATGATTGTAAGTTTCCTGAGGCCTCCCCAGCCCTGCAGAACTGTGAGTCAATTAAACCTCTTTCCTTTATAAATTACCCAATCTCAGGTTTGTCCTAATCGCAGCATGAGAATGGCCTAATACAGTAGGTTTTCCTGAGTCCTCTCTCTGACTCACCCTCTGACGGGCAAAAGACAGTGGCAGCACTGCCAGCAATCAGCTGGGAACTTCTCCCCTGTGATAGAAAGCAGTGCTTGCTGGCTTCCCTTTGTGATGCTTTTGGACAGCAGCTCTATGGACCTATGCCTTTTGTCCTTTGAGGACGGACGCACAGTCTGTGCAGCTCGAGGACGCCGTCATGGGTGAGATGCTGTGGAGTGTGATGACGCCACCTCTTAGGCTGTGTGTGAAAGTAGCGAGGAGAGGCAGGGTCTGCATGAGCCACTTTGGAGCAGGCCAAAACACTGTGGAGAAGCACATTACAGCCACAGTGGCGGTGTAAAGGGTCAGACTGACCACTGGCTTCTGGAAAGTCTTCATTTCTGAAAGACTGTCAGGTAGAAGATGGATGAGAGTTACTCTGTGAGGCCGGAAACCTAGAACTCAGACCATTGTGTGCAGACCAGGGAGAGGCAGTGTTTGGAGTGAGATAAGCAGGAATTTTGAAATTACACAGACCCGGTTTTGAATTTACTCATGAGCTGTGTGGCTTAGAGAAAGCTGTTTAATCCCACTGACCTTCATCTGTGAAGTGTCCAAAAATAATACAGAGCTTGCAGAGTTGTGTGGATAAGGGATAATCTATCGAAAGCATGTGGCAAGTGGCAGACACAATGTGGGCACTAGGCAAGTGGCAAGTCCCTTGTATTGAGTCTTATTTGTCTATTCAGTGAATATTTGGATACCAACTCTGCTGTTCTGGGCATGATGTTAGCCACTGGGGAGACAGAAGGAATGAAAGAGATGAGTAACCTAATGTGTGCTGTCTAGTGGGGACTGCAAATAAAGTGGGTGTTACCACTAGCGTGCTCTACAGTGTTATGCTAGAGAGAAATTTACTTCCTTTGGCCACTCACTTCCTTGTTTTTAAATAAGAACTGAGTTAAAGTTGCTAACTGTGAAGACTGAGTAATTTGAATCTGCTGTTGGTGTACTCAGATTACTTTTTTTTTTTTTTTTCTTGGAGACAGAGTCTCACTCTGTTGCTCAGGCTGGAGTGCAGCGGCCCAATCTCAGCTCACTGCAACCTCTGCCTCCCAGGCTCAAGCGATTCTCATGCCTCAGCCTCCTGAGTAGCTGGGATTACAGTCACGGGCCACCACTAATTTTTGTATTTATAGTAGAGACAGGGTTTGCCAGGCTGGTCTTGAACTCCCAACCTCAGGTGATCCGCACATCTTGGCCTCCCAAAGTACTGGGATTGCAGGCATAAGCCACCACACCCAGCTCAGATTACTGTTTACTCAAATTAATGGGGATGATTGAGGATGAAACAGTGCAGGGATTCCCCATTGTTTTGTTTTCTTCTTTGCATTTCTAGTGTCTGTTTTTTTTTTTGTTGGTGGTGGTGGTGTTTTTGTTTGTTTGTTTTTTTTTTTAAAAAAAGATCTGCAGAGGCTATTGTGTCCTTTGCATAACCCAAGTCCAGTAGCATCCTTGACTTCAAAGTCTGTTGGCATTGATGGCATCTGACTCAGTCATAACTATCTTTAATACATCATTATAAAATCTACAATATTGCTCAAGTGAAGATATTATCATGTAACTGGGAGATATTACTAATTAATGAGTATGTGGAAAATTTTCCCTAGAAAATGAAGTGTTTGTGAAAGGGACTGAAGGATTTTTGCAGAAGAGTCTATGAGAAAGTTATTATAAACCAAAGGGTTATGAATTCTGCATATGAAACATAAATAGCTATTAAATATTTTATTTCAATCAAAAAGTGTAATGAAATTAGAGCTTCTCATTATGAATCTGGGATTTATATGGAAACTTATAAAACTAAAAGGTAATACATTCAAAATAGAAGCACAGATTTACCAATTAACTGGAGTTAAAACTTTTTACTTCTCTTTACAGTGACAGGAGAAAAATACATCCTAAATATGTTATTATGGTAAAAAAATAATATTGCTAGTGGACAGAAAAAATAGTCGTTAAGAGGGTACAAGTTCATCTGATAGTTGCAACTAACATTCTAAGGGGGTTCTCTAAGTTTAGTGTTTGATTTTCTTAAAAACCGATTTGAAAATTCATGGTGCATGGAACTCAGTGAAGGCTCCTCTGTTGAAGAAATAACTCTCTGAAATAAAATGAACATATAGGCCCTTTATCTTTTTTAATGGGATGGCGTGCTTAGGCCCATGAGGATCGGTTTGGTAGAGGTTGATGTTCTTCCTTTATCCTTAATCATTGATGCCTCTCTAGAAAAGAAATGCTCATGTCTTTTAGGTGGAACCATAGGATATTGGTGATTACGTATGTCAAAAACAGTCAAATATCTGCAGTTTCATGTCATTCATGCTAATGAATTCTAAATTGGATGAAGACCTTGACTCACCAGATTTGGCAAGGAATAGGGGTCCGTATTTTAAGGACAAAAGGCTAGAAGCCTGTTTGCAAAACTCTAACAAACATTTTTGCTTTTCTAAGATTTCTGAAATAATCTGGAGTACACACAGGTGAATAATGTAAGTGAAGGAAAGTGAAAGGGTGCTATAAAGTAAAATGAAAAGATGCTGAATTTCAGCACTAATTTGAATATACCTAGATTCTAGATTGAAAATGACCTTTTCCGCACAGGTAAATAAAATGTTTCCATAAAGGAATAAACCTGGCCGGGCGTGGTGACTCATGCCTGTAATCCCAGCACTTTGGGAGGCGGAGGCGGGTGGATTGCGAGGTCAGGAGATCGAGACCATCCTGGCTAACATGGTGAAACCCCATCTCTACTAAAAAACAAAAAATTAGCCAAGCATGGTCACAGGCGCCTGTAGTCCCAGCTACTCAGGAGGCTGAAGCAGGAGAATGCAGTGAACCTGGGAGGCGGAGCTTGCAGTGAGCAGAGATTGCGCCACTGCACTCCAGCCTGGGCAACAGAGCGAGACTCCGTCTCAAAAAAAAAAAAAAAAAGAATAAACCTAATTATACTTCTTCAACTTAAGATGGACATTTCTCTACCTAAGAATATAAAATTATCAAATACTCTAGAGAAAGTTGGGTTTATATTCAAATAGCACAATATCAACACATGTGAAGGTCAGTATTCCATAGATGGGGATGTTGATAGCTAATTTCAAATCAGTGTGTTTTGTTTATTAAAGCTAGACTGCTGATAGGCAATATTTGCTAGAAAATAATGTAATTTTTAAAACTTTGATGTGTATTTAAAATAAAGTTTTCATTTTAGAACAGTTTGAGATTTACAGAAAAATTGTGAAGATAGCACAGAGCTCCCACATACAATGTATGCAGTCTACTCTAGTATTAGCATCTTACATCAATATGGTACATTTGTTATGATTAATGAACCAATATTAACACAGTTATTATCTAAAGTTCATATTCATTTTTTTGCCATCGTTTTTACCTATGTGTGATGTAAGTAATCATTCCATTTCAGTATACATGAATTACAAGATCAGAATTGTTAACCCATGCCCTGTGGGAAAGAACTTTATCAATTAGGGTACAGTGTGTTTGGACAGTTTCTTTTGTCTTTTGTCTTACAGAAATAGTTTGTTTCCAACATTAATTAGGTCAGCATCTTCTCCCCATCACCTTTCCACATACACTTACCCTCAGTGAGACTGTTTCATATATTTATGATACAGTTAGATTGCTTGGTAAGATCTGTTCCTTAGGCTCTTGGCTATGACAGTTTCTCAGACTCTCCTTGTTTTTAATGACCTTGACAATTTGGAGGAGTACTGGTGAGTTATTTTGTAGAATCTCCTTCAATTGAGACTTGTCTGATGATTTTATCATGAGTAGACTAGGGTTAATATGTTTTTGGAAGGAAGATCACAGAAATGAAAAGCCATTCTCATTATATCATTATATCATATCAAGAGTAACAATAATCGGCCGGGCTCGGTGGCTCACGCCTGTAATCCCAGCACTTTGGGAGACCAAGACAGGCAGATCATGAGGTCAGATCGAGACCAGCATGGCTAACACGGTGAAATCCCATCTCTACTAAAAATACAAAAAATTAGCCAGGTGTGGTGGCGGGTGCCTGTAGTCCCAGCTACTCAGGAGGCTGAGGCAGGAGAATGGTGTGAACCCAGGAGGCGGAGCTTGCAGTGAGCGGAGATCACACCACTGCACTCCAGCCTGGGTGACAGAGCGAGACTCCATCTCAACAACAACAAAAAAAGTACCAATAATCTGGCCAGGCATGGTGGCTTATGCCTATAATCCCAGTACTTTGGGAGGCTAAGGCAGGAGGAGCTCTTGAAGCCAAGGGTTCAAGACCAGCCTGGGCAACATAGAGACCTCACCTCTACAAAATTTTTTTTTCAAAAAAGAATACTAATAATCTATATGATTTATTGCTATAAATATTAGCTTTCATCACGAGGCTGAGGAGTCTTTTTCAGGTTTCTCCACTGTAAGGTCACACACACCCCCACCTCTTTTCTATGTTGTCTTCTTTGGAAAGAAGTCACTACGTGTTATCCACACTTGAGGAGTGTGCTATGTTCCCCCTCCTTCAGGGTGGAGAATCTGCATAAATTATTTGGAATTCTCTGCATAAGAAATTTGTGTTTATTTATCCCCCTGTGTTTATTTATTCAATCATTCGTTTATAACAGTATAGACTCATGGATATTTATTTTCACTTTGGGTTTGAATCCAGTATTACTTGATTGTTGCTGACATTCATCCAGCTTTGGCCACTGGGAGCCCTTTCAGTTGACCCCTGTGTTCCTTTGATATACCCTCTTCCCCTCTTCTTTGTGGTTTGTGGGTTCTTTGTTTTTTGTTGTTGTTTTGTGGCTCTTCTTTATGGCACTGAAAGATACTCCAGGCTCATCTTCTACATTTCCTGCCACAATCCTAAAATCAACCATCTCTCTAAGGAGTTCTAAACCAAGATGTGTTCTTTGCTACTGAGGTGTTGCTTCTTTTTTTTTTTTTTTTTTTTTTTTTTTCAGACGGAGTTTCATTCTTGTTGCCCAGGCTGGAGTGCAATGGCGCAATCTCGGCTCACTGCAACCTCCGCCTTCCAGGTTCAAGCAATTCTCCTGCCTTAGCCTCCCGAGTAACTGGGATTACAGACGTGTTCCATGATGCCTGGATAATTTTGTATTTTTAGTAGAGACGGGGTTTCTCCATGTTGGTCTGGCTGGTCTTGAACTCCCAACCTCAGGTGATCCACCCACCTCGTCCTCCCAAAGTGCTGGGATTACAGGCATGAGCCACCGCAACCAGCCTGAGGTGTTGCTACTTTTAGGGCCTTTGACTGATAGAGCAAAGAAATATATGTGTGGATACTAAACCATGCATAGACACATATCTATATTTCCTTCTTTCTTTTGCCTTTCCCAGAATGTCATATAATTAGAATTGTACAATATGTAGCCTTTTCAGAGTGGCTTCTTCCACTTGGCAATATGCATTTAAGATTCGTCCATGTCTTTTTGTTGCTTAAGAACTTTTCATTGCTTCATAAGAAACTGACAAACTGGCTGGGATGGTGGCTTACGCCTGTAATCCCAGCACTTTGGGAGGCCAAGGTGAGCAGATCACTTGAGGTCAGGAGTTCAGGAACAGCCTGGTCAACATGGCAAAATCCCATGTCTACTAAAAATTCAAAAATTAGCCAGAAGTGGTGGTGTATGCCTGTAGTCCCAGCTACTCAGGAGGCCGAGCATGAGAATCACTTGAACACAGGAGGTGGAGGTTGCAGTGAGCCAATGTTGTGCCACCGCACTTCAGCCTGAGGAACAAAGCGACACTCCATCTCAAAAAAATAATTAAAAAAAGAAAAGAAACTGATGAACTGTCCTCTAAATTTGCTGTACCATTTTTGCATTTCCATTATCAATGAATGAGAGTTCCTGTTGCTCTGCATCCTGGTCAGCATTTGATATTATCATTTTCTGGATTTTAGTCATTATAGTAGTGTGTAGTAGTATCACATTGTTGTTTTAATTTGCAATTCCTTAATAACAAATGATATTGAGCATCTCTTCTTTTCTTTTCCTTTATTTTTTTTTTATGTTTTTGAGACGGAGTCTCACTCTGTCACCCAGGCTGGAGTGCATTGGTGCGATCTCAGCTCACTGCAGCCTCCACCTCCTGGGTTCAAGCAATTCTCCTGCCTCAGCCTCCCGAGTAGCAGGAACTATAGGCACAGGTGACCACACCTGGCTAATTTTTGTATTTTCAATAGAGACAGGGTTTCAGCATGTTGGCCAGGCTGGTCTCCATCTCCTGACTTCGAGATCCACCCACTTTGGCCTCCTAAAGTGCTGGGATTATAGGTGTGAGCTACCGTACCCAGCTGAGCATCTTTTCTTTTTTAAAAGAAATTTTAATTTTAGATTCAGGGGGTACATGTGCAGATTTGTTACAAGGGTATACTGTATGATGCTGAGGTTTGGGCTTCTATAAAACCTGTCACCCAGATAGTGAACACAGCACTCAATAGGAAGTTTTTCAGTCTTTGTTCCTCTCCCTCCCACTCTTCCCCCTTTTGGAGTCCCCAGTGTCTGTTGTTCCCATATTTATGTCCGTGTGTTTATTAGCTCCTACTTACAAGTAAGAACATATGATATCTGATTTTATTTCTGTGCTAATTCACTTAGGATAATGGCCTCCAGCTGCATCCATGTTGCTGCAAAGGACACGATTTTGGTTTTTTAAAAATGACTGCGTAGTATTCCATGGTGTAAATGTACCACATTTTCTCTATCCATTCCACCACTGATGGGCCCCTAGGTTGATTCCATGTCTTTGCTGAGTTCTGTGTCTTTGTCAATAGTGTTGCAATAAACATACAAGTGCAGGTGTCTTTTTGGTAGAATGATTTATTTTCTTTTGGGTATATACCCAATAAGGAGATTGCTAGGTCAAATGGTAATTCTGTTTTTAGTTCTTTATGAAATCTCCAAACTGCTTTCCACAGGGACTGAACTAATTTCCAATCCGACCAACAGTATATGAGTGTTCCCTTTTTTCCACAGCTTCGCCAACTTGTTACTTTTTGGCTTTTTAGTAATAACCATTCTGACTGGTGTGAGATGGTTTCTCATTGTGGTTTTGATTTGCATTTAATGATCAATGATGATTAGCTTTTTTTCATATGCTTGTTGGCCTTACGTATGTATTCTTTTGAGAAGTGTCTGTTGACGTCTTTTGCTTACTTTTTAATGGGGTGGTTTTATTCTTGTTGAATTGTTTAAGTTTCTTATAGATACTGGATATTAGTTCTTGTTAGAGGCATAGTTTGCAAATATTTTCTCTCATTCTGTAGGTTGTTCAGCCTGTTGATAGTATCTTTTGCTGTGCAGAAGCTCTTCAGTTTAATTAGGTTCTACTTGTCAATTTTTGCCTTTGTTGCAATTGCTTTTGAAGACTTAATCATAAACTCTTTGCCTAGGCCAATGTCTGAGGGGTATTCCCTCGGTTTTCTTCTAGGATTTTTATAGTGTGAGGTCTTACATTTAAGTCTTTAATCCATCTTGGGGTAATTTTTGTATATGGTGATAAGTAGAGATCCAGTTTCATTCCTCCGCTTATGGCTAGCCAGTTTCCCCAGCAGGGAGTCCTTTCCCCATGGCTTAGTCTTATTGACTTTGTTGAAGATCAGTTGGTTGTTGCTGTGTGGCTTTATTTGTGGGTTTATTTCTTATTCTGTTGGTCTATGTGTCTATTTTTGTACCAGCACCATGCTATTTTGGTTACTGTAGCCTTGTAGTATAGTTTGAAGTCAGGTAATATGTTTGTTCTTTTTGTTTAAGGTTACTTTAGCTATTCATGCTCTTTTGTGGTTCCAGAATTTTAGAATACTTTTTCTTCTAATTCTATGAAAAATGACATTCACAATTTGATAGGAATAGTGTTGAATCTTTAGATTGCTTTGGGCAGTATGGACATTTTAATAATATTGATTCTTCCAATCCATGAGCATGGAATGTTTTTCCATTTGCTTGTGTTGTCCATGATTTCTTTCAGCAGTGTTTTATAGTTCCCTTACAGAGATCTTTCACCTCTTTGGTTAGATATATTAATATTTCTGGGTATTTTATTATCGTGTGTGTGTGTGGCTATTGTTAATGAAATAGCATTCTTCATTTGGCTCTCAGCTTGAATGTTGTTGCTATATAGAAATGCTACTGATTTTTGTATGTTGATTTCATATCCTGAAGCCTTAGTGAAGTTGTTTATCAGGTCTAGGAGCCTTTTGGCAAAGTCTAGGTTTTTCTAAGTGTAGAATTGTGTATCTTTTCATATGTTTATATGCATCTGTTTGTGTTCTTTGGTGAGGTGGTTGTTCAGATCTTTTGCCCATTTTTTTAATTGGTTTTTTAAAAATTGAATTTTAAGAGTTCTTTGTATAACTTTACTTATTTTTCACACCCAAATTTTCTAAGTATTTTGAGAGACCTTAAATGTGATCATCAACTTCTTAACTTCATAGATTTTAAAAGTTAGTTCAGAATAAAGTTTACCCTTCCTCATTAATACACTTAATAATGCTTAGTTTTAACAAATTATATACATACACACACACACACGCATATATATATATACACACACACACACACATACACATACACACACACATACACACAATCACTCCTTAAATGTGCAAGACCGGGACTTGACTTTGAGAAATTTCAATTCAGGAAGGAAAATTCAATGGGAGGTATTATTATAGATTTAATTTGATGGGAAACGAGGCAGAAAATTTCAAGGACATTATCCCCTTTATATTCTCTTCATCCTTTGCTGATTCTGGCTTTAAAAGACTTCAGAAGTCTTCCAGAGACATTTATGCATTTTCTGAAGGAATGGTAAAAATCCTAATTCTGGGTAACTTTGTTTTACTCCAAACTCTTGGTGCTAAGATTCTGTTCCGTAGTTTCTCACCAAAGCATTCTGTCCCCTTCAGATAGTCAAACATATGACAAACAAAAATACCCACACCCTCTTTCCTTTCCTACCTGGTGCTAATTGGAAAGGGTACCTGGTCAGCGCATTTATTTCACTTTCAGTCATGGGGGAGTCTAATTATGTTTGATTTAACCAAATAATACAAAATTCCTCAGTTCTTGCTTATGGATTTGGACTTCAAAGCATCTTGCCTTTACCTCTCAGAAGCTGTTCTCACTTGTTTTTTGTTTTGTTTTGTTTTGTTTTTGAGATGGAGTCTTGCTCTGTCGCCCAGGCTGGAGTGCAGTTGGTGTGATCTCGGCTCACTGCAACCTCCACCTCCTGGGTTGAAGCAATTCTCTTGCCTCAGCCTCCCAAGTAACTGGGATTACAGGCATGCGCCACACGCCGAGCTAATTTTTTGTATTTCTAGTAGAGACAGGGTTTCACCATGTTGGTCAGGCTGGTCTTGAACTCCTGACCTCAAGTGATCCACCCGCCTCGGCCTCCCAAAGTGCTGGGGTTACGGGCGTGAGCCACCGTGCTTGGCCATCTCACTTGTTTTGAATCAGGATGCCTAGGTCAGTGAGAGCCTGTGTGAGCCAAAAACAGCCACGTTCATCTTTGAAAAAACTTAGGCCGACAAATCAAGTTTTTAATTACAGGAAATAATCACCAACTACTGGAGATGCAATTAAAGGCATTTTTCTCTGAGAGTAGCTTGTTTGTCTTTTATATTTTTCCCCAAAGCTCATTATAAAAAATACTATGTTCTTTCATACTTACAGTCTCAACTCTATCACTTCCTGCTGTGAGTATGGAAATGAATTTTGTTGAAATCAAAGAAATTAGTTAATAAGATTTTTTTTAGCCTGTTAGTAGAAGTGGCTTAACGTTTATAAAGAATATTTGCTTTGCTCATAATTTAACTGAATGAGACATCTGACCTCTGCTGTCTATCAAATTCATTACCGCTTTCTGGGACCCATGAACTGCCTTACATTGTACTAGTTGAGAACTGATGAAATAAAACCATAACTCGATTCATCAAACTGTTTAGAATTCAAATGTTGAGACATATCTCACTTAATAACATGAGGGTATTTTGTTTTTCTTTTTAAATTGTTCACTCTGGCCTTTAGTAGCCACCAGGGAGACATGTGAGTTTGGAAGGGCATCTCAGGTCAATCCTAAAAGCCTGCAGAAGAACTGAGCTGGCAGAATATAATCCTGCAGGTTGAAACTTAGCCAGCCTTTGAAATTATTTTCATCGGGAAAGTACTACAGGATTTTTTAAAATGACATAGTAGACACCCTACTCAGAAGCCTACTCCCTAATTTTTTTTTCTAGTTACTCATTTGCCAAGATGACTTGTTTATTTGAAAGTTGTTGTGATGGAAGTTGGATTATGTATATTATGATTGCTTTTCTTCCTGTGTATTATTTTCATTTGAAAATGTCAAAGTATCTCACCATTTTCCTATTTTATAGACTAGTAAACTGAGTTATATGATTTTGGTGAATTTAAGCTTCCAGGGCTAGATCTCCATTTAGCTTTCTCTTCTACTATTTAGCGCAGTCCATACAAAGCTAGCTGCACCAGAGAGCATTTTATCTGAATCCTATTCTTGTTCACCATGCCTTCAGCAAGCACATTTTACAGAGCGTCCACACGCCGGCCAATAGAACTGCAGGTGTGAGCAGTTCCATTAACCTGTCCTCAAGCCTTAGTGGGAGAGATGGCACAGAATTGCTATATAGGATGTGAATGCTCACTCAAGGGACAGAGCATACAAGGAGACCAGAGAAACAGACCATGGGAACACTAGAGGGAACAAAAGGATAAGAGGCAGTTTGGGTCAGGGAAGGCTGAGGCTTGAAGAGTGAGTTGGAGTTTGCCAGACACAGAAGAGACCCTTGGAAGCAAAGAGATCATGGTATGTCCTGTGCAGAGTTTAATGAGCACAGCGTGTGTAGGGGACATGCTTGGACATGAGACAGCTGGGGCTGAATCAATGAAGTACCTGGTTAAGATGTTTGGACTTAATCCTGTAGGCACTGGGAAGCAACTAAAAGGTAAATAGGGAAGTGACATATCAAATTTGCACTTTAGGCAAGTCCAATGAGAAGGGTTTGAGTTCCATCTTATGAAAAGCTGCTTCTAGATGCCCTGCAATTTATACAGCTGCCATATATTAATCTCCTACTGTGTGCCTGGGCATGCCCATACATGTTTTTCTTTACTTTTTACGCTTTTTTCTCTACTGGCTCTTAACCTGCCTCATCCTATGCCAAGTTTATAAACATATTTCAATTTAATATTATAAATAAAATAATAATACAAAGCCATTAAGATGAAGAGATTGCCATTGCTGTTGCATTCAGCAACTGGGAGTCCCTGCAAATTTGGGAAGAGCTGGTTCAGTGGAGGGCACGGGCACTGGGGTGGTGACTGATTGAGAGGTAAGGAAGGGGAAGTGGGAATATAGATGCTCCTTCTGGAAGGTGGACTGTGAAAGGAAGGAGTTAACCAGTGAAGGCTATAAGATGTGTGGGCCCTACAGAGGCCTGAGAGGAGAGACCCTGAAGGCATGGAAACAGTTGGTGGGTGGATTTGCTTTTAATAGGGGAAAGAGGAGGAGAAGGTGGAGGAGGAGGGATGGAAATATTTTTTCCACTGCCAATGATGGAAGATCGCAGTTGGGGCTGAATTGTCCTCATGGAGGAGGAGGAGGAGGAGGAAGTTGTAGAAGGTTTACTGCTTGCCATCGAATTTTCCAACAAAGATCTTCCACTGAAAATGAGAGAAGAGGTTGATGAGGAAGGAGACTGGAAGAGAAGGGACAAGCTTGAGAGAGTTTCCGTGTGGGAAGGAGAGGGGAATGTTGAGAAGGATTGTCACTAGGGCCCTGGCAAGGGTAGGGACCTCTAGTAGGTAGTCTCAGTAATGACCAGCAACACAGTGTGGGAACAGGAAAGGATGCTGGGACCCCCTGGGATTGAGATTGGGCTGTGTGGGGGTGGTAGGAGGGAAGGTAAGTGGTCAGAGGAGCTGAAGGCTTTGAGAAAAGTATGGGCAAGTGCTAGATCATGGCACCCAGTCTTTTTAATAGTAGGCTGAAAGAAGATACAGATGGTCAAAGATTTGGGGATTGTGGGAGCCAACAGGTTGTTATCAAAAGCGAAGAGAATAGAGTTGAAGATTTCAGATGTAGAGCAACAGTTCCGAGTGATACTAAGCTCCAAGGTATGGCAGTTCGTGTGCAGAGGCTAGGCAAGAGTCCTAGGAGATAAGGAGGCCGAAAAACCTGGAGACCAAAGAACCAGGAGGTCAAAGAATCTGGAGGTGCCAAGCCTTGTCCTAAGGGCCCTGAAACCCTCAGGGTGATGGCAAAAATTGGAGGGAAGAGAGAGTGGAAGTAGAACTCCCAAATCTTCAATGAACAGTGGGCTCATTATCTGCATAAGAGTGAGGATTCATGGGAAATGTGCTCCCCAGAAGAAAGCTTCTTACTTGCATTAAAAATATTAAGAGTAACTCTGAAAACATGATTTTAATCACAATTTCTCTCAGTGGATTTTAGGGTTTTGGAAAAGGCCACAAGTGCCCTAAAGTAGAAGTCTATTGAGATAATGAAAGTTTACTGAAAATTGTATCTGCAAACATTACCTGTCATTCATCTCTCAGGTGAGGTTGTATGAGTGTAAAAAAAAAAAAGTTCTTTCTTTTTTGCTAACTTTCACCTTATCACAATAATGCAACAGGAAGAGAGTTTCAACAAAGCATAATATAAACAGATGTCTCTCTTTTTTTTTTTTTTCAGACGGAGTCTTGCTCTGTCACCCAGGCTGGAGTGTAGTGGTGTGATCTCGGCTCACTGCGACCTCCACCCCCAGATTCAAGCGATTCTCCTGCCTCAGCCTCCCAAGTAGCTGGGGTTACAGGTGCCCACCACCATGCCTGGCTAATTTTTGTAATTTTAGTGAGACAGGGTTTCACCATGTTGGCTAGGCTGGTCTCAAACTCCTGACCTCAGGTGCTCCACCTGCCTCGGCCTCCCAAAGTGCTGGGATTACAGGCATGATCCACCGTGCCTGGCCATGAAGTCTCTCTTAAGACCTTTTATTGTGTGGGGCAGGGGGTTGTTTAAAATACATCCAGTGGGAATGGCAAATTGTGCCCTCTTTTCAAAGTTTGTTTTTCCTCCATCATCTATATTTGAGTTGTTCTGTGTGAATAAGTTTTGGAATGCTTCCTCCTTCTTGTTGACCACAGTGGTTGTTGACATAGACAGAGGTTGTTGGGATAGGAAGAGATCCCTGAGGTTGTCTTGTGGACAACAAAGACCCACGATAACTTTTCTTCCCATATAAGCATGGGCTATCCTAGAGCCCAGTCCCCTGTGGGATATGACCAACAATTATCTTAGAAAATTTCACTCAATCGGCTGGGCATGGTGGCTCACGCCTGTAGTCCCAGCACTTTGAGAGGCTGAGGCGGGCGGATCACCTGAGGTCAGGAATTCCAGACCAGCCTGGCCAACATGGTAAAACCCTGTCTCCACTAAAAATACAAAAAAGTAGCCAGGCATGGTGGCAGGTGCCTGAAATCCCAGCTATTAGGGTGGCTGAAGCAAGAGAATCACTTGAACCTGGGAGGCGGAGGTTCTAGTGAGTCAAGATCGCACCATTGCACTCCAGCTTGGGCAACAAGAGTGACACTCCATCTCAGAAAAAGAAAACTTCACTCAATCATTTCACTTCTACCTCTCCCAGTCCTCTTTGGAGCGTGAGGACACTTGTAAGGCAGTCTGTGGGGACAGTAACTTATAGGTTGTGTCCTGTCCGGTAGTGGGCTTTCATCAGAAGTATGCTTTTGGTCACACTACACCATTTTTTTATACCACCATAGAGTTGACAAACAGCATTCACCCATTTCATTTTGCTTTACTACTCCGATGTGGAGAAAAAAAAAATCTAAGGATTACATTTCTCTTGCAGATTTTTTAGATCAATAGCTATTATTTAAATACAGGGAATCCTGAAAGTCTAAGACTAAAAAATTTGGGTTCCTTTTGTATATGTTAAATTCTCCCATATACACATGGGTCTGTAAATAAAAATAAATAGGTGGCCCCTACCCTTGCAGTTGCATAGAGAAACTAGACCCTGAAATAAAATGGAACAACATTGGAGGATTTTTGTTTAGTGGATTAAAAATTCAATAATACTTGAAAACTTTGTCCAGCTCTTCAACAGAGATATTTGGATGAGTTTTCTGGCTTTTCTAATCAGGAAAGGCTTGTTGGAGAATTAAAGGAGATATGATTGAGGAAATAAAACACAATACAAGATTTTTCTGGATTTATTATGAATAAAAAGGGACCCCAGAGGATTAAGTGGATGTAGTTTGCAGTTGAGGTTAAGTGGTCATGGCAGTTTACCGTGGACATTGTTTAACTGATGGAAAACTCCAAAAGACTGACCAAGGAATTGAAGTAGACCAATTTGGACCAATAACTTGGAGCTCAGAATTAACCACTGTATTTCTCTATTCCAAATACCCATTCCTCTTCCCTGGAACCTCAGGCTGGCCACACAAACTTTCTTGAAAATTCTTGGGGTTCTGCCTTTACAGGAAGGCCATTTGCCTCACTCATCAGAAGTATTAGAGGTTTATTCTGCACAACCATGAAGAGGTTAAAGAGAAGGGTAGGGAGGCCATGAGGGTTCTTACATTCCATCTTGAGTCAACCATCTCCTGTTACCCTCTGAAAAGTGGCAGAATTTGTCCCAGACTTTTTTTTGTTGCACTTCATATCTACTATGGAATTACATTTATAGCTAATGCATTAACTCTAAAAATGGAGAAACCCATTGCTCTGCTGTTTTCATGGTAAGGAAAAACTGCTGAGTCATGATTGACATGGGCTGTTTCAAGAGTTTCCACGGAATGAAGGTAAACGCTTAGGATATCGCAGCCTGAGTGAGAGGCACTGCAAAGTGTGGCCGCTACTTGAAGTTCTTCATGGTGAGTGGAGAGGGAATCCTGAGCGCATCCTGGATTAGAAAAAAAAAAGAAGAAAGGTGGCCTGAAATATGATCTGAGTATATCTGGAAATACGCAGACATCTAGTACTTCACTTGCAGCACTCTGTGAACCAGAAGGCCAATTTCTACATGCTACAAGCTGCACTTCAAGATGCACCCAAAATGCATGCTCGGGAAGTTGTTTTTTGTTTTTGTTTTGTTTTGTTTCTGAGACAGACTCTCCCTCTGTCGCCCAGCCAGGAGTACAGTGGCGTAATCTTGGCTGGCTGCAACCTCTGCCTCCTGGGTTCAAGCAGTTATTTTGCCTCAGCCTCCCGAGTAGCTGGGATTATAGGCATGTGCCACCATGCCCGGCTAATTTTGTTGTTGTTGTTGTTTGTTTTGTTTGTTTTTGTTTTTAGTAGAGACAGGATTTCACCACATTGGCCAGCCTGGTCTTGAACTCCTGACCTCAAGTGATCTGCCAGCGTCGGCCTCCCAAAGTGCTGGGATTACAGGCGTGAGCCACCGCGCCTGGCTGGGAAGTCTTTTTTAATGGCAATAACCAAATGAACTCTCTTGACCTTGCTGCCTCTGCAGGCACTGCCCCGCCCCGGCCCTTCCACTCTAGAGGAAAGCACCTGGCATTTAGCATCTTTACACACAGGAAACAACAGATATGCTCAGGGACTTTTCCTCTAGCTTGTAACCAGGGATGGCTGTTGGGCTTGGCAGCCGTCAGGCTGAGAGTGACTCAGCTTAAAAGGTTTCATTGTTGATATCTGCCCTGAGCATTCCCCTTTGGACTTGGAGTTCCAGGATGTCTTGTGTCTGTGCTTCAGCATCTGAAGCCCCTTGTTGCCTGTTCTTAAGGTAGACTGCATTATCAACGGTGTCTTAAATTAATAGCTTCTCTCTACTGACTATTCACTTGTCACAGCTGACATGAAGGTTCTCAGTCCTGAGTGCCTATTAATGAAGCTCACAGATAGAGTGCAGAAACCCTTTGCAAGATCTGTTTTGCCAGCTTGCTGGTGTCCTGGCATGAAGGTCTCCGACCGACGTCTTTGAAATAGTTCCTGGCCGGGTGCGGTGGCTCACGCCTGGAATCCCAGCACTTTGGGAGGCCAAGGCGGGCGGATCACGAGGTCAGGAGATGGAGACCATCCTGGCTAAGACGGGGAAACACCGTCTCTAATAAAAATAGAAAAAATAGCCGGGCGTGGTGGCAGGCGCCTGTAGTCCCAGCTACTGGGGAGGCTGAGGCGAATGGCATGAACCTGGGAGGCGGAGCTTGCAGTGAGCCGAGATAGCGCCACTGCACTCCAGCCTGGGTGACAGAGCGAGACTCCGTCTCAAAAAAAAAAAAAAAAAAAAAAAAAAGAAATAGTTCCTTTCCACGTGGAGTGGACTGGCCACCTTGGGGCTCTACATTTGCCTGCTTGGTTCAGGCAGTTCTGTCCCATTTCATGTACATTTCACTCTTTTCCCCTACTAGCTTCTCACAGTTTAAATTATCGATGTGATTGCCTACCCAGACATCTAATTCTTTCAACAGGTAGTGGTTTACAGACTCCAGTTTCTTTATGATCATCAAGACAGGGATTGAACAACTGGCACCTTCCCTGTCTGTCCATTGAGGGGCATGTGTTTGATGTGTGTGGATGCTACTTTCATTAGGCAAGTTAATGGCAGTTAGCTACGTTCACACTGAGGAGGAAATAGACCACCGTGTATGCATTTAGTAAACACCAGCGTAGTCAGTGGATCTGTTTCCTTAACAGAACATGGTTCTGCTCCACTGTACACTTCAACCAACTGCTTCAGAGCAAGCTTTTTCCTTAGAAAAGTTTTCATTTAATTAGGATTTAGAAAGGAACGTGGAAACTTTAAGATCTCCATTTAGTCTTCTGCATACTTCAGAGACTTCTGATGTCTCCTACAGGGACAGGAAAGGAGTCAGGGGTCTGAAACTCTAGGACCTGAAAGGCAAGTGCAATTCGGTCACTGTCCACATTGCCAGGGTGTCAAATCACACATACCCTGCCTGAAAGTCTGGGAATTGGAGAATTTAAAATGACAATATTTTCTACTGTGGAATACCTTGCATTCTCCCACTCTGTAAACTACTATTCTGGAGGCGGCCCCTCTCACTATATTTCAAAACCAGATGCTTTTCTCTGGAAATACTAGAAATGTCTCTCTTCTGGGCTGACCTAAAACCAACATAGTATTGGGCATTGAAGTAAGGAGAAATATGGTCAGTGAGGCTAAGACCTCCTCTTCTGAGAATGAAAAATGACTGAGTATTTTGTGTTAGGTGGGACACTATTTGTTAATAGAGAACTTATATCTTAAGTCTCTTAAAATAATTATAGCATCTCTTAGTTATTTCCAGCATAATCCAGGAGTGAGCATTCCAAGAACATCATCTTACAACTTTTAATTAATATATCTTTCTCTAACCCTTAAAGAAATGCTGGTAACTGCTTGTCAGATGAGGAAAAGATGGATCATTATTCAAGTAAGATCCAATATGGGAAACTCAGATATAAATAGTTCAGCATTTTCGTTTCTTATCAAAGATTTATGACTGTGTCTACTTTAGGATTTATTTCTTCTGGACTATTTCAGGAGCCCCTTCACTGGTCTTTCAGCCTCAATTTCCTTTCCTCCGCCCCTTTGTTTGTTTCTCCCACTGCTCTGAGGACAGTTGTCATAAAGCTCAGTTCTAGACTTCTTGATTTGTGTCCCGGGTGCTTCCCCAGTTGTTCTCAGGCCAATTTCTCAGGCCCCTGTTTCACCATTTTATCCACACCTCCAACAGGCATTCCCTCCTGGTGGAACTTCTCCCTCTTCATCTGAGGGTGAAGGGTCTCTTTGTTGACACTGGTCCCTCTGCCGGGCATCCTCTCCCTTCTATACCTCCCTATTGCTACCAATCCTTCCTTCACTAAGAAATCAACCTAAATGCCACCTTCTTCATCCCAGACATGCTACCACTCCTGAGCCAGGAGTAATTAATTCTTTGACCTGTTGTATCGCTCTTATGGCACATGGCTCTTCTGTTTGATTTGGAAAAACGTATATCTCCTTATGCAAATTGTAAGTTCTTTGAAGGCAGGGTCCATGTTTAATTATTTTATTCTTTAATGTGCCTTAGTACTTAAAATGTCCTCTGCTGGCCAGCAGTAAGGGTGTCACCTGTGAGCTTGCTCAAAAAGCAGACTGTCAGCCCCCATCTCAGATATGTGGGATCAGAATTCACATTTTTTTTCTTTTTTCTTTTTGGAGACAGGGGCCCACTCTGTTGCCCAGGCTGGAGTGCAGTGGCACAATCATTGCTCACTGCAGCCTTGACCTCCTGGGCTCAAGCGATCTTCTCCCCTCAGCCTCCTGAATAGTTGGCCTTACAGGTGCACATCATCAAACCCAGTTAATTTTTAAGTTTTTTTGTAGAGAGGTGTCTCCATGTTGCCAAGGCTGGTTGGTCTCAAACTCCTGGCCTCTCAAGCAGTCCTCCCGCCTAGGCTTTCCAAAGTGCTGGAATTACAGGAGTGAATCACTATGCCCGGCCAGGATCCACATTTTAACAAGGGGTCTCCAGGTGATTCCAATGCAGCTGAGTTGGGAGTTCTGGCTTTGTACATTGCACAGAACCTTGTATAAAGCAGAGACTCCCTGGATAGCTATTGAACAACTAATGAATAAATCACATTAAAAGCTGAGTTTCTTCTCATTGACTTAGAGGGAGGTTACCTCATAATTACTCAAACATAGAAAACGTAACCCAACATGTACCATTTTCCTATGACCATTTTGAGTCTTAAAAACGTGGAAACCCTTTTCTTCTTTTAAAATCTTGGATTTGTTATTTCAGATCACCTTTGATAGTTTTTCTTTCTTTCATTTTTTGTGTACCCTCACTGGGTAGTGTTTGGCCTTCGCGAAGAAGGATAGAGAGAAAGCTTGCTAATTGGGGCTAAATACAGATTATGTGCAAAAAAAGAAATTGCTAGCATCTAAAAATAAGCACTCTACACGTGTATAGTTTTATAATCTTATCAGCTGTGATCTTCAGGACCAAGTACGTGGCAACTACAGGAGGATGGTCTCTGTCGCTGTCAAAAGCTGAGTATTCCAACTCTCACTTACTTGATACCAACCACAGAAGGACATGAGACTGTAATACACTGGGATTTTCAAAATGCAAAAGAATTTGATATTAAAGGCTTGTTAGCTGTCTAGGAATAAAACAAGAATGGGGAGAAACATATAAAGTAAGGAAGATTATCTCTCTACAGCTAAAACCAGGCAAAAGGACCACCCACTATGGCATATTGTGAAAATTTTGGGGGCTACTTTTGTTTGTCACAATAATTGGAGCAGTTGGTTGAAGGGTACAATGCAGCAGGGCCATGTTCTGTTAAGGAAACAGATCCACTGACTACATTTGTGTTTAATAATTGCATGCTTAGTGGTCTGTTTCTCCTCAGTGTGACGTAAGTAACTACCATGAGTTTGCCTAATGGAAGTAGCATCCACACACATCCAGCACATGCCCCTTGATGGACAGACAGGGAAGGTGCCAGTTGCTCAGTCCCCATCTCAATGATCATAAAGAAACTGGAGTCTTTAGACTGGGTGCAGTGTCTCATGCCTGTAATCCCAGCACTTTGGGAGGCCAAGGCAGGCGGATCACCTGAGGTCAGGTCAGGAGTTCAAGATCATACTGGCCAAGATGGTAAAACCCCATCTCTACTAAAAATATAAAAATTAGCTGGGTGTAGTGGCCCATGCCTGTAATCCAAGCTACTCAGGAGGCTGAGGCAGGAGAATCACTTGAAGCTGGGAGGTGGAGGTTGCAGTGAGCTGAGATCATGCCACTGCATTCCAGCCTGGGCAACAGAACAAGACTCTGTCTCAAAAAATAAAAAATTTAAAAATTTAAAGAAAGAAACTGGAGTCTTTAAATGACTGCCTGTTAAAAGAAGCAGATGTCTGAGTAGACAATCACATCAAGGATTTTAACTGAGAGAAGCTAGTAGGGGAACAAAGTGAAAGGTACATGAAATAGGACAAAGGCCAGGGATACTAGATACCTTGCAAGGCATAGGATAGTCTCATACTGTGAAGAATTGTCACTTGAGGCCGTGACTTTAGAACATCTGGCCTGACATTTTGGTGGTGAAAAAGTGTTTTTATTAATAGACTCTAAAAATATTTTTATATAAACAAAAATTAAATATATGCTAAATTTTTCAGGAATGCAATTACCATTTCAATTGAGAGGATACTGTCCTTTGTTTTGTTTAGAACTTTACTATACAGTAATGTCTCTGCTCATATCAGTCTGCATGTGTAACTATTGAATTCACACTGATTCTACTTAGAGGTAGCTCCTGATGTCATTGTACCTGAGCATTTGTATATTGAAATGTTCCTTATTTGTTTAGAAATTTTTTTTTTCTCATTTATATAATAGGATATTGTATTGATTTTTTTAAATCTATGTGACTAAGCAAGTTTTAAAATAAGTATATCTCAGGATATAAAAAGAGGCCTTGGGTCTGATGGGTTTGAGAATTACTGGCATGGACAGCCTCATTAGTTCCTGTCTTAAGACAGAGGATAATAAAAGTTAAAGGCTCAGACTTAATCAAAGGGTTAGAAATAGGAGTAGCGAGCCGGGCGCAGTGGCTCACGTCTATCATTCCAGCACTTTGGGAGGCCGAAGTGGGCGGATCACCTGAGGTCAGGAGTTTGAGACCAGCCTGGTCAACATGGCAAAACCTCTTCTCTACTAAATATACAAAAATTAGCCGGGCATGGTAGTACCTGCTTATAGTCTCAGCTACTCAGGAGGCTGAGGCAGGAGAATCACTTGAACTTGGAAGGCGGAGGCCATGGTGAGCCAAGATCGCACCACTGCACTCCAGCCTGGGCGACAGAGGAAGACTCCATCTCAAAAAGAAAAAATAAATAAATAAAATAAAATAAATAGTAAGAGCATATCCCACAGGAAAAGAAGCTGAGAGACAATCTTGGAGGGAATTCATGTATGGGGCAACTTGTCAGAATGAACAGAGCTTGGGCTCAGGAATTAATGCACTGAGTTTGGTGCTCTTCTCTTCAACTTTCAGAATTCAACTATCCTGAATTCTGGCTTCTGGGGGTCCCGGCAGGGTCAGAATGAATATTAGAGATAATGACCTTAAAACACCTAGCACAGAGTTGCAAAAAATGTTACAAATTGTAAATACTGTATATAATAACGCTAATGTCATCTGGCTCTTCAAAATGGAAAATGATGAAGCTATCTTACTGGCTTTTAGAGAAGTTGACCGAGTTTTCTACAATTGCTCATGGCTAGATTTTGGGGCCAGGCTCTAAAATCCAGGTTCTTTAGATTATTTTGAGCCTAACAACCAACTTAGGTTTGACCTGACTTGAATCACTCTCTTCCTCTAAAATTCCCTGTACTCTTGGCTTTGTCCATACAGAACCTGTACATCAAATTACACCAAATATCACAATCCTGTAGCTTTCTCATGGCAACGTAAGTGCCTTTGATATGTGAGTTTTTTCCTTTTTTTCTGGAAACAGGGTCTTGCTCTGTTGCCCAGGCTCTGATCGTAGCTCACTGCAGCCTTGACCTCCCTGGCTCAAACAGTCCTCCCACCTCAGCCTCCCAAGTAGCTGAGACCATAGGTGTGCACCACCACGCCTGGCTAATTTTTTAATTTTTTTGTAGAGACAGAATCTCCCTATGTTGCTCAGGCTGGTTTGAAACTCCTGAGTTAATGTGATCTTCTCACCTTGGCCTCCCAAAGTACTGGGATTACAGGCATGAGCCACTGACTCAATCTAGTTTTTTCCTTTTCAGTAGTCACTTTTACGCTTATGAGTAAACTACAATTTTATGAAGCCTGTGGATGCTGGAGTGATACTTACAGCCCTGGTGTGTCCTCTGTGGGTTCAGCCTGCCCTGTGAACTAATGAAATTTAACCAGTGTGGTGCCTCCCTCCCATTTAGACTTCTCTCTCTGACCAAACTGCCTCTGTTTTCCTTCCCTTTAGACCCCCAGAAGCTGTGCATGCTCCATGTCCAGCAATAACTTTTCTCCTAGATTCTTTACTGCTTGTTCGATTCCAGATGCAAGAGATATAGCTTCACCCGTGCTTCCTATCTTCCTGTGATTTCTCTGCTACCGCAGAGGGTAGTCACCAACCTTTAGCTCAAACACTGATGCCGAGGCTACGTACAGAGAGATGCTTTACCAGTTACTCACCTTCCTCACTGGGCATCTGCAGAGACTCCTAGAGAAATGTTTGTAAGACAACATGAGTTATAAATTTTGCATTCAAAATCTTTTAAATTGGTAACAAAATGAATCCCTGTCCCACAGTGTGAAGAGATCACTGCTTAGTCAGTTTCCTTTTGGGAGAATTATTTCCAATTTTTTTAAGTTAAATGCTAGTTATTAGAAAAGTGACCACATGGCCACCTGAGTCTGTTCAGATCTTTTGGACCATTTTCCTTCTCCTCTTCTGCACACCTCGATTTGCTTGTCACAGGTGTTCCAGAGATTCCTTCTGTTCTTGTCTTTGGCAGGATCATCTTGAATTGAGTAGTATAAATATATCCTGCCTCTGTTTCTACTATGAAAGCCCCTCTCTCTGCATTTCCTGCATGGTTTCCTTACGCTGTTCTGTGCATTTTGGGTGGCGTCTGCATTCTTTTATTATTTTTTTGAGATGGAGTCTCATTGTATCACCCAAGCTGGAGTGCAGTGGCACGATCTCGACTCACTACAGCCTCCACCTCCTGGGTTCAAGCAATTCTCCTGCCTCAGCCTCCTGAGTAGCTGGGACTAGAGGCATGCACCACCACACCTGGCTAATTTTGTATTTTTAGTAGAGATGGGGTTTCACCATGTTGGCCAGGCTGGTCTCAAACCCCTCACCTGAAGTGAATTCGCCTGTTTGTTTGTTTATTGAGACAAGAGTCTCACTCTGTTGCCCAGGCTGGAGTGCAGTGGTGTTATCTTGGCTCACTGCAACCTCTGCCTTCCGGGTTCAAGCAATTCTCATGCCTCTGCCTTCCGAATAGCTGGGATTACAGGCACCAGCCACCACGCCCGGCTGATTTTTGTATTTTTAGTAGGCACAGGGTTTCACCATGTTGGCCAAGCCTGTCTTGAACTCCTGACCTCAAGTGATCCACCCGCCTCAGCCTCCCAAAGTGCTGGGATTACAGGTGTGAGCCCCCGCAACTGGCCAGGTCTGCATTCCTAATGCTACTTTTGAGCCCGGCAATCTCAGACAATAAAATTCAGTGCAGCTGGGGCAGATAAGTGCCCCCCTGCTCTCACATTTCTCTTTAGTCTTGGCATCTTCAAGTTAGAACCAGGTCATTATTTTTGTATCAATGACATTTCATTATGCCATAAATACTGAGGTGTTAAAAACACCAAAAAAGCCCTAAAAATGCCTAGAAAATTATCCGAAGCATTTACTATTAAGGCTGATAAACTTTTTCTTCTCTTTTCAAATATAAATTGATTATAAAGCATATTGAGTGACTTCAAGCTGAAGGTTTTCAGTATCTGGAAAACTGAAATTTAATTGCAGCCTTCATGTCACCACAGTGCCAGGTGCAGCATAGTGCTCAGGGCCCCACGCACCTTCTAACTTCCATTCCCAAACAGGTCTTCCCTCCTCTCCATTCCCCAAACCCCAACCATCTCCACCTGCTGACACTGTAGCTTCATCCCCAGATCACTTCAGCTGAAAGTGGTTTTCCTTTTTCTGGATTCCAAGAAGGACTTTGCTTGCAAAAAATGTTTATTTACTTATTTTTTTTTAAAGGCAACAGAAGTTCCACAATTAATCTTTTCTTGTAAGTAGACTTTATTTTTTAGAACGGGTTGGCCAGGCGCAGTGGCTCATGCCTAAAATCCCAGCACTTTGGGAGGCTGAGGCAGGCAGATCACCTGAGGTCAGGAGTTCGAGACCAGCCTGGTCAATGTGGTGAAACCCTGTATCTACGAAAAATACAAAAATTAGCTGAGCGTGGTGGCGCCCGCCTATAATCCCAGCTACTTGGGAGGCTGAGGCAGGAGAATCACTTGAACCGGGGAGGCGGAGGCTGCAGTGAGCCGAGATCACGCCACTGCACTTCAGCCTGGGCGACAGATTAAGACTCCATCTCAAAGAAAAGAAAAGACTGAGAGACAGCAAACGAGACATAGGGTTTATCAGGGGAACTTACTTACAGGGATGGTCCAGTGGTGGCAGGTTGGACAGGAGAACCACTACCATTTGTAAAAAGCATACAGTTTATATAGCATTTTCACTTAGCACCCTCCACCTAGCAACCTCCATTTAACCCAAAACAAAGGGACTTGATCCCCTGTATGACCTGCATTTCAAGAGACAGGCCAGGGGTTTGGATGTCCATCATGGGTAAGGAGTGAATCCCTGGGTTGGCCACTCCTGGATTCCTTAGCTCAGAACTCTGAATGCACATTCTTCTTGATCATAGTGTCATTCTCAGGGCATGCCTAGGTTAAGTTATTGCTGTCAGGTGCATCTCTATACACTTCCTAATGTGTTGCTCTTTTATGAGTGAATTACCTTTAATTTGGCCTTATGTTTTCTATGTCTATGTTGTGCTTCTCTTTTATTCTTATTTATTCAGTGTATATTTCTTAAGGGCATATTAGGCACTGCTGTGTAGGTCTGGAAAAACAGGGAACACACAAAGTACCTGCCTTATTAGTGCCAGGATTTCAGAGAAAACAGGCAGGTGACAGACAAACCAATAGATGGCATGCAGTATAAGTGCTATGAAAAAAAAATAAGACAGTGTAAGGGAAATCGACACAGGAGACCTTAAAGAGAAGGCCTTCTGGATGAAAGGACACTTTGAGCAGACACCAGGGAGCAGTGAGGGAGGAGGTGGCCATGTGGATATCTGTCTAGTGGAAGAGCCCAGAAGGCAGAGGAAACAACACAAGTTAGACAGTTAAGACCAAGGCCTTAGGTGGGGTGGCAGGATGGCTACATGGGACTGAGGGACCATATGGGGGTGGGACATAGTCAAGGTCAAGGTCATGTAGGGTCTTAACAGGCTGTAGTAAAGGCTTGAATTTTTACTCTGAGTAAGAGGGAAAATCATTGGCTTTTTATTTTTCTAGAAATAGGGTCTTGCTCTGTCACCCAGGCTGGAGTGCAGTGGCTCAATCATAGTTCACTGCAGCCGCAAACTCCTGGGCTCCAGCGATCCTCCCATCTCAGCCTTCCTAGTAGCTGGGACTGCAGGTGCACACCACCAAGCCCAGTTAATTTTTAAATTTTTTTTTTAGAGACAGGATCTTGCTGTGATGCCCAGGCTGGTTTCAAACTCCTGGCCTCAAGCGATCCTCCTGCCTCGATCTCCCTAAGTGCTAGGATTACAGGCATGAGCCACCACACCTGGCCTCCATTGGAGGGTTTTAAAGACTTATATACTTAGTTAAAGCAGTCTGTAGGGGGATAAGGCAAGCCTGGAAGCAGGGAGACCCGTGAGGAGGCTCCTGGACAACGTAGGGACAACAGGCCATGACTAGGGTGGTGGCCATGAGAGGTGAGAATTAATCAGATCCCAGTTCACAGAGTTGATGGGATTTACTACTGGTCTGACTGGGAAGGACTGTAAAGAAAAGCAGGGAGTCAAGAATGATTAGAAACAAGGTTTGTGCCCTCGGCAACTGGAGGAGGATTCCTGATGTCATTTACAGAGAATGGGGAGGGGATCTGAGGTGGGATTAAGCTTGAGGAACAAACTCAAGTTGGGTTTTGGACAGACTACATTCGAAGTTCCTGTTGGACGTTGAAGGCTGTTGGCTGTGAGTCTGCCTTCCAAATCCCTGAGTCCTTGAATTCAAGGTCGTGTGTTGGCCGTCTTTGTATTAGGACATCTAACTCTTGTGTTTGACTTAATGGGATTCAAATTTGCACGTGTGTGGTTTTCTGAATGTGGCCTACAGTTTCACTTGGATCTTCATATTCTTTTTCATCATAATCTGTAAAAGCAGAAAAAAAGACCATTGGAAAGAAATGCTGTATGAAACTTTCTGAAAATGGATAGAACCAGAAATGATGCTGACAGGAGTTTTAGAAATGAAAAATAGAGAGTATTCAGACCAAATATAAGTAAATTAGCATAAATCAGCATTCTCTGATTTCCACGCCTACTTACCCAAGTTGGTTGACTCAACAGCTGCTAAGACTACAGCTGTGTGAATCCTCCACATTTTTTTTTTTTTTTGCATGGAAAAGTGTTTCAGTTTGTCATTGCTTCATCATTTCGAATTCCATATTAGGTTACCTTTTTTTTTTTTTTTTTGCCTGACCATAGTACTTAAGAAAAATCTTGCAACTGTCCTTCATTCTGTTGAACCAACTATATCTTATGTTTTCACTTGACATTTTGTTTTAGATCTACTTGGGGCTTTATTTAAATTTTTTTAACATTTAAAAAAATTTTTTTACTTAAATAATGAGGCAGTGTCTCATTATTATCCAGGCTGGACTGCATGGGGCATTCATAGTTCCTGGGCTCAAGCAATCTTCCTGTCTCAGCCTCCAAAGTAACTAGGACTAACAGCATGTACCACCACATCCAACTAGTTTTTTTCATTTTTTTATAGGGACGGGGTCTCGTTATGTTGCCCAGGCTGGTCTTGAACTCCTGGCCTCAAGTGCTCCTCCTACCTTTAAGTGCTGAGATTACAGGCATGAGCCACCAGACCTGACCTTGGGGTTTTATTATTTGCCTTCGAGCCCCTTCAGACAGTTCTTCTTGGAGGTTTGGGGAAGGCTTCTGTAAAGAAAACTTCCTTACACCTGTTTGATGATGGTAAAAGGTCCAGGTGGAGAAAGACTTCCTAGGCAGAAGGAAAAGGAAGTGCAAAGCTATGTAGCCTCTACAAGAGCACATGTGTAGTTTAGGGTGGCTGCATAGGACCTGGGAAGAGAGCTGGGTGATGCAGGGCAGATGACTGGCAGGTAATGAAGGTACTTATGGGCTATGCTAAGGAGTATGGAAAATGGGGAGTATTCAAAATTTAGAGCCCAGGGTACAGTGATGGGATTGCATTTTTTGACAAAGCTACTTTGACTGCCATGTAAAGAACAAATGGGAGGTGAGGGAGCCTGATTAGAAGGTCCTTGATGATGCAGGCAAAAGATGATGAAGGTCTCAAAGTTCTTTGAGCCTTGACTGGAACACATTTAGTGTGACGTGTGTTTATAACATAAAATTAAATACGAAAGCAGAAACATTGGTGATGGAGAGGAGAGCACAAAATTGGGGAGATATTGTAGCCAGGTTGAAAGCTTGTACTGCTCACTGCACAACAGCCAGTAAGTCAAGAGACAAGGAGTTAGAGTAAGGAAGATGACTTTATTTGGAGAGCCAGCAAACCAAGAAGATGGTGGACTGGTGTCCTAAAGAACCATCTTAAAAGACATGAATCTCAAGCTTCTTTTTATATTTGGGAAAGGGGAACAAGGAGAGGGTTGAGGTGACAGGTGACCACAGACATCTGAGCATTAGCAGGCGTCCGAGGGTGTTACATTGAATATTGCATTGTTACTTGTGTCTATGCCCTTTTTATTTCCTCAGTGGTTAGTTTTGGGAAGGGACTATTATCATCCTTGCTTTAAACTGTAAACTAAATCCCCCCCATGGTTATCTTGGCTTATGTGTGGGAATGAGCAAAGATAGTCAGCTTGAGCGGTTAGAAGCAAGATGGAGTTAGTTAGCTACGTTATGTTTCTGTAACTGTTACGTCTTACTTGTAGGATTACAACATCTACTTGGATGAATGGTGATGTCATTCTAGCATGAGGAGCAGGTGGGATTAGGTTGAGGTTGAATGGGACCATAGTTCTGTCAGGACGTGTCATCTTTGTGGAGCCCAGGGGTCATCCATTAAGCAGCTGGGAATACAGTTCTGGGGCTCAGCAGAGACCTCAGCCTGGAAGAACATGTTTAGAAGTCATCAACATCTCATTAGGAAAGAGAAAGAGATCGCCCAGGAGAGGAAATAGAGCAAGGAGAGAAAATGGTCAACAAGGGAAACCATGCTGGGATTGAGTCTCTGTGGTACCAATGGTCTTACTATTGACGTCAGAGTTAAAAAAGAAGAGAGTTATATTCAAATTCTGGTTGAGTTAGTCTCTTATTAACATTTCCTGACTCACCAACTGGTAAATGTCCAAGAAAAATATATCTTTTTGTTTTATCAGAAAATATACATGCTATTTGATCACTCTTCAGGCATTAACAAATGGTGTCTATGAGAACATTTTAACAAAATGTCCTTTCTACTGTTAATACCCACAGCAACCAACTTGGAAATCAGTCATCATAGAAGATGACTGCAGGTTCTGGCTTTCCCAAATCACCAATAATTCACACCTTTGTACATGGTTCTGTGCATGATCTGTTCCTAATATTATGCAACACTTGTGAAATCTTTAGGACTTTAAGTAATTCATCGTTTTGCCCCAAACCTAGACACTACTATAAGAAACCCAACAGGCTACTCTTACCAGCAATAGGGGTTCCTGAACAATATCACGGAACAATGAGAAATCCTGCACTCATGAATTCTCTTTACAACCCCAGGTGCTCAAGCATGGTTTTTAAGGGTGACTCCCTGGCCACCTGGTAAGTCTGAGTGACTTGCGGGCAGCTGTCTTTCTGGAGCGGGAGTTATTCTCTGAAGCCATAGAAAGTGTCAGGGAAGGCTGGATACACATCACGTATGTGCATGAGAAGTAATACTTTCAACAGCAGCAGCATCTTCCAAGTGATAAAAATAACTCAGCTTTAGTCAGTAGCCCAGAAGCCAAGTGTCCCCTTTCACTGCTTGTTCTCTGTTGGTATTCTTCAAAGGGACATCGTGTCTTTCACAGTTTGGAATGTGATGTTTCTGTTCTCACTGACATAACTGTCTTAGTATCTGCTCCTCCTCTTGTCATATATTTGGAAGGTCTTCACCTCTTGATCACTTGCATTTTACATTCTACTTGTCTATTGTTCATTCACACGGCAAGAAATGACGGCTACCTGCCGGGCATTAGTTAGCAAAGCTGCTTATACTCTGATTTCTATTGTTCTCCCAGTTTTTAGACTGTAGCCGTTTAATTACAATGCAGCAGCTTTCACGTCAGTATTTCTCCTGAAGGTCTTAGTTTATTTTATTCCTCCATCACAGAAGGTTCCTTGAGGTCCTGTATTCTGAAAATAGATGCATTTCTTCCAAAATACTGGATAGCTTTTAGATTTTTCAAAGTTCTTGGCAAGTCTACTTTTGGAAACCTTGACTGACTTGCGAATATGATTTCTCCTTTTTTCTTAGCTCCGGGTTGAGCTCCTTCTCAAGAGCTCTTATGTTATAAAGCTTGTGTTCATGAGCAGAGAAGGACTGATAGTGGGTGTTATTAATCATTGAAAGATGTGGCTGTGACTGCTATTATTTCCTGTGTTAAGCTTCCCACCAGCAAACCTGGCCAAGTGCTTTGGCGCTGTGGAAACAGCCTTCGTGTACACACTTCTTGACCCTTCACTCCCTTCATGCCCTTCTTCCCATCAAGACTTAATGATTGGCTGGGCATGGTAGCTCATGCTTATAATCCCAGCGCTTTGGGAGGTCAAAGTGGAAGGATCACTTGAATCCAGGAGTTTGAGACCAGCCTGGACCACATAATGAGACCCCATCTCTCCAAAAAAAAAAAAAAAAATATTAGCCAGGCATAGTGGCAACATGCCTGTAGTCCCAGCTACATGAGAGGCTGAGGCTGGAGGATTGCTTGAGCGTAAGAGGTCGGGGCTACATTGAGCCGTGATTGTGCTACTGCACTTAGCCTTGGTGACAGAGTGAGACCTTGTCTCAAAAAAAAGAAAAGAACTGGAAAAGAAAAAAGAATGGTGTTCATCTCCACCCAGCATGCTAGAGCAGGCATGCCATTCATTGTGGAGGCAAAACTCCCGCATAGCTGCCAAAATAACTGCTGAGTGCTTTGCGATGGAGAGAAACAAAGGAATGTTGGGTCACTGCCCGAGTCATGGGGTCTCTGCCTGAGCCATAGAAAGCTTTTGATTTCTGGAGCCACATTGAATGAACTGATTATGTTTAAAATTATAAAAGAAAAATATAGCCTAAGATAATTGAGTGCAATAAACCAATTTAACTTATTTGTTCTTACGTGTAACAATTGTTGAGTAGGTACCATGGTACCCACTCTATTGCTAAGCTGTGGAAGGAGCCTTGCTTTGGAATTCTCTCAGCTCCTCTTTCCCATCATTTCCTTAGCTGTGTCCCTTTTCAGCCTCCTGTGCTAACTGATAGCACATGTGTTTCAGAATGGAACCTGGAAAAGGAATGTGTGCAGCCCTCGTAAGGATATACCGTTCCACATTCCATATGCTGTTAGATAATATGCTGGCTAGACCGTCAACAGTTACCCCAGGAAGGGGGAATTTGGATTGGAAAGAAATCAAAGGAATTGGAGGTAACATAATGGACTGCAGTTAAACAGTAATAGGGTGGTCTGGACAACTGGACGAAGGCCAGTTTCTAAATTGCAGGCAATCCCCTCTGCCCTTTTAGAACAAGGCAAGGTCCACTGAATGGAGAAGAAGGCAGGCCATCAGCCTTCTTAGGGTTTAATTCAGACACGGGCTCTGAGCTTTGTCTTTTGTTCTCTTTAAAGGAACAAAGCCATTGAATCCAGCCAGAAAAACCTGTGCGTATCCATCATAAACATCCACAAACTCTTCTTTAATCTCCCTTGTTATTCTCCCTAAGAAGTAAGGCTCCAACATAAGTTCTTGGTTGCATCTGACAAGTGTCAGCTGATGTCCATGACCCCTTCGTTTCCTGTGTCCCTTCTACTTGATGCAATGACTGGCATAACGTATTTGTTGGAATGAATGAATGAATGGCATTGGTGGCTGGGCACAGTGGCTCATGCCTCTAATCCCAGCACTTTGGGAGTCCGAGGTGGCTAGATCAGTTGAGGTGAGGAGTTTGAGACCAGCCTGGCCAACATGGTGAAATGCTGTCTCTACTAAAATTTCAAAAATTAGCTAGGCATGGTGGCTAATGCCTGTAATCCCAGCTACTTGGGAGGCTGAGGTCGGAGGATCACTTGAACCCAGGAGGCGGAGGTTGCAGTGAGCTGAGATCACACCACTGCACTGCAGCCTGGGTGACAGAGCAAGACTCTGTCAAAAAAAAAAAAAAAAAAAGGAAGGAAGGAAGGGAGGGAGGGAGGGAGGGAAGGAGGGAGAGAGAGAGGAAGGGTGAGTGAGTGGAAGAAAACAATGAAATCCAGTTCTGAGGGTAAGGAGCATGCCATCAATATGATGGGGGATGTGATATGGTATGAGGATGGGGTCTTTCAAACTGTATTGTGTAGACCAGTAGACCATGACAAATAGGCGCGCGCACGCGCGCGCGCACACACACACACACACACACACACACACGGGCTTCCATGTTCTTACAAATGTTGCACACTATATCTGACTGTGGGATCACAGTGTACGTTTGTATACCAAAGTCTCTGTAAAGACCTGCAATGAAGTGAACCCCTTTAACCTTTCTTTTACTCAGTGTTCCCCTATTGTATTTGACTGTGGAACCCTCTGCGTCATACCCTTTTACATCCCAGAACCCACCGAACACAGTTTCTTCAACATTGGCAGAAATTTACAAAATCATCGTAGTCTTGAGTCCAGCTGACCTGAGTGTGAATCAAGGTTTACCACATAGTGTGTGATCCTGAGCCAAATTAAGTAACCTCTGGTTCCCTCCTTCCTCATCTATATGATGAG
Organism: Homo sapiens; assembly: GCF_000001405.40. NCBI lineage: Eukaryota > Metazoa > Chordata > Mammalia > Primates > Hominidae > Homo > Homo sapiens. The sequence goes on from NC_000010.11 coordinate 24,309,728, forward strand.
GATAATGTGCATCTCCTAAAAGGAGAGAATGAAGGCAGTTAATGCAGGTAATCCATCTTGCGTGCACCCAGCACAGGGTGGCTCTTCCCTGGTTAATTTCCACCCTGATGTGTAGAATTTCCCTGCAACACTCTGCTACCACAAAGAGGGGCTTCTTAGGATATAACCTATTGTCCTTAAACTTTATGAGCAGTGCAATAATTGTTATTTGCACCTGTAAAATGTGAATAACTGGTCTTTCTTTTTAAAATACTTTCCCAAAGGAAAATTATGGCAAAGAGATCATGTCCTAACTAGTTTCTCACGTGTTGGTGCTATCACCTCCTGAGTTTTGGCAACGTTATTTCTCTGCTTTTTTTCTTGACTCCCCTCTAGTTCTTCTAAATTAGATATTAAGCAGGAGAAGTATTTTTAATATCCTGGAAATGTGTTTTATTAATCTACCAAACAAATGGCTGTCCAACAACTCCATGAAACAGGAAGAACGGCCACTAGCATTCATTTTGCTTTTACCAGGCACCAGGTAGCGCTGTAAACTCTTTATGTGTGTAATTCATTTCATCTTCACAACAACTCGATGAGGTAAGTGCTATTATCTGCAGTTTGCAGAGAAGGAAACCGAAGCTGGTGGAGTAACATGCCTAAGGCCACCCTGCCAGGATAAGATGAATGACCACGACTCTGAGTGACTAAAGCCTTAGGAACAAAGATGAGTTGAAAATGGGAGAGCCACCTGGGGTAGAACCCCAGAGTTTTTATTTTCTTGCAAAGTTTTAGTAAAACTTTCTCAGTTTTCAGGAAACAAAAGTTATATATTTTAGAGTTTGAAATCACAAATTACACACCACTCCCCCATCTCTAGCCTCTACATTTTTAAGCAAGATCAACAGAACCCAGTGGAGTTCCATGGAGTTCAGGGACCTTGCTCCAGGTGTGCCTCTAACACTCAGTCCCTTTTCCAAGGCAGGGCACATATAATTGAATATAGGCTGGGTGTGGTGTCTCATGCCTGTAATCCCAGCACTTTAGGTGGCCGAGGCACGTGGATCACTTGAGCCCAGGAGTTGGAGACCAGCCTGGGCAACTTGGTGAAAACCCATCTCTACAAAAAATGCAACAATTAGCCAAGTGTGGTGGTGCACACCTGTAGTCCTAGCTATTTGAGAGGCTGAGGTTGGAGGATCACGTGAGCCTGAAGAGGTTGAGGTTGCAGTGAGCCAAGATTGTACCACTGCACTCCAACCTGGGCAAGAGAGTGAGACCCTGTCTCAAACAAAACAAAACAAAGCAAAAAAATGAAGATTGCCAAATATTTAAATGTCAGTTACTATTAATTTAAATGTCCATCAGGGTTCTCCTTGAAGTCAAAACTGCTGTTTTCCCCAATGCCAGAACTCCTAACAGTGGACCCCAGGCCGTAGGAGGTGATCTAGAATTGCCCCTGAATTAAAGGCTTTGTGTTCTGCACACGTGATGCAACCTCAGGATCGGACATGTGTTAGTTCCCAGCCTGTGTCCTGTGACACCTTGGAGAACAATCGAGACTGGTTGATATTTGGAGGGTTAAGCAAAGGACCTTTCTTTTGCCAGCTACTCTGCCGTGGTTGAAGTGTCTTGAGGGTGGTGAACGGGTCCTCGCTGGGCTTGTCTCTGAGCTGCACACATTGACTTGACACAGGAGTCAAGTAGTAAGTATTGGTTGAAGGAATCAGCGATGTTTGGCTACCCATTGTGTGCTCTCTAATATTTGCTAGGGATATGGTGATAAGGGAGGAAAAAGACCCAAGGAGTAATGACCGAGCAGCTATGTAAGTGAATCAATGATGTGACCACATTGCTTTTTCTTAGCCGATAGTTACAGCTCTATGCAACTTTTTCTACTTATTGCTGGAGGTAATCACATTCCAACCCTGAGGACTGCTCCCATGCTGGGCGGTACTGCAGTGACCTCTGCATTTGAGCTGGGGTTTCTTGTATCTCACGAGGGTCAGGGGCCTGTGGGAACTTTTTGTCATCTGGGGGGACAAAGGCTTTCTTGGGAAAAAAAAGTCTCCTTTTTATCCTCTGCGGGTGAAAAAGAAGTGCCGTTAGAATAGGAAGGGGCTTCTTGTAGGCTTGAAAAGAGAAGGACTTGGCAGGTGGCACCTGGGCTTTGTTCAGCAGAACTGAGAGGGCAAGAGTATAGCTGGCTTTTTTGTAAGACTCATGAACTCTGTGGCCCATTGATGAGATGCTCTCTGCTCTACAAAGTGGACTTTCCTCGAGGTGGAATTTTATTTTCCTCCCTGTGCTGGTGTTAGATTCTCTGGATACATAAGGTGACCCGAGGAGAAGCAGGCAATGTCATCACAGTTTATTTGTAGGATCTGGGCTTCCTCCTTCAGAGGAGGTGCCACTCACACCCGAGATGCCTGCTCTCTCCCTGAGCCTTTCAGCACAAGGGCAGGACGGAGAGGAGCCCAGCTAACGAGGGGCCAGCTCAAAGTCATTCAGGAAAAACAGATATACACAGACATGGCCGGAAGCCTCAATGTGTTTTTCTACTGCAGGAAGGTTAAAGTGGAACTTCATGTCATAGATTTAAAAAAAAAAAAAAAAAAGGCTGGGGCCAGGCACAGTGGCTCACGCCTATAATCCCAGCACTTTGGGAGGCCAAGGCGGCCGAATCACCTGAGGTCAGGAGTTCGAGATCAGCCTGGGCAAGATGGTAAAACCTCGTCTCTACGAAAAGAAATACAAAAATTAGCTGGGCGTGGTGGCGCATGCCTGTAATCCCAGCTGCTCGGGAGGCTGAGGCAGGAGAATTCCTTGAACCTGGGAAGCGGAGGTTGCAGTGAGCCAGGATTGTGCCACTGCACTCCAGCCTGGTGACAGAATGAGACTCCATTTCAAAACCAAACAAAAAAAAGGTGGGCATGGCGGCTCATGTCTGTAATCCCAACATTTTGGGAGGATGAGAGGGAGGATTGCTTGAGTCCAGGAGTTCGAGACCAGCCTGGGCAATATAGTGGGACCCCATCTCTACAAAAAAATAAAAATTAGCTGGGTGTGATGGTGCAGACCTGTGGTCCCAGCTACTCAGGAGGCTGAGGTGGGAGGATCACTTGAGACTGAGGAGGTCTGGGCTGCAGGGAGCCTTGATTGTGCCACTGCAATCCAGCCTAGGTGACAGCGCACATCCTTGTCTCAAACAAACAAAACCCTACATATCTTAAGAGGTATTGGAAGGCCTTAATACATGCCAAGCACATAGGACTCAATGAGCAATTCTGTCTCAAAAATAAATAAATAATAGATATTTAAGAATACACTACTATTAAGAACCTCAGATATGGAAGTTCATGAAAGATACTTTTATTTAATAAGACATGAAGGGAAATTTAGCGTCACTGATGGTATCCTTCTCTCTCCTCACCGCGATCTCTTCCAGTTAACTGCTGAATGCAAATCAACAGTAGAGCGGGACGTATTTTGCAGTTCAGTTATTGATTTTTAGGGAGCCTGGGTGGGTACCCTTATCTGTGTCTCTTTGAGGACAATGACAGGAGCCCTCATTGCCAACAGAGATAACAGTGAGATTGTATTTTTATTTGTTCCACAAACACTGACGTGACAAAGTGCTCTTACTGGTAGGCTTGAGGAGAGTAGCCTGGCGATTAAATGTTCTTATTTCGAGTGAGCAGCCGGGCTGTGTTCAGAAGAGCCCATTAGCAGAGCACGGGACCCATCAACAGTCCAATTAAGAGCAAAGGGATGTGACTGCGGAAATATTAATGGGCTGTGTTGGTAAAGCTGCCCGGGGTTAGCGCCAGATGGAGTTTTTCTGTATACAGTTTGTAGGAAACTCTTGTGTATTTTCACGCGGGATGTCCTTCTGCAGAGGGGGATGGTTTTAGATAATGACTGTTGTGCTTTTTGGGGATACCACCTGCAGAGATGTGTTTATTTTGAGTGTTTATAGATTGCAGAAAGCTGGTGAAACCACCTTGAGAGAGGTGATCCTTTGATTGAATGTTTTTTTCATCCAACACCAAAAAATTACAGGCCATGATTGGATTTTGGAGCTGATTCTTGCTTTGTAAGACTGCATGGTTTTGGTGAACATCCATCTGGTTGTTTTTTTTTTTTTTTTTTTTGAGTCTCACTCTGTCACCCAGGCTGGAGTGCAGTGGTGCAATCTCGGCTCACTGCAACTTCCACCTCCCGGGCTCAAGTGATTCTCCTGCCTCAGCCTCCCGAGTAGCTGGGATTACCAGTGCCCACCACCGCGCCCAGCTAATTTTTGTATTTTTAGTAGAGATGGGGTTTCTCTATGTTGGTCAGGTTGGTCTTGAACTCCTGACTGAACATCCTTCTTGAATGATGAAGTCAACCTTATTTACCCTTGAAAGATGACTTAATCCTTACCAAGAGAGCTTCAAAAATACCTGTTATTCTGTACCTTCGTTTAAAAAATAAGTCCTATTGCCTTAACTCCTGTCCAATGCCTACTGTAGCTCTGTTTACATATTACAAAATAAATAGAACCAACCACATGTCTTTGAAGTACCAGCCCTGTTAGTCCATGGTAAGATTTCTGCCTAAAATTTAAGCATCTTGACAACATGCGGGAGACTTAGGGGCAGAGAAGGACCATTTCTCAGAAGAATAACCCCTCAGCTCAGCACAGTTGTGTCATCTGTCCAAGGTAGCACTTTAGCAGTTTCCTAAATGAGGGAGGGTATTCATGTGTGTATGCATGTATGGTGTCTGTGTGTGCACACGTGTACATGTGCTCACGCATGTTATAACTGTAGAAAACAGGCAGGGGAGCCTGTGATTTGCCTTGTGTTTCTATAAACCCCCCTACAGCTTTAACTAATTTCCATGGTTGTTGATGGAGGTTCAGATGTGAAATCTAATGGTATCTGTGATCTGCAAAATATACATATTGGCCGGGTGCAGTGGCTCACGCCTGTAATCCCAGCACTTTGGGAGGCCGAGGCAGGAGGATCATGATTGTCAGGAGATTGAGACCATCCTGGCTAACACAGTGAAACCCCATCTCTACTAAAAATACAAAAAAAATCAGCCGGGCGTGGTGGCAGGCCCCTGTAGTCCCAGCTACTCAGGAGGCTGAGGCAGGAGAATGGCGTGAACCCAGGAGGCAGAGCTTGCAGTGAACTGAGATAGCGCCGCTGCACTCCAGCCTGGGCGACAGAGCGAGACTGTCTCGAAAAAAAAATAATAATAATAAAATAATAAAATAAACCCATTGTTCATCTAAGAACCTACCCATGTCTTTCGGGAGGCTTTCCATCTTATCTTGTCTTGGTTCAGACAGTCTTCCATGGGACCCACTGATACCCTGGAGCATCTCTGGAAGGTTGAAGCGGAGGACAGAGGAGGCATGGAAAAGGTGTGCAGTAATACATAGGAAGCTTCCAAAGAGAAGTGGGTGCAAGACAGCACAGAAACATGTTCAGTTGCCTCAGCTGCTGATGTTCAAAATACCTGCAGAAAATCAACGCTGCTACACCCAAAAGAAAAGGAAGATGGAACTGGGGGCCTAGAGTGAATTTTTTCAAAGGTAAAAAGGAGCCCAAATTTCACAGAATGATCTCCCGCTTCAGAAAGGGAAACCCTCTAAGTACACTATACACTTCCCTGCCTGTTTTCTGGAGAGTGATACCGAGTGTTGGCACTGTCTGCAAGGAAGGAAGTAGGACTTTGACTAATTGCACAAACAGCAATTTTGTGTTTTTGAAGTGCGAGGACTCAGTCCTGTGTCCACGAAGCCTCCTTCAGGAGGTTACTTCTTGACATAGCCCATCAACCGGACCTCCCGTTGCTAGGTTCTGAGCCTTAGGGTGCTTTCAAATGCAATATCTAGGCCAGGAGTGGTGGCCCACACCTGTAATCCCAGCACTTTGGGAGGCTGAGGCAAGAGGATGGCTTGAGGCAGGAGGATCGAAGTCAAGGCTGCCGCGAGCTGTGATCGTGCCACTGCATGCTAGCCTAGGCAACAGAGCAAGACCTTGTTTCAAAACAAAACAAGAAAAAAAAAATATGTGCAGAATCCACTAATGGAAGTCATCATAAATTTGTTGCCAGAATGGGAATGTATCAGTTTATACTTCCTACATTTTGTTTTTTGTGATGACTTTAACTTTGGATCATTTTATCAGTGACTGGATGAAAGTTTATCTTTATTTTATCTAATGGGGGGGGGGAATCCAAGGAGCTTTTTAAAGACAGCCAGTATAATTGATTATAAAGGGTAGTTCCCTGCTAAGCTGAAAATGCTGTCTTCGAACACTTTAGGCATCTGTTTCTACCTAAGAGATGCATTGTGGAGCCCAGTCTATAGCACCTGCCACTGGTCTTCAATGTGTTCAGTATGTATCCTGATAATATATGAAACATCAGGGTCCGCTCACCTGCTTCAGGTGCTGTGTGTACTCCAACAGGTATTCTACAATCCGAGCTGTTCATCAGTTGTTAAATTACTGTGATTTGAGTCCCTTCAAAGTGAGATCCATTGGCAGCAGGAACTGTTATATAGTATTATGTGTGTGTTTAAGGGCAGAGGGATGGTGTTATCTAACTGTCCTGTCCCAGTTTGCAGGCATGGAAGGAGTTCCTAGGATGTGTGACTTTCAATTTTAAAACTGAGAAAGGCCTGGACAAACCAGGATGAGTTGTCAACCTGCATGGGGGCAATGGATTTGGCCATGAACTTCATCATTTCAAAGTATTAAGTTGTTGGCATTCTGAATGCCCCTGAACCTATTTTGCATCGTAGAGTGGACTTGTTCCCCAGTGACCCATGTCCACCCCTAGTGGACTCGATCAACTCCTGACACACCCCTACTAGGAACACGAAAATGGTTGTAGAATGTGTTTCATTGTCCTCATCCACAGATACAGACACTTTGGTGACTCTGTGTTCTATCTGAATGGGGGCTGAGACTACAGGATACCCCATCCCATTTCTGTCCTCTGTCCTTCATCCAAGGTGTCACCATTTGTATCTATCAGGAAGGAGGCTTTGCAGCTAAAATTTAAAATAATAAGAAGAATATATTTCCGAGCCAGAGATTAGATGCCTACATATCTCTTTTGGCCTCAGCATTCTGTGGTCTTCTATGGAGAAAGGCTAATTTTCTGAAGGCTTTGAATGGAATGAAAACTGCCTGTTCAAATGGTTCTGAGGATACTGAGAGACGCTCAGTGTGTGGTCTTTTTATTTTTAGTAATAGTGTTGGAAAAAATCAGGTTATGTTTACGCTGAGTGTGTGGGGGGCGCTGGTGAGATTGTGTAGTCTAGAAAAGGCTAGAATTATAAATTATTATAAACGTTGGCCATGTGGGGAAATTCTTATACCAAAAATACTGCAATGTATGTCAGCCTATAGATTTTCATGTAGTTTCTTGTCCAAAACTGTATATGAGAGCAGAAATGATTGATTATGTTATGTTCAATGTATACCTAATATCTAGTGCTGATACATAAATAAACCCATCATTTGTGACAAGGGTCTTTTGTCCGCATTTAATTTTATTTTGTTACTTTTTATTTATTTATTTATTTTTCAGCCAGGGTCCTGCTATGTCGCCCAGGCTGGTCTCAAATTTCCGGACTCAAGCGATTCCCCCACCTCAGCCTCCTGAGTAGCTGGGACTGGAGGTGTGCACCACCACACCCAGCTTAATTTTATTTTTATGGCCAAATATGACACAGGTGAAAGCCATTACCCAGACCTTCAAAGGAGTGTCACGATGGGGTTGGCAATGAGGACAAGGGGTGATGAGGAAAATACATTGCTGGAAATCAAGTTGATAATAGGTTTGGTGGAAGATCTAAGAAATGTAGTGTGGAACCTCTGAGGTAGGGAAACTGGGAATTCTTTTCTTTAGAATATACATGTATATTGGCATGTATGTAGAATATGCATGTCTGGAACTCCAGAATACAATCTGGGCTGCAGCCATCAGTGTACAGGTTAAAGGTTCTTAGGCTTTCTCTGTTCACGGCATTCCTGTAGACTAAAAGAAACAGCTAACAGCTCCGTTTATTAAGTAGTAAAGCCCAAACAACTTAGTAATTATTTATGACCTAACAATTTAGTGGCCAATTGAAAATACAATCACATCAATTCAAAAGAAAAGATGTATTTTTTCATTTTTAGGTGATGGCTGGTTTTATGCATCAACGTGCGTAGGGCATGGGGCCTAGATATTTGGTCAAACCCCTGACTGGGTATTGCTGTGAAGGTTTGTTTTTTAGATGAGATTAACATTTAAATAGGTAAGTTTTCTGGGTGCAGTGGCTCATGCCTGCAATCCCAGCACTTTGGGAAGCGGAGGCAGGAAGATCACTTGAGGCTAGGAGTTTGAGACCACCCTGGGCAATATAGCAGAACCTGTCTCTAAATAATTAGATAGATAATTAGATAGAGATAGATTAGATTAGAGAGGTAGGTAGGTAGGTAGATGATAGATAGATGGATAGATAGATAGATGGATAGATGGATGTATAGATAGATGAATAGGTAGGTAGATAGATAGATAGACAGATAGACAGACAGACAGACTGATTGAGTAAAGCAGATTATCTTCTATACTGTGGAAGGCCTCATTCAATAAGTTGAAGGCCACAAGAGAAAACAGACTGAAACAGGCTGAGGTTTCCTTGAGGAGGAGGGAATTCTGCCTCTAGACTGTCCTTGAACTTGAGCTGCAGCATCAACTCTACCTTAGGTCTCCATCCTGCTGACCTTCCCAGCAGATTGTGGATTTGCCATCCCCCACAATCATGTTAGTCAGTTCCTTAAAATCATCACTCTCTCTCTTTCTGGTTTTCTCTTGAATACACACGTATACGCACACCTCCCCCTCTCTTATCTGGAGAACTCCGCCTTCTACAATTACCAGTGGGATGTGTGCACCTGTTGGGCACCGCACAACTCCCCTGACCTTGGAATCAGATTGGACAACATTTCCTATTCCGCTTTGATTTTTCTGCAGTACTGGCATTTTAATCCCAGCAACCTCTGAAAACCTCATGTTGCAAAAATGACATCAACAAGAAGAATGCTTATGATCTAATGTTGAAACTGTGAACTACCTGAAGTGAATCATTAGCCCAGTGTGTAACAAGTATTGCTGTGTTTCCCTCAAAAAGTTAAAATATCCCTCAGTGCCTCTGTGAGTTCGCTGTGGCATCCCATCCAGGACACCTGGGTGCACGGTTTGGGAGCTGCAGGTAGAGTGGCAGCAGTAGTCATGGGAGTGGATGAGTTCAGGTGGAGGGCACAGGAGGTGGAGACAGCAGAGAAGAGCTTCACAGAGAACATCTAGGAGGGACAGCTGAAGAAGCGCTTTGGGGCCGGGCGTGGTGGCTCACGCCTGTAATCCCAACACTTTGGGAGGCCGAGGCGGGCAGATCACCTGAGGTCAGGAGTTCGAGACCAGTGTGGCCAACATGGCGAAACACCGTCTCTACTAAAAATACAAAAATTAGCTAGGTGTGGTGGTGCATGTCTAATCCCAGCTACTCAGGAGGCTGAGGCATGAGAATCCCTTGAACCCAGGAGGCAGAGGTTGCAGTGAGCTGAAATCATGCCACTACACTCCAGCCTGGGTGACAGAGCGAGACGTTGTCTCAAAAAAAAAAAAAAAAAAAAAAAAAAAAAAGGCAGGGGATGGCTTTGGAAAGGAGATTCTAAAGGGAGACTAGAGACACAGGGAAAAATTGATGTACTGTCTGTGAACAGCAAGGAAAATATGATTACACCTAAGAGATGAAATTGGCATAGGCGAGAAGTCAGAAAAATAATCTATACAGCTTGCATGGTTGGGGAGTTAGGAGAGGCCAAGGCCACGTGCACGTAGAGCAAGAGGTAGAAGAGGCCCGGGGGCTAGAGCGCACCCTGGTGGATAGTGTGAGAATTTCACACTGGCTCAAGCCTTGAAGACCACCCCAGGGGTGCGCCTTAGCAACGCACTTATGCAAGACCCCAACAACTGGCCCTTGAAAGGAGCTTTTCACTGGTGGGGTGTGGCCCTGCTTGTATTCAGAACCATAGTTTTAACAAGCCAGCATTAAATCCACAAGTCTTTGCCAAAGCACTTTAAGCCTCTTGACATTTATTGGAATTAATTTACCTGCAAGGAAGTTCATATATCTAGCTTTGTTAACCCTACATTCGGGAAAATGTTTCCATGAGATAACTAAAACCCGCATGAATGATACAATACTGTGACAAAACCCAAAGGTGGCATAATTAGCATATAAAACTCCCAAATTTTTTTTGCAATTACCATCGTCTAGTAACTGGTTGTTTCATTAGGTAAAAGTGGATGGAATCAGTGGAATTATATGTATGATATGAAATGCTCTTTGGCATCTATTAAATTTTTATTTTGAAGAAAAAATAAAGGACAAGGAAAGCATCCTATTCCAAGACTCCAAGGAGATTATATTTTTAATTCCACACCACAGAAAATGCAAACAAATTTCTAATTACACTTCATGCATGGAGATCTGTAGAGGAAAAATAAATTGGTACCCATCCACCCAAAAGCCACAAATCAGACATAGAATGGCTAATCACAAATATAACTTGTGTGCCTGATGCTGATTACTTTCTCCGCAGTCTGTTGTGAACAATTAAGAATTTAGATCTTGGGCTGGGAGTGCTGTTTTTAAAGTGTGACTCAAAAGCATAAAGTTCATTTAAATTTCTCCTAATCCTGGTTTGCAATTTCTATTCCTTTTTGGTTAGAGTATTATTTATCTTCAGGAGGCCCCTATTATACTATAAATATTGCCTTGGGGCAGTGTTCATAGCACCACAGCACCTATCTATCCATTTATCAGAATAATCAGCACTTCCTGTTGGCTGAGAAAACACTGTCATTTTTACTGTTTAAAAACAGAACAGCTTTCAGTAGCAATTGCCATTAATTGATTTCATGGCAGGAAGACGGAAAATTCTCCATTTTTTCATTCTCATAAGTCACCTAAGAACATCTTAAAAGCTACAGAGAGGCCGGGCTCAGTGGCTCATACTTGTAATCCCAGCACTTTGGGAGGCTGAGGCGGGCGGATCACGAGGTCGGGAGATCGAGACCATCCTGGCTAACACAGTGAAACCCTGTCTCTACTAAAAATACAAAACCAAAATTAGCCGGGTGTGGTGGCAGGTGCCTGTAGTCCCAGCTACTTGGGAAGCTGAGGCAGGAGAATGGCGTGAACCCAGGAGGTGGAGCTTGCAGTGAGCTGAGATCACACCACTGCACTCCAGCCTGGGCAACAGAGCGAGACTCCATCTCAAAAAAAAAACAAAAAAAATGCTACAGAGAAAGGGGACAGCTGCCATGGAAAACAGTGGGGCGGTTCCTCAGAAAAAAATAAAAATAGAATTATCATATAACCCTGCAATTTCACTTCTCTGTACCCAAAATAATTGAAAGCAGGAACTTGAGATATTTGTACATCCACGTTCATAGCAGCATTATTCACAATTGCCAAGGGATAGGCTCGGCACAGTGGCTTATGCCTGTAATCCCAGCACTATGAGAGGCTAAGGTGGGCATAATGGATCACGTGAGGTCAAGAGTTCGAGACCAGCCTGACCAACATACCAAAACCCCATCTCTACTAAAAATACAAAACTTAACTGGGCGTAGTGGTGCATGCCTGTAATCCCAGCTACTCAGGAGGCGGGAGAATTGCTTGAACCCAGGAGGCAGAGGTTGCAGTGAGCCAAGATCGCGCCACTGCACTCCAGCCTGGGTAACAGAGAGCAAGGCTTCATCTCAAAGGAAAAAAAAGGAGCCAAAGGATGGACACAACCCAGGAAGAATGGATAAAATGTGAAGGAAATTCTGACACATGCTACAAAATGGATGAACCTTGAGGACATTATGCTCAGTGAACTAAGCCAGTCACCAAAAAGACAAATAGTATAGGATTCCACTTGTATGAAGTACTTAGGGTAGTCGAATTCAGAGACAGAAAGTAGAATGGTGATTGCCAGGGGCTGGGAGAGGGGAGATGGGGATTTACTGTTCAATGGGTGTGCAGTTTCAGTTTTGCAAGGTGAAAAGTGTTCTGGAGATGGGTGGTGGTGATGATCACATAACAACATGAAAATACTTAGTGCCACTGAACCGGACGCTCAAAAATGGCTAGGTTGGTACATTTTGTGGTGTATTTTACTGACATTTTATTTTATTTTATTTTATTTTTTGAGACAGGGTCTCGCTCTGTCACCCAGGCTGGAGTGCGGTGGCCCGATCTCGGCTCACTGCAATCTCCACCTCCCAGGTTCACGCGATTCTCCCACCTCAGCCTCCTGAGTAGCTGGGATCACAGGTGCATGCTATCACACCTGACTAATTATTATTATTATCATTTGGCAGAGATGGTGTTTTACCATGTTGGCCAGGCTGGTCTTGAATTCCTGACCTCTAGTGATCCACCCGCCTCAGCCTCCCAAAGTGCTGGGATTACAGGTGTGAGCCACCATGTCTGGCCTGAAATTTATTTTTAAAAAAGCAAATCTACAGAGGAGTGGGCTCCACCATAGAAATTCAGTTCCAGTTAGTCAGCAGTAGCGGCCTGGGCAGCAGCAATTCTGGTCTAAGGTGCGGGGTAATCTCTGAAGTAGTTAAACACAAGTGGTGTAACCAATGTGTCAGGATGGGAGAACTGGGCACTGGGAAAGAGAAAGACTAGTGTTGGGAGGAGCAGGGAAGCACCAGCAAGGAAAAAGACCCTGTACATGAACTTGGCTAAGGAATTGTTTCAGTGATAGAAATACCAGACACTGTAAATGGTTGTGCACATGGGCCAGAGAGGTCTTTAAATTACATTTGAAACATATACACCTACTGTGTACCCATAAAAATTAAAAACTATTTTAAAAAATAAATTCCATTTGAGCCACTCCTTCAAACCACCCAGAGTGGGTAGACGTCTTTCGTGCCTCTAAGAAGCCCCATCTCTATTCTGCGTCTCACCTTGCAGGGCTGCTCATCTGAATCCTGAAGATGGTGGACACCCATCTGCTAGGACTGAAATGAATAGGACAGAGGGAGGTGCAGAGTGAATGGACCATACTACCTGTCATCTTGGCAACGTGTGATTGAATAAAACAACTTCTTTAGAAGTTTGATAGAGTGATTTGATAATGTAATTTACAAGTGATCATTTCTTTTTATTTTCATTTTCAGTTGTTTTTTATAGACAAAGTCTCACTCTACTGGCTACCGGCTAGGCTAGAGTGCAGTGCCACACTCGTAGCTCACTACAGCCTCAAGTTCCTGGGCTCAGCAATCTTCCCACTTCAGCCTCCTGAGTAGCTGGGACTATAGGCATGAACCACCATGCCCAGCTAATTAAAAAAAAAAAATGTTTTTGTAGAGATGAGTCTTGCTATGTTGCCCAGAATGGTCTTGAACTCCCGACCTCAAGTGATTCTGTCACCTCAACCTCTCAGTCTTCTTTTTATTTGTGTACCTGGCTTCAGCCCTTTTGTTTCTTCAAGGGCCTGGACTTGTTACTCCTGGCCCAGGAGTATGTTGTTAAACACTGGATTAATGGTGTGACCTATGCATCTATTTAATTTATACGTATGTACAGAGAGATTTTTGCGTGCCGTCAGTGGCTAACCAAATCAGGCAAACCACAGTTCATTTGAGTAAGTCCTCCCATGCCATGAGGCATCCCTGAAAGGGATCCATTCTCCTTTTCCAGAGAATTTTCTAGGATCAGTAGCAAGGCCTGGTGTCCCTACTCATGCTCTTTATTGAATACAATTCATTTTGAGTGACCTTTACTTCTCAGTAATAGTTCTTTATTTGTGAAGCGCAGTTTGCAAACAGCCTAATCGGCTTCTGGCTTCTGGTTACTAGTATTCCACCTGCTTTGTAATGCCATTGTAAAAACCAGCTGGGTAGGAAGGAAGAAGATATTGATTGAATGTTTTTCACTGGAAGAAAAATTTGTGTAGCAATGAGACTGCCCTAGATTCAAATGGAATTTGAAGACAATGCCCATGTTTTCTCTTCGTGTGTGTGTGTGTGTGTGTGTGTGTGTGTGTGTGTGTGTGTGTTTGACTAACTTAGGGTGGTTTTTTTTCGTATTTCTTCTTAGTACCTGAGAGTTAATGTATCCTAGTTAATTAATGATAGTATGTTTCTAAAAATCAAAGGAAGAATAATAAGTATAATAAAATGTTATAAAGTTAAGCATAAGATCTTAGGCTAAGGAACCACTGTAAATACACCTGTAATCCCAGCAATTTGGGAGGCCAAGGTGGGAGGATTGCTTGAGGTCATGAGTTTGAGACCAGCCTGGGCAGTATAGCGAGACCTCATCTCTACAAAAAAAAATTTAAATTAGCTAAACATGGTAACATGTGCCTGTAGTCCCAGCTACCACGGAGGCTGAGACAGGAGGATTGCTTGAGCCCAGGAGGTAAAGGCTGCATTAAGCCGTGATCACACCACTGCACTCCAGCCTGGACAACAGAGTGAGACCCTGTCTCAAAAAACAACAGCAACAGGCCGGGCACTGTGGCTCACGCCTGTAATCCCAGCACTTCGGGAGGCCAAGGTGGGTGGATCGCTTGAGGTCAGGAGTTTAAGACCAGCCTGTCCAACATGGTGAAACCCTGACTCCACTAAAAATACAAAAATTAGCCAGGCATGGTGGCATGCTCCTGTAATCCTAGCTACTGAGGAGGCTAAGGCAGGAGAATTGCTTGAACCCAGGAGGCAGAGGTTGCAGTGAGCCAAGATCCTGTCACTGCGCTCCATCCTGGGCAACAGAGCAAGACTTCATATCAAAACAAACAAACAAACAAACATACAAAACAAAACCCACAGCAACAAAGAAACTATGGATAAATTGACCCAGGGTGAGAGTATTAGTAAGGACTCTTGGATTTTTCCCCCTAGACTATGGCTCATTAGTTATTTTATAGTCCTGCTTTTTCAGGGATCTTTGTATTATATCTTAGACCCTGTTTTGTTTTGTTTAAAAATGTGATGTTAATACTTGTCTGTGGGCTGGTCTTGTCAAGTCTTGCAAACTTGTACTGCTGTTGTGCTGATTTCTTGGATAGGAGCCCGAGGTTATCATGTTTCCCTAACAATGCTCAATCTTGCCCCTATTCAGCGACTGACTGTTTAGAAAAGCCTGGCCTTCTTGGGTTGCCCATGAACTTGACCCCTTAGATACTGGCAGTGAAGAGCTTGAGTTAAAAAAGGAGTTGAAAAAAAGTGTAAGCAGGTGACTCTCAAAGTGCCGGTCAGTTGCCACCTTCTCTACTTGAAATAATCCTAGAAACTCTCACTTCTACTTCTCAAAGAACAATCCATAGTCACCCAGAAACAAGCACTATATATACACAAAAACTCGGGTTTCTGACTTGTCTTCATTCCTTCAACATGTCCTTGTTACAAAAGTGTGGGACAGTGATTTGCAAGTTCTTTGACAGTAGTGGTTATACTGGGGATTTTCTTCTATCTTTCAGGTATGGAACTCAGCTCTTTGATTTCAAGGAGGGAAACTCAAGCAGGCTGCAGCAGTTCAATGCTCTGCAGGCGTCAGTTCCTGGCATTATGGAGAAACTCAGAATTATTAGGGGGAATTATGGAAGCAGGATGAAATGAGAAAGAAGGGTGTGTATGGCCCCTGAGCGGGCACCTAAGAGTAAGAGTGAGAAGGTCATCTTGGTTCCAGCCTGTCAACCCACAGATGAGGTCCAGAGAGAGTATAGAGCTAGCAAGCAAGGTCTCAGATAGTTAAGGCAGCTCTGCCACCAGCACCTTTTCAAATGCCTTTTGCACCACCTTCTGAATAGATTGTCTTAAACTTCTCAGACATGACTAATTACAAGTGGCCGGTTGATCCTATAATAACCGATTTGTCTGGTCTGGCTATAAGATTAGAGAAAATTATGCTCTTAATGCAGAGTGTGGAAAAACAGAATGGTATGTAATGGGGTGGAAGTTTGGCTTTGCATGTGGATCTGTCTGGACATGTATGAAATGTACATACATTTCAGAGGGGCAATAAGGGGAAGAAAATAAAGAAATAATTTGCCATTTTCTCTCCTAAGTTCAATTTCAGAATTCAGCAGGAAGCTCCTCTCTCTAAATGAATACTTCAATGACTTTGTAAGAAAAATTAGATAATTTAGAGAGTTACATTATTTTCATATTTATAATGCTGTGAGTAACACTGAAATGAGCCCCAGCAAAGGCCTTAAGTTTTAGGTATACCAGTTAACAGGACCTGCCCCGCTAAGGCCTGGTTGGAGTGATGTTTCCATCACTCCAGGACCGTCTAAAAGAAAGCAACACTATAAAGGCCTTGCATATTTGGGAAAGTAAAAGAACTTTACTTCATTTCCAGTTTTTACTTCGTTGTGTTTTTCATCAAGCTCGTTCATTATTACTACGGTATCTCTATTGATACTGTTAGATAAGTTGTAAAAGTTCCCATAGGCTACCATTTTAATCATTGTCTCTCCTAGAATTGTTTATTTCATGCAAGATGTTGATATTAACACCTTATAGAAAAAAAAGACTTAAATCATAAAACTTCCATTTGCTTCCTTGTCCCCCTCACCCTGGAAGAATGAAAAAAAAACTTGCTATTTTTTTTAAAGTCGATGGCAAAATACTTTGGTTTAGCTCATGAAACATAAATATTTGTGGTAGCCTAGTTGGAGAATAAATGACAAAAGCGCTTTTATAAAATAGCTGTTGTAGTTATATAATTCATTTTTTTCCAGTATGCTTTAACATTTCTTGAATCTAAAGGTGTGAAAGGCATGGTTATCAAAAGCAAATAGATGTGAATACTGCTGTTATTAAATGTCATGCTTTTCAATTTGTCAGTCATATATTATCTGAAAAATAAAATGGATTTTTCTGTTATTATTTTTTTCTTTTATTTTCTCAACTGGGCTGTCCACAAAAGGTTTGTGGCATTCTTGTTTTTCCAGTGAAAAATGGAACTTTAATTGCCTTTGGATACTTTCATAATTATATAAATTAATACTGACCCCCAAAACCCTTACATATAGGAAAGGTACAACTGGAAATAGGATGGCATTTTAATGATAATTAGGGAAACGAATGATATGAAATTACTTATGATTTGTAAATGATGCTTAATAATTTAAGCAGAGAGAGGTGGTAAATTGTTGTCTACATTGAGAGTGTTTTATGCATACCTTTTGGTTATGCATAACTTTTGGTTTTCCTTTTGTTTAATTATTGCTTCTTAGTGTTTTCAAAACACAGCACAAAATATTTGAGTATGATTTGTTTTCTGAAAGATAAGATGTAAAGTGCAAACTCATTAGATTTATATTAGAATGGATGCAAGCTTGCTGCAGTCTTCTAAATTGGTATTGCTTATCCTTTGTTGAGAACTAGTTTGGGTATGGTCAGTGTTTTGGAAAGCCATTTCATGAGCACTGCCTTCACAAGGTAAGATGCCAAATACAGACGTTTCAGAAATATAAGTTCATTGGGTTACCATCACTATGATACCCAGCCCAATTATGTTATCTAAGTGAAATGTTTAAGAATGTCTCCTAAAACATGGCTACCTATTTGACTTTAATGTGTTTTTGCTGTTTTATTAATTGATGTAAAGTCCCCTATAAGTATAAATTTAAGGGAATTTCTCATTGAGTGCTATGTGCCTGACATGTATTAATGTCTCTTCAATACTCTTTGACATATGTAGTTTTTTGTTTGTTTGTTTTTGAGACAGGGTCTTGTTCTGTTGCCCAGGCTAGAGTGCAGTGGAACAATCATAGCTCACTGCAGCCTCAAACTCCTGGGTTGAAGCGATCCTCCCACCTCAGCCTCCCAAGTAGGTGCACGCCACCATGCCTGGCTAATTTTTGTATTTTTGTAGAGATGGAGTCTCCCTATGTTGCTCCAGCTGGTCTCAAACTTCTGGACTCAAGGGATCCTCTCACCTTGGCCTCCCAAAGTGCTGGGATTAGAGGTGTGAGCCACTAGTTTTATTTTTATTTCCATTTTACTGACAAGAAAATGGAGACACAGAGGATTTAAGTAGCCTGACTGTGATCACAGCTAACAAATGGCAGAGCCAAGATTCAAACTCTAGTTCTAGAGAGCATTATCATTAACCCATTTTCTCCAGGCCCGGGATTCTGGGTCTGATGTTCTGGGTCACCTCCTATATGCAGTCATGCTTCACCCTATCCCAGAGGCTAAATATTCATGTCATCTCTGTGTCTGACCTTGTAACTCCCTGATTGGGACCCAGGCTGAACTACTCAGCAGTGAAACTCTTATGAAACACCAGGGGTTTGGTCTAGGTCCTGCTGCTTACCTAACAGGAAGCCAATCACTGAGACAACAAGTATTGCCGGGGAAGAAAGCTTTATTCAGGTGCTGCAGCCAAGGAGATGGGAGATCAGTCTCAAATTCATCTCCCTGTCTGACTAAAATTAGGGGGTTATGTAGCAGGGAAGAAATGTAACTATGTGTGAGAAAACAGGAATTAGGGAGAGGTAAGGGAGGGGAGTTGGTCAACAGGAAGCAGGGGGTCAATGAGGCATCATCATGGGTGAGGGGTCTGACAATTTATTGTTTAGATGCAGTGATCTGGTGAGTGTCAGCTTCTTGATGCTAACTGGGAGGCCTGATGGTTTCCTGAGAAAAGAACTCAGATAAGTCAAATGTAACCATCTCAAGTTTTAAGACTGGGGCGATCAGTTTTTATGTTTTTTTTTTTCAAAAGAAACCATAAACATTGGCTCTATGGAACAAGTGAGTCAGTTTAAAAACAACTTTATTAACAGAGTTGATGATGTATTTTTTATTTACTAGGAATAAATGATCAATTGATATATTGTTTTCAAATTTTCAGGACTGGGTTCTTTCCTCCTCTCCTTTTTATAACCGCAAAATATCCTCACAAACAATGTAATTAATATAAATTTTATCTCATACTTTTTGAGATACATTTACTTTTCTGTTTATAGCTTGTCTTAGTTTGATTCTATGCACTGAGCTGAACACCATACCTACTACCATTCTGCTGGAATCCCAGTTTTATTAAGTGAATTTGCAACACATGATATGGAATCACTGTCCTTCAGCATGTGTCTTCCCAATTTTCATAACTGATGACATAACTTTATAGGGTTCGCCAGTAGCATTGTTATGATTTATACCATATCACATTTGTAGTATATTGCATAGTATAAACATATGCTGTTTATATACATAGTATATAAGTAGCACATAGCATATACTATATACATAGTATATAAATAGTATAAATATATAGTATATAAATAGTATAAATATATACTATGTAATTAGTATATAATTATACTGGAGTGTATATATATACTATAAATATATACATAGTTTATATTTATACATAGTACATAAATGGTGTATATACATAGTATATAAATAGTGTACCTAGTATATAAATAGTATAAATATATGCTATTTATATACATAGTATATAAATAGTACAAATATAAATAAGTTTATAAATATATTTTTTAAACAGAAGTATAAATATGTATACTATATTATACATAGTGTAAATATATACAATATACTTGCTGCTCAGTGGAAAATAAGAATTATTTGCTTATACTTAATTAATACAAAATCTTTTCTAGAGTAAAATCATTATAAATTCCCCTTTCTTCAGAGCCAAAGGAGAAAAATAAATTGTCTTCAAATATAAGTGCATCACTCATTGCATGATCCACCCTTTACAGACCTAAAGGGGCAATGTACGCTCTCCTGGAGTATGTCAATGGGAAGTTGAGCATGAATAGCCCTGCATTTAGTAAATCAGAAGTTATTTAACTACTCGGAACCTAGATGTTCCTATGTGTTAGATAGGAATGAAAATACCCATCTTTCCAGGTTTACTCACATTTAAATATGATCGTGTAATGTACTTAGTACAGTGCCTGGCTGCCTTCTAGTGTCGGCACTCAATAAGGAGTAGTTATCATTGGTTCTTCGTAGACTGCCATTGGGAACTTGAGCAGGTTTGGAGAAGTGGCCATTAGCAAAGAAATCATAATGGAAAGAGGCTAGGAATATACACAAAGCCAGCACTGTCTTATGGGGTTGCCTAAAATATAGGAAATTATGGAAAATGGAGGCAAGAAAATCTCTATTCTTGACTTAGAACTTGCTTAACTTGTCTAATGCATAATTTACCTAAGGATTCAAAAGTGTGGGTTGCTTAAGAATAAGCAGAAACGGCTGGGCGTGGTGGCTCACACCTGTAATCCCAGCACTTTGGGAGGCCGAGGCAGGTTGATCACCTGAGGTCAGGAGTTGGAGACCAGCCTGGCCAACATGGTGAAATCCTGTTTCTACTAAAAATACAAAAATTAGCCAGGCGTGGTGGCGTGCACCTGTAATCCCAGCTACTCAGAAGGCTGAGGCAGGAGAATCACTTGAACCCAGGAGGCAGAGGTTGCAGTAAGCCAAGCCCACACCACTGCACTCCAGCCTAGGTAACTAGAGTGAAACTCCATCTCAAAAAAAAAAAAAAAAAGAATAGGTAGAAACTTGAAAAGCAAGGCTATGTTACCCTTTGGACATTTTTTGTTTGTTTGTTTGCCATTTAAGAGGACGTAAAAGGAGATCATTAGACAGAAAGTTTGTAAGTTTTGGAAGTAAAATTTTAGAGCAAAAGGAACCTTTGCAAGCACTTTTGATATAGATCTGTCATTCCAGAGAATCCATACATAGGCTTCCAGAACATCTAACTAAGCCATAGACCTTGGAGGTATCAGGGGTCTTGCTGCCCTCTTCTGCCTTATAGAATCAAATAAATTCATAGAGAAACAGTAGGGGCATTTTTTATTTTTGAGACAGGGTCTAGCTCTGTCACCCAGGCTACAGCACAGTGGTGTGATCATGGCTCACTGTAACCTCCTCCTACCAAGCTCAAGCAATCCTCCCACCTCAGCCCCCAAGTAGCTGGGACTACAGGTGCATGCCACCACACCAGGCTAATTTTTTAATTTTTTGTAGAGATGGGTTTTTCCATGTTGCTCAGGCTGTTCTTGAACTCTTGGGCTCAAGCAATCTGCCCACCTTGGCCTCCTAAAGTACTGGGATTATATGTGTGAGCCACTGTGCCCAGCCAGGACATTTTATTTTTATCTTATATATATTTTTTTATTTTTATTTTTTGAGACAGGGTCTCACTGTGTTGCCCAGGCTGGAGTGCATTGGCATGATCACAGCTCACTGCAGCCTTGAACTTCTGAACCCAAGTAATCCTCCCACCTCGGTCTCCCAGGTAGCTGGGACCACAGGCAAGCACCATCACTCCTGGCTAATTTTTTATTTTTTGTAGAGACAGGGTCTCCCTGTGTTGCCTAGGCTGGACTTGAACTCCTGGCCTCCAGCAGTGCTCCCACCTCAGCCTCCCTAAGTACTAAGATTACAGGCATGAGCCACCATGCCCGGCCAGTGAGGACATTTTAAAGAAGGAAGCAGAAGAATCAACTAGACTGATTGCCCTCTCCAAAATTAAATATTGCAAAGGCAGGAGTTGGATAAGCATTTGGTCATGAAAGATGTTAGGATGCCTTAGAATCTTCGAAGGCTAAAAAGCAGCAGCATTAATGAAGTTGAATGTATGAAAGCAGATTTCAGGTGTTGAAGAGGAAGCAGCTATCAATGCAGAGATTAAATAGACGAAGTCACAAGAATCTAGCAGTAGTAATTATGACTTAATGAAATTCCAGTTAACGAAGCAATGAGGTAGAGAAGGTAGGAGAAAACCCATCAGGATGAACAAAGCGTGGCTTGAATAGCTGGGTGGCCAATAAGAATGCTGCAATGAAGCGAAGAGCATGGCAGAGGGCCAAGGAGGAGAAAGGACAAACAGCAGCTTCAAGCCAGGAAAGCTCAGGCAGGAAATGAGAAGCAAATTTCAAAACACCTCAAGGGAAACATTCTTTAAATACATCTGAAAGAACAGGACAGGGAAATGTCGTTTCTATTAGGTAGAGGAGGGAGTTGGTTTTATTTATTTATTTGGAGAGGGAGTTTTGCTCTTGTTGCCCAGGCTGGAGTGCAATGGCGCGATCTCAGCTCACTGTAACCTCTGCCTCCCGGGTTCAAGCAATTCTCCTGCCTCAGCCTCCTGAGTAGCTGGGATTACAGGCGCGTGCCACCATGCCCAGCTGATGTTTTGCATTTTTAGTAGAGACGGGGTTTCACCATGTTGGCCAGGCTGGTCTTGCACTCCTAACCTCAGGTGATCCACATTCCTTGGCCTCCCAAAGTGCTAGGATTACAGGTGTGAGTCACGGCACGTGATATCAGTAGTCAGGTTGTCTGTTTTCTTTTCCATGCAAAGCAAAACTTCTTTGTTTCAAGAGTCTGGTAATATTTACTGGAAGTTGGGAGAGTAAGAGAAATGAGGAGAAGAGCTGACAAAAGGCCGTTATAGCAGACTTTGGATTAAAATCTGTAGACACCCATGTCCTGCCTATCAGGGGTACTGAAATATTTCTTTAGAATGATTGCCTCATGGAACACCCAGCGTAGAGAGAATATAGAACTAGAAAAGGTGCGAGATGTCATTTGTATGTAACAGGAGGTGAAGAATGGCCTTGAAATGACAAATCTGAAGGCTTTTATGACCTGGAAGAAAATTTGGGATGGGTTGGGGTAGCAGGTGTCATCACAACATCAATTTGGAAATGGCTTGTAAGCTGTAAGGTAGCAGGTATTAGCAATGTGGTTTTAAAAAGAGCAACTCCTGTCAGACTAATGCATCCTCTCTCGGTGACAGAGTAGATGGAGGAAAAGTGAAAGATGTAACCTAGATTGATTTTAGGAGAGTTGCTAATGCGTATCCATAAGTCACACCTGTGGGACCAGAAAGAAATGATTACTTTTTGCTGTACAGCTCTTGGAGGGGCTGCCTCATTGGAGCACATGTAAAGTGTGTTTAATTAGGAATTAAATGGTCATAGTGGACTGGGTAAAGAGGGTCATATTAAGAAATGTTCTAAAGTGATCATTAATAGATCCAGTGCTCATTCAAAATGTTCCATAACCTGCAAGATGGCAGGAAACACAGAAAATGGCCAGGTCGGTGGCAGGGGTAGGAGGGAAGGAGGAATTTAGGATCAGAGGTTAAAATGATTATGATTATTTAGAGGCACAGTCAGAAATAATGTAGTAGAAGGTCACGTGAAAGGTAGAAGGGCAGGGCAGAGTATGTACTGTTTTGTGTGTGTGTGTTATTTTTTGAGACTAAGTCTTGCTCTGTCACCCAGGCTGGAGCGGGGTGGTGTGATCTCGGCTCACTGCAACCTCTGCCTCCCAGGTTCAAGCAATTCTCCTGCCTCAGTCTCCTCCCTAGTAGCTGGGATTACAAACGCCCACCACCACAGCCAGCTAATTTTTGTATTTTTAGTAAAAACGGGGTCTCGCCATATTGGACAGGCTGGTCTTGAACTCCTGACCTCAAGTGATCTGCCCACCTCAGCCTCCCAAAGTGCTGGGATTACAGGCATGAGCCACCACAGGGTACTTACTGTTTTATGGGTAAGGATTATGATGATGAATGGTTGCCTAGAAGGCCTACATGCTGAGTTTATCTGGGAGTGACATTTATTCCTCAAAGCGTATCTTTTTCATAATTTCAATTTTTATTTGGGATTCAGGGGGTATGTGTGCAGGTTTGTTGCCTGGGCATATTTCATGATGCCAAGATTTGGGTATGAGATCCCATCACTCAGGTAGTGAGCTAAAAGCAGTATAAAATGGGTTTCTTTCTTAGCCCTGTAAGTTGGTTCTTTCTTGACCAACTACCCTCTAAGGAGAGTTAAGAGAAGATCTTGTAGGTATAAAGCTAAAAATCAATAGGCTGGCCTACAAGGTCAAGTAACAAAGCACGTTGTTTTAAGCTCAGGGTCTTAGGCTTAGTGGAGCAGGGATCTGGTCTGATCCCTACAAGTAAAAGAATGATTAGAGACATTGAAAAAGCCATAAAGATGGTTAAAAGGTTGGGGAAAATAAGGCTTCCAGGCCAAACAAAACTTGAATTCAGTGTGGAAAAATGTTGAGAGATAAGTTATTAATGTTAAGTATGCAAAGAACTCCTAAAAGCACATGGATGTCAGCTGTTCTATATTTCTTTTGCTGACCAACTAAGAGGGCAAATTCTTAACTGAATGAAGCATTTGCCCTACATCAACTTGGAATAGATTTAAAAGAAGAGAGTATGACTATTACTAAACATGGAGATAAGTTAGTGGGGGAGGGTATGTGTCTCCTTCTAAGAGATCTTTAAAATTATGAGCAATTGTGGCTGGAGGATACATACATGTTATACATTTATAAAATATTTGAGTTTGGACTCAAAGTAGAAAATGAAGATGAGCCCTTTTGTCTCTTTCAACTATGCATCAAGATTAGTATTAGTTTTGGATGACTTAGTCTATTGCAAGAAAGTTTTCACTAGGGGTTGGGCATGGCGGAGCATGCCTATAGTTCCAGCTACTTGGGAGGCCAAGGCAGGAGGATTGCTTAAGCCCAGGATTTCAGATCTAACCTGGGCAATATAGTGAGACCCTGTGTCTTAGAAAAGAAAAAAAGATGAAGGAAGGAAGGAAAGATGGAGGGGTGGAGGAGGGAGGGAAGGATGGAAGGAAGGAAGGAAGGAAGGAAGGAAGGAAGGAAGGAAGGAAGGAACTTACTTGAATTGGCATTTTCCTTTTCCTATCACAACTATGCCTTCAGCTTTCTTCTAATTACCATCTAAGTCCTTATAATAAGGACTTATAAATCCTTACATCTAAGTGCCTTACAGTAGTGTATATAAATTCTTACTGTATTTGCTCACCTAACAGTCTTCTTGGTGCCTCTCAGCTCTGTGAATGAACCATGTCTACCCTGCTCACTCACCATTGTAACTCTACTTCCAACAGTGTTTGGCACATAGTCATAATATCTGCAAAATGAATGATGGATGTTGGAAGAAGTACAGCACAGAAGGTTGCAGGCTTAGAAGGTTGTCATTTATAGAATGATTTGTGGAGGCTGGAATATCACTAAGAAGTATTTCCCGATCTTTTTCATATTGTTGAAGTTGTACTCCTGGAAATATGTGTCATTTGAATTAAAGAACTTCCTCTGTAAGCATCTTCTTTTTAAATGCAAATGGAATCCACACAAAAACTCATACATGAATGTTTACAGCATCACTATTAATAGTTGCCAAAAAGTAGAAACAACCCAAATGTCCATCAACTGATGAGCTAATACACACAATGAGATCTATCTAAACAATGATACTAATACATGCTACAACATGGAGTAATCCTAAAAACATTACGCTATGGGAAAAAAGCCAGCCAGAGGACCACCTGTTACATGATTCCATGTATATGAAATGTCCCAAATAGGCAAACCCATAAAGATAGAGAAACTACACTAGTGGTTTCTTAGAGCTGGGGAGGTTAGGAGGAGATGGGGAATAACTGCTAATGGGCAAGGAGGGTTTTTTTTTTTTTTTGAGACGGAGTCTTGCTCTGTCACCCAGGCTGGGAGTGCAGTGGCACAATCTCAGCTCACTGCAACCTCCGTCTCCCTGGTTCAAGCAGTTCTCCTGCCTTAGCCTCCCTAGTAGCCGAGATTACAGGCAGGTACCACCACACCCGGCTAATGGGTATGGAGTTTTATTATGGGATGAAAAAGATGATCTAAAATTATCTGCCATGATGGCACGAGCCTGTGAATATGCTAAAAACCACTAGATTGTGTACTTTATTTTATTTAATTTTATCTTATTTTATTTATTTATTTATTTATTTATTTATTTATTTATTTATTGGAGATGGAGTCTCGTTCTGTCGCCCAGGCTGGAGTGCAGTGGCAAGATCATAGCTCACTGCAACCTCTGACTCCTGGGCTCAAGCAATCCTCCTGCTTCAGCCTCTCAGGTACCTGGGACTACAGGCATGTGCCACCACACCCAGCCACTGTAAAAAAATTTTGTAGACATAAGAGGTCTCCTAATGTTGCCCAGGCTAGTCTCAAACTCCTGGGCTCAAGCAGTCCTCCCACCTGGAACTTCCAAGGTACTGGGATTATAGGCGTCAGCCACTGCACTCAGTTGAATTGTGCACTTGAAATGGGTACATTTGGCTGAGCGCAGTGGCTCAGGCCAGGCACAGTGGCTCACGCCTGTAATCCCAGCACTTTGGGAGGCCAAGGCAGGCAAATCACCTGAGGTCAGGTGTTCGAGACCAGCCTGGCCAACATGGTGAAACCCTGTCTCTACTAAAAATACAAACAATTAGCTGGGTGTAGTGGCAGGTGCCTGTAATCCCAGCTACTCAGGAGGGTGAGGCAGGAGAATCTCGTGAACATGGGGAGGTGGAAGTTGCATGACCCGAGACCGGGCCATTGCACTCCAGCCTGGGCAACAAGAGCAAAACCCCATCTCTAATTAATTAATTACTTACCTAATTAATTTATGGGGCACTTGGCATCAAGGAGATTTCTCTAGCAAGAAAAAGAGCACAAAGAACACGTATGGTAGACAACACAAAATTCAAAATTTTTCCTACTTTTTAGTTTTGCCTTTTGCTAAGTGTGCTTAACAATTACACTTGAGAAATACCTTTTCTACAACATAAGCACTGTAGAGTGTTGCTGTTTTCCCTTAGAATGTGTGCAAACTCCTCATCTTGCACTCAGTATGTTAGGTCTGAAGTGTGGATGTCTGTGTGTGTCCTGCCCTTCACGATGTGAACCTGAGCACTATGATGCCATTCTGTTCAGCATTGTGTCTGTGTTTATTATCCCAGAACCCATGGTAGGAGGACCACAGATATTTGCTGAGCTATCTATACTTTGATATAAAGGATATAAAGACCTGGGGAGATTTTCTTTCAAGAAAGAGGGCAGACTCTATTATGAGCTTAACAGAGTTGCCTGCTTAGAATATGGTTTTTTAAAAAGTTAATACTCAAATTATTTTCAACAACAGTGCCAAGATCATTCCATTGGGAAAGGAAAATCTTTTCAACAATTGCTGTTGGGAAAACCAGATATCCACATGCAAAAAAATAAATCTGAACGCTTACCTTATGCCGTATACAAAAATTAATTCAAAATGGATCAAACATCTAAATATAAGAGCTAAAACTATAAAATGCTTGGAAGAAAATGCAGGGCAAAAGTTTCATGACATTGAATTTGGCAATGATTTTATAGATATGACAACAAAACACAGGCGACAAAAGAAAAAATAGATAAATTGGACCTCATCAAAATTTAAAACTTTTATGCGTCAAAGGACACTAACAACAGTGTGAAAAGGCAACTCACACTGTGAGATTAAATATTTGCAAATCGTACACCTGATAAGGGATTTACATTCAGAAGGTATTTTTAAACTCCTTTAATTCAACTGTAACAAGTTTTTAAAACCCAATTTAAAAATTAGGTCTAAGACTTGAATAGATATTTCTCCAAAGATGTACAAATGTCCATTAAGCACATGAAAAGATGGTTAATATCACTAGCCATTAGAGAAATGCAAATGCAAACTACAGTTAGATACATATCACACCCCATCCTAATGAGTATGAAGGAGTATCTCATTGTAGCCCTGAAAGGGTTCTGGGAAGTTGATGCTGTGCCCACATTATGTCTTCTGTGAGCTATGGCTTATATTGGGTTGGTCTGCCCATGCGCATCACACTTCATGAGAATATGACAGATCGCATTTTCTTAATCTGCAGACTTAAATGTTTTTTTGTTTGCTTTGTTTTTGTTTTGTGTGGTTTTTTTCTTTTCTTTTCTTTTCTTTTCTTTTCTTTTCTTTTCTTTTCTTTTCTTTTCTTTTCTTTTTTTTTTTTGAGACGAGTCTCATACTGTCGCCCAGGCTGGAGTACAGTGGCGCAATCTCCACTCACTGCAAACTCTGCCTCCTGGGTTCAAGTGATTTTCCTGCCTCAGCCTCCTGAGTAGCTGGGATTACAGGTGCCTGCCACCATGCCCGGCTAATTTTTTGTATTTTTAGTAGAGACAAGGTTTCACTATGTTGGCCAGGCAGGTCTTGAACTCCTGACTGCGTGATCTACCCGCCTTGGCCTCCCAAAATGCTGGGATTCCAGGCATGAGCCACCGCGCCCGGCCCGTAAACATTTTTATGTTTGCCTTTCTCCTAGTCATTTTGCCAGTTTCAGCAGTACATGGGACATTGTAATCTCTCAAAGTGTTTTCTAAATTTAACTTGAATCTGTAATCTAGAAAGCAACCAACAAATGGCCAATGCAGCATGAGTCTCAATGTCCCACCAGCCTCACTCAATTCCCCTTGAATCTTTTTGTCACCAGAAGTTCTGAGTAGTTTATGTCCCAATGTGGATGATTTTCTAGGTTCTGCCAATGCAGAGGATTATTCTAGGTTATACAGGTTATTCTAAAGAGGCCCGAGACAGCTATCCTTTTCTGAGTCCTAAGGTTGAACCCATACATATATCTATGCAGGTGCATCCTCTGGTGTCTGAAGTGCAGCTTCTTAACATCCCATTATGGGGGATCAGAATCTTAAGCAATCTTCTTAGCCCTAGACCCCCAGTCCTGAAGGTTGATATGCAAGTGGCCTGAAAAAAAATGACATTGGCTGCCCCTTGCTTCTGAAGGACTTACAGATACTCTCTAAGTCCTATAGCATGTGCACAAGTCAGAAAGCACCTCATGAAATTATTCATGCATTCAAGCTGGACTGAATTTAATCCTTCAAAGAGAGACAGCTGTCAACTTCTTAAGAAGCTGAGCATGTTTTACAGTTTTGACCTTGATACTCAAGAAATGTCTGTGTCTGACCTAAAACTTGTTTGAAATAGGTTTTCTTTTCACATAATGTAAACGTATTTGCTTTTTCCTCATTCTAGAAGCAAAACATGTTCCTTTTCAAATATTGTCAATTTGAGGCATTTTAAGATTATTTCCTTTATTTGTTTTTTTTGTGGGCTAGGAAATCTAGACAGAATTGATTATTATTATATGGATAACTTTTAAGAAAGAATAATTTCATCTTAACAGAATCATGTTGAAACTATCTTATAGAAGGATATATAGAAAAATATAAACCAAGATTCATTTCAGAAATAAATTCCATTTACATGGAGAAGGAAAATTTCGAGTCAAAGTGACTTACATTGAAATCCTGGTTTATGCATGAACTAGCAAGTTTTTGAAGCTTGATTTCCTGATCTGTAAAACTGAAGATTCCATATTTTTCTCAGTGTTACTATGTGGATTGAATAAAATATTACATGTGAAAGAACCTGATAGGTTTCTGGTATACATAGTAGCTCCCCCAAAAATGATCTCCCCCGTTCTCACACTATTTTCCTTATCTCTAATTAACCTCGTTTTGTTTTTTAAATATCCCTTTTTGGATGTCTCTTTAGTAGCACAGAAAATATGTTTCTATTGGGTTGTAATCATTACAATTCAGTCATTGAGTATATACATATATTTCCCTTTTGGGCATTGTCACCCAATTTTTGGCTATTCAAATAGATCTTCATTAATAGTTCATTAGTTATTACTTAATTTCAATATAAAGAAAATTATACTTCTGAGTGGAAGGAAATCCCATGTCACCTCTTGTAAAGAATTTACTTTCTTAGTATCAAAGTAACATGTTTGAAGCTCAGAATCAATATTACATGGACCTATTGAATTACTAGGTTCAGAAGCCAGTAAGTTCAAGGGTGAGGTGATAATCAGGAATTTTGGTGTTTGTCAAATATCCACTGTGAGCCAGGAACTAGAGCAGGTGTTGTACGTGTGTTTCCACACTTAATTTCACAACTCTCTATTAGGTATCATTATCACTGTTTTACAAGAGAGGAAATAAGGGCTGCAGAGGTTGGTTAACTCAATGAGGATAGCACATTAAGAAAGTTCTGGGCCAATGTTGCACCCAGGTCTCTCTGAGACTTTTATTATTATCCACCATTTAATTGCATTTAGGGACCATGATTATGAGGAGACATCTTTTACAATGAAGAACTTTAGTGTCCCCCCAAAGCCAATGTTAGTCTGTCTCCCAAAACAGATTCTCCCCTTTTCTTTGACTCTGTCTTCTCTCCTACTCTTCCTTGCTTGTCAGAATAACAGGTTCATTGTTGAGAGTGGGTTAGTAAATACAGCGAATTCCAAGGATTTAGAGTGTTGCGAAGTCAGGAAAGAAGACCTGCTGCAGGCTGTGTGGTTCTGTGGGGAAGGAAAAGGATGTCTAACCATCCAACTGGGACCTGATCTCTTGGCCATTTGGGACTGGGTAGGAGAATGGCTAGACTGACAGCCCTGTGATTTGGCCCTTTTCCTTTGGAGGGGTGTGAATCTGATGCTGTAACAATTTCTGCCTTCTGTTGGTGGTATGGCTTGGCCGTGTCCCCACCCAAATCTCATTTTGAATTGTAGCTCCCACAGTTCCCATGTGTCGTGGGAAGAACCCGGTGTGAGATAATTGAATCATGGGGGCAGCTTCTCCCATACAGTTCTCCTAGTAGTGAATAGGTCTCACGAGATCTGATGGTCTGATAAAGGGTTAACCCTTTCACTTGCCTCTCCTTCTCTCTTGCCTGCTGCCACGTAAGCCATGCCTTTCACCTTCCACCATGATTGTGAGGCCTCCCCAACCACTTGGAAGTATGAGTCCATTAAACCTTTTTTTCTTTAGAAATTACCCAGTCTTGGTATGTCTTTATCAGCAGCGTGAAAACAAACTAATACAGCCGGTTAATATCCCTGCAGTTCCCTCCACCCGCATCTCTTCCCTCCACCCACATCTCTTCCCTCCCTCCTCTGTAGCATCCATCACAGGACTAAAGCCAGACAAGGCTCCGCTGGCACAAGCAGAGCAATTCATTGTGAAGTTTACTCCTGAGAGTTTTCTTCTGCTTTAAACTGCCACAGAAAGAACCGTCTAGACAGCTACCTCATGTAATTGACTGCCCCACGTTTAATAGAATGATCTTTTCTTCTGAGATGTCAACCTCATAAGGAATCATAAAGTTCACTTGGAAATTATTTTCAAGTGAGCAGAAATGCCTCAGCATTTGATCCAGTTTTCTAGTGGATGGGAATATTCTTTGAATGTGTGTGAGCACGTGCACGCTTGTAAATGTGTCTGACACATGTTATGCGCCGATAGTTCTCCGTCATGTAATCCTGAGAAATGCGAATTTTTTCTCTCTGATTGCTTTGCTTTCCTTCCCTATAGATACTGTGTTGTACTCAATAGGCTGCCAAGTCCATATGGATTAGATCTGCTTGTTATCCTTTTACTTCTCCTGTCAAAATAACCATCACAGTGCAAAAGGAAAACCAAGAAATGCATTCTCCCCGGGCTGAAGTTGGACTCAGTGCCCAGCTTGCAAATGAACTCTTCTTATTTTCTTTCTTTCTAGAGGCATTCCACAGTGGTATATGATAGGATTCCCTTTTCCATGTCTTCTATGTACAGGCAAAGTCGTGATTAAATCCTTCATTGGGATGGAAATCAGTAGGTCAGTTGGAAGATTGTCAAGCCAAGATGATTCTTTCTCTTCCGGTCCTAAAAAAAAAAAGACCTCATGAATTGTTTTTATTTAAATTGGATGTTTTGTTAATCTCTATCTGGAGTTGAATTCTCCTTTTGCCTTTCTTTTCATTGGAGACTTGATGTTCATTTCATTATTTCTACTTGTAGATACGTATAGTATCTCCTCTATTTGAGCCCAACATTCCTTGGAAAATTTTATGAAGTTGAATCAGGGAAACGAAGTGTATTTCCTTTTATACTCTGCGTCATAGCCAAAGACTCCTTTAATACTTACTTTAATGAACTGAGGTTGTAATTTAGATTTCTTCAGTGTAGCTTTTAGAGCAAAGAGCATGAAACTGGTTTTCAGGAGATCTAGAATTTCCCACTGGCTTTCCAACTGCTAACTAATAGCCTTAGACAAGCCATTGAACTTTTATTAGTTCCAATCTCTTAAATGTAGGAGTTGAAGTGGGTGGTTTCAAAGATTCCTTTCAGCTTCCAAATTCTGGAACTCTGGAAAAAAAAAAAAGATAGCCACATAGACTTGGAATATCGTCATGTGTTCCTAAAGTATCATCTTTTATAATAATTGATGTTGTTTGAAAAGAGTGTTGATATACAGATCTTGGACAAATAATTAAAATTTAAGGAAGTCTACCAGACTGTCCTTGCTAGCATGAAATTATGCCTGAAGGCATAGCACTGTGGCCTTTGCAGCCAGAGGGCTTGTTTTAGAAGTACAGTACACTGTACACGTCCTAGTCACTGGGGAGCTCTGTGTACAAATACACACAAGGCCATGGTCACAGAGAGCAACAGTCACAAACATAAATTCAGATGTGTGAACAAGACAATTGAGAAACAAATCATTGTCATTTAAGCTTAAACTTTTAAATCAGAGAGACCTACCTCACATACTTGTCCAATTTAGTAGAAGACTGTGACAACAGAGAAAATGGCAGCTGACAGCAGAAACAGGACTGATTTTTTTAATTAAAAATTTCAAATTAAATGTAATATATGTACATGGAAAAACTTCATACGTTAAGCTGTGCACACAATCACAAAGTTAAAAGCTTCTACCTTCAATTCTCAATCCTCCTTTCTAAAATTAACCATTGTTATTCATTTTTTGTTAGATCCTTTCCTCAAATGGCATATGCATATCCCAGTAGATAGATGCATGGCTTATGTGAACATTTATAAAAATTATAATAATCTACAGTTACTCTGTATGTCGCTTCTCCACTTAGTGATGCATCTTCAAGGTACTTCACATTAGCTCATGCAGATACAACTCAATTTTTTTTTTTTTTTTTTTTTTTTGAAACAGAGTCTCACTCTGTCGCCCAGGCTGGAGTACAGTGGCGCAATCTCGGCTCACTGCAACCTCCGCCTCCCAGGTTCAAGCGATCCTCCTGCCTCAGCTTCCAGAGTAGCTGGGACTACAGATGCATGCCACCACATCCGGCTGATTTTTTATTTTTAGTAGAGACAGGGTTTCACCATCTTGGCCAGGCTGGTCTCGAACTCCTAACCTCGGGGATCCGCCGACCTCTGCCTCCAAAAGTGCTGGGATTACAGGCGTGAGCCACTGCACCCGGCCGACTCAGTTTTTAATGATTACATTGTTTACCATCATATGAATTATCATTTACTAAATCAGTTCCCTATGCTAATTTAAATGATTATTTTTCTAGTTTCTGTCTTTCTCTAACTGCAACTCCTGCATTTCCATCTTTATCCAATTTCTTACGAAGGCAAAGCTGCACTGGATGGTCTGTTCATATATCTGGGTATTTTTTTCCACAGGATAACTTTCTAAAGGTAGAATTGATTGTTCAAAATGTTTACAAATCTTACCAGAAATGTTAGACCTATTTGGATATATATAATATTCTGCAACATATAAGAATGCTAGTTGATAGTTGCTATCCTGTATATTAACTTTTTAAAAGTTTTGCTAACCCAATGAGTAAAAAAAGCTCATTGTTTTGATTTACATTTTTATAATCATTGACGTTAGAGTATATTTTCCTATATTAGTTAGTCAATTTTGTGTTTGTGCGAAGCTCCAGTTTGTGTTTTTACCCATTTTTAATTGGATGATGAGGTTTTTGGGGGGTATTTTTAGACCACTTCATAAATTAAGGAATTAACTTTCACACTTTATGCAAATATTTCTCCAGTTGTTAAAGTTTGCATGTATTTTTCCCATAGAAATTTAAAATTTTCATGCAATCAACCTCAGAAATCTTTCCTCTCATATTTCTGCCTCTGGAATTGTATTTTTAGAAAGAACTTCCCTGTCCTAATATTACATATTAAGCATTGTTTGTGTTCTATACTAGTGCTCTTAGAGTTTAGCTTCCTTACGTTGTAATATTTGATCCTTCTACAGTTTATTTTGAGGCAAGGAGTTTGATAGAGATCTAGCTTTCTTTCTTTTGCCAAGTGGCTAGTCAACAGTACCACTACCACGAACTGAATAATTAATCTTTTCCCTTGTTGATTTGAAATGCCACTTTGTGAGATCCAAATTTCTGCCTGTGTTTGGGTCTGTTTCTGAACTCTATGTTTCATTCCATTGAGCTGTTTTTCCGTCTCCAATTCTACGATGTTTGAGTGACTATATTTTTAGTTATGGGCCATGCAGGGGGAAGATTTGCAAAATTGGTTGCTCAGTTCACTGTTTTGAAACTGCTTAATGAAGAGGCCTCTTTGTTTCCATTTTCTCTATTAACACCAGAATTAGTGTTCACGATGACATTGTATCATCCAAAAAGAATTAATTTTGCCCTTATAATAAGCTTAACAAGATTGAATATAAACAAAATTTTAAATAAATAAGATAATGTTAAAAATAGCATCTAGAAGGATATTTTTAAATGTCTTATCTGGAAATCTCACTTCTGGGACAGCGTTCAATAAATCTACTGTACCTACTCACACACACATTTGTAGACAATCAGACAGAAAACTGTTCGTATTTCTTGCGCTTTGTCTTTTAGAATGTGGCACATCGAATAGAGTTACCAGTTGCCCTGATCTGACTGATTTCGTATAAATGTCTTTGCTTTGGCAACAGTTGAGACCTATTCCTTCTCTGAGGTAAATCTTCTTGCAGAGCAGGAAGTTGAGGTTTTGGGGTAGAGTCCAAGAGTCAGTTCTGACCTTATTATTGGGGAATGTGGAAACCTAAAGCCTTCCATGAGTTAATAATGTGCACAGTGAAGGATTTTTTTCCCTCCTGAACTGATTGGGTATTTTCTAAAAGAGGATGAGCTTTTAATAACAGGAATGTAACTTTTAATTTTAAACAGATCTGTGCTTAAACATGGTCAGGGAATAGCCCCTGCTCAAAAATCTCCTTATTTGTACATGTTATTGTTCAAGGGAGAGACCTTCCTATTTATATGGCGAGAAAATAAATGAGATTTCTTTCTATCTGTCTTCCATATGTTTAATGGTAGGAATGTGTCTTGGATCTTGAATTAAAACAGACTGTGGATTCAGTTAGTTGATACAATTAAGAACTGTTCTTATCTCAGAATCAACTCTGCAGACTATCTCAGAGAATCCAATATCAACCATCCAGGTGGCTAATCCATCATCAACTGAATGGGCAATTTGGTTGCTTCTGTTCAATTGAACAAAGAGGCATAGGCACTCGTTAGTTCCACACCCCAGTCAGAGAAGCAACATGGGTGTGTGACAAAAGGGGTATATAGTCTGTTCTTTGGCTTCAGATATGAAAAAGCTTTTTTCAATCCAACTAATTCAAGACACCAAGCATAGTGATTTCTTCACTGACAGTTAGCATTGAAAATGAACTTCATTTTCCTCCTAACACACACAAAAAAGGGGGTGGTAGAAGCCACGGCAGATCATGGCAGATGGCACTTAGGGACAGCTGTAGTGCTTGGCTTGAGTTCCCCTCCGCATGGAGCACAGAGCTGCCCACTTCGTAGGAATACGGCAATATTTATCTACGCATAGGAGTCATTCCAAATAAAAAGGGTAACAGAAAGAAATTGCAGCCTACTGCTGTGAGCCTATCCAAAGGGTATCCATACATAGCCCAACATTTGAGGTAAGGGCATGGTTTAAGATCTCAAGGAATCAAAACATTATGGAAACACTAACGGGACCATTAGAATAAATGAATGAACCTAAGATCTTCAGTCCGACTTGATTGAGTGCAGATCCAGTCCCCTTTGGAGAGAGTTGTTAAGATAAGACTTAACTGTGACTAAATATACAGGCAAGGAATTGCCTCTGCAACACAAATAAGAAGCTTAGAATAATTTGCCATTTGAACTTTCCTTATATAGTTAGATACTTTGTAGAGAAACCTAGGCTAGGAGTTGGTGATTTTTTTTGGGTGGGGGGGTCGCTTTTTTCCCCCTTTCTCATTTTATTCATTTGACTATCGGCAACTTTACGATTTTTTAAATTGTAGTAAAATACACATAACGTAAAATTACCATCTTAACCATTTTAAAGCGTACAGTTCCGTGGTGTTAAGTATATTCACATTGTTATGCAACCAATCTTCAGAACTTTTTCATCTTGTAAAACTGAAACTCTATCCATTCAACAACAGCTCTCCATCCCCGCCATCCTCCCAGCCCCTGGCAACCACCATTCTACTTTCTGTCTCTGTGAGCTTGACTATTCTAGACAACTCGTTTAGGTAAAATCATAAACCTACTGAAAGTGTTTGGGTTTTTCTATGTGACTGGTTTATTTCACTTAGCACAATGTCCTCAAGGTTCACGTATGTGGCAGCATGTGTCAGAATTTCCTTTTTAAGGCTTAATAATATTCTGGCCGGGCACCGTGGCTCACACCTGTAATCCCAGCACTTTGGGAGGCCGAGGTGTGGGCGGATCACCAGGTCCGGAGATCGAGACCATCCTGGCTAACACAGTGAAACACTGTCTCTACTAAAAAACAAAATACAAAAATATTTGCTGGGCATGGTGGCGGGCACCTGCAGTCCCAGCTACTTGGGAGGCTGAGGCAGGAGAATGGCATGAACCCAGGAGGCGGAGCTTGCAGTGAGCCGAGATCGTGCCACTGCACTCCAGCCTGGGGGACAGAGCGAGACTCCGTCTCAAAAAATAATAATAATAATATTTCTTTGTATGTCTATACATTTTGTTTATTCATTCATCTGTCAAAGGACATTTGGTATTTTGGGTTTTGTTGGCCCTTTTTTTTTTTTTTTTTTTTGGAGGCAGAGTCTTGCTCTGTCACCAGGCTGAAGTGCAGTGGTGTGATCTCAGCTCACTGCAACCTCCGCCTCCTGCATTCAAGCGATTCTTGTGCCTCAGCCTCCCAAGTAGCTGGGACCACCAGGTGTGCACCACCACACCCGGCTAATTTTTGTATTTTAGTGGAGTTGGGGTTTTGCCATGTTGGCCAGGCTGGTCTCGAACTCCTGACCTCAAGTGATCCTCCCACCTTGGCCTCCCAAAGTGCTGGGACAACAGGCATGAGCCACTGCAACCAGCCAGGTTTTGTTGGCTTTTAATCAAGATAATATGCAAACACTACTTTTGTCCATCTGATGATGTCTCAACAAAGCCATTTTAGAATCTGAAGATACTTCCTCATTAAATTGTTACTATTGTTAATAACCGAGTGTTGGCTTAGTGAGTGTTAAGGTATATAAGAGTAGTCCAAATAAATGGCATAGAAATAAATGACAGTGATTAATCACTCACTAGTCTGATACCTCATAGCTTCCTTACTTCAAGTTTAGGCAGGTGCAGGAGTCATGAAAAAAAGCCAAAAGATAAAGGTCGCAACCACTTGGTGAGGAATGTTTGCTTTCTTGAAATGATAGCCCTCTACCCAGCACCATGAAAAGTGTGTTTTTCGTGGTCATTTTCAGGCCTCTAAGCTTGAGGTGTGGGTTTATATTCTGAAGGATGCAGTGCGTGATCTTTCTCACCAAACTCTCTCAAATACTGCACTGGATAAACACTCAGAGGACTGGAAAGTGGGACTGGAAGGAGCCATTGAGATTTTTTTTACATCCTCTTGTCCTGGAGTACTTTCCTTCCTCTACACTTTCCTTACATTTCTCA
Organism: Homo sapiens; assembly: GCF_000001405.40. Lineage (NCBI taxonomy): Eukaryota > Metazoa > Chordata > Mammalia > Primates > Hominidae > Homo > Homo sapiens. The sequence continues at coordinate 24,347,449 of NC_000010.11, forward strand.
GAGAAAAAAAGAAAAACTTTGTCATTTTTGTATTACAAACGTGCCAGCTTTGACTACCCTTGACACTAGGTAAGTGGGAGATTAATTGTTGGGATTATACCCATGGAAAAAGCCATAAGGCTTACATCACAAGTTTTATTTTTTTTAATATTTTGTTTTCATAGCTGGGGATTACTCTATTGGCATTCAGGGAGAGAGAATGAAAAAATATACTAGGATAAAAAAGGGAGTACTAATTAAAACTACAAAAGCAATGCAAACATACATTAAAAGATACAACAAATTCCATGCCAGTTTCGTGAAGAAATGCTTTGAGGTTTTTTTCCCCCCAGCTTTATTGAGTATAATTGACAAATAAAAAATGCATATATTTAAGGTGTATGACCTGACAATTTCATATACAAATACATTGTGAAATGGTTACCACAATCAAATTCATGAATATATCCATCACCACACATGGTTACCATCCTTTGAGTTTTAAGGTGAATTAATGGAATGCGTGTCATTCATATGCATATTCATATGCATGTCATTTGCATACCATTCCTTGACTCAAGAAAGTTGCTATATGAGTGAAAGATAATTATTGATCATATGAACTTAAGATACAATTATTCTCATCTGGCCAGGTGCAGTGGCTCACGCCTGTAATCCCAGCACTTTGGGAGGCAGAGGCAGGTAGATCACTTGAGGTCAGAAGTTTGAGACCAGCCTGGCCAACTTGGTGAAACCCCATTACTGAAAATACAAAATTAGCTGGGCATGGTGGCACATGCTTACTTGGGAGGCTGAGGCAGAATCGCTTGAACCTGGGAGGCAGAAGTTGCAGTGAGCCAAGATCACACCACTGCACTCTAGCCTGGGTGACAGAGTGAGACCCTGTCACAAAAATAAAATAAAATGAAATAATTATCCTACAAGAATTACCAGTAAGTATACTTCTAAAATAGATCTTACTCTAGTTCATTCCAATACTCACATAATACAACTATATATTAAATGGTGAAAATATCATTGCAGATAAATTCTAAATGAAAATAAATCCTAATATGTAATCCATTAGGAAATAAAATTCTAAATTTAATTCTACAAATTACTTTGTGATTTTGATAAAATTTACCTAAAGATACAGGGAAGATTTTAAATTTGTTTAAAAATGGGAAGTTAGTAAAATCTTGAGGATAAAGAAGAAATGTATACATATCAGGCAAGCCCACCACTGCATGTTCCATAGAATCTTACAGATAATGGATCTCAAGAATAAGCAGGCTAAATTTTCACACCCATCCCCCAAGTAGCTGAATCATTGGGGATTTTCTTTTGGAGAAATTTAGGGCCCTAGCAAAGAGTAGATAGCGTTCTGAGCAAGTTACTACTCCCAAGGGTTGGCCCAAGCATTCAAAAACAGCTGGGGGCTGGGCACAGTGGCTCCTGACTATAATCCCAGAGTTTTGGGAAGCCAAGGTAGGAAGATCATTTGAGACCAGGAGTTCAAGATTAGCCTGGGCAATATAGTGAGAATCCCATTTTTCTACAAAGAAATTTAAAATTTTGCCTATAGTTTCAGCTAGTTGGGAGGCTGAAGTGGGATCACTTGAGCCCAGGAGGTAAGGCTGCAATGAGCCATGATCATGTCATGCCTCTGCACCCCAGCCAGGGCAACAGAATAAGACCCTGTCTCAAAAAAAAAAAAAAAAAAAAAGAGAGATTGAGATCTGAGATCTCATATTTTTGTAGCAGGTTACACTGAGTGTTAATGGATGCATGATGTTAACTTACTGATTTTGTTTGTGAAGAACATATAACCTGGTTATTTGAAAGAAAAAACCATGACTACCAGAATGAACCAATGTGTAATATAGAAACAATCCCTCTGGCTTTGATCCCCTAACATCTGTGTGTCCTCTGGCAAGATTTTTGAGTACAGGTTGGAGAATGAGCAAAGCAAAGGTATTTGTTGGACACCAACTAGGCATCAGACACTGAAGTTATTTTAGTTACTCCTGACCACAACTCTGCATAAGCTACAGGGTGGTTTTCCCATTTTACAGACAAGAAGACTGAGCCTCAATCAGGCCATTGTTTGGCAGACAGTACATCTAGGACAGCCTGTTTCCAAGCCTGTGCCCTTTGCAAAACACCTTCTTTTGCCTGGCCAGCTTGATGGAGGCTCTTATAACCTGAGGCTATGGTGTGCTGGTGGGATTGTAAACATTAGAAAGTACATGCCAAGAACCGAAAGCCATTAAGGAAAATGAGTCACTTTCTGGATGCATTGAACATCTTTAGATTATGAGAGCTTCGTGAAGAAATAAAGTACAGAAATGATTTTTCTTCTTAAAAAGAAAGGAATATCTCTCTGGAGTAGAGATTGTTGGCAAGTTCATGTATAATCATGGTCAGCAGAAAAGAAATCTAAGCAGTAATGAAAAGCTTGTGTACTCAGAATGCCTTTAACCCAGTGAGCTGAAGAGCAGGCCTTTGGGGGAATGACGTTGGATGGAGGTGGAGTTGGGACAGGAATAGAATCCTGGTCCTGGAGGGAAAGACAGGTAAAAGAAAGTGAGACCATTAAAAGCAGGCATGATGCATGGTTACTCTTCATCCCTGGGTAAGGTGGTATAAATTGCTTTTGTTTTGCCCCCGTCCCCCAAATCATTTTTTTAAAGAAAGAGAAGAAAATATTTTTGAGGGAACTCATTACCTTTTGGCTTGAGGCATAGAAGCCTCAGAAGCTGAAAGCAATGTTATATTTTTATATGCTGCAGATGCTTCCTGGTTTTAAAACAGTGACCTGGCTCCCCAACAATTACAGCATCAACATTGAGGGAGAACATTCTTGTGTATCGTGTAATTCCAGGAGCAGATGTGGGGTAGCCTTTACGAAATTAGGAGGAGGGGAGGCAGTCTGGTTTAGATCGTGAACTACCCAAAGGAAAGTTACTTGGCATGACTTCGATTGTGTGTTAAGATAATTTTTATTGTGTTCTAGTTCTCAGACAATATCATAGATAACCTCTTTTGCCTGGGTGCATTTTGAAAGGTCTTTGTGTTGATTATCTGCTTTTGATGTGTTTTCATGATCCGTTCAGACTACCCAAGCCATAAAACATCAGTAATTAAGAAAAACTCTCCCTGTGGAGAAGAATCAAGAAGATTCTACTTCTTTTATTTAATTTTTAACATATCTAAAGGAATGCAGTAAACTCTTTTTACCCATTAGTAATTGACTTTGAAACAGGATATGCCTTTCCTCTGGAGTCTACAAGTAAGTCTCGAGAGAAACTTCATAAAACAGATTGATCCTAAACTTCCCTCCTGCATTCATGGGAGTTAGCTGACAGGAAATACACAGTGCGAGGAAGTGGTGAGTGAGAGAAAAAAAAAAAACAGCTAACTGATAAGATCTTAATTGCAAGGGTCGTTTTCATGGTGGATCATACCTAATAGGTCATGTATTTCAACAGTTTTTTTGGAAAAGTGATTATGCATCTTTTTTTTTTATTATTTTCTGAGGCAGAGTCTCATTCCGTCACCAAGGTTGGAGTGCAAGTAGTGTGATCTCGGCTTACTGCAACCTCCGCCTCCTGGGTTCAAGCAATTCTCATGCCTCAGCCTCCCAAGTAGCTGGAATTACAGGCATGCGACCATACGCAGAGCTAATTTTTGTATTTTTAGTAGAGTTGGGGTTTCCCCATGTTGGACAGGCTGGTCTAAAACTCCTGACCTCAAGTGATCCGCCCACCTCGGCCTCCCAAAGTGCTGGGATTACAGGTGCAAGCCACCATGCCTGGCCAGTGATTATGCGTCTTGTAAACGAATTTTTGGGGTCTAACTTTTCCAAAATTTCTATCTGGTTTTCTTTCTTCCCTTCTAAGAGTCTGTATCTTCTTCCCTGCCCTGGGCTTTATTCTTTTCTAGAGATCCTGGCAGTCATTATGACCATGCCCTTTATGGCACATCCAAGGTCAGTGTTCATGCGTGTCCTCCCTCGTTCATTCCCTAGTATGGGTGGATATAGCTGTGTTACATGCTGAATCCTGCTACCCACTGTGCAATGGAGGGGTCAGAGTCTTGTGGAAGGAGAGCTGGAGAGCCAGGGAGAATACAGGACTTTTCTTCACCTTGGGTTGAGGCAGAACTCATGAAAAACAATGAAGCAAGGAATAATTTCGTTTTGCACCCGTTTTTTTCGTTTATGGACCCCATTTCCTGCATCTTAGCAAAATCTCTCCTCAAAAAAATGTTCTAGATTAGTAGTAGTAAATTGATCTATCTGATGGGGCTGCTGTTGGATCTCTCCGAGCCATGTTTGAACTTTTAATAATGAAGTCCACAGTCCCTGCATAGCTTACCAAGCAACTGTGGATTTGCAGGGTGCGGCCAGCAGGTTGCTGGAGCGAGATGGGCTCCCAGTTCCCCTAACATCACTCTCCACCCTCCACAGTCTATCCACAAGCCACCACCCTGCTGCTCACAGGTCTGACCCTCCCCTGTGGTTGATGGGCAGGACAGGACTCTACATATGCCGGTGTCTGTTAACACAATGGGGAACCCACCAGAGATCCCTCACACAGGATCACTTTTCTGGCTGGGCTGTTTTTCCTCATCTTTCATCAGTGAGTGTTGGCCGTCAGCGTGGCACTCTTCACACCCAAGTGAAGCCTGCCTTTCCCCTCTGCCACATTGCAGTCTCTGCTGGGGTGGAAAAGAGGTCAGCAAATGAACTCACAATAGTGCTAAGCATTGGATTAAGCTTTCACCATTAGTCTTTTCAGCTGACCCAAGAATTGCATTGTGAATGGGGAGGTGGGGTGACTCACTGAGTAATCCTTTAAAGAGTCCATTGGAAGCCAGTCTTCTTTCAAATGTTTCACATGGAATAATCGTGAATATTTTTGCATGGATGTGCAATTAATTGCAAAGTATGTATGTATACTTTAGGTGGAAACTTAAAAACCTTCCTTTGCCATTCTCATAAATGGGCTTGCTGATCTGCCTATTATAGATTATGGTGGCCAAAGCACCACCCTTCTATTAAAAAGTATAATCTTTTTTTTTGTTGTTGTTAACCAATCAAATGTTCCATCTGTTTAGACTCCGCTGTCTGCTCTGGATTTTAGAACAATGCAGTCAAGGTTATTCTTGCTCAGTAATCTTGCCTTGAAAAAGTGAGTTACTGTTCCCAGAGGCAAAGGCACTGCTTCTTGATGACAGGCAAGTGGGATTTATTAGCTTTGTGAAGGAGGTGGGAGGGCATCGTGATACTTGGTAAATTATGAGAGGGGCTGGGGAGACCATGTCAAAAAGAAAGGGATTCCTTGCCAGATGTTCCTAAGAGTTGAATTACCATGGAGAAAATAATCTGAAAATATGAGTGACCTCGACTTTGTCCTAAACCCCCATGGCTTAAAGTGCAAGCGAAAGGAGGGAATGTGGCTTTATAGGGGCTTGCAGGTAGATGGAGGGTGGGTGGGGGTGGTGTCAGGTCAGTTCCTTATGGGCTTCCCTAAGTCAGTGCTGGAGAGCAAAAAGAGTGTTGAGGCCTCCCGAGAACGCTAGAATGACCCCACATCCCTCTACATCAGCTTTAGACCCACAGCAGCCTCCTAGGTCTTCTAGGTGGAGGCTGAGATAGAGATGTTCTATCCTGAATATGTTCAGACAAGCCAGGGGCACTCATATAGGTGGTGCGGTTTCCTGTTTTGCAAAGGACAGGAGATAGAGCCACCCAAGCAGATGTCCCAGATGAAAATGGCTGTGAAACGACAGTGTCACCTTAATATCCATTTGGACCTCATTTATGGGAAAAGCCACCTTTCCCACACCACTATATTTTGTTTGTTACAATCTCTGTTTGTCCTTCTCTTTCAAACATATTTCTCATTAGATTTATTCCATCGCATATTTTCAGCTTGTTTCTGTGAAGTTCCGACAGGAGGGGTGTTCCAGGAAGCTCCGCGGTACCTTTTATTTTATTTTACTTTATTTTTGCCCTTCTCCTGGAAGAGCACTTGGTAATCTTCTTAAATGCTTTTTGAAAGCCTTTTAATGACATCACTCAGTGCCCCGCTGATCACTCATGAACTGCAGTTGTACACCAGCTCCAAAAGTTCCATATTTATGATGATAAACAAGAGCTGTAAGATTTCTAATTTTGCTGAGGGGCTATTTTCCCTCTCTCTCTTGATGTGACTCAGTTTTTCAGTGTAGGGCCAGAGGCTGTTTGTGTACTCAGAGACGATGTTTTCAACTTTTTGCTCTTGATTTTTCCAGGCAATTAGCAAAGTCTTTTTAGAGTGGAATTGTTATGAGCATACATTCTATTTTAATTCATTGTAATTAGAGGGATGAGCATTACACTTCTTCAAGAACTCCTAGAAGTCAATGTTCTGATTTCCAAAGATCAAAATCTTATTTTATGAGCAAAAAATGTGACTAGATATGAAAAATGACAATCAGTAATATTCCTCCAGCTGGCAGAGTGTATGAACTCCACTTGTGATTTCAAAATCATGCTGCAGAGCTGTAGCTGGGTTTTCTGATGGTTTCTCCACGGATTATCTTCCTCAAATACAATGTTAAAAATAATAACTTGTCACTGTGGCCCTCAGTTTGGTTGTGTTTATTATAAAGAAGATTGAACATATGAACTGCCAATTGATGATGGCCCATGTTCCTGGTCTGTTTAAGTAACATCAAGTCATCTTTGAATTTAAGAAATGGTAGCATTCTCTTATTTGATTGCTATTAGCCCTGAAATGGAACTGTCCAGAATAGTATTTGTGAAATGGCAGAGTTCCCGGACCCCCCTCACAGGACGTGAGACAGGGGTGTGGCTAGTCTATCTGGCCACCTAGTGAGCACTCAAACCCCTTACAGGAGGGGGAGCATGCAGATGGGCAGGTGCAGGAGCCGGGGCAAGTGCTTTTGGACTCTGGCCCCACAGTAGCATCTAGGGGTGGGTGCCTGCAACTCTCAAAGCTGCAGTGGGCATGTTACCATGCTCTTTTAGCTCTGCCATCTGCACACAGCTTAAGTGTTAACCAGCTCAGTGCCCTCTTGGTATCCAAGTCCTTGTCCTGCATCCAGGAAGAATCAGGTCACACAGACAAACTGAAGGATGGTAAATGCGGGGGATTTTATTGCCTCATCAAGGTGGCTCTCAGCAGGATGGAGTGGGAAGATGATCTTCCCCTGGAGTTCAGCCATCCTGAAGCCAATCTCCTCTCTCACCATTCCTAGCCAAACTCCTCTCAGCATTCAGATGTTCCTTCTCTTCTCTCCTCTGCTCCTCTGCTCTTCTGCTCCTCTGCTCTTCTGCTCATGGAGCCTGGGGCTTGGGGTTTATATGGGTACAGGATAGGGAGGCATGGCAGACCAAAAGGCAACATTTGGGCACAAAAACAGGAATGCCCGTTCCCATTTAGGGCCATGGGTTTCCAGACTTGAGGGTGGGGCTTTTGCCAAGGAACCACCCTCTTCTACCCAGTATTTCCCTGCCTCCTGTCCATGTCATTTGTACAAGAAAACATTTTTCTCCCAGTAAAGCTTATCAGTTTTCACAGAATAATTGTCAGCCCCTAAAGTATTTTTGGCTGTCTCCAGAGGTTAGTAGGTAAGAAGCTTGAAGATGAGGCCAGAGTTCAGCATTGAGCTGTCCCAGGTGACACAGACTGGTGAGGGCAGGCAGGTTGGCTGAACTCAGTCCCTGGAGCTTGGGGCCAGAGGAGGTTGCAGCTGTGTAAGCAGGTGGGCTTCAGCCCCTCAGGATAGCAAGTCTCACAGCCAGGGATGCAGATGCTAACATCTGTCACATTGTCTTCAGTGGTTTATTATCTTAGTTTCAGCTGCTGCAACCAATACCATCGACTTGGGGGCTTAAATGACAGGGATTTATTTCTCATAGTTCTGGAGGCTAGAAGTCCAAGAGCAGGGTGCCAGCATGGTCAGGTTCTGGTGACAACCCTCTTTCTAGTTGGTAGACCTCTGTCTTCTTGCTGTGTCCTCATATGGCAGAAAGAAAGCATCTGTCTCATGTCTCTTTTTAGAAGGACACTAATCCCATCACAAGGGCTCTACTCTTGTGACCAAATCACACCCCAAAGGCCTCACTTCCAAATACTATCACATTGGAGATTAGGGCTTCAACATGTAAATTTGGGGTTGGGGGGCACTCACATTCAGTTCATGGCACTTGTGAACTGAAGCCAAGTGTTGTAGGTCTTCTGTCGCCACAGCTGAGCAGGCTGAGATGAGCATAGCAAGTCCTCACTCTTTTTTTTTTTTTTTTTTTTTTTTTTTTTTTTTTTTTTGAGACAGAGTCTCACTCTGTCTCCCAGGCTGGAGTACAGTGGCCCGATCTCGGCTCACTGCAACCTCCACCTCCCGGGTTCAAGCCATTCTCCTGCTTCAGCCTCCCCACTAGCTGGGACTACAGGTGTCTGCCACCACGCCCGGCTAATTTTTGTATTTTTAGTAGAGACGGGATTTCACTATATTGGTCAGGCTGGTCTCAAACTCCTGACTTTGTGATCCACCCGCCTCGGCCTCCCAAAGTGCTGGGATTACAGGCTTAAGCCACCACACCTGGACAGCAAGTCCTCATTCTTTAGCAGCAGAACATTTTAGGGTCTCTTCTCTTTCTTTTGTGCATAACTTAAGTTTCTTCTCCTTAATGATAACATCATTGCTTTATTATTTTTAGAGCTTTATAGTTAACAGTGCTTTCAACCAGTTTGCTTCATTTGTGCTTCCTGGAGACCACTGTGAAGTAGGTGGGATGATTATTGCCATTCTGCAGATGCAGAAATTGAGGGTCATGGTTTAGTTGCCCCAGTACAAAGCCTGATGCTGGGTTAAGTAATTTATTCAAAGTAAAACAGCATCGAATGCTGAATCTACATCTTGAACCCAGGTCCTTCTGACCGCAGGTCCTTCCCATGGGTATTTAGAGATTTGCAAAAAGCACTTAGAGCTCCTGCCCATTAGTCTAGGCCTTCCTTGATAATAACCTTGTGGGGGAGACCTCTAGTGTGGCCAAGGATGTTAGGAGGTTGCCGTGGTTTCAGTGTGTCCCCCAAAGTTCATGTGTTAGAAACTTAATCCCGAATGCAACAGTGTTGAGAGTTGGGACCTATAAGAGGTGACTAGGTCATGAGGCACAACCCACAGGAATGAATTAATTCTGTTATCTTGGAAGCACGTTCCTAAGAAAAGAATAAGTTTGGGCCCCCTCCTCTGTCACTCACACACATGCTCCCTTGCCCTTCCACAATTCCACCATGGGATGACACAGCAAGAAGGCCCTCGCCAGATGCTGGCATCTTGATATTGGACTTCCAGCATCCAGAACCATGAGGAATGAATTTATTTTCTTTATAAATTACCCAGACTGTGGTATTCTGTTATAGCAACATGATACGGACTAAAACAGAGGCCATCTGTGTCTAAAGCAACTTAAAGCTAAAATTTGCCAAAAAGGTTTAATCCAAGTCTTCATTTTAATGCATAAGGAAATTAAGGGCCAGATAAATGCCTAAGTTACAATGAGTTTGAGGCAGGGCCTGGGCTAAGAATTGGTCTCAGACTCTCAGCCCAGTGCTCTCCAGATCATTGAGCCTTACCTCTCCCTCATAGAGTGGCAAGATAAGATGCCCCACTCGTACCACGGCCAGCCATTATGGAAACTTTCAGGGTAGACCTTGTATGAAGGCCAGCCCCTGCCCACTGTAGGTAGAGGAAGACAAGACACTCAGAAGCATCCCTCAGCTGGCTGCCTGGGCCTGGAGTAGTACGAATCACCTTGCTTTGGATGCAAGCTGGTCAGAATCTGTGAGTTTCTACACTCTGGGCCTGTTTCCTATGGAAGAAAAGGGAGAATCAGAAGTGCATTCTGGACTAGCTTCAATAAATCATCTTATGTCTTATCCCACCTCTTTTCCCTATTAAAATTCTTACCTTTGGCCGGGCCCAAGCTTGAGAAGGCCACTCCTAAAGCAAGGCCCCTTTGGACTAGGGCCTGGGCAAGAGTTAACTGGCACCTGCTATGCCAGCACAAAGCTTAATTCCCCTGCAGCAGCACACCCGCAGGCAGCTATTGAAGCAAGGATGGAATGTCTTACAATACAAAGCCTTTGTAATAATGAGAGGGAAATAGAAACCAGAGGTTTGCAAGCTCTTTTTTTCTTGGGGGGTTCTGAGTATTTTTGTTTAACTTAAGTTTCGTGTTCCAAGGAAGGGGCGTTTTAGTGAAAATTGTGAAGGGAAACCCTGCCAAACAGAAATTCCTTATAGGATGAGTATTTTCCTCCTTTCAAGGTGTGAGAGCGACCAAGAAGCAATAACGCATAGGGGAGTCGGGGTGATAGATTGGAATGCTCTTGGCTGGAGTGTGATTGGTGTCTGGAAGTGAGTCCCAGCAGGTTGGCTGGTGAGGCCATGTGAGCATTGGGCCTGTTCCAGGGCTGTGAAGTGTGCAGGCTTGCTTGAGGCTGTAGGCACCACTGCCTGAGCCATGCACGTAAACTCCCCAGACCCTAAGAGTAGTTTACTGTCAGGGGGTAAGCCCCCAAATCAAGCAAGCTGCACAGAGCCAAGACTCCCAAGAACCAATGCCTTCTTCCAGCCTTTCATTCATTCATTCTGTAAGTGAAAACTCAGCGTGGATGTGGATGAAGATATTCATGCCTTTGTGATCATTACATTTCAGTGTGTGGGTGCAAGGGGAAGGAGACAGATAAGAAGTGAGCAAATAAGTAAAGTATCTAGTGTGTCTAGGGGTTTTAAATGTTATGGAGGCAAAAATAAGCAGAGTTCTCAAGGAACTGGTCATCCCGATGTCCATGGGCTGCACTTGGTTGGGGCAGTTCTAAGAGTATCTGTCACACTTGCAGAGACGACCTGGGTCAACTCTTCCCAGGCACTTTGTAGAACACCGGGCAGGGATACTTCAATTTCACTCTTTGTTAACTGGGAATGTGGAGGCTTAGGAAAGAACTCTGAGATTTGTGAATGTGATACCAGTCCTCCTATAGTTAACCAATGTGTTTGTTCATTCTCATACACTCTTGCATTTGTATGAGAATATTAACTATTTCAAAGCTCTCATAAATCTATTGCATCATTTTAGTCTTATATCAAAGTAGGAAGGGTGGATATTGAGACACAAAATTGAAGATCAATGACTGTGCTGTGGCATGGGTTGTCCAGTCAGGACAGTGGCCATACACAGTGGTTGGCCATAGTGAAAACTGGCTGAATAGTCACCCTGTATATGACAGGTTTGCTTTGCAATTTGTTTTTTGTTTGTTTATTTTTTGCATTGCAATGGCAAGGTCATAGAAATAATCTTGTCACCCTTCAAACTCACTACTTTGAAAGCCAGCACTCCATTGTATGCATATATATACACATACACACACAAAGTGTACTTGTTTTGTTTTTTTAAAAATCAGTCTCCTTACTTTGACCCATGAGAACAGGAGCACACAGGAGTTCAGACATATCCATTGGCCACATAGTACCTGAGATCTGTGAATGAGATCACAGTCGTCCTATAGTTAGCCAATGTGTTTGTTCATTCTAATACTTTCTTTCTTTCTTTTTTCTTTTCTTTTCTTTCTTTCTTTCTTTTTTTTTTTTTTTTTGTTTTTTTGAGATAGAGTCTCACTCTGTCACCCAGGCTGGAGTGCAGTGGTGCTATCTTGGCTCACTGCAACCTCCACCTCCTAAGCTCAAGTGATTCTCGTGCCTCAGCCTCCCAAGTAGCTGGGACTACAGGCGTGTGCCACAAAACCCAATTAATTTTTTGTGTGTTTTTTGTAAATACGGAGTCTCAGCATGTTGGCCAGGCTGGTCTCCAACTCCTGGCCTCAAGTGATCTGCCCGCCTCGGCCTCCCAAAGTGTCGGGATTACAGGCATGAGCCACCATGCCTGACTTAGCTTTCATTTGATGAGAATATTAATTATTTCAAATTGCTCATAAATCTGCATTACTGTATGTCAGATATTGGCTTTAGCATTTTTCTCAAGTTATTTCATACAACAAAGTATAATATAAACATCATTATTACTATGTCATGAATGAAGAAAGTGTACATGAAACATGCCTAAGGTAATATGCCCAAAGTCTCACAGATAGTAAGTGTTGAAAATGAAGCTTACGCCCAGTTCTTTCTCTTTCCAGAAATTATACTTTCAACCACTATCCTATATTCACTATAGGATTACTTTAGATTCTAAGATTCCTTAGGAAATTAGAAATTCTTAGAATTAGAAGCTGTTGGGATATCACCCTGAACTCTTTTTTGTTAAATGTTGCTGCTTTTTAGTTTATTTACCCTTGAAGGTCTTTGAGGCTTTATATTTTATTATTGTTATATCAACTATAATTCTTAGTGTGACTTATAAAGTCTCACAAGGCTACGTAATTTTATTCCATCTTTAAGTATTTTAAACAGTTAGAAAAGGAATTATATTACAATTAGATTTCTCAATTTAGTAGCTCTTTTTTTTTAACCCAAATAATCAGAAATTACTTTGCTCCCCCAGTTACTGACAGACTGTGTATCTTTAGGATATAATTACTTTTTTTTTTTTTTTTTTTTTTTTGAGACAGACTCTTACTCTGTCGCCCAGGCCGGAGTACAGTGGCACAATCTGGGATCACTGCAACCTCTACCTCCCGGGTTCAAGCGATTCTTGTGCCTCAGCTTCCCGAGTAGCTGGGATTACAGGCACACGCCACCATACCCGGCTAATTCTTTGTACTTTTAGTAGAGATGGGGTTTCACCATGTTGGCCAGGCTGGTCTTGAACTCCTGACCTCAAGTGATCCACCCACCTTTGCCTCCCAAAGTGCTGGGATCCTGTCACGCCCGGCCAAGATAGAATTACTTTCAAGACTATTTCCCAACGTTTGGTCTTGTTATATTCTTTAGTTTTGTGTCATGAGGCTACTAATTTTTTATTCCTCAGTGGTAACTTTATGAAATCTCTTAGACTTGCAGCAATCAAGCCTCTCCCTTCTATCGTGGGCTTTAACTATGCAAGCAGTCAGCCCATTACAGTTTTTTCACAGACTGGTTACATTCAGCCCGAGTTTGAACCAGGGCCATTTGGGGGCATTTGGAGAGGATGAAGATGGACCAAAAGCAATCAGTTGACCTGTGTCTTGTTTCCTCTTGAATTTGGGATTTCAGCTGCCTCCTTTGATTATGCTGGAGACTGTATCATACTCGCTAGGTTCAGGGCACCCCCTTGTGGTGCAACTCGAAACGTAATCAACGTGAGGAAACAGAATGATGGCCAAATGACGAGGAATGAAGAGGCCACGCATGTAGATATGATTTTATTGTTCTTCCCATTTTTAAAACTCTCAAATCAAATCTCCTGTTTTTCTCCTGTTGTTTCAAATTTATCAGTAGTTATTTCAATGCTAAGTGGTTTTTTTTTTTTGGAGGTAGAAACAAATCAGAAAAGCAAGCACAAATAATTTAATGCTACATCTCGGGAGTTTTTAAAAAAATTTTATTACAAAAGTAACCATGGATATTCTAGGAATGTTAGAAATAATAGACTAAGAGTAGGAGAATTATTTACAATCCCATGACCCACATAGAATACTTGTGTTAATATTTTGGTGTATATCCTTCTCCTATTTTTTTCTAGGCACATAGACTCAAAGGAAAGAAACCACATGCCACAAGCACATGCCATTTTTTTTTCTTATTTATGTTATTTTATTTTTTGAGACAGGGTCTAACACTGTCACCCCGGGCTGGAGTGTAGTGGCGCAATCACAGGTCACTGAAGCCTCAACCTACTCAGGCTCAGGTAATCCTCCCACCTCAGCCTCCCAAGTAGTTGGTACTGCAGGCAGACGCCACCATGCCTGGCGAATTTTTGTATTATTTGTAGAGATGAGGTTGCAACATGTTGCGCAGGCTGGCCTTGAGCTCCTAGGCTCAAGCGATCTTCCCACCTTGGCCTCCCAAAGTGCTGAATTTACAGGTGTGAGCCACAGTGCCCAGCCCATTGTTTTCTAATATGATTTTATCCACTTAATTATATGTGTGAACTTCTTTCCCTCCTGTTACATGATAGCTACTTCATCATTGCATGTGGTTGCCTGGTTTTGTTGGTTCCACTGTGTGTGGGCAAATACCATATCATGCAGGGCCTCCTTGTAGATAACTGTAGATTATTTTCTTGGGTTCTTTATTAGAAATAGAATGGCTGGGCCAGGGGCGATGGCTCACGCCTGTAATCCCAGCCCTTTGGGAGGCCGAGGCGGGAAGATCACGAGGTCAGGAGATCGAGACCATCCGGGCTAACATGGTGAAACCCCGTCTCTACTAAAAATACAAAAAATTAGCCAGGCGTGGTGGCGGGCGCCTGTAGTCCCAGCTACTCGGAAGGCTGAGGCAGGAGAATGGCGTGAACCAGGGAGGCGGAGCTTGCAGGTTCGGGCCACTGCAAGATCGGGCCACTGCACTCCAGCCTGGGCGACACAGCGAGACTCTGTCTCAAAAAAAAAAAAAAAAAAAAAAGAAAGAAAGAAAAAGAAATAGAATGGCTGTATCAAAAAGATATGCAAAATTGTCTTCTTGTTCATTTGTTAAAATAGAGCATCTTTTTGAGAATGCAATTTTTTTTAAATCTGCAAGTTCCTAACATTTGCATCCTTAGTCTGTGTTAGGAATTGTGTACAGTGTTTCACATGCCTGGATCTCACTTCATCCTCCCAGCAACCTATTATGATCCATTGCCACACCAACTTGCTGATGAGGAAAGTGGGGCTTAAGGAAATTAAAGAGCTGTTGTGGGACTTCCAAAGCAGAAGACAGTAGGCTTTCAGAAATTTGATAAAAATAGCACTTTGCATTTCTTGAATCTTGAGCTAAATGGAAATTAATACTAAACATTCTCCACTGGTAAAATAGAGAATAAGGATATTAACAGTAAAAGAAAAGAAGAAGAAAAGGAAATGTGCTTCCACAGATTTAGAAACATAAGTAACAATCTAAGTTAAGGCTTTGGCGATTAGATCTTCATGTTGGAAGATATGCTGGATGGCTCAGTGATTTGCTGTGCAATTACAAACCCGAGACAATTTGTAATACAAAGAGCTTTTCATGAGATCTTACATTTTTTTATGAATATATTTTCGTTTACCATGGTTAGTCTCCTAACTGGTTAAATTGCTTCCAGAGAGTCAAAATTTGACTCTATGTAAAGTGACATCAGAAAGTCTCTAATTTCTGGGCCGGGCGCGGTGGCTCACGCCTATAATCCCAGCACTTTGAGAGGCCAGGGTAGGCAGATCACTTGAGGCCCGGAGTTCGATACCAGCCTGGCCAGCATGGCAAAACCCTATCTCTACTAAAAATACAAAAATTAGCCAGGCAGAGGTTACAGTGAGCTGAGATCATGCCACTGCACTCCAGCCTGGGTGACAGAGTGAAACTGTCTCAAATTTAATTAAAAAAAAAGAAGAAGAAGAAAAGAAAATCTTTAATTTGTGAACAAAAGTGGAACTTTGGGTGAGTGCTTAAATTTTAGCAGCCTCCAGAGTTTCCTGATGTTACTCCCTAGAGATCAACAATTCACTTTTTCCCTCCTTTACTGATACTTTTCTTTGTGCCTTGTTATAGAATTATATTTATTATAGAAAACCCTGAAATAGACATAGCAAAAGAAATAAAATAAATATCGCTTGTCATTCAGACCGTTTGAAGTACTGTACGTGTGTCATTCATTTCTGGTTCTCTCCACTACATTTGCTCATTGTGTGGTTACCCAATATTTATTATTCTTGAGCAATTCTTCTCAGACTCATCAGCATTAGGAAAGAAACTCTGAACCCCTTTCCCTTCCTGCCACATTTAGCCTTTCAAAGAGATCTCAAGTGCCATTTAGTACAACAACAATGTCTGAAGTTTCTTTTTGCCATTTTCTTATGATAGCTGATGAATTTATTAGGAGTCTCTGAAATAATAAATGCTCTTCTGTTTAATTTTTACAGTATTATTATTTTTGCCATTCCTTGAGGTAGTTGAGTCTTCCTGTTTTCTCAGTAACATTCCTTTAGTTTTTTGTGGGTTTTGTTTTTGTTTTTTTTTTTTTTTGAAACAGGGTCTTACTCTGTTGACCGAGCTGGAGTGCAGCGTGCAGTGGCACAATCTCAGTTCACTGCACCCTCCACCTCCTGGGCTCAAGCAGTCCTCCCACCTTAGCCTCCCAAGTAGCTGAGACTTCAGGCGTGTGCCACTATGCCCAGCTAATTTTTGTATTTTTTGTAGAGATGGAGTCTCATTGTGTTGCCCAAGCTGGTTTTGCACACCTGACCTCAAGCACTCAGCCCACCTTAGCCTCCCAAAATGCTAGGATTACAGGCATGGGCCACCGCACCAGGCCCATTCTTTTAATCTTGATCTAACCTCTTTATATGTGATAAACTACTGATTATCATTAGCATAGATAATCCAGAAGTTCACTGAAAACACTCAACTCTGGTCTCATCCACTTTTTTTTTTTTTTTGAGACAGTGTTTTGCTCTTGTCGCCCAGGCTAGGGTGCAATGGCGCAGTCTTGGCTCGCCGCAACCTCCGCCTCCCAGGTTCAAGTCATTCTTCTGCCTCAGCCTCCTGAGTAGCTGAGATTACAGGCGCCCACCACCACGCCCAGCTAATTTTTGTATTTTTAGTAAAGATGGGGTTTTGCCATGTTGGCCAGGCTGGTCTCGAACTCCTGAGCTCAGGTGATCCACCCGCCTCAGCCTCCCAAAGTGCTGGGATTACAGGCGTGAGCCACCGCACCCAGCCACCCGCTCTTATTTTTTAAGAACAATTTTCTATCGTATAGTCAAAGCCGTAAATCAAGCTTGTAAATGCTCCACGTTGATTTAGCAGGTATATGTGAGAGGCCTAATAAAATCCAGTTTTCTTTTTTATTGCTCTTATTGTTGGGCTCAAAACTTTCCACACAGATGGAACCTACTGAGAAGCGAAAAAAGGTTCTCAGTGAGGTTCATTTTGTAATCCTGAGAAAACTTATGTGTGATTATAGGATCCTGAGGCCTAAAGTTCGTGAGCTTATTCCATTGCATCTTCTGAGAAGGGCTTCCTACGTCTCCAGCATCCCGGGGCCTTCCCTGCTCTGATGGTGGGAGATTCTTCCAGCTTCTAGGTTTCCGTGACCTTAGTTAGCAAAGGCAGGAAAAGATGTAACAGGTAGACTAGGGGTTTGCTCCACAGTTCGGAGGCTTTGAGCAATTGTGTGTTTCTCTTGCCTGCCTGCCTTCCTTCCTTTCTTTCTTTCTTTTTTCTTCCTTTCTTTTTTTTTTGTTTTGTTTTGACAGTGTTTCTCTCTGTTGCCCAAGCTGGAGTACGTTGGTGTGATCATAGCTCACTGTACTCACTGCACCCTCGACCTCCTGAGGTCAAGCAGTCCTCCCCCCTCAGCCCCCTCGGTAGCTAGGACTACAGGCACTTGTCACCACACCAAGCTAAATTTTTTCTTTCATCTTTTGTGGTAATGGGAGTCTCCCTATGTTGGCCAGGCTGGTCTTGAACTCCTGGCCTCAAGCGATCCTCCTGTCTCAGCCTCCCAAAGTGCTGGGGTTACAGGAGTGAGCCACCTCACCCATCCTCCCCTACTTTCTTGACTTTCAGATGATATTTGTCTAAAGCAATGGCTGTAGCGACTTTCCTTGCCCCCGTTTCTCCATATTTCATTTTCTTTGTTGTAAGTTCCTCTGATGAGGGTCACCTAGCAGAGAGTGGTTGAGGTCTCTTTGTCCCTCCTGGCAGACTCACTGGGACTCCGGTCTCTTCCATTACCACTTTCCATTCCTGGTCCTCTCTGAAGGGCTGTGGTTGTCCTGGTTCTCCTCCCGCAGCCGGTGTTACTTATCATCGCTCTGTGATTTTCTGTGCTTTTTTTTTGTCCCCCTTTTCCCTGTCCATAGCAGCTCTTCAAATCTATCATCCTGTTTTTATCTTACACTTTTATTTACCATGCATCTGCAGGGCTTTATTATTTGTGGTCTACTTCAGGGTATTTCTTTCACAGTTGATGAAGCCTGTAAACTTCAGAGCAGAGAATCAGAGGGCCCTAAGCAACCCTCACCTTTCTGGTGAGAATATATTCACCTAGAAAAGGGCTTTTATGAGGTCACTTTAGCTAATTGTTTTTCTAATAGTGTCACTCCCTTTTTCTCTTCAAGGTCTCTTCAAGTTCTTTTATTTATTTATTTATTTTTTTAACCCCTATGTGCATCTTGGGTAGAATATTTTAGTACAGTTTTTGTCTGGAGACCTGTTGTTTGGCTTTTTGGCTTTCGAGTGTAGCCATCTGTGTTCAAGTGTTCTTTTTCTTCTAGTGGAAATTTGTGTCTGATGTGTGGGACTAAGTTCTAAGTAATATACACACATATATATAATCTATACACAATGGTGATATGGATCATGGATATTGTATAATTCAATCATGACGGTACTTAGAGGCTCCTATATGTTACTAGTCCTTATGGATATGTGTATATGCGTGTGCAGTAAGATATGCAGCTATGGCACCCCACTGGCAGATATTGGGCACAAGAGGAAGTCACTCTTCTTGCATGAGGATTATAGAAATTTTCATTTTTTAAGTCACAAAAAAATATTTCACTGCCATGTTTTTTTAAAAAGTTAAGTTGCTCAAAAATGAGTCGGATGCAGTGGCTCACAAATGTAATTCCAGCACTTTGGGAGGCCGAAGCAGGCAGATCACTTGAGGTTAGGAGTTTGAGACCAGCCTGGCCAACATGGTTAAACCCCATCTCTACTAAATATACAAAAATTAGCCAGCTTTGGTGGTGGGCGCCTGTAATCCCAGCTACTCCGGAGGCTGAGGCAGGAGAATCGCTTTAACTCGGGAAGCAGAGGGTGCGGTGAGCTGAGATCACGCCACTGCACTCCAGCCTGGGCGACAAAGTGAGATTCTGTGTCAAAAACTAAAAATAAAAATAAAAATAAAGTCAGTGGCATCAATGAGAATTAAAATATTTAAATGCTTGCACAGTAAGCATTGTAAACCAAAGGCACACTCCAGGGTCCACCAGGTTCAAATATTAGAATTTGTGCCCTGAATTACAGTGTGGATCTTCTGTTCCTGCATGTATTCACCTTGGGTGTGCCCTCCTGCATGGCAAAGCATGGGCAGAGAGCACTGCACTCACAGGCCTGCTTTCGTGGAGCAATCTAGTGGCCAGTGAGCCCGGGGCCAGTGACAATCAAGATGGCAGCCTCAGACTGCATTCTGGCTAAGAAAGCTATTTCATTTGGGTTGGGCAGGCTCTAGTAAGTTCCCTGCAGCTCTGGGACAACCTCAGGGATGGTGGATTAATATGACACATTCTCCAATGATACAAGGTGAATTCAGAAGCGCCTATGGCAGGGTATTTTGGGGCAAACCCATTGCTAGTTAAGGCTTCAACATGTCTTTCTAAAATATAAGGATGGAACTGTCATCATTTTTCTTTCTTTTCGGGGAAGAGGAGTTAACCGTGCTACATTTTCATCATGAATAAATAGGTGGTCCATTTGGTCAACCTATTCTTTTTCTCTTCATGTTTTCACCCCTTTTCTTTCCTATTTTTTTCTTGTTTTCTCCTGGTCCACAGGCTTTGAAGGGCATGCTGATCTCTCTTCAGGCAGAACTTGACATTCAAAGGTACTTGATGAAAATTGAATCGTCTCAGCGAGTTAGTACTCTACCTGTTCTTTTTCTGCATCGAGTTGCACCCTCATCCTGCACCTTTCCCTCACCTGCAAGTGCCATTCTAATCAGTGTCAGCCACTAACGCCTGCACTTTTCGCTGTTTACCCCAATCCCTGATTCAAAACTATCAGAGCCAAGTGCTTGTAGCATTCTGAAATATGTGCATTTCTAAAAATTATGAGAGTCAGTATTAAAATGAACACTAATTGCATGCTTGCTTCGAAATATTTAATTTGCTTTCCACAGATTGGATTGTGGAATCAGCAGTAATGCAACCACAAGCTGGAGATCTTTGAATAATTGTTTGAAAAGTGGGCATCTCTAAGCAGAGATCCTATCCTTGCCAGCTTGCTCCAGCAGAATACTCATGGCAGTAAAACAGAAGCCTGAATCATTCTGACAATCCCAAAGCTATGTCATTCTGCTTTGCTCAGTTCCAATGTGTCCAATGTTGGGTCCAGATCATTTTACTTATATACATTTTAATAATGATCATAATGGAAATAAACACATTTCTTTAGAACTTATATACACCAGGCACTGTTCTAAGTGCCTTACAAGTATTAACTTCTCACAGCAACCCTGTGGGGGAGGTATACTATGATCCCCATTTTACAAATGAGGTGATTGAGGCACAGAGAAGTTAAGTAACTTGCCCAAGGTCACACAGCTAGGTAATGGTTGTGCTTAGGAAATGTTCGGCCATCTGGCTTTGTACAAAAGTGACCTCCTTCCCATTGGTCAGTCTTCAGTGACCATGCTTATCTCTTTACCTTCCCCTTCTTAATAATCAGTCTCATTGATCTCTTTTTAGGGTAACAAGCTCAATTTAGAAAGTTCCTGCCCAGACAAATAAACATTAAAGTTCAAGTTTAGACACTAAAGAGAATTTTCATGTCACACATCATCCCAATTCTGATGAGTGTTTATCCTTAATTTTATTCTTAATCATTTTCACATTCCTAAAATTCATGCAAAATAGAGGCATCTTTATTATTTCCGTGCGCATGTATTGTGCACTAAGTTAAAATGCAGAAAGGGAAAAGAAGGGCATAGTGAGCTCTTCCCTACAACTTCACACCCTGCCATTAACCTTTATTCCTACTTTCAGAATAGAGATTTGACATTGCCCAGTGGGATTTTCCCATCATAAGTAGTACTGAGTTTGGGATTCCCTCCCGCTATTCTTTTTTTCTTCTGCTTGAAACAAATAAATCTTCAGTACTGACTTTCCTTTTCTTTCTTTTTTTTTCCATATCAGCAAATAATTGGATATCTGAAATTTTTCTTGAAGTGCTTTTTTGGCATTTACAAGCATTTTAAATTATAATGCTGTTTTTCAGAGATGGAATAGGATGAAGGTTAAGGTTGGAAATCGAAGGTGATCTTCCCCCTTTAGTGAATGAGTAACTCTCAGATCCTCTCCAGATGTCAAATTCTGTTTTGAAATTGGATGTAACTATTTACCTATCTCACAAGACCAAGATGAAGGCATGGTGGATCCATTAAAGGTTTGTTTGTACCCTTCTCCTCTCACATAGGATCCCAGAAGCTACGGGACTTCCCAAGAACAGTAGGAAGCTGAGCCATCTAGAATCACCCTACTGAGAGTAACACCAGCTTACTACCTAAGGAAAGCTAAATGGTTGGCATCTTTTATAATTTACCAATTGCTGTCCCATGCAACATTTTTCCAATTACTTCTCACTTTATCAAGTAGATATTCTGATTATTTTATAAAAGTGAGAACCGAGGTTCAGAAAGGTTTCATATGGAGTTGCACCGTGAGTTCATGGCAGGATTGGAGTCTGCTTTTCATAAAATAACCTGATAAAAACAGTAAGTTCTCTCATTATAAATTTTGTCTTCTGTCCATCTCTTCAAACACTGGTATACTTTCCTAGAGCAGGACTAGAGGAAAATCAGAATCTTTGGTGCAGAAAGCTAGTTAGAACTTTCACTATGTGTGTGTGTGTGTGTGTGTGTGTGTGTGTGTGTGTGTTTTCATTTGAAAATCATTCCAGTGAAATTGGGCAGGTGGTAGTGGTGGTTGTTTTGGACTGGCGGGAGGGGGAATGTGTTTGAAATTAACAGTGAACGCTATTCCCAGGATGTATGGGGAGGGTCTGGCCATAAGCTCTGAGCCTTGGTGACCCCAGGAACCCACAAGAGTCCCTCTTGCCCAGTTCCCTGTGGCCTTCTCCACTGTGGGGTGATGAGGACATCATAAGCTCTCCCATGGCACAGCCCATACCCTCACTGAGGGTGAGGGCCTTTGCTAGCAAGGAAAGCCTCTTTGGTTTGGCAACAATGCAATTAAGTTTTAGGGGTACGATTCCGTGGCTTGGGATCCCACATCCTCTCCATAAAGCACTGAAGCCTAGGTTGCAGAGATGAGCTTAAAAATGGCTTTTGTTAAGAAGGCCTTCTAAGATGTGTACTTAGCACCATGTTTTGCTGGTTGTATTTTACTTGAGACTTCAAAGGCTACAAGCAGGTTTCTTTCCTTTTATCAGTATAATAACAGCAATCCTCACACAGACACCTTTTATCCTATAGCCTTTTAAAGTGCATTCCTGACTTTCTGAATTACAAAAGCATCTGCAGTCTTGCTCAGACCTCAACCAATGAGGATTTTGGCAGCCAAAGCCTGTTCAACATTTTACTTGTTGATAAGGCATTACTTTTCTTGTTTCAGAAAGAAAGGAGAGAAAGAATAAATTAATTGTTGTATTCAAGGCAACTTGCAATAAAAAGACATCTACCTGGCCGGGCGCGGCGGCTCACGCCTGTAATCCCAGCACTTTGGGAGGCCGAGGCAGGTAGATCACGAGGTCAGGAGATCGAGACCATCCTGGCTAACACGGTGAAACCCCATCTCTACTACAAATATAAAAACTTAGCCAGGCGTGATGGCGGGCGCCTGTAGTCCCAGCTACTCGGGAGGCTGAGGCAGGAGAATGGTGTGAACCCGGGAGGCGGAGCCTGCAGTGAGCCAAGATCACGCCACTGCACTCCAGCCTGGGCAACAGAGCGAGACTCTGTCTCAAAAAAAAAAAAAAAAAAAAAGACATCTACCCTAAGGTAGATACACTGAAAATCAAAAAGCAAAATCTCGTAAGAAGAGGAAGCAAATTTTAAAATATAGGTACTATGATTAGCTTGGACATTAAATTTACTTTCAAGCTTCCTGACATACATGATATTTTACATATGACAAGGTAATACTTATTAATCCTTCAGGAAGCAAAATCATATTCTTTGTTTCAAATTGTGAAAGAAACATTGTTCGTGCCTTTATAAAAGGTACACTGATCAGCATAGTAGGCAGGACCAACAAGTAAACAGCAGTATTCTTCATGTGGCTTTTGTTTTTTTAGAGACAGGATCTTGCTGTGTGACCCAGGCTGGAGTACAGTGGCATGATCACTGCATAGCTCACTGCAGCCTTGAACTGCCAGGTTCAAGGGATCCTCCCACCTCAGCCTCACGAGTAGCTGGGACTACAGGTGTGCACCACGACTCCTGGCTAATTTTCATGTTGGTTTTTTGTAGAGATGGGACGTTGCCGAGGTTGGTCTCAAACTCCTGGCTTCATTTATCCTCCTGCCTCAGCCTCTCAAAGTGCTGCAATTATAGGTGTAAGCCACCACACCTAGTCCAGGCTTTTAATTTTGTATCGGCAAAACGAAAAGAAGAAAACACATCACTGAATAAAAATTGCATGAACGTATTTCTGAAAGGGGTGAAAGTCTGAGTTAATGAGATCCAGACTTGGAACTTACCGATGATCTAATTTTCTAACTTGGTAGAAGGATGCTAAATGGAGATCATAGTTGAGCTAGGCTTTATTTTCTTTAAATAGCTTTTGTCTCATTCTGGCTTTGGGGAGGAGTCAGAGAGCAGTCAATCTGAGGTGGTATTTCAGTAGAGTTTATGTCATGTTACAGGTAGGCCACAAGGCAGACAGGTGGCAGGTTGATGTCTAATCCTGGAGTTGAAAAGGCCACCCTGCCTTCTGATCTGATAAGAACCCCTGTCTCCTCTGCAAGGCAACAGATTTAGCAGCTCCTCTAGGTGGAACCAAACCTCTTCAAGGGAAAAAAAAGAATACTGTATCATCTACAAACTATGAAGGGTTGAAAGGTGGAAAATATCTCTGGGATCATAGAAAATTGCTAAAATTCCAAATTTACCTAGAATCAAATTTTAAGAGCCTTTAAATTAAATTACTATAATGGTATCAGAACTACAGATGTGGAAGTCTGTCTCTTTAAAAGGTGGAATGCAATCTGCATGTCTGAAATTGATTTGATGGCCTTGGCGCTTTTCTTAACTGTATCGTTTTGTAGAATTGGAAGTTTTGTAAGAACTGGATTCTTGCCAAATATTGCATGGCATGAAAATGAAAACGTGTTTCCCTTCCCATGTTTTCCCCATGCATTTGTGTTGTCATTTCAGGGGCCATCTCTAATGACAAGTTCTTAAACCTAGAATCCAATCATACAGAATACACAAGAGAAGACAGGAATTGGGCATGAATACATTCAGGTCACCATAGACAGGAATCCTTCTGGATTCTAAATGTTTTATGGGAAAGTTCCCTTCCTCTGATCTATTCTTTAAAAATATCATGCCTATTTAGTAATTCTCTGATTTGTAAAAACAACATATTCTTATTTTGGAGAAATAAAGAAAGTGTGTCACTCTTATCCTAAGCAATCTAATGCAGAACAGAAAACCCAATGCAGCATGTTCTTACTTAATAAGTGAGAGCTAAACATTGGGTACACATGGGTATAAAGATGGCAATAATAGACACTGGGGACTCCTGGAGTGGGGAGGCAGGAGGAGAGCAAGGGTTGAAAACCCATTGAATACTACGCTTGTTACAAAAACACCGGGGGTTTGGTCGAGGTTCTGCTGCTCACCAAACAGAAAACCAATCACTGAGACAAGTATTGCCAAGGAAGAAGGCTTTGATCGGGTGCTGCAGCCAAGGAGACAGAAGCTCAGTCTCAACTCCATCTCCTTGACTGACTAGAACTAGGGGTTTATATAGCAGGAAAGAAACGTTAAGAACACATAAGAAAACAACAACTGAGAAGGCGCAAGGAAACAATCATGATGAATGAGGGGTGTGGCATCTGGTGTGGTGATCTGGTGCGTTTCAGTTCTTTGATACTTTTTTGAGAGTCCTAAAGGTGTTTCCTGAGGAAGGAACTCAGATAAAACAAATACTGGTTTCCAGCTTTGAGACCAGAACAATTTCTTGTTCAGTTTATCAAAAAAAATAATCTATGGGACTGTTGGGTCAGTTTCATGCTCACTGCCTGGGTGACGGGATCAATTGTACCCCAGACCTCAGCATTTTGCAATATACCCATGTAACAAACCTGCACGCCAAAATAAATCTAAATCTAAAATAAAAGGTGAAATTATTTAAAAAGAATGTTACCCGTAATCCCACCATCAAAAGAAAACTAATGCTCGCATTTGGCTCTATTGTGTCCAATTACTAAATTATACCCCAAAATTCCATTAAAACACCTTTATTATGATTGTGTAGTACTCTAGAGTACACAGACATTGTAATTTGTTAACCAGCCCTCCAAATTGTTTCAAGATTTACTTATTCTATTAAAGATGTAATATGTACAGATTTGCTTCCTGACACTCCAGTACAAGAACTACCACTTTTCTTAATTTTCCCAAATCAAACCAATCTATCCTGGCTTCAGCAATTATTGAGAAATTCATCCTCATCATATTAAGGGGAAGCATTTTCCCCTCACTTGGAGTCATAAGGAAATCTTGAGGAGCTTGTCCAATCCAATAAAACCAGGCCAGGGCCTCTGAGTCTCCTGGGACTTATAGTGAATTGCTTTCTGTGCAGCCTGTTTGCATCCAGGTTTATGGGGACCTTTGCCAAGTATCCTAAGTGTGAGCACCTGGTTCCACCCACTCTAAGCATGTCACACATCCATCTTCCCAGTTGTGGGTCACTTCTTGCAAATGGAATACAGGTCTTCCCAATTTGAAGAGCACCATCGCCACCACTGACACCAAAACTGCCACCCTCTTCTTGGCTCTGGGAAGTCATCCACTCCCCTCTTCCTGCGCAATTAGGAACTTCCTCCTTTCCCCTTCTGGAGGTAAGTCCAGACGTCTTTTCCAGATACCTTTACCTTCTAACCCCAATTTAGGGAGAGAGTCTTCAGAGTGGCCTCTGTAGCATGGGGATACCATTAACAACCCTTCCCTGTGGGAAGACCTTGGAACTTAAAGGCTTGGAAGTTTCCCAGGAGGTGATGGCTAGCAATAGAAGTTCCATAAATTTTTTGTTGTTTCTGACAACCACAAGGACAAGGTAAATTAACAATACCTCAGAAGATGAATCTGACACACAGATAATACTCTATGGAGAGTATTTGCATAGTGTGGTGCTTCTTTAAACAATGAGGAAGAGCCCTTTTCTGCACAGAGGTGTCCTTGTCATTTGTTTGTTTGCAGCTGTAGGAAGGCAGGGGGCTTTGCATGGTGACAATGGGTTGGCAGAGGGGTCCTGCCTGGCTCACTTCGCTCCACACAGAGGATGCCTCAGTGCAGGGATGACTGTGGCTGGCTCCATATGAGCTGCCCGTGGGCAGCGGGTAATGGGTATCACTGCCCTTTCATCTTTCCAATCTGATAATGAAATAATACACACAGAGAAGGAAAATGTGGAAACAAAAGATGCAGTTGTACTTTGCCCAACTGCTGAATCGTCTGATTTCCATCCAGAACAAATGCCATTCTGTTTTCACAGGTGAAAATCATGAATAACGTCTGGGTACTCTTTGGATGGAAAAGGGAGAAAAGTGTTGAAATATTAGCGTTGAAGAAACAGGATATAAACTGAGTGTATCAAGGATATTTCATCAAAATAAATCCTAGAGAAAATGCTTCCCCTTTATCTAAGTCAGGGAAGAGAAATACTAATTATCAGACCTCAACTTAAGCTAGGAGAAACGTGAGAATCTCAGATATGCACCGTTGGAAGTTGGCATTAAAATGTGGTTAGTGAATATAGATCTATCTTATTGTAAGGCCCAGAAGTTCCTGGTTACTAGTCATCCTGGCAAGTATCCACAAACTGCTCACATCCAGCATCCAGATGTCCACTAAACACTCGATTTTGTGTGTGTGTATATTGTACTGTAGATTAACAGCAGGACCCTCTAGCGCCTGCACCCAAGGTTTCTATTAAAAACAAAAGCTGCTGATTTATTCTCCTCTACCACCATTTCTCTGAGTCTTTAATGCCAGACCCACCCCAAAATTGCAAGATCATAATAAAACTAACTACAGTTCTCTTCTCCATTTGTGTTGCAGTTCTCACATCCACCCGTTGTATTTTAGAATCATGGGTGTCTCAGTCTATTACCCAGAGTGATCATAGTTGCAAGAATGGCACTGGGGAGATATCATTCAGATTTTGCTTTTCTGTCCATAAGCCACAGAAGCCGTGGGAAGTTGCCAAGAAGACATGCATAGCTAAGCCTTGCTGTTCTTTTTTTAAATTTTGTATTCTTCTGTTATTTTTTAGAGATGGGAGTCTTGTTCTTTCTCCCAGGCTGATGTGCAGTGGTGTCACCCTAGCTCACTGCAGCTTCAACCTCGGGCTCAAGCCATCCTCCTGCCTCAGCCTCCCCAGTGGCTGGAACTACACGTGTGCAGCACCACACCTGGCTAATTTTTTAATTTTTTGTAGAGACAGAGTCTCAACTAGGTTGCCCATGCTGGTCTTGAACTCCTGGGCTCAAGCAATCCACCTGCCTAGGCCTCCCAAAGTTCTGGGATTACAGGTGTGAGCCACTGTACCTGACCCCAGGGCTCGCTGTTCGAAATATACACCTGGCTGTTGGTCACAGGACTCACCAGAGAATGGCAGGTGGTGGCCAACTGGAGGAAGAAGGCCTCAGCTGATGCTGTCACCAGGGATGGGTTTATGTAAGGATGGGAGATAAGATAGAAGCCAGGTGTGCCCGATGGAGCTCCCTGTCTTCCTTCCCACCCTTAGTCCTCAACCCAGCATGGACATTAAAGACAGGAAACTAGAAGGAGAGCAGAAAATGGGAAAAAGGCAACTGCACTGTGGCTTGTAAAAAGGACTCTGTAAGCAAATTTAGAAGCGTAGAGCTTCCAAAGTGAGAGTTTATTAATTTTCCTTTGGAGTACCGTGAAGCAGGAATGGTAGAGAAAACCTAAATTCTGTGGATGATTTATTTGTTAATTTAATATTTTGTTCCTGGAATTTTTAATAAAAGTACCTAGCAACTAGAATGTTCTCTTCAACTGAAATCAGAATTTTGACTGGGTTTGAGTTGAAAGTTTCACAAGTGAAAGAAATGGGGCTAAAGTGTCTGAATGTCATGATTAAATTAACCATGTCCTTTAATGAGTGCTAGGAATGAGTCATTCCAAATACATTTGCATGTGGAAAACTTCATTGTATTTTCAAATGCCCTGTGGCAAATTGGGCATTAATTAGGATGAAGTAAAACTTCATCACGGCAATGTTGATTTTTCTTTTCACAATAGAACGTAATCTGAAGCAAAGTGAATACCTTGGCTAGCCAGACACCCCACTGTTCCTGGCAATTAACATATTACGTAAAGCTACATTTGC
Organism: Homo sapiens; assembly: GCF_000001405.40. NCBI lineage: Eukaryota > Metazoa > Chordata > Mammalia > Primates > Hominidae > Homo > Homo sapiens. The sequence goes on from NC_000010.11 coordinate 24,375,888, forward strand.
AGGTTCATTTTCTGGACCTCGGCATTTCAATTTAGGGTTTAAGGGTCTGAAAACGGGAATGAAAAATACATCATCAATACCTCTAGCTCTAACTTTCTTTTATCTTTGTTGTTATCTCCAAATCCAATAGCATTGCAAAGAATATGAATAAATCTGATCTCCCTCGCAGAACAGTGCACTTGGTGAACATTTCAGCAAATATTTGTTCATGATGTTAAAATGAAATCATGACCGTCTTTTAAAAATTAATGCTGTTCAACTATGTTGCATACACTTGAGGACATAAATGCGGAAAGCCAGATCTTAGCACTACCTAGCTACATATATCTATGGAGCAGGTGCTATAGGATAAATAATTCGAAGGAAATCTCAGTAAACTGTTTTTCTGGATGACATGATCTTTTCTTCTTATATGATGTGTACTTAGAGTTAGAAAGTTTTGGTCCTGCAAGGGATCTGAGACACCAACTAGCTCAACCTCTGGCCTTACAGATGAGATACCTGTGACTCAACGAGGTTATATGTGGACCAGTTTTTGGCAGAAGCTGAACTAGAACTAGCATTCCCAGACTCCTGGTTAAATAAAAATTTTAGGCAGGGTGCAGTGGCTCACACCTGTAATCCTAGCACTTTGGGAGACTGAGATGAAAGGATCGCTTAAGCTTAGGAGTTTGAGACCAGCCTGGGCAACAAAGTGAGACCTCGTCTACTACAAATTAAAACAATTAGCTGGGCATGATGGTACACACCTGTAGTCCCAGCTACTCAGGAGGCTGAGGTGGGAGGATCGCTTGAGCCTGGGAGATCGAGGCTGCAGTGAGCCATAATCTTACCACTGCACTCCAGCCTGGGCAATAGAGACCCTGTCTGACTGAATGAATGAATGAATGAATGACCAACCAACCAATCTTACCACTGGTGTCAACTCTGGAGTGCGCCACACGTGATCTTTGCTCCTTTCATTTGGTAGAGTTTCAGGGCAAGCTGCTTTTTCTATTTTCTCAGTGGTAATCAGTAGTGTGAGGTTACAGGGAAGGTTAAATTAGGTTACCACATGACAGTTACTTGATACAGAGCAGCAGGCACCTGTTATGTTGGGTCCTTTATTTCTTCCCTCATCCTTTCATTAGGAAGAGAATATTTCTATAGGGTCAATCACAGATGCAGAAGAGGAGAGAGCTGCATTGAGCCAATGACACCAGAATGTCTTCGTGACAGAGAGACCCCTTCGAAGAAGAGAAGAATAGAAAGGACAAGTGGGGTTCAGGTGGCCTGATTATACAGACCACCCCCTTCATGCATGACCCCAAAGGGCTTACCATTTGGGTTTGCGGGTTTGGGGTTGCCTAATGATTTGGGGAAGTCTTTACAAGGTTGTGATGGAAACAGAGGGAGATTGGTGTCATGGATCTCCATGGAGCAAGGAGGAAAATCCAGTCTTACAGACCCTTGAGTCCTGCTCACGTGGCTCAGAGAATATTCCCACCATCCCCTGCTTCCTCCTCAGTTAGGCATAGCTCTCCACTCAGCAGCTTAGGGTAGCAGCTTCAAACACCAAGCTGTAGGCCATGCATGACTGAGAAAAGTTTTCACCGGAGGCAAAATGAGAACACTAACTCCAACATAAAGAATTTTTCACTAGATCAAACCTGAAATTGTGTTTGCTTCCCCCTTTTTTGGTATTAAAGTATCTTTCCTTTCTTATGGTAAAAAAATGATACCACAGAGAGTAAGATTTCTTTAATGCCTCTTACTTTGCAAAATAAAATCAACATCCTTGTATTGTAACCCCTCATAAATTTGGGGGAAATATTTCTTTAGAAATTTTCATCTATGAAATATAAAATAATGGGAACTATGATTATGGAAATAAGCTCCAGAGAGTTTAGCTTTCTCCATGGTTCTTACTAATATGAATATGTGAGCATCCTAGCAGCTTAGCCAGGAGGAACCATTAGAATTGGTGTTGGTCAGCGGTGGTTTGCTTGTAAGGCACCGTTATCCCAAACTAGTGCAAGAACAAAAACTGAATTAATTGAAGGAATTCATTGGAAGGACCCCACAGTGTACTGGAAACAGAAAGTGGGAAGCCCAGGAGACCCCAGATGGCTGCTGTCTTATCTTTTGTGCTCTCTGAAGATCGTGGGGGTCTCACATCTCTGTTTTTTAATACAGATTCGCTTTATTTTTTTTCTCTGCACTTTTTTCTGTTTCACTTTTCCTGCCCACGTTAACCACAGCTTCAAGTTGAAAACTAAGTTGTTTCAAGTTCTCTGTAGACATTGACTAATAGATCCTCTGTCCCAGATCTAAATTTACAATTGAGAGTTTAATTGGACCAGCTAAGTTCAGGTAACTACTTCTTGACCCAATCAGGAAAGACATTTCCAGGGGCGAGAATTTGATTGATCCAGCTAAGATCAGGTGACTACTGTTCAGTCCAATCAGGAAAGACCAGGCTGGGAGTGGGTAGCCCTGTACTTTATTGCCCAGTTCAGAGCAACCCTCGCACCTCCCTCACCTACACTCTTCCTCCTCCCCTGATGCCCCTTTAAACTCAGCAGTTACTGCCCCAGACTCCTTCTGCACCCAGGGTGATGTGCCTCTTCATTCTTCCTGTCCATCTATTGCATATATATTATCTTTTGCCCCCATATAGACCTTACATGCTTGACGAGCTCAAGAACTTTTATCTCTGGTCCACTTTTACCCATGGTGCCTAGCACTGTTCCAAAATGCTATTTTGACTTTTTTTTTTTCCAGCATATCAGATCACAGGGTATCTGGCACAAGTGTCAGCAATTTCCATTGTCTTTTCTCTGAACTAAATGATGTCTCAGCAGCAAGCTGGCATCAGAGGGGAGGGTACTGCGTGTGAGGAGACTGCTAATATGTAGTGATCGTTTTCAGTGAGAACGTGAATAACAACAAAAAGAGGAGTTTACATTTGGAGCTAAATAGCTATGTTTAGGAAGTGAGGGGAGAAAAAATATATAGCCCTGCATCTCTGATTTTTCTACTTACCTACCACTACGATGACCCTGAACAAGAAACAGAGATTTGATTTTGATTTTCTTCAAGGATTATTACCTTCTGCAATGGAAAATGACAACTCATCAAATGTATGGTTTCTGCCGTGAGCTATAAAGATGACCAAAAGGCAGAGGTTATAAATGTAGCCATGTTGCTTAAAGTAATATTATTTCTTGGCTATCTTGCTAAACTGAATCTACCTTCTTTAAAAAAAAATGTCAGGAATGAGGACATCATACCTTGATATTCTGCTGAGCACAGTAAGGAGGAAGCTACTTCACTGAGGACCACGTGAATTTGTCTAAATCTTGGTGAACTGGGCAGTGATTTAGGGATAATTTTCCTGGTCAAATACTTGTAATGTGTGTCAAAGCCAGATCCCCATAACAGAAGCAGACTTTGTAAAAAATAAATCTAGGAATGCACCACTTTGGGGACTTGTACAGAAAAATTAACCAAAGGAGACAATTTCACTGTTAATGCATGTCCTTTCTGGTCATGATATTGGCATATCTTTGCTGAGTTTCCTGTAGAACACCCAGTCATCTCCTTGAAGCCACATCCCTTAAGAAACACAGGGCGGAAGGTACTGACCTTATCCCTGCTTTCCTCTATGGGAAGGTCCTGAGAGGCATGTAGGAAGGTGTGATTGTCTGGATAATGCAATTGGTTCTGTTGAGAGGGGTCGTCTTGTACTTTTAGCAAGAAGCTGCTCATCCCATTCTCAAAGGGTACTGCTAGAGTATCAGGCACACCTTGGGCATCCCTGAAACAAATCTGTAGCCCAAAACTCAAGGCAGGACTGGCTAAAGAATTGTCAGGGTACCTTGTTCAAAAATCATTAATAAGGCCGGGCATGGTAGCTCGCACCTTGGAATCCCAGCACTTTGGGAGGCTGAGGCAGGTGCATCACCTGAAGTCAGGAGTTTGAGACCACCCTAGCCAACGTGGCAAAACCCCATCTCTACTAAAAATACAAAAATTAGCTGGGCATGATGGTACATGCCTGTAATCCCAGCTACTTGGGAGGTTGAGGCAGGAGAATTGCTTGAACCCAGGAGGCAGAGGTTGAAGTGAGCCAAGATGGCACCACTGCACTCCAGTCTGAGCAACAAGAATGAAACGCCATCTCAGAAAAAATAAAATAAAATAAAAATCTCCCTTGCAATGTGAGTTTACTGATTGTGGAAACAGTCTTGGTATGAGACTCTGAAGGACCAGTTGTGTTCAATTTACTCTGGTATTAGTAGCTCATCCATCTAGGGTGCGTAGAAGAGTATACAGTCCCATCTGTTGTGAAAGCACTGTTAGAATTTGTCGGGCAAAAGGAATTGTTTTGCTGTCACTTTCTTATAATGTGGCTTGTCCTCAACTCCCTGTTCAAAATGCACCACATAAGTCAAACAATAAAAATCTTAATGGAGACCAGGTGCAGCGGGTCACGCCTATAATCCTAGCACTTTGGGAGGCCGAGGCAGGCGGATCACCTGAGGTCAGGAGTTCAAGAGTACTCAAAGTACTCAAAGCCTGGCCATCATGGTGAAACCCCATCTCTGCTAAAAAACACAAAAACTAGCCAGGCATGTTGGGGCACACCTGTAGTCCCAGTTATTCAGGAGGCTGAGGCACAAGAATTGCTTGAAAACCGGAGGTGGAGGTTGTAGTGAGCCGATCTCACACCACTGCACTCTGGCAATAAATAAATAAATAAATAAATAAATAAATAAATAAATACAATGGAACACTTAAGGGCAATGTTATTTTCCGGTAATTTTCACAACTGATACTTTGACCCACTGGGTCTTTAGTTTTCCCTATCTAACCCTTGTGATGGACTGTTACCCCTTGCCATATTATTTTTCCAGATTAATAGAAATGGCATTGGACATATTTTCCACACGATTAATAATAGTCTATTTTCCCACTTTCTTTAAAATGCCTTTTGCAGACAAGGAGCCCCAAACTGTCTCACAGTCCTCAACCACCCAGTCTGGGTGACCCGGTCGAGCATTTATCAGAGACGTCCGCTGATTCTTTGGAAGCCATGTCTGAGGGGGATGCTCCAACCCCTTTTTCCAGAGGCAGCCGGACTCGTGCGAGCCTTCCTGTGGTGAGGTCAACCAACCAGACGAAAGAAAGATCTCTGGGTAAGCTTTAGAAGGCAGTTTCTGATGCCCCTTTCTTACTGAATGCGTTTGTTGTTATACTACTGAACCTATACTCTTTCATTCAACATTAATTTGATCTTGATTTGCAAATACTCTAGTACTGGGAAACTTCATTGGTTTAATATCAAGCATTGAGGATTTGCCTGCTGGGTAATCAGGTCAAGTGCAAGCTGATTTTGAGGCTGGGCACTTTCAGAAGTGGTTGGGATTAGCAATTCAAGCCAAGAGGCTAGTAGTATTTTACCTATGTTCCTGCTACTATACAGCAGGAGTCCCCAGTCCCCAGGCCATGGACCAGTACCAGTCTGTGGCCTGTTAGGAAACAGACCACACAGCAAGAGGTGAGCAGAGGATGAGCAAGCATTACCGCCTGAGCTCCGCCTCCTGTCAGATCAGCTGTGGCATCCGCTTCTCATAGGAGCTGAACCCTATTATGAACTGCATGAGTGAGGGATCTAGGTTGCATGCTCCTTATGAGAATCTAACTAATGCCTGATGATCCGAGATGGAGCAGTTTCATTCCGAAACCATCTGCCATCCATGGAAAAACTGTCTTTCATGAAACCAGTCCCTGGTGCCAAAAAAAATTAGGGACCAGTGCTCTATAGGAAATTGTGAGGAACTGACCGTAGAATGATCCTCTTCTCACCTTGCAACCCTCCTCTCCAGTCCCAGAGGCCAGGACAGTTGGCATTTGTACCCAGTGGTGTGGGTTTCCACCAGCCCTGCTGCACCTGTCTGGTAGTCCAGTGGAGGAGATGACAAAAAGGGACAATGTGGCTAACATCTGCATGACTGTTCATAAGAACCATAAACACGAGGCTGTTCCCACTACCACGTGAAAGGATAGAGGGGCTTGGTGTGTGTAGGGCACAGCTTTTCTGAAAGGCAGAAGGATTCTTTTTATGATTTTACCACGTATCATTTCCTTTTTTTTTTTTTTGTATTGGAAGTTTACTTTCTATCTTGCTTTGCTTTTTTAATTGCTTTTTTTGGCGCTTTAACAAAATGGACAAGTCGTGAGGATTTAGACCTCTCTGTCAAGGGGGCAGATGTTTCTTATGCTTCATTGCCATGTTAAGGTTCTGATTTGGGTACTTGTGTTTGCAAACAGATGGGCTTGGGGATAAGAGGGGACAGGAAAAGAGTCAACATGCAAAAGCCTTCAGAGTCTAGCACGTGCAAAAGACAGCTGAACTCTGCCATGTAAAACTGAGCAAATGCCTTGCTGGGAGAAGAAAGAAAAAGATTGATGTGAGAGAAGGTACCCTGATTTTAGTTCCTTTGCTGCAGATAATGACCCAAGCAGACTGAATTCAGACATTGTCCTAGCTGTCCTAAAAAAAAACCCTACAACTTTGTTATTATTTGTATTATCAATATTAATATTTAACATTAAATTTTGTGTCAAATTAAATTTTGATCAAATTAAGATCAAATTAAAATTTGATCTTAGGTTAGTAATCTAGGATCCTCATTGTATAAATGAGAGAAGACCACAGAAAATGTGCTTTTTGTTTATGTGTGTGTTTGCTTGTTTGAGCTCACACACTTAATTAAGTGGCAGCAGTGGGAAGTCCAGGGCTCCAGTTCCCATTAACATGATCTTACAAATGAAGGGACAAGGACACACAGGGGAGGGACACACCCAAGGAGCATCATGGGCCAAGACAGTGTCAAGATGACACAGGCTTCCACACCGTCACCAGGCTGGGGCTTTCTGTGTGGATTCAAGAAATTTGTGGTTTTTCTTTTCTTTTTTTTTTTTTTTTTTCTTGAGACAGAGTTTTGCTCTGTCACCCAGGCTGGAGTGCAATGGCATGATCATGATTCACTACAGCCTCGACTTCCCACGTTCAAGGGATCCTCCCATCTCAGCCTTCAGAGTAGATGGGACTACAGGCACGCACCCAGGCGCCTGGCTAATTTTTTATTTTTTGTAGAGATGGGGTCTCACTATGTTGCCCAGGCTGGTCTGGAATTCCTGGACTCAAGTAATCCTCCCACCTTAACCTCACAAAATGCTGGGATTATAGGCATGAGCCAGCATGTCTGGCCTGAAACTTGTGCTTTCTTAACTCCACTCACACTTAGGAGCCAGGCAAGGAATGGGATTTCTCCTTTGTGCTTGGAGGAAATGAGCTCAGGTCTCTGTAAAGATAACCTCAGCTCTGCAAACCAAAACGAAGATAAGAATAAATGCCTGTCCGCCTTCCCCCATACCTGGGGGAACTTTGACTCTGTCGGATAATGGATCTTTTGTCTTAAAGGAAGGAATTTCCTCTGCAGCCAAGAACGGTTGGCAGTGCAGGTTGAGACTTGCTGGGTTCAGGAACCAAGCCTTGGGGCAGAGAGGCTGCAGGAGCTGGGGCCGGCTTGCCCAAGGAATGGCTGAGGGTGGCGGGTGTTTTCGCACGGGGTGGCCACGCTTCTGCAAATTGCTCCATTTTACTCAGCATCCTTTGCTGTAGAGTGCCGGTGTGCTGTCACAGCAGGCTGAAAAATGCATCTGACCTGTTTATTCTGCCCTCCCTGTGAGGGGCTTTTTGGCCTGCCATTTTTCACTACTCCTGGATAGAAACAAAGGAACACAGTAAGAGGAGAGGAGAGAAATGAGAAGTTTCTTGCCAAAGCCAAGGGAAGCTCTGGTTCCAGAAAATGAGGCTGGCACTGGGCCAGCTGGGTTGATGTTGCCCTTGACCGCCTCTTTGTGGCCGATTGGGGAATGTCCCCCCAGCCGCACCTGGCCCTTATGGCGTAATCCAGTTGAGCCTGGACGGGAAATAAAAAGGAAAATGTGACTCACAGCAAGTGCAAATGCAGTCTCCCTCCCAGGGGCCTTGCTCAGCTTAGTCTTTGGGAAACTCCCCGCCTGCCTGGCCTTATTTAACACACAGACGCACGGGTTCCTGGGATAAACAGTGCTCCCCAGAGAGCCCCGGCCATGAGCAGGGTGTCTACCAGCACCTGGGTGGCCCAGAAGCACAGCTGCAACTCCATGGGGCCTCAGATATGCCGACTGGATACTTTGAGCTGTAACCCCCCTGGAAACCCGCTGTTGATGCCATCTGGAAGCCCTGGGTGTCTTTTGGCATCTGTATGTTGTCACTTTATCTCAATCCATAGAGTTTTAAGTTCTCTCATGAAGCCCTGTTGATCTTGCCTTTATTTAAAATTTTGATGGTTTATCATGAATTTTTTTTATCATTTTATTTTTTAGGAGCAATTTTTTAGGTTTGTAACAAGATCGAGCAGAAAGTACAGACAGTTCCCATACACCCTTGGCCTCCACGCATGAACAGCCTCCCCCATGATCAGCATACCCTACTAGAGTGGTACGTTTGTTACGATCAATGAAATGAGACCGACACATTGATATCACCCAGAGTCCATAGTTTACACTGGGGTTCACTCTTGCTGTTGTACATTCCATGGATTTGGACAAAGAGGCTGTCAAGGGCAACATCAACCCAGCTGGCTCAGTGTCGCCCAGGCTGGAGTGCAGTGGAACGATCTCGGCTCACCGCAATCTCTGTCTCCCGGGTTCACGCCATTCTCCTGCCTCAGCCTCCTGAGTAGCTGGGACGCAGGTGCCTGCCACCATGCCTGGCTAATTTTTTAGTATTTTTAGTAGAGACCAGGTTTCACCATGTTAGCCAGGATGGTCTCGATCTCCTGACCTCGTGATCCGCCTGCCTTGGCCTCCTAAAGTGCTGGGATTACTGGCGTGAGCCACCACACCCACCTGCTTTTTAAAAGTATTGCACAAAGACATTATTTATCATGATCACTGAGCTTTTGGGAGACCCTTAAATTTTGCACTGGAGGTATGCGTCTTGTTGACCTCACCCCAGTGCTGGCCCCTCATGTAACCCCAGGAGCATCAGACACTGTTACTGCCAGCCCCCAGCC